>NC_000015.10:95596919-96235346 GCF_000001405.40 Homo sapiens | reverse complement strand
TGCTAATGGATTGAAAGCACTAGCATAGAAAAACTTACTAAACAGGCTGGGCACGGCGGTTCATGCCTATAATCCCAGCACTTTGGGAGGCTGAGGCAGGAGGATCATTTGTGGTTGGGAGTTCAAGACCAGCCTGGCCAATACGGTGAAACTCCGTCTCTACTAAAAATACAAAAATTAGCTGGGCACAGTGGCACAATCCCAGCTACTGGGGAGGCTGAGGCAGGAGAACCGCTTGAACCCTGGAGGCGGAGGTTGCAGTGAGCCGAGATCACACCACTGCACTCCAGCCTGGGTGACAGAGCAAGACTCCGTCTCGGGAAAAAAGAAAAATACAAAAAGTAGCTGGGTGTGGTGGTAGGTGTTTGTAGTCCCAGCTACTCAAGAGGCTGAGGCAGGAGAATTGCTTGAACCCAGGAGGGAGAGGTTGCAGTGAGCCAAGACTGTGCCACTGCACTCCAGTTTGGACGACAGAGCAAGACTCCATCAAAAAAAAACAAAAAAAAAGAATGAAGAGCTTACTAAATACTAGAGAGCTAAAGACGGAAGTGGAAAGAAAGCAGGAGAAAATGACTTGGCTTGTGGCTTTTAGGCTTCCTTCTCAATCATTTCTATCCTTTCATTTCTGTTAATTTCAACAATGCTATCGACAGGAACATCTGCCAGATTCCTGTGATTCCTCCTCATTTTTTCCTGACATACTCCCTCGTCATCTTGTTTCAGACCATTCTGCATTTGGTATCTCAGAACTTGAAGAAAGTAAATCTTCTCTGGAAACAGAGTGACTTTCTACTGCAGAGGAAGCCACCACTCTTGGGTGTTCCCTGTGGTAAAATACGACTCTGATACAGCAAATGATGCCCTGGGGCTGAAGTAGCGAATCCTCTGTCCAAAGCACTCGGCCTTCCCCAAGATTAGTCATTTGGCTGTCTCTCTGCTGCTAGTAATTCAGAGATAATCATGTTACCAAGATGCCATTTAATCTGTATTTGGCGTATCTCAAGTTTTCATCTTCATTAATAGAGCCATCAGAGTTTCATCGGGCTTGACTGGTATTGGACACACCAGTGATTCACCCGGGGGGTGAGGTTTGCAGTTTGCATGGAGAAACTGTGCTTGCCAGATGGCAGCTGTTAATCTGCTTGCATCAGGGGTGCGAGGAGGCCTACGTTTGCCTGGCCCCTAGCCAGTGGGGCTCTCCCTCACCTCTGATTATACAATGACCTTGTGGCAGGCCCTGTTCTCCACTCCCAGCAGGCCTGAAGGCACTGGGGGGATTGGATGCCTGATGAAGGGAAGGAATACTTTTTCTGGCCTTCTTACAAGAAAGATTGCTAACCAAATCTTTGCTACCTATAGCCTAGGATATTGAAACATAAGCTCTCTATGGAAGTGTTGTAGGCCTTTCTCCTTAGTTCAGCTGAAATAGGGGTCTTGTCACACAACCACGAAATATTAGGCTTGCAGACACTTTGAAGGGTTAGAAAAACGGAATTTATTGGGCAAAAGGGAATAAAAGGGGAAGCAGATTCTCAGCATAGTGAGAGTCCTGCTAGTACAGGCTTCCCACCTCACAGGCTGAATCCCAGGTACCACCCAGGAAGAGAAGGAGCCAGGCTCCTCCCTCCTGCAAATGGCATGAGCTTCCCGAGACTCCACACTCCTCCCAGTGTGCAGGCCAGTCAGAGGTTCTCCAGGACCCCTTTATACGTGGCTGTCTCAGAGGGCAGTCTACGGTGGAAGGATGTGAACCTGGGAGTCAGAGAAACTTGGCTTTAAATCCAGACGCCAGCATTTAACTAGCGATGTGAAGTTAGGCAGATCACTTAACCTCTTTGAGCCCCAGATTCTTCCATTCACATGCTATGAACCTGATACCATCATCATGGTGGGTGCTTCATAGTCAACGCAGGGAAGTCAGATGGAGACTGATCCATGAGCCCCATGACCCAGCTGTCCTGCTCCTGGGAGTGGAACCCATCCCAGCATTGGGTGTGGTGGTGAGGATGGGGTGACTGAGGTGTTTTTCGCTGGGGAGATGGGTAGTGAGATGTCAGGGAGGCTCATCATACAATGCTATGCAGCAGTATGAAGCAGTGCAGATTAAATCTTAAAAACTGACTAAGAGGGAGGAAAACCACAAAAACATCTGTGGGCACCATTTATGTATAAACATACATATGTGTATATATGTAAACATGTATGTATATATATGCTTATACATAAACGTATGTGTATATAAGGTACATATACAGACAGAGCAAGGAAATTTGGGGTGTCTTATGAGAATGCATACAAACTCAAGGATGTCATCGAACACAATACTGCTATTGTTTATGGGTTGTGGGAGGAAAATGGAAGGGGAAAAGGAGATAAAAGTTAATGAACACATGAGTGAAGGGCTTGGCACAAACTTGTAACGATAGCGTGCTATGAGTTGAGGAGTATGACTTACTCAATGTTCTGTCCTGGGTCTAAAAGAAAAAGAAAAGTTCAACAAAAAAGTCAAGGGAAGGGGGAGAATATAATTCTCAGTAATGCTACGGGGGCTTCAGGGTCTGGGTGTGAGGACCGGCACCCATGTGGCTATGGAATAGCTCTCTCCCTTGGCTCTCTCTCTCTCTGTTGAGAGTGGGAAGAAATTTCAGGAGAAATATAAGGCATGGCCCAAGATACTCATTTGCTCTTATGTGAACTCTCGGTCTCTCAGTTTCTAGTTGCCTAAAGGCACTTCTCTAATTTTTCCCAATTCTCATTGCAGACCCAGTTTTGGTGACTTGGTCACTGCAGACCTTTCAGAATGTGTGGTGCTCATTCTTGTTAAACCAGTTGAGAATTTCCCCAATCCTTTGGCCCTGCGCACAAGTGTAGCTGCTCTTCCAATCAATGGGACCTTTGTATGCAGCAGGGCGGAAGGATATTATTATGTGACAAATGACCACAGGGAAACTCCCATTATTTTCCTTGTGTCTGAGAAATTATAAATGTGTAATAAGGAACACTTTGTAGTAACCCTTGTTAATTTATGATTTTAAATATGAATGTGAATTTATTGGAATGACACAATAAAGAGTCACCATGGGCACCGATTATAATTATCACCAAGTACAATGAAGCAGAGAAAGAAACTATCTCGCTCCTAAATGGCATCATCCATATAAGCCTTGCCTTGTTCAAAGCTACTCTGTAGTATTTTCTTTTAAATAAAATAAATAAGGCACAAATAAACAACATAACCTAAAGAGGAGATGGAATGGTCTATTTCTTTTTGTTTTTTGGAAGCTAAATTTTTGAGATAACATTAAAGATAAAAATCAGCAAGACACCTCTGGGCTACGAGAGGCTACTCTTATGTCACATGTCCATTTATCACCATCATCTTCTCTATGTTCTCTTCCCTTCCCCCCACTTTCTCCTCCTCCTACTTCTTGATTAGCCAGTCAGATGTCTTATTCTTCTGAAGGAAGTGATTTGTTCAGAGATGGGTACATGATACCAGGCTCTGCCAATACAAGGCTTGCCTGAGACATTGGTTGGAGATGTAAAGAAAGAAGTATGCTCACTTCTAGAAGAGCCACATATAAACCATTAACTGCAGTGAAGAAAGCCTGATGAAGGATGCCAATGGAGAAGGAAGCAGAGCAGCACAGAGCAGGAGCAATAGTTAGATGCGCATGATGACATTACTTGAGTACCTGGATCCAGCCACACCTGAAAACTGAACTCTCTAAACTCCTCACTTATTGGAACTAATATGTTTCTCCTTTTTGGTTTTAGTTGGTTTCAGTTGACTTTTTACTCATGGCAAACCAAAGATTTTTTTTTTTTTTTTTGAGACACAGTCTCATTTTATCACCCAAGCTGGAGTGCAGTGGCGCAATCTTGGCTCACTGCAACCTCCACCTCCCGGGCTCAAGCAATTCTCCTGTCTCCACCTCCCAGGCAGCTGGAATTGCAGGCATGCACTACCACGCCCAGTTATTATTATTATTATTATTATTATTATTATTATTATTTGTATTTTTAGTAGAGATGGGGTTTCATGATGTTGGCCAGGCTGGTCTCGAACTCCTGACCTCAGGTGATCCACCTGCCTCGGCCTCCCAAAGTGCTGGGATTACAGGTGTGAGCTGCTGCACCCAGCCAGCAAACCAAAGATTTCTGAGTAACACACCAAGTAAGAAAGGCAAACACTGCCACACTGGGAAGCACACACTCATTTATTAAACATTTAGCATGTCTTACTCTAGAACAGGAAGAGCATTTGTACAGATCATATGACTCATTTGAATCAATTTCAAACAAAGAGAACAAGTCTGTGCGTTAGTTCAAAGATGCCTGCCATATCTTTGGGTATCTAAATAAGTTCGCATGTGTGCTTTTACTTTAATAACCAAAAAGAAATGTGGCCATAGGTTGGGTTACCTGGATCATATATTCTAACTAGACAGTAATTCATAAATTCTGTGCCAGCAGTTTCATTTGTGACTACAGTTGCGTGAAGTCATGAAGAACTACTTTAATAGTCATAAGGTGATGAGCTGTATGACCTAAGGCAATTTACTTAACTTCTTTGTACTGTCAGTGTTTATCTGTCAAGTGGCAATAATAAGAGTATCTACTTCAACCAAACTTCCACCAATTCTTCTGAGTAATAAATAAGCAAATATATGTTAAGTGCTTAGAATGGTGGCTGGCACACTCACTCAGTAAATAATAGCTATTGTTATTCATTATCACCACCACCATCAACTTCATGTAGGAAGCTTCACAAGCAGTTTGAATAACTTGCAAATATGCAGAACTTTATTTACCACTTACAAAGTACTTTTGCCTGCATCATCCAATTTGAAACAGTAAATCTATGCTGCCACACAATATGCGTTTTACAGTTTGCCTTCTTGCAATTGAAAAGAGCAGTTTTTTTCAAATATTTACATAATATTTTGCAAGATGCACTGAATCTCGTATCACATATGAATGACTGAGGAACACTTTTTTTTTTTTCCTGCAGAAGAGTTAAACAAAAACATTTAAAATACAAATGTGGACTGGTTCTGGATATCTTTTACCAAGATTGGAAATTTAACTGCTTAATAAAACTTTGGTTATACCTGTTATATTTGTCAACAGACCTAATCATGGGAAATAAAATGTTACTTTGTTAAGAGTTACTTTATCTTTTCCTTAATATATCACTGATATCAAAAAGAAAAGGGTGAAGCAAATTCATACTTTCATGTCATTGGTCATTTAAAATATTTTTAAAGTTGGACCTCCTGAAAGACTTAGTGTGTTTCATGTCACCAACGTAAGCAGATTGTTGAATTTGACACATCTAAAAGTTTTCTTTGTTTATGGAATTTTCTCACAAAGACCTGCTTTCAAAATGCTAAAATATTCATTCATACTAAGAGTTTTGTTGTTGTTGTTGTTGTTGTTGTTTTGTTGTTTTCCCCCACACGAAGAAGCTTTGAATTAACTGGGTAAAATTTTTCAATAGTCTTTTTTCTTTTTTTTGAGATGGAGTCTCGCTCTGTCTCCAGGCTGGAGTACAGTGGCGCCATCTCGGCTCACTGCAACCTCTGCCTCCTGGGTTCAAGCGATTCTCCTGCCTCAGCCTCCCGAGGGGCTGGGACTACAGGCGAGTGCCCCCATGCCCAGCTAATTTTTGTACTTTTAGTAGAGACGGGGTTTCACCATGTTGGCCAGAATGGTCTCGATCTCTTGACCTCGTGATCTGCCCGCCTCGGCCTCCCAAAGTGCTGGGATTACAGGCGTGAGCCACTGCGTCCAGCCCTCAATAGTCTTGTTTAAGGAGATGATACAATTTTATTCTTGTATCAATTTCTAGAATTCATCAAAGTTTGCTAGTAATTCTTTTATTTTGGACCTTGATGGTATTTTATCCAATTCAGGGAAAACACACCTGCTTTAATAACTGCTAAGGGGACAAGGATGGTGTGGGAGGAAAGATTTATATAACTAGTTTTACAAGTGTAAATTTTAATAATTTCTTGTATAGCAAAACAAAAACCAAAAAGCATATACAATAAAACTTTCTTTGGTATTTAGATGGTATTTTTCTTGTCAGAGCTTTGGCCAGAAGCTAGAAGAAACAATTGAGTTCTGAATTGTTCTCCTCTGTTTAGGCTACCGTGTTACTAAAAGGCTTCTGATATTGCAACTTTTTTTTTTTTATAGTTAGTAAGTGTTCCTCGCTTGTATCCTTGATGGACTAATCTATTCCCCACCTAGAGAGTTTGAGTTATTTTCTCAAGAGTAGTTAGTTGTATTTTCTTCATTGTGTATCACAAGGTAAATGCTAAATTCTAGACATATATTGACACTCACAATTATGGACACCAATCATTTTGTGAAGGTAAGCCATACTTTTTAGGTTTTATGAATACTGAATGCATTTTAAAAGACAGCCAGATTCTCCCAGTGTTTACACAATGGGACTAAATGAGTGTTAATAACTTAGGTCTCTTAGAAGCTGTATGAAGATATGCTAACAAAATTCTTTGCTAATACACAGAAGAGATATGCCAGTGTTGGTGGTGTGTCTGTCCTAGAGAAAGGAACCCTAGGGACAGGCTTTCTTATTCAGCTTCATATCATCAATGAGCATTTCAGGGACCTTAGTGCTAAGTGTTCTTGAAGTGATGCTCAAATTTTAAATTTAAACTTCGCAAATTTTATGCACATATTTTAGGTGAGTAATGCAAGTTCAATCCAACACTCCATACACAAAGGGCACCTGGATATTCCTAGGTCTCAGTTATGGGAATACATGAAGTCAAATGAACATTCATAGCTCTTGAGATCCTTCCATGGCCCCAACAAGACCACCTGTCATGGCTGGTCCCTTCTTTTGCTTCATCTGGGCTCCACTGGGCCCAGCAGTTCTCCACTGTTGTTCCTGGAGGAGTCAGAGTGGCTGTGAAGTCTGTGGTGAAGTGTGTGGGGCAGATCCCTCTGTCTGTGTGTCTCACTTCATCACTTTAGCCTGTAGGCAGTACAGTTTGGACCTGAGTCTCATAATGGCTTTTGTGAAAGAGCGCATCAGACTGAGTTTCTGGCACCATCTGGGAAACACACAGCATTCTCTTCCATCTTGGCTTCCCATGTCTTCCCAGAACCTTGTGTTCCAAAGTTCTTTTTAGTCCAGACCCTCAGCAGTGTTGGACATAAATTCACGCAGATACGTGTTTTGGGGATAGCAGGGTAGGAAGTTTGTAGCCCCATAAGTCTTAGCACATGCCACACTACTATTAATATGTTTCCTTTTGACGGATGGCTCAGGCATAGAGTGACAATTTGATCTCAGAATATAAATAGACCCAGAGGTTTTATAAAAAGCTTCTTTTGTGATTTTGTGGTGATGACTGTATTGGACTTTTAATAAATTTACCACCTATAGATGATGGCTGTAGATACAGACACCAACACAAAGAGTGAATAAGAATTAAAGGAAATCTGTGAAAGATCAAAATAACAAGGAGATCATCATGGTATTTTTCCGGGGTGGTTCAGATATTGGAGAGGCATGGGAGTGTTCAGTAGTCAGTGACTTCTGCATGATATTTGCATAGAGAGAACTTTAAAAAGGTTGCATTTCTTTTCTGCTTTCATATTTACTTTGGGTTAAGGTTATAGGATCTCCTTGGCAATGTTGCTGATGCTATTTTTGTAAACCCCAAATCAGTGTTCAAATGTGGTGGGATGGAAATTTTGAGCTACAGCAATAATAAATACATTTTATGTCCCCGTAACATTCAAGCTGTAGTATGTCTAAGAGTCAGTGAAAGTTGTTTCCTGCCTTGAACTCTGAAGTAAGAAAGAAACTTTTGTTTATAAATGTTAGAGATTTTGTTTTTGCATTTACCGCAAAGTTAAGTGCAGATATAATCTAATCAGTTTTGGCAAAATATCAAGCGTGCTTGTTTGTTTGATAAGGGAGGGAAACCCCCAACTTTTCATGAGCGCAAGTCCTTTACCTGTGTTGAAGATACATGACTTCTGTCCATAAAGTCTTCGATCTTGTGGACTCATACAGAAAACACGGGTCCTGTACAGGAAATAAGAGGCAGACATGTACTCCAGAACATCTTTCTCATCCATTTTAATAATGTCTGGTTTTGAATTTATAGGATTTCATATAAAGGACCCCATTTATAAGTTTTTTATTCTTCTCCTCTAAAGATGTAAAACTTTATATGCTGATTCGAGTGAAATTGAGAGTAGTCAATATCAATCAAACAAAGATTATTTAATATGCACTTTAGCATATTCTATATTGGATTTCTTCACGAGAATATTTGATAAGAGAACAGGTGTGTGTGTGTGTGTTTCTATATCTATCTTTCTATGTTTTTCAACTCACCATGCTTCTACACTATAATCTCCTTGAAGGGCAGGGCCATGTGGTATTCATTTTGTTAACCTTGTAACACCTAGTGGGACACTCTCAAGACATGAAAACCAGTTTATAATTGTATCAACTTTACATTCTGGAAGATGCCTGTCAGTGGCCTTTTATGTACCTTGCACCCATCTGGTGGGGTGGATTGGGCAAGCCTTACAGTCCTTATTTTATAGAAGATGAATTTGAATTTCAGAGAGAGTGAGTGATTTACAATTCCGGGCATGTCTTTCACCCCATCCATTTCTTGTGGCCCATCTCTGGACACTTTATGTTGAGGGAAAGGAGCATTACCCTGCAAGCCTGGCAGGAAGAAGGGCTGCTGACAAATGGTGTGTTTGAATTTATGGGTTGGGCTAGTGACAGTTGACAGAGCCTTCCTATAGAGACACAGGATTCTCCATCACCACTGGCACTTTGCCCCTAGGACCACAATGAGTATCAAACCACATTTAAGACAACCGTGAACAAATTTCAGTGGGATTGGCAATGAGATTTCCAAATGGACAGATCTTCTGCCTGAAGGTGGTCATCAGCATGTCTATAGTGTATAGAGTTCTCTGCTAAATCCACAGCTTCTGCTTCACCTAACTTTTTTTTTAACCTGGTTTTGTTCATTGCAGATAGAGTTCTCTCTCTGATAGCCAGGAAGTTGTATTGAGAAGGGATCAGCCACAACAAGCTTGACTCACTGGGCACATGTTACCTTTTGTTTTTTGTTCAGCACCTCTTTATATAACAAAACTGTCTAATCTCTCAAAGTCGTAAAAGGTTAACATTTAACTAAGTCCTGCATGTCATTCTGGGATGGACATCATGACAGTTTGGCATGTCCTTTGGCATTGTGTTTGTGCTGATACATTTCCATTCAATTTACAAACGTTTCATTGAATGCATACCACATGCCAGGTGATAGTGCTGCTGCTGGGGAGAAGGTGGGAAATGAGGCATACACAATCCCTGCCCTCACAGAACCTAGTGGGGACAGATGAGAAGAAAGGAATGCCAGTGGAATTAGTGTGATGAAAGAACAATCCCATGAGATAGGAATAGCTTTTTTAGAGCGCTAGGCATTCTGAAACTTTCTGGTTATCTCAGATCTCAGATTGCTTAAGCTTCTTCATGCCCTTACAGGTAGGCTCCGGTCTTAGTAGCTCTGAAATATTGTGAAAGTTTCGTGACCTCTTGGGACCATAGTTTTATCATCTGTGAAACATAGACATTAAAGTGGAGGACTTTAAAAGCTTTTGCAATCCTAAAGTATCATTGTTGTATTATTGCAATAGCTAACATTGATCAAAGTCTGACAAGGTGCCAGGCACTGGACAGGGAGCTCTTATAAGCATTGTTTAATTTATTAAGTGATTTTTGTGGATCTTTTTGTATAAACCTGGATACAAGCAGCCTAAGGAGGGACATGGCAGGTACTCTGGTGAAATCCAGATAACCATCAAGGGAGCAGGTGGCTTTGTCTAGATCTCTTTCCCAATTTAGATGTTTTATATACTTTTCAGGGGAACTTGCATCACATCTGTACACACCTATGTTATATTTATATAATATTTGCATGTGAACTCTTTGTTCTATTTAAAAATGATCAATTTGATGCCTCAAAAGTTTTTTTAAAAGCATAAAACTCTAATGACAAAAAAGCAGTTTTCAAAGCAAAATGAAGTCCTCCCATTTGGTATAGTCATTTATTTTAAAAGACAGGTACATTTTAAATGCCCCCTATCCAGCTGTGTTCATCTATGTCTCCTTTTGTAGAGTTATTTAAGTCTTTTTGGAATTGCCTTGTGTCATTTTCAAATGTTCTTGAATTTAATGTCTGCACGACATTCTTAGGCAGACTTAGTCCTCAGCTACCTGCCAGGGATGAGTTCACATTCCTTTCAATAATGAGAAAGCAGGAAAATGGACAACACATTTGCAATAGGCTCAAAAACACCTGCCAGGGGAAAGAGATGAGCTGTTTGATGTCCCATGTCCCACCGACCTGGCAACTCTGTTAACTAACAGTGATGATGAAGAAGATGGTGGCAGTGGTGGTGGTGATGACAGGTGCGAATGTGGACTGAGCCACTCAGGAACTTGGAAAATTATTTGCATAGCTATTTCATTCAATCCTCATAACAACAAACTGAAGTAGACGTGAATATGTCCATTTTACAGGGATGAAACTGAGTCTCAATATTTGTAACCACCTTGCTCTAGGTTACTCTAGGTTACTGGACAAGGTGGGATTTGAACCCAGGTCAATCTAATTCCAGATCTCAGGCCTTGAGCTTCTACATGACACTAGTTTAATCCCTTCTTGCCAAGAATTCTTTCTAAGAGATAAGGCAAATCTGCTGTACTATCTTTAATTCTATAATGATATGAATAGAGCTATTATTATTTTAATATTATCAATTAGTAACTTAGAAATTCTCCCAAAGAGTCAAACAATTGGAAAAAGTACAATGTGGCACAAACCTCACAAACTTTTAGCAGTTCATTATTTGGTCCATGGGTGGGAAGGCAGCATGGCACAGAGGAAAAAGCCAGGACATGGGCTAGGCTGGGCTGGGCTGGGCTGGGCTGGGTTAGAGACCTGGGCCCATACTGCTGACTACATGGACCTGGCCCATCTCTAACCCCTCTAAGTCCTAATTTCCTCACCTACAAGGAGTGGCTAAAATGTCTTTGTTGAAAGAATGTTAGATTGATTGCAAATCATAAATTAAATGTGTCTGGGCAGTGTCTGGCAACGCAAGTGCTATGTGGTTCCTACTAGATAAATGGTAGAAAAGCTCTTGGCACAAACCGCCCAAGCCTGTCATGCTCCTGGGATAAGACTACCTTCAAGCCCTGCCTGATTTCATTCCTGTCCATGTCACCAGCCCCATCTTTAGCCATTTTCCTTTTCATTGATTTTTTTCTCATTTCTCATGTGGGACAGTGTCACCCTTCCACCCCAGGGTCTTTGAATATGCCATTTCCTTGGCTGAAAAATAATCTTTCACCCTTGTATGAATGCACTGTTCTGTCTTGTCCTTGAGATCTCAGCTCAAATGTCACTTCCCCAGGGGAGTCTTTTCTGAAGCCCCAAAGCATCAGGCCCCCCTTATAGATTCCCAGGGTGCTTTCCGATTTGGGATACCCTTCCCAGTGGTAATTAAGTACTTAATTCACCATTAATTGTTTAATGTCTGTCTCCATCACCAGCATTGACCTCCAACAGGGCAGAGGCTGCATCTGCCATATTTATTCTCTCTCCCCAGATCCTGGCATGGGGCGTCGCTCCTAGTTGGTGCTTGATGAATATTCATTGAATGAATGAATAAATGAGCTGATGAATAAAGGATTGCCTTATTTCAAGGATCCCCCTTTACACTTTCTAACCTGTTTTTACTAAAAGAAGACCACTTGATGTGAGCCAGGAAGACTTTTACCAAAAGTTTTTGCCAAAAGCTGTGCCCTTTTTACCCCTGATGAGAGCAGAACTTCCTGGGGGACCATTTGTTACCTGTGGCGCAGAAGCCTTGTGTACCAAATGAGCTGCATCCACTCCGACCAGAGCGATACACTGGATGATAAAAAGATATCACCTCCCTGAAACAGATGCTTCATTTTATGATAGAAACAGAGACGCTGAAGCCTGCAGGTGCCGGGCTGACACGCGCTCTGCAGAGAATCATTAGAGCCTCCTTAGAGAACTGGGTTTACTCTGTGTTTAATCAGCCCCAGGCAGAAGAAATGGCTTCATTTCAGCTCGACGAGAGCCAGATCACAAAAGGAAGATAGATGGCCAATACGGCTCATCACTATAAGCATATTGTCTTAATTTGAAGGAACAGCCTGGCACCCGTGCTAATCAGGAAAGAAAGTGCAATATGGCTAGCACTGAAGGCCAGTCAGTTTAACTCTCAGTGTACCCCTTAAGGAGAAGCTCTCATTTATTTTCTTAATTAATATTTTAAGGGAAGTGAGAATCACAAAACACATTACTCAATCACTTAAGAAGTTCCTTGGCTTAGAATTAAAGATGCTCCAGGAAAGACTTTTTATACCTGAAAACTGTGAATCTCTACCTAGAAAAAAGTCTTAAAGCCGGTGAATAAAGTGGCTTAGGAAGGTAAGGTCTATTAATTTGCTGGCTGCTTTTAATATTGGTCACGTTTGGCAGTTGATCCAGAAATAGCTACAAATAGAGACGACATCAGATCTATTGTGTGGAAACTTGCTGGTCTCTTGTAGGCTCTTGTTTTTCATGGCTCAGTCCTGTGCTTGTTCTTCACCACCCTCAGCTTTATTGAGGTGTAATTGACAAATAAGGATTATATATTTAGGCTGGACATGGCAGCTCATGCCTGTAATCCCAGCATTCTGGGAGCTGAGGCGGGTGGATTGCTTGAGCCCAGGAGTTCGAGACCAGCCTGTGCAACATGGCAAAACCCTGTCTCTACAAAAACACAAAAATTAGCCAGGTGTAGTGGCAGCTACTGGGGAGGTTTAGGTGGGAGATCACTTGAGCCCGGGAGGCTAAGGTTGCAGTGAACTGAGATTGAGCCAATGCACTCCAGCCTAGGCCACAGAGCCAGACCCTGTCTCAAAAAAAAAAAAAAGGTTATAACTTTAAGGCATGCAATGTGGGGTTTTGATATACCTTGTAAAATGATGACCACAATCATGCTAGTTAACATGTCCATCATGTCACATCATTACCTTTCTCTCCCTTGTGGTCAAAACATTTAAGATCTACTCTCTTAGCAGGCCAGGCACAGTGCCTCACGCCTGTAATCCCAACATTTTGGGAGGCCAAGTCAAGTGGATTACTTGAGGTCAGGAGTTAGAGACCAGCCTGGCCAACATGGTGAAACCCCGTCTCTACTAAAAATACAAAAATTAGCCCGGTGTGGTGGTGTGCTTCTGTCGTCCCAGCCACTCGGCAGGCTGAGGCAGGAGAATCGCTTGAACCTGGGAGGTGGAGGTTGCAGTGAGTGGAACCTCTGCATTCCAGCCTGGGCGATAGAGCAATATTGTATCAAAAGCAAACAAACAAACAAACAAACAAACAAACAAAAAACTACTCTCCTTGCAAACTGCAAGTATACAATACATTATTATTAACTAAGTTACTTTCTGTACATTAGATCTCCAAAATTTATTCACTCTGCATAACTGAAATATTGCACCCTTTCACTAACTCGCCCGCGTCCCTC
Source organism: Homo sapiens (assembly GCF_000001405.40). NCBI lineage: Eukaryota > Metazoa > Chordata > Mammalia > Primates > Hominidae > Homo > Homo sapiens. Next base: position 96,221,714 of record NC_000015.10, on the reverse strand, counting down.
CTCACGCGCTTCCCCTGACAACCATCATTGTACCCTCTTCATCTGCGTGCTTTTGCCCCTCTAGAACTTGCCTTGGTTAGGACTGCAAAATGGATATTCAGTTCAGTCGCTCTTAGCTTCTCGATTGCCCCAAAATGCCAGAAAAGGGATTTTAAGCTTGTGAGGAGCAATAATACATATCTGAACTCAGCATCCTTGCCAAACCTCTCTTATTTGAAGTAAAAGCAGATAATGAGTAGTGTGGGTACTTACAAACAAGTGGATGTTTTAGAATCATTTGGTATGTGTCACATCCATGTTTTCATTATATCCCCTGAGCCTTAGCACAAAGAGCTTTAACAGCCCTTCCACCCCAGCGACTGTTTTCCAGATGTTCTGAAACAACATCAAGTGACCCACTTTACCCCTGAGAGATACATAAAGGTGCATTTATGGAGAGACTGGATGAGTGAGGCTGAGACATTCGCTCAGCAGCTTAGTCCTAGATAATCTCCCATGAACGCAGTATCGAATCTTACTTTTTACCTAAGGCACATTGAGTACGGTTTCTAGAAAATGATATGCGAAACACTGCTAAAGTGAAGAAGAAACTTAAGAAGCTTAGCAACGGATGTAGAAATATTATCATCAGCTATCAGGGTAATAGTATCCAGTCATTTTCCACCTACAGGCACAAGATTTAGGCTTAAGCAGCTGAAGACAACACAGAAAGTGTGCAGTCTTAGAGTGTTTAAATATCGGCACGTCAAGGGGAAGGACTTTAAAACCTGGACAAGTGTCATTTGATTTTTGTGCTGGATAGGATGAAAGCAAAATCACAATTGCAGAACTGAAAATACCCAAGAGGCACGCCAAGGTTCATTGAGAAGCCATACCATGGAAACAAGAGAAATCATCATTTGTAGATAGGAGATTGTTTCATTCTTTGCACATGGGCAGCAAATACCAGAGCAGTCTCTGGGATCAGAACCCAGCTCTTTGCCTCTGTAAGGGAGATGAGCCATTTCTCAAGGACCAACAATATGTTGCCTTATATTCAGTCATAGGGGAAGAGCTACTGATTCCTTCCAAACATGGGCATCAGGCCACATGTCAAAATCTGGCAAGAAGGTGGGAGAATTCTTCCATAGCACATCTGTTTGTGTAGATGACATTGAGTGAAAAAGGTGCCCCCTCCCCAACTCCCAAAGTAAGCAACATGCCAAAATCTTGACGTGAAATGTACTTAATTTTCTACAGTATGTCAATCACCCAATGTCTGCTGTGCAAAATGAACAACCTTCTGGCGTGACTTCCATTGCCACTGGCACAGAACTCACTGCAGTCATCCCGTTGAGGTACTTTATGCATGAAAGGGAAAGTGAGCCCACGTGAGGGGGGTCGGACAGCTCTCAGAATGCCTGCTAGTGGCCTGCTGTTTAGCAACCATTTACATGGGACCAACTAATGGATGACAGTCCTATTGCTGAGTTCAGAAATAGACACCCTCTCATATCTTGGGAGGCTGGGAAGTCTTGCTTGGCACTGACATGTTGGTCTAACTTAAACTTTGGTGAAGAAGTACAACTCTGACTGCATGACAAGGTGGATGCCCACTTGAGATAAAATGAACTACTTTTTGCTTTGAAAATCTGTGGTCTGGAACATCCAAGATTGATCATTTTGAGTCAATTGCCATTGCTGGTGCTTTTCTGATTCCTGCCGCTGATTTGTTCATAGTTAGAAACATGAGTTAAATTACCCTTATCTTAACATCCTTAACCATCAATGTTGTTATTGGTCATAAAATTAGGCACTTCCTGTCATTTCAAATCCACTGACAGTTTTGGGTGGTTTGAGTTGAGTGGGTTGGACAAGGGGAAATAGGTGATTTCCGCTGCTTCTTGTGGAGTTAATCTCTCATCCAGATACTGCTAAAGCATCTCTTTCAACGGCAGTCTTTATTCTTAGTTTAGCAGCATCAGTGTAAACAACAAGTTTCTTTAGAATGCTCCAACTCAAAGTCCAAATGACAGATGATTTCCCAGTCCTGAAGAAGTCATTTAAGCACTTGTATTTCTTTTCTTTTGTTTTTTTTTTTGTTGAGATGGAGTCTCACCCTGTCGCCCAAGCTGGAGTTTAGTGGCATGATTTCAGCTCACTGCAACCTCTGCCTCCCGGGTTCAAGCGATTCCCCTGCCTCAGCCTCCTGAGTAACTGAGATTACAGGCACCCACCATGAAGCCCAGCAAATTTTTTGTATTTTTAGTAGAGACAAGCTTTCACCATGTTGGTCAGGCTGGTCTCGAACTGACCTCAAGTGATCCACCAGCCTCGGCCTCCCAAAGTTCTGTGACTACAGGCATGAGCCACCGCACCCAGCCTCACTTATATTTCTTTCAGCAATTTATTCCAGTTTGAACAAGACAGTCAATTTCTCATTTAAATATGGAGCAAGCAGGTTATGTGTGTGGAAACAAAAATATCTGGCAACCATTCAAGGTTTGGATGAAAAGAAGGATGTGGAAACATGTTACAGCTAGAAATGATTACTTTATTGTAACTGCCATTTGATATCTGGGGGCTTCTCTCTTCTCTGCACAAATCTCTGTTCTTAAAAGTCCTTTTGGGGAAGCTCCGGGCTCCCCACACCATCCCCTCCTCCACCAAATAGCTGCTGGGCTGCTCACATGGTCAAGCTGGCCTTGAATCTAGAAAGTATTTGCAGCTTCATCTATGTCGGCAAGTTTTCCTTTCCCCTAAGTAAAACACTTGTTTCAGCTCACATGTTTTGTTCAGTGTGAAATATCTTAGCTGCTAAAATGTCACTTCTGTGGCAAATATTTCCTCAAGGAAACATTTGTAAATATCTTCAAAAAGAAGGACTCATCCCTTACACCAACAAAAATATAGCCAAGTCAGCACATGTGTTTCTAAAATCCTCCTTCCTTTATAAAAGTCAGGCTTTTTCCTACTAACTGATCAGCAGGAAGAAGTATATATATATGTCCATGTCCTCCATGTACTTGACCTACTGAGGCTCAGAGGGGCTAAAACACCTTTGAGTATAGCATTGATCTTAGCAATCTTGTAATGGGGTGTATTAGTCTGTTTTCACACTGCTGATAAAGATACACCTGAGACTGGGTAATTTACAAAGAAAAAGAGGTTTAATGGACTCACAGTTCTATGTGGCTGGGGAGGCCTCACAATCATGGTGGAAGGTGAAAGGGACATCTTATATGGCGGCAGGCAAGAGAGGGAATGAGAACCAAGTGAAAGGGGTTTCCCCTTATGAAACCCTCAGATTTCTTGAGACTTATTCACTACCACAAGAACAGTATGGGGGACACTGCCCCAGTGATCAATTACCTCCCACCAGGTCCCTCCCACAACATGTGGGAATTATGGGAGCTACAATTCAAGACTAGATTTGGGTGAGGACACAGGCAAACAATTTCACAGGGTTTCCAACTGGCAGGTTTTTGGAAAACTGAGACCAGCCACTTGTATGGGTGCCTCTCAAGGGATCAATGAGAACAGGAAGTGATCAATGCTCTCTCATACTCATAGCATGTCTGGGACTCTGAGTGCCCAGAATTCTGCCCCATGTAGAATAGAACCTTGCTAAAGGTTGAGCCCACCCTAAATCTAGAGGAATCACCGCTGCACAGAAAACTTCTATCAACTCCTTTCTGTGCTGTGTGAACATAAGACTCATCTCAGTGTAATGTTGTGAGAAAATTCATGCTCCATCACTAAGAAACAGCTGTGTGTTGCCACAGTCATTAACTTTTGAAAGATGTTAAAGGCAGGTATTTGTTTGAAGCCAGTCACTTCAGACAGAGCTTCCCCTTCAGGTTTCCTTCTGGTTCTCTAAGTGTTACCTTGCTTCTCTGATACAAGTAGGGGAAACCAGCACCAGAAATTTATGGCTTCTATTAAGAGGGTTGGCTGGACGTGTGGACAATATGTCAATAATTATTTCTGGTGGGGATCTAACAGCAGAGGAAGTGTCTTTGTAGAATAGCTTATTTTAACAGAAGACAGATCTGCCTGACCTGGGTTTTATGACAGATGTCAAATATATCGAAGTGTGTTGTGAAGCAGATTGCCTTATTGGCAAAGAAATGAAAGACCACCAGGAAGATGTATGGGAAACTTTCCTTGAGGGGTTTCGTGCCTCTTGGTGCAGGTGCGGCAGTAAACCTGGAGAAAGGCCAGTGGGAAGGTGAGAGTGGAGACTGTGGGGAGCAGTTTGAACTTCTGCCTATCCATGAGACTTGGAAACAAAAGACCCTAAGCCCCAGAGGGTTGATGGAAAATGGGGTGGAAGAAAGGGAGAGCAGGGCAGCTCACATGAGAGCAGTTAAGGGACAAGGGTAAAGCAAGTGAGGCCACCCGAGAGAGAGCACCCCCTCACTTGTCTCATCTGAGGTGCCTGCTCAAGAATGGGTTGTTCTCCAACTTTCCTTCTTGAGTTCAGTTCAACAAGTATCAGTGCCCTGTGCCAAGAGCTGAGCTGGGCATTAGAGAAGAATGCTGAATACACAGGCTCCCTACTCCAGTCCCCATTTTCCTTCCTCTGGAAAGAAACCACTTTAGTGTCCAGGGAGGACATGGTGTCCTGGGGTCACTTATTAGCTGCTGGGTAGCCTGAGGCAAGTGTGTTCATGTCTCTGAGCCTCATTTCCCTGAACTGGACAAAGGAGCTCAGGACCTGCCCCATAGAGTTGAGGATTGAGAAGGACAGTGCCCTTGTACTTGACCCATAGTAGGTATGGGAAAGAAGGTTTAGGAGCCCATCTGTTCTGAGTTTGTCCAACGCACAGTGCTTCATAGGGCTCCTCCAGTTCTCATTTACTCTCTACAATATGGGAAGTACATTTCATGATTTTGATTAAAAATGAGGAGGCAGAAGGGATGGTAAAGAGAATCACTCTCTGATTTGTGGCACTACTCACAATAGCAAAGACTTGGAACCAACCCAAATGTCCAACAATGATAGACTGGGTGAAGAAAATGTGGCACATATGCACCATGGAATACTATGCAGCCATAAAAAATGATGAGTTCATGTCCTTTGTAGGGACATGGATGAAGCTGGAAACCATCATTCTCAGCAAACTACCGCAAGGACAAAAAACCAAACACCACATGTTCTCACTCATAGGTGGGAATTGAACAATGAGAACACTTGGACACAGGAAAGGGAACATCACACAGTGGGGCCACCAAAGTGTGGCCACCAAAAAGTTGGTCAGATACAGAAACTATAAAGGGAGTAGTGAGGATCACTCAACTGTTTGCCTTTCGTCTCAAAAAGACGGAACTTCAGGTAATTTATGTGGCCCTTCACTGAAATTATCTTCCATTAGATTATAAGCTCCTTGTATTCTTATTCCGTGAGCTTCCTTTGTCACAAAAGGTTAGCAGGAAACTGTGCCCCTTGAGACAGATGGATAACAAAAAAGCCACCCTTTCTCCAGGCTGCTGTAGTCAGTAATGGTGGCTTCGGTGGGAGGACAACATGGTGGTTTTCAGCTGCCCCTTCAACCGGGCTCCCATGTCTGGGCACAATCTACACCACTGTTTGTGGTGGCCCTGTGAGCCCTTAGCACAGCTAAGCCCGAAGTGCATAGTCAGTAAATGTTTTCCAACTCAATTTATTACAGTCACTGTTGTGCAGAAAATGATGGCATTATGTTTTCAAAGAGATTACTTTAGTCATTGGAAAAACATAATAGAGAAATTATGGGTAAAATGTAAAAAGTCACTGCAACAGTATTCTTTTGTGTTCTTAAATGTTTCTTCTTTGAGTCCATCATGAGAAAGAATACAGTATTTCATTCCTTCTGGCTTTGCTGGCTATAAACCATTAAGGGTTTTGTGTGTTTTTTAAGTGATTGGAGGGCCCATGGACTACAGTTATGAGAAAAGCTTGGAGAAACTGAGGCAGGACAAATAATTAAAGAAGGATATTTAGACTGGACTCAGTGGTTCACACCTGTAATCCCAGCACTTTGGGAGCCTGAGGTGGGAGGATCACTTGAGGCCCGGAGTTCAAGACCAGCTTGGGCAACATAGTGAGACCCTATCTCTACAAAAAATTTAAAAGGATATTTACATTTTTACATGTGTGGGATTCCCCAGGATTAGATAAGGTAGCTGAAATACAGAAACCAAGAAAAGCTCACAGAAAATGTTAGCTGTGGTATAGAATATTGGTTTGAACTATTTTGCCTTCTTCTTATTCTTTAAAGGTGGTCTCGATGGTAAAAGTAAAATCCTTAATAAATGGAAGAGCTGTACAGTCTTCTGTTTTGGACTTTTGTTTGTCCCATTTTGTGGTAGTATCATAGGGAAATCTTTAGAATGCAGATCTTGTTTACTTGCCACTTCTCCCCCTTGATCTACTGGGCTTTTGACCACTTCACCTGCAAAGAGGAAACTCTCAGAAGGAGGTGGAATGTAAGTTGTTTTCATAGATTTTACCCTCCAAACCAACTTCCAAAGTGATTAACTGCTTTTTCTAAGAAGCAGAGAGTAGAAATGTCCATGCAGAAAAAAAAAACCAGCAGTATCTGCTTTTATGTTTAAAAAGTGGGGCTGGACATGGATGGTGGCTCATGCCTGTAATCCCAGCACTTTGGGAGGCCGAGGAGGGCAGATCTCTTGAGCTCAGGAATTCAAGACCAATGTGGGCAACATGGCGAAACCTTGTCTCTACCAAAAATCCAAAAATTTATGGGGCATGGTGGCATGCACCTGTGGCCAGCTACTCAGGAGGCTGAGATGGGAGGATCTCTTGAGCTCGGGAGGCAGAGAGGTTGCAGTGAGCTGAGATCACACCACTGCACCCCAGCCTGGGCAACAGAGCACGACCCCATCTGAAAAAAGGAGGGTGAAGTGGGTAAAGTGCAAACTGAAAACAAGAATTTCCCTGGAAATGAAGCAACTGCCTTGAGTCAGATGCTAGGGATGAGATTTGTCCCTCCTAAGGAGGGGTTGCTGAAGTCCTTCATCTCTTAGCCTGGCTTGACATATGGAAGGAGAAATGATATTCAATTTGAATCTAGAAAGTGTAGAATCTGTCACTGGGCAGAACAAGGGCCACATGGCTTTTCAACCACAGGACTATTTCACAAATTCATGTTCTTTTCCCTTCATTTTGACTCTTTTTTGGTCCCCTCTGCTCATTTTATTTCCCCTTGAGTTTGTATTAAATTCATTACATGCTCTTAAGGGAGAGAGGTTCTCAAGAGTGGGGAAGATGCTACCAGTAAAAAAAAGTTGGCGGGGGGAAGAAGTCAGCCTTGGTGCATTGAACTAAACTATAGTTTATCTCAAATTATTTCCCCCCTTTTGGAGAACAATCTACTGTTCTCCTCGAAGAAGCTTAAAGTCTCAAAGGCCTTTATTAACTTGATCTTTGGGAATAGTGTTTTAATTTTTCCATAATCATCATGCAAATTGATCATGATAATATCTGGAAAGGAAAATAAGTGAACCAATGGCCTCATTAACTCCAGTGCTAGGGAGACCCATGTTCCTGAGAGCTGGTGCCTTTACCCCATGGTGGCTCAGGACTTCATTGTGTATGACTTGGCCCATACCCAGTGGGAGCTGTGGAACGTTCCCTGCCTGGCGTGTTTAAATTGCCTCATGCATTTTACTCCCTTACAAAATAATAGGGGAAAGGTTCCAACCTTACAAAAGAAATGTTTGCATTCTACTCAGTTCTAAGCAGGATCTCCGACTCTCCTATAACAGAACCATACCACTGATGCAACATGTCTTTTCCGGACTTTACCTTAATGACATTGAGGTCTCAAATTGCTAGACCTTGGGTGATAATTGAGTCAGTCAGCATTAAAATGTATGGCTCAGATGCATAACTCTGAATGCTGTTCTGCTGAATTAGGAGGCTTTTTAGAGTGTGTTTTAATTTTAATTTAACACTGACAATGGCAAAGACAAATAGATCTGTCCAAAATATACTTAGTAACAGTTTTTTGAGTTGGTTATTAATTTTATATAAGTAGTTTCTCTTTTTATTTTTATACACTATAAAATTCAGTAGAAATCAGAATCAAATGCAATACACTTTTATTGATTGCCTGCTATGTGTCAAACAAGGTGTTGAATGTTTTCGAATGCTGTCTCATTTATCCTCATCTTACAGATGAGGAAAATGTGGTGTAAAGAGGTGAAATAGCTTGCTAGCTGGAGAGGGGCAGAGTCATTTACAGATCTACCTCATCATTGACAAATTTTGGATGCAACGCTTTGAAAATTAATTTCTTCAGTGCTACGTACAGCTAATAACTGTTTCTCAGTAGACCTTGTCCTATCAGTGAGTAGAAAGGAAGTGCTTATAAGCCTGGGGGCCACGGGGCACCATAAACATCTGGGCATGGATTGTCACTCAGTGGGTGTCCAGGACCATACTTTGAGGCACACCAGTGTCTTTCACTGCCTCATCATATCTGTGGCTGAAAATGATCTCTTCCTCTTTTGGAGACAATTGCCTTCTAGGGAAGTACAGATGCAGGAAGGTATGCACAAAGCTGATGTTGGAAAGCAATCACCTAACAACCAGATGGGTTAGCCAAAGGCATCTGCCTCCTGAGACAGAGCAGGGCCACATGCACATCTCCCTCTGGAAAACCCCATTTATCTCAGCTGCAGTGAGAAAAGGGGTTATATGTTCTTTTAATCACTTCTACCTCTCTGGAGAAATTTTATATGAATATGCATCAACACCAACTACCTGTAAGCTATTATGTTAGAATACAATAAACTATACCTTCTACCAGCTTTGTTGAGTGTCTACTAAATGCTGGGAATTGTGCTAGGCGTTACAGTTCCAAAGACAAAAGGGCCTAATATTCTTGTAGGGAAGGTGGACTTACGAACAGACGCCTGCAAAATTAAAGAGCTGATGGGCAGCAAGCACCAAGAATGACTTGAGGAAGGTGTTGGACAGGTAGTAACACTGGGGCTGGGACTTGAAGTTATTAGTAAAAGTTCCTTGGATGAAAAAGTTGGGGGAAATGTATCCTATTTTGAAGGAACTTCCTACTTAACTTGGCAAAACAAGAGTATGCTTTTGCCTTTTAAATAGCAATAAACATGGTGTAATTGGTTTAGGAAGGCTGTGCTCCATGGAGAAGAGCTGGTACTACATTTAATTTATCTTGTAGCATAGTGTTTTCTCAAACTATGCTTAGAAGAATACTGGTTCCTCGAGGTGTTGATTGGTGTTGTCTGGAAATACAAGGAGCTTCTGAGGCCAAGTAATGTGGCAAACACTGGGGTAGGCCAGTTACCTGGGGTTAACTTTCCGGCAGGACTTCTCAGAGTCTTTAATATGCTACTCTGCATCATAAATTTTCAAGAGCTTGCCCTGTACCTATTTGTCTTTCCCTTTTCATAGTGCTCACAGGGTTTCATGGATCTCAGCATAGAAAAGGCTGCTTTAGGGTAGAGGCAGCTGCCAGCAGTCTTTAGAAAGTGAGTGATTTCTATTTCAGAAAGGTAACACTGAGCACCTGGGAAGGAAAACGCCAAGGATGAGAAACTAGACCCAAGGCAACCTATAATGAGGCTGTTAAAATTTTCTAGGCACAAGAAAATGAGGCTCAGAATTAGGGCAGTGAAAATGTGAGGGAAGAGATAGAATTGAGAGATACTTAGGAGGTAGAATGGATACTCCATAACCACAAGGATGGTGAATGAGAGAATAAAATAGTTGAAGGTGAATCCCAAGTTTCTAGCTGGGAAGCTTGGACAGAGAAGTGTTGGGTAGAAGATGAAAAACAATTTAATTTGGGACATACGGATAAAGATGGTCAACTCATAGCCAGCAACTGGTGATACTAATGAAGCAAGGTATTTCCCTGACCTCTTCATGGGTGGGAACTGGAGTGCATGGGTGCTAGAACTAGCTGGCCACTTTGGTGCTGGCACGGGTGGACTCCACTCTCTTGGTCCTGCTGTGTTTCACCCCTTGTGGGAGCGGGGGGAGAACAGGTGAGTGGGTGCAGGAGCCAGGGAGAGTGCTTTTGGGCACTGGCAGGAGCTAAACTTTGTGCAGGCCCTTCAGCAGCATCTAGGGGAGTGCCCACTACCTCTAAAGCTTCAGAAGGAGTGCCACAGTGCTCCTTTAGCTTTCCTGTCTGTGGATCACTTAAGTGTTAACAGCTCAGTGGAGGGTCAGTGTGACAGCCTTTTGCACCTGCACTCGTGGCATCTGAATTCTTGTCTGGTATCCTGTAGTAATGAGGTCGCATGAATGAATTGGTGATGGTAAATGTGGGGGATTTTGTTGGTGAAAGTGGCTGGAAGGGGAGCTGAAAAGGGGAAAGAGCAGGAAGGTGAACTTCCCCTGGAGTCTGGTCATCTCCAGCTGGACTCCTTCCAAGGCTACACTGTCAAGCTGTCCCTCTGAAGTCAAGCTGCTTCTCTCCAGTGTCCAACCATAGTTTTTCCTCATCCAGCTTCTTTTCCTCTCTCTGCTGGCTGAGCCTGGGGTTTTTATGGTCACAGGATGGGGGACGGGGTGGGCCATGGGTGGTTTTGGGAGAGGCAACATTCAAGAGGGACAACAGGGATTTTTACTCCCACTTTTGGCTGCAGTATTAGGCTTTTCAGCTTGAAGGTGGGGCCGGGGACCTGCCCTCTTCTGCCCAGAGTTTCCCTGGCTCTGGTCCCTATCAATAATCTGCAGTTCAGGGCACAGATGAACATATTTTTATCTTTCTTTGATGCTTCAAGTGACTCTATTATCTTGCAATGTCTTCAGGTCGTCATAATTAACATCATGTTGTTGACTATAAATGTTTAACAATGCAGGTTGTAGAGAGCTGTGCTTAATAGAAAGCTGAATACAAATTATTCGTTGAGATACTAACATGTGCCTAGCACAGCAATACTACGTAAAGAAAAAGCAAGCAAGCAAACAAACAAACAAAAAAGGGAAAAATAAAAAGACATATCCCTTGCTTAATTTGTTTATTATCTTAAGCCTAGAGAAGGTATTACAAGTGGTCAGAATAGCAGTGTTAAGATTCTGACCTTTCACTTGCTATGTGACCTAGGGCAAGATACATAACTTTTTAGTGCTTGGGTTTTTTCATTTGTAAAATATTATTTGTAGATTATTAGTGTCTTTCTCATTAAGGAGTTATGAGGTTTAGCTAGGGTTAAACAAAAAAAAAAAAAGATTTACTTCATTCTGAAAGTATAATAAAATAAATTTCTTTAGGAAATAATGTATGCATTGTGATCTATTTAATAAGTTTTACTGTTACTTTATTTGGTTTCCAGGTAATACCAAATAATAATGTGTCTATTTGAATTGCAAAAATCAAGCTGGTTTGAATTAAAGAAGTGTGAAAAACTCCTAGCTTGGCAAAATATGTAACACTTCTATCAATTAAAAATAGGTAAAATGTGTTAAAAAATAATGAAAAGTTCATGCTTTAATTGAACTGGCTTTTTTCAAAAGCCTATATTTTTTACGAAGCTTAATGAAACAAAAATTGAAATGGTGCCCATTATGAAATCTGTGTTAATTGTTATTATTCCCATAAAGTTCACATGACTAAAAAAATGCATACTACCTGCCTTTCGTTTTCTCTGTATTTATTTTTCTGTATATCTTCACCATGGCAAACAGAGCATTTACTAAATTGAAAACTTCCTTTAAACACACTGGAAACTTTTGACACAAAATTGCTAGAATTATAGGGTATTTTTGTCAATCTGACAAAACTTCCTTCATTCTTCCTGATTTAAACGCAAGACTGTTTCTCTACTTATCTCCAATACTGTCATCATCTTAAATATCGTTGTGCTGGAAGGCATTGCAATATTAATTAAAAATACAGTCTAATTATTTACCCTAGTTGGTTCATACAAACCTCTTTGGTATAATCAGTGGACTCCCTTAAGGGGTTTCACGGTATTTCGGAGTGAAATAGAAAGGTTTGTTACTGACTTGGACTTGGCTCATGAGTGTAATTAAGTATAACCTACAATTCACCTTTAGGTCACCAGATCAAATACAACTTATCTGGGCAATGTCCAAAGGTATGTGCTGATGTTGACTGAGTGCTGACGGGCGGCATACATAAACGAATGGAACTTTTAATTTACCTCCAGGCGTCTCGGAGAACATTCCGGGTGTTTCAGCGAGTCAGAGGGAAAGCAGAGGGCAGCCAAAGAGGTCCTTCATTTTAGACAGTCCCCAGGACAAAGCAGCACAAACCAAGTTGAAAGAGCTGCTCAGATGGCTGAAGGTGTTTGGCGACAACCTCTTCCCACTTCTGGCCTTAGTGCTAACCTAAAGTTGCAGGGCAACCTTTGCTAGCTGTTGGTGTTGTGCTATGAAGCCTCCTGGATGTGCCTGGGGCTCAGTCATTGGAGAGATTGCCTTCTCAAGGAAAGCAGTGAAGTGTTTCCAGGTCCAGCACAGTGCTCAGATCCAGGCTTCAAAACTATGTCCTTGGGCTCATCTGGCATAACAGGGGTTCAATTGATTTCTCAAGGAGTCTTAAAGCGTCCATTTGTCTTTCTCACAAATATGTTTTAGAAAAAGTGACAATAAGGCCAGGTGCAGTGGCTCAGGCCTGTAATTCCAGAACTTTGTAAGGCTGAGGTGGGTGCATTGCTTGAGCCCCACAGTTTGAGACCAGCCTGGACAACAGAGTGAAACCCCATCTCTCATATATATATATGTAAAATATTTAATTTGTATATATAATTATAATATATTATATATATTTAATATGTATAATAAATATAATGGCAGCATGTGCCTGTAGTCCTAGCTACTCAAGAACCTGAGGTGGGAGGATCGCTTGAGCCTGGAAGGTGGAGGTTGCAGTGAGCTGAGATCAAGCCACTGCATTCCAGCCTGGGCAACTGAGCAAGACCCTGTCTCAAAGAAAAAATAAATAAAGGAATAAAATGCTCTCGACTCCCATTTTAAGATAAAAATCAGTGTCTGAAAGCCCTACTCAGTTTGAAACATTGAATTGCCTGGCCTAAGGAAGAAGAGAAGTTCACAAGCAGCCCCATAAGGTGATAAAAGAGTTTGGCAAATGGAAAACAGCAGTACAAATAAAATAATCTTCAGTTCTAAATATTGAAATCGATTAGAAATTATAGTGGCTAGGGCCAGGCATGATGTCTTACGCCTGTAATCTCAGCACTTTGGGAGGCTGAAGTGGGCGGATCACTTGAGGCCAGGAATTCAAGACCAGCCTGGCCAACATGGCAAAACCCCGTCTCTACTAAAAATACAAAAATTAGCCGGGCGTGGTGATGCACACCTGTAATCCCAGCTACTTGGGAGGCTGAGGCACAAGAATTGAACCCGGAGGCAGACGTTGCAGTGAGCAGAGATCATGCCACTGTACTCAAGCCTGGGCGACAGAGCAAGACTCTGTTTTAACAAAAACAAAAAGAAATTACAGTGGCTGAACTGTAAATTTATTGGTGGATATTGTGGGAAATGAGAAGAAAATGGTAGTTTAGGCTAGATATGGAAGGCTTTGACTATCTCGAGTGTTTTTTTTTTTTTTAAATATCCAAAGCCGGTGGTGTAGTTTTACCTGCATAACCAACTCAACAGGAAGATTTCGATTAATCTAGAATTGAGTGGGAATAGGTATTTTGTATGATTTTTCCTAATTGAATACAACCTAAAATTTTGGCTAAGTTAAGAGTTCCAGGAAGAAATGGATGAATCAGGTGTTTGCAGTCAGGAAGGTAATTCAAGACGCTGAAGTTTTGTGAGGAAGATAGTAGATGGTGTCTCCCCTGAGGTGATCTGTGAAGAGGAAAAAGAATAAAGCAACCAGAGATTGTGGCCTTTGGGTTTCTGCCTGCTGAGAAATGACAGATAGAATCCCAGCCAGCTGGAAGCTCTGATTCACAGAAACAGGAGAGGTCATGTGAGATATAAAGTCAAACAGGGCTACATGCATAGTTGCTAAGTTTTATTTTAAAACTTGTTAATCTTGTTATTGGGGGATTGGACTGGACTTCGGTGGAATCTGCTAGAAAGCATTATAAAACAAATCACATCTGTTCCTGCAAATAAGCTGTCCATCCACCCATTCCCTTAAAAATATTTATTGAACTCCTACTATGTGCTAGTTATGAGATAAACAAAAGCAGACAGCCCCCTGACCTCATGGAGCTTACAGTCAAATGAAGTGCCCAAGGACTTGGATACAGTGGGAATGTGAGCAGAGTGAGAGGTGCAGAGAAGAGGTGGACAATGGCCAGGCCATACAGGCCCCTGGAGGGCAGGGAAACTATTTTATTTTTAATATTAAAGGAAAGGAGGACCCATTGAATACTTAAAAAAATTTTTTTTTCATTTTATTTTGAAGTGGAGTCTCGCTCTGTCGCTCAGGCTGGAGTGCAGTGGTGCGATCTCAGCTCACTGCAACCTCCACCTCCTGGGTTCAAGTGATTCTCCTGCCTCAGCCTCCCGTGTAGCTGGGACTATAGGCTCATGCCACCATGCCTTGCTAATTTTTGTACTTTTTTTTAGTAGAGACAGGGTTTGCTATGCTGGCCAGGCTGGTTTTGAACACCGGACCTCAAGTGATCTGCCTGCCTCGGCCTCCCACATTGAGAACTTTTAAGCAGGGAAATTATATGATCAGTCAGACTAGCTTCTAGGATTTTTTTTTCCTCCTGCATCTTCATGGGATTTTTTTGATGCCCAATTTCTCCCCGCTGACCATGTAGATGCAGTTTTCTAATGACCTCAGAAAATTGACTAGGGCGTGAAAGCTGTTGTGTTGATGAACTGCAGAAGTGGAGAAGGATGAAGAGACCATGTTTTCCAGTTTAGTTCGGACACTCACCACCTTACCACTGGATCGCACAGTAGCTTCATTAGTTGGCCTGGGTCTGATGCTTGCCTTTCCTGCCAGAAAAATTTTCTCAAACAATTGCTCATGGCATGGCCCTATCCAGAACCTCCACCAGGGCCCTAGGGCCACAGTGCCAGAGCATCTTACCAGAGCAACCCAGGTCATCCATGGAATGGTTCCTGTTGGTCTTCTATGTGTTATTGGCCATAAAGTTTGCAAAGCATCACTTCTTTTTTTTTTCTCTCTCTCTCTCTCTATATATAAAATACTTTAAGTTCTAGGGTACATGTGCACAACGTGCAGGTTTGTTACATATGTATACATGTGCCATGTTGGTGTGCTGTACCCATTAACTCATCATTTAACATTAGGTATATCTCCTAATGCTCTCTCTCCCCCCTCCCCCCCACTCCACAACAGGCCCCGGTGTGTGATGTTCCCCTTCCTGTGTCCAAAAGTTCTCATTGTTCAATTCCCACCTCTGAGTGAGAACGTGCAGTGTTTGATTTTTTGTCTTTGCAATAGTTTGCTGAGAATGATGGTTTCCAGCTTCATCCATGTCTCTACAAAGGACATGAACTCATCCTTTTTTATGGCTGCATAGTATTCCATGGTGTATATGTGCCACATTTTCTTAATCCAGTCTATCATTGTTGGACATTTGGGTTGGTTCCAAGTCTTTGCTATTGTGAGTAGTGCCGCAATAAACATACGTGTGCATGTGTCTTTATAGGAGCATGATGTATATTCTTTTGGGTATATACCCAGTAATGGGATGGCTGGGTCAAATGGTATTTCCAGTTCTAGATCCCTGAGGAATCGCCACACTGTTTTCCACAATGGTTGAACTACTTTACAGTCCCACCAACAGTGTAAAAGTGTTCCTATTTCTCCACATCCTCTCCAGCACCTGTTGTGTCCTGACTTTTTAATGATCGCCATTCTAACTGGTGTGAGATGGTATCTCATAGTGGTTTTGATTTGCATTTCTCTGATGGCCAGTGATGATGAGCATTTTTTCATGTGTCTGTTGGCTGCATAAATGTCTTCTTTTGAGAAGTGTCTGTTCATATACTTCACCCATTTTTTGATAGGGTTGTTTGTTTTTTTCTTGTACATTTCTTTGAGTTCTTTATAGATTCTGGATATTAGCCTTTTGTCAGATGAGTAGATTGCAAAAATTTTCTGCCATTCTGTAGGTTGCCTGTTCACTCTGATTGTAGTTTCTTTTGCTGTGCAGAAGCTCTTTAGTTTAATTAGATCCCATTGGTCAATTTTGGCTTTTGTTGCCATTGCTTTTAGACATGAAGTTCTTGCCCATGCCTATGTCCTGAATGGTATTGCCTAGGTTTTCTTCTAGGGTTTTTATGGTTTTAGGTCTAACATTTAAGTCTTTAATCCATCTTGAATTAATTTTTGTATAAGGTGTAAGGAAGGGATCCCGTTTCAGCTTTCTCCATATGGCTAGCCAGTTTTCCCAGCACCATTTGTTAAATAGGGAATCCTTTCCCCATTTCTTGTTTTTGTTAAGTTTGTCAAAGATCAGATAGTTGTAGGTGTGTGGTATTATTTCTGAGGGCTCTGTTCTGTTCCATTGGTCTATATCTCTGTTTTTGGTACCAGTACCATGCTGTTTTGGTTACTGTAGCCTTGTAGTATAGTTTGAAGTCAGGTAGCATGATGCCTCCAGCTTTGTTCTTTGGCTTAGGATTGACTTGGCAATGCGGGCTCTTTTTTGGTTCCATATGAACTTTAAAGTAGTTTTTTCCAATTCTGTGAAGAAAGTCATTGGTAGCTTGATGGGGATGGCATTGAATCTATAAATTACTTTGGGCAGTATGGCCATTTTCACAATATTGATTCTTCCTATCCATGAGCATAGAATGTTCTTCCATTTTTTTGTGTCCTCTTTTATTTTGTTGAGCAGTGGTTGGTTTGTAGTTCTCCTTGAAGAGGTCCTTCACATCCCTTGTAAGTTGGATTCCCAGGTATTTTATTCTCTTTGAAGCAATTGTGAATGGGAGTTCACTCATGATTTGGCTCTCTGTTTGTTATTGGTGTGTAAGAATGCTTGTGATTTTTGCACATTGATTTTGTATCCTGAGACTTTGCTGGAGTTGCTTATCAGCTTAAGGAGATTTTGGGCTGAGACGATGGGGATTTCTAGATATACAATCATGTCATCTGCAAACAGGGACAATTTGACTTCCTCTTTTCCTAATTGAATACCCTTTATTAAAACATCACTTCTTAAACTCGTTCAGTGGATTGCCAGTTTAATGAGATGTTCACAGTTTCTCCATTAAAAAAAATTGGCTTAGTTTGATAGCTCACACCTGTAATCCCAGCACTTTGGGAGGCCGAGGCAGGTGGATCACATGAGGTCAGGGGTTTGAGACCAGCCTGGCCAACATGGTGAAACCCTGTCTCTACTAAAAAATATATAAAAAATTAGGTGGGCGTGGTGGTGCAGGCCTATAGTCCCAGCTGAAGGACTGGAGGCTGAAGCACAAGAATCTCTCGAACGTGGGAGGCAGAGGTTACAGTGAGCCAAGATCATGCCACTGCACTCAAGCCTGGGCGACAGAACGAGACTCCATCTCAAAACAAAAAAAACAAAAAACAAATCAAAGCAAAAGAGGCAGGGGAGTCTATTAGTCAAATACATCAGGAAAACAAACCCAATGTATAATATCCTCACTCTTCATGAGGCACTTAATGTACTTAGCCTCACTAAAGGCTCCAAGAAGTCCTGCAAAAATGTGATTAACTCAACACTTACCAAGCATGATCAATGTTAAACCCTTTTCTGCACCTAACCATGGTTACCTTGTTGAACAGTTTGGAAAACACTGCCCCAGTTTAACCTCTTTGAACTTCTCTTGCCATGGCTCTGTTTATGCTGTTTCTCCCTTTCTGATGCCCAGTTTGGATGGCCTTTTGGATTCTCCTTTTGGGAAAAATCGTCATTATCCCCTCTATCTTTTCAAGCTCATCCAACAGAGATGTCACCTGCTTTATGAAGCCCACTCTGATGATCCTAACTCAGACTGACATTGCTTTTCCTCTAACTCTTGAAGCACTTTTTTTTAGCTGGGCTATTTGGTGTTCCTTTACTACTACTTTCTGGTGTTCCTTTCACCATTTATGTTTATAATGGCATTCTTTTCATCTTTACTATGCAAAAACCAGCTTTAAAATTTCTTGAAGGGATTGATGGTTCTAATTTTTAGGTTGGAAGGCAGAATTGTGAAGAAACATGAGCTTTGGATCAAGACAGTTATTTCAGTCACATTTTGGTTAACCAGCTGCATGACTTTGGGCGAATTACCCAACTTCACTAAGTTTTAGCTTTCTTATATCTGTAAAATGGGGACAATGAACTCCCTACCTCTTAGAGGTGTTGCGAAGAGTAAATGAGACTATGTACAGTGTCTAATGTATTGGAAGCAATCATACATGTCAGCTGCTGTCATTATTATCACATCAGTGGCTAAGAATGCGACACAAAAAGGTCCCTTTTTTGTTATAATGACTGTACATGCCCAATATTCTGGGCAATCAAAATTCCTCAATATTCCAAATATTTTGGCATCCAAAGAGGCTCCCTCTCTCTTTGCAAAGGCAGAGAGAGGTATGTTAGATGTATCCATTGTCTAGCAAAGAATGGTCTTCCTCCCAGAGAGAGAAAGCCTGTTGCTGTGACTGCCACATTCCCTGCATTTTCTGGTCCATCCAGATTGTAATAGTGAATTTCACAAGCAAACACATAGTCCAAAGCATTCTGACTTCTGGTTCAATATAAGTGCTGTGTCTTTTTTTTTTTTTTTCTGGAGACAGAGTCTCACTCTGGAGTGCAGTGGTGCTATCCTGGCTCACTGCAACCTCCGCCTCCTGGGTTCAAGTGATTCTCCTGCCTCAGCTTCCCGAGTGGCTGGACTTACAGGCATGCACCACCATGGCCAGTTAATTTTTAAAATTTGTTTTAATTTTTTTAGTAGAGACAGGGTTTTACCATGTTGGCCAGGCTGGTCTTGAACTCCTGGCCTCAAGTGATCTGCCTGCCTCAGCCTCCCAAAGTGCTGGGATTACAGGCGTGAGCCACTGCACCTGGCCAAGTGCTGTATCTTGCATGAAGAGGTACTTGGCCCCTGCCTGTGGCTAGCGTGTCCACCTGGTATACCTGACCTGGACATCAGGGGACATGCAGGTGTAAGTCAGTGGCTGGGCAGATTCAGCCCTTTAGTTAATTTAGGTTAAATTTCACTTGAATCCATGTGATTGTTTATACTAAGATAGTTCAGCAAAATAAAATGTCGAGTCCTTTTATATTTTACATGATAAATATATATGAATCAAGGAAAAAGAACTTCTGTTTATTTACTAAACGTTTATCGAGTGCCTACTATTTACCGGGCACAGTTATATGCAGTTGTTATACAACAGTATACAAAATACAGACAACCCTGTTGTAATGGAGCTGAATTCTGATGGGAGAAGAAAGAAATCAAACAAGGGAATGAACTAATATATTATATAACAAATGGTAGTAAGTGACGTGAAAAAATTAAAGTAGGACATGGAAGACAGAGAGTTGGGAAAGTCAGGGAAATCCTTTCTGTTACAATGACATTTGAGCACAGATGTGAAGAAGAATCTGGGAAGTACTTGGGCTAAGGAAATTCTCAAAAGGTAAAGGATCATGTCGCCTGATAGGGAAGAGAAGGCAGCTGAGATAAAGAAAAAGAGTGGTTTGAAGCTCGCTAAAAAACATGCCAGATTTTGTGGCCAAGTCAACAAGTCTTTTATCTGCAAAGGAATTCAAAAGCCATTGGTGGGTTTGAAGGAGAGGCACTACATTTGTGTTTTTGGAAGATTACTCTGGCAGTGCCAGGTGGAGAATGGGTTGAGGGAGTGAAGTAGATCCAGAGGAAGAGGAAGAGGGAGGAGCTCAGGTGACTGATGGGTGCTGTTGTTTCCAGGGTGGCCATGCTGGAAGAGGAGCAGGCTTGCTGAGAAAGATGCTCACTTAGGTCAGTTCTGGAAGGGCAATGTTGGGGCGGTCCAAGAGAGAGTCTCTCCAATGCAGATGGGAGCAGTCAGTTGAAGTAAAACCTCCCTGGAGAGGTTATTTTTTTATTTTTTATTTTTATTTATTTATTTTTTGACGGAGTTTCTCTCTTGTTGCCCAGGCTGGCGTGCAATGGCGCCATCTCAGCTCACCGCAACCTCCACTTCCTGGGTTCAAGTGATTCTCCTGCCTTCGCCTCCTGAGTAGCTGGGATTACAGGTGTGCACCACCATGCCCGGCTAATTTTTGTATTTTTAGTAGAGACGGGTTTTTGTCATGTTGGCCAGGCTGGTCTCGAACTCCTGACCTCAGGTGATTCACCTGCCTCAGCCTCCCAGAGTGCTGGGATTACAGGCGTGGGCCTCTGCGCCCAGCCCCTGGAGAGGTTTTAAAGCTGGTGGCTCATGGATGGTGACTGGGGCCATGATGGGAGTGCATGGAATTATCAGGGAGCTCCTTAGAGTGAGAAAGAAGAGGACCGAAAATAGAGACGTAGGAAGGCTGAAGATCTAAGACCTGAAGGAGGGGCCAGAAAGGAGGCCAGAAGACACCCCGGAGCCTGTGAAAACCTGGAGGCTGCCCACCAGATAGCATGATGATCAAGACTACAGGTTCTGGTGTCCAACCCACCTGGCTTTGAATCCTGACTTCCCCACTAAAACTGACATGACTTTCGGTACTAAGCCTTGCAGGGTGATTGGGAGGGATTACATGTACCATGTTTAAAATCTTTAGCACTTTGTCTGGCTTGTAGTAGGTGCTCAGTAAAGTGGTACATGTGGAAGGGGATATGGAGAGGCACATGGATGGAAATGGAGATGGAGAGAGAGACGGAGGTATTCTCTAAAAATGTTCAACTCGAAGTCCTTGGCAGCATTAACAGAAGGAGTGGCAGCATCTCAGCTAGCATGCCAGAATAGGATCTGCTGTAACTCTACACAGCCCAGAGCCTGTCATGCCCTCGGGTAATGTAATGAAAGGTGTTTTCCTCTCTTCAGAACAGGTGCTCCACTGATACAATTTAGAGTCTCAAATTCCAGAGCTTAATTGTTTGTTCTACATACAAGTTAGCCCAGCTCAGAACACCTGTGGGCTAAGTTCTTTTGATGCACCAAAGCCTGTCTTTTATTAAGCCCTTTGCGAGCAGTCAAAATAAGACCAAATGTCCATGTGTCGCTGCGTAACCATGTGGACATGAAACAAGCCAGCCAGCGTGAGGAGTGCACAGTAAGTGCTTAAAATAGCAAGTGAATCCTTAGGCTCTGGAAAATATGGTTACGTGATTAATGTAACCAGAGTTAGAGATGAAATAACATTAAATATTTTATATATATAGAAACTTGCCTACACACACATAAAATTCCCTATTAGTTGTAGTTGAGGTTTAGTCATGTTGAATCGATAAAAAATGATTTAGAGCGGATGGTTTCAAAAGCTGGTTGTGCTTTCAGTCTTCCATAAAGAAGTTAAAATTAATTTTAATATGTTGATGGTGCTTATTGATGATAATATTCATAATAAATATCCATCGGAAAAATTCTCCGGCACATCTGTGTGACAGAGAGGTCAAGAATGTTAATGACGATCAGGACTACAAAATGCAATCCAGTCAATTACTTTAATTAAATCTAAAACTACTTTATGTCTTCTCATTTATGTAGTAAACTGATAGTGGAGAAAAGGGCACCATCTTTATCTGGCTCATTGTAGAGTCCAAAGATGCGGTCTCAGATTGTTTTAACATTTGTAGCTCTTATATCCTTGTGGAATATTTAAAGTATTTATGGGTCTTATGAGTAATGCTCCTGCTTCTGTAAGAAGAAGAAAAGGTGGAGATTTTCCTTTGAATGCCGTT
Organism: Homo sapiens; assembly: GCF_000001405.40. NCBI lineage: Eukaryota > Metazoa > Chordata > Mammalia > Primates > Hominidae > Homo > Homo sapiens. Next base: position 96,199,909 of record NC_000015.10, on the reverse strand, counting down.
TTGTAGAAGGAGAGCTTTCTTTTCACAGACACTAATCTTGTATTTACAGACTGGGTTATATTTGGTAGAGCCAACATTCCAGGGTAAATGGTAGAAACGTCTACATTTCAGTGAATCCTTTTTAATTATATTGTTTGGGATCAGAAGAAAAAGAACACAGCTGTCTGAAGTTCTCCCTACCACAGAGGTTCAAGTGCTTATAACCCAGTCATCATAGCCTGCAAAATGCCTTTTTATTAATTGTGGTATCATACAAAAGTTGGCATCACCTATGTGTTTCGGTTATTAAACTTGGAGAATAGAAAGGTGAGCATTTTAGAAAATGAATCAATTAATGAATGAGCAATTCAGTCAGTTTTTCCATGAATATTAACAGCATGTAGTGCCTACTGTGTGTCATGTGGTGTTACAGGCATCTGAACACAGCTGTAAACCACACAGAGAAGATCCAGTCTGGACCTCAAGGGGTTCCCATTTTAGCTTGAAGGAAATGAGGAAACAACAAAAAAAGTAAACTGAATTTTATCAGATAAGGCAAAAACTATGCCAAAAAACCCCCAAACAAACACCAAAGCAGGATGATGATAGGTTGACCAGCTTTTCCTAGTTTGCCCAGGGCTGCCCTGGTGTTAGCACAGAAAATCTTGTGTCCCAGGTAAGCCCTCAGTCCTAGGCAAACTGGGTTGATTGGCCATCTTAGTAATGGGAAAGAGAGCAGCTAAATGAGAATTTATTTTGGATGAGTGGTCAGGGAAGGCCTCTCTGGGGAGGTGATACTTGAGTTGAGATAAGAGCAATGCGGGGACCCAGAGCTCACACTGGTAATCCCAGCACTTTGGGAGGCTGTAGTGGGAGGATCGCTTGAGCTCAGGAGTTTGAGACCAGCCTGGGCAGCTTGGAGAAACCTTGTCTCTACCGAAAAAAAAAAAAAAGTAGCCAGGCATGGTGGTGCACACCTCTAGTCCCAGCTACTCGGGAGGCTAAGGTGGGAGGATCCCCTGAGCCAGGAGAGGTCAAGGCTGCAGTGAGCTGTGATAGCACCAATGTGCTCCAGCCTGGGTGACAGAATAAAACCTTGTCTCAAATAAAGAAATAAATAAATAAATGGAGCAATACAAAGGAGCTGCCTTCATATACCTGCAGATCCCTCAGGATGAGGTTCATCTCCTGGTGATCTTTCAAAAGAATAGATTCGTGCTTTGAGAAGAAGAATAAACATTTATGAAAAGTTTTCTGTGAGCCAAACAGTGTAAATATGTTATCTCATTTAATTCCTACAGCCCCAAGTGGTAGGTAGGCATTAGTTTTTCCATTTTACATGTTAGACATTAAGTGATAAATAATGTCTGAAGTCTTGAGCCTAATAGAAAATGGCAATAAGATCTTTCTCTGCTTGAATTCAAAGCCCACAGGAGGGAGTGTGAAAAGTGAGTTTAAGTACTTTTGGGAAGAAGAACCACTTTCTGCTTGGAGAAGAGATGAAAATGGATCCTTCATTTATGGAGCCCAAGCTCTTGCTGTACAGCCCCTGAAAGCTCCTCTAAGTGGGATTGGCTTGGACATTATCCTTTAACCACTCTAGATCTGACAGCCACTGGGCTAAGCAGCCTCTTTAAGATACCTCTTAAAGAACTCAGGACTGCTTGTGGAAACAGAAAAAACTATGGTGATGGGAATTGGAGTTTCTGCAAATCACAGATAAGAGGGAATGAGTGTAAATTTTTAGCATTACTATGGTCCTACTGTATCTCTGGGTTAGTGTTGCCTATGGGTGAATGAGAGGCGTGTATCTTTGTCTTATAATTTAGCTTCTGGGATGTGTGTGTTCTTTAAATCTTAGAGAAGACCTCATGTATCATGTCTTTGGATTTTCCATTGCAGCTAACACAGATGCTTGCATGTAGAATGAAATTCATAATATTTGTTGAAATTCAAATATTTGGAGAGTCAGCATTGGCATACTGGCGAAGTTCAGTTTTTGCATTCAAAGTGATTTTTATAAGACAGTCTCTGAGGTGACTCACTCCTGGGTTTGACTAAAAGCTATTTTGGGCTTTTAAAAAAAATTCCTTGCCATAGTTTTATATATACATATATATATATATATATAACTATATATAAAAATATATAAAACTATATATATAACTCTCTATATAAAACTATATATATATAAAACTATATATATATATAAACTTATTCTTTAAAAGACAAGGTCTCACTCTGTGGTCCAGGCTGGAGTGCCATGGTGTGATCACAGTGCTCATTGTAACCTTAAACTCCTAGGTTCAGGTGATCCTCCTGGCTTAGCTTCCGAAGTAGCTGGGACTACAGGTGTGCACCTCCATATCTGGCTAATTAAAAAAAAATTTTTTTTTGTAGAGATGAAGGCTTCACTTTGTTACCCAGGCTGCTCTCAAACTCCTGGCCTCAAGCACTTGGATTACAGGTGTGAGCCATCGTGCCCAGTACCATAGTTATATTTTGGCCCAACTCATGCTATGATGACAAACTCTGAAGGTATAAACTTATTTAGCTTAAAATACAAAGATGTGAGAAAGCACTTTTGGAATGGTAGAGTGAGGACATTAAAAAAAATACATACCACTTCCTCATAAAAGCAATAAGAGTACTGGAAAAATAGTTAAAAGCAACTTTTTCAGAACTCTGAAAATTAATCAAAGGTTTTCAGTAACTTGAAGAGTGTTGATTCAAGAAAGGTGGCTGAATCTTGGTAAGAATAATAAGTGTTGTGATGTTTTAACTTGCCCTAGTCCCATTCCACTCTCTCCAGTTCTGTAGTAATATTGAAAACTAACAGCCTCACAATTATGGTAGTCCTGAATGTAAGCAGCCTAGCAGCTACTGAAGGGGAGAAGTTCCATCTCCAGAAAACTTTCACTGTTTGACCTGTCTCACAGCTTGTCTTTGATATGACTCAGACTTTACTCTGTACAAATAGCCTTTTGCTAAACTATTTGTTGAAAACAGTCAGTGGCAATTATTTAATGTGGCAGCTACCTGAGGTGATAATAACAGATGAGGCTACCAAGAGGCTGAGCAAAACATTTAAAAAGGAAAAACTGAAGAATGATATGAGCATAGAAGGTTTTGAAGAGCTCCAACATATTCCCAGGAATCTAGAAGTCCACGTGCAAGTTCGGGGCTATGCACCTGCTCCAGAAAGATCCGAGGAGGTTCTGAGTTCTCATCTGTGACTAACCTGAAGTTTCTGTGTAAGCAGGAAGTGAAGGCATAGGCAGAATTCTCAATGACCTGACTGAGCATTGTAGATGCCCTCCCCTCTTCCAGAACTTCTTACTGAAGCCTAGGGGACTCATTGTTTCAAGTCATTTAAGAAAATCTCTGGGGTGAGTGTGGTGGCTCGTGACTACAATCCTACCCTTTTGGAGGCTGAGGCAGGAGGATCACTTGAGCTTAGGAGTGTGAGACCAGCCTGGACAACATGGTGAGATCCTGTGTCAAAAAAAAAAATTAAAAAAATTATGCCCCTGTGGTCCCACCTATTTGGGAGGCTAGGCAGGAGGATCACCTGAGCCCAGCAAGTTGAGGTTGAGGTGAGCTGTATTTGTACCTTGTCTCAAAAAAAAAAAAAAAGAAAAGAAAAGAAAAGAAAACCCTCTGTCTGAGCATTAGCTAAGCACAGAGTTTCTAAACAGAGACTTTAGTGGCTGTACATGACCAAGACTACAAATGTTACAGAATTAGTTTGAAAAAGTCACTGAACAAACAGCAGCAACAACAATAAACTTTAAGAGTAACAAATCTTGAAGGAATCTTCTTTCCAGAATAGCCACATTATATAATTTTATATATATATATTTTTATAATTTTATTTTATATTTTATTTACATTTTATATTATATATATGTCCAGTTTTCAAAAAATATGCATGAGCTACACAAGGAAACAGGAAAAATTCCAGATGTTGGAATTACTATACAAAAACTTTAAGTCAGCTACTATTAATAAGTTGAAAAAAGGAAAGAAAAACATATTTAGAGAATTAAAGCATGAAAATAATACTTCACCAAATAAAGAATTTCAATGAATAGATAGAAATTATAAAAAAGAAAAATAGAGATCTAAAATGAAAAAATACAATCATTGAAATAAAAATTTGCTAGAGTTGCCTAATAGCAGATACGAACTGACAGAAGAAAGAATCAGTGATCCTGAACATAGTTCAACTGAGATTATCCAGATTCGGGAAGAAAAAGAAAAAAGAAATGAATAAAAATGAATCTATGGGACGCTAGTGTACTAAAATATATGTAATAATCACAGAAGAAGAGGAGAGAAGAAAAGTTGAAAGTATATTTGAGAAAATAATGGCTGAAAACTTCCCAAGCTTGATAAAAAACGTTAACCTGTACATTCAAAAATTTTAAAAAACTCCAAGTAAACTTAACACAAATTGATCCACACCTGGATACATTATAAACTATCAAGACAGAGAAAATCTTGAAAGCAGCAAAAGAATCATAGAGTCCACCATAAGATTTAACAGTTGACTTCTGGTAAAAACCCAAGAATATCAAAAGGCTACTGTTTACATATTCAAAAGGATGATAGAAAGACTATTCATCAAGACTTCTATATTAAATGAAACTTTTCTCCAAATATAAAGGATAAATAAAATCATTTCCAGAGTAGGAAAAACTGAGAGATTGTTACTAGCAGACCTGCCCTACAAGAACTATTAAAGAGAGAGTCCTTCAGGCTGAAATGAAAAGACATTAGAGAGTAACTGGTAAATGTACTACATAGGTAAATAAAAATATAGCATAAATGTATTTTGTTTGTAAATCATTTATTCTCTTATTTAAACACCTACTTCATAAAGCAAGAATTATAAAACTGTGTTTATGGGCTTACACTGTGTAAAGATACAAGTTAATTGACAAAATTTCACAAAGGAGAGAGAAGAAATGGAGCTATATGGAAACAAAATTTTAGTACACTATTGAAATTAAGTCGGTAGTAATTTGAACTAAATTGTTCTAAATTGGGATGTTGATCATAATGTATGGGGCAACCACTAAGAAAATAAAAAAAAAAAAAAGTAAAACAAACAGCAAGGACATTAAAACAATATACTATATCATATGTATTTAACATAAAATAAGGCAATAATGGATGAACAGAGGAATCAAATATGGTAGAAGATATATAGAAAATAAATAGCGAAGTGGAAGATAAAAACTTACCTTATTTGTAATTACTTAATAGAAATGTATTAACCACTCCAGTGAAAAGGCAGAGATTGGCAAAATGGACAAAAAACATAATCCAGCTCTATGCTGTCTACAAGAGACAAACTTTAGATTCAAAGACACAAATTCATTGAAAGTTAAAGGATGGAAACATACTAGGCAAACAGTAACCAAAAGAGAACTGGAGTGGCTCTCTTGAAGACGAAATAGACTTCAAGACAAAAAGTGTTACTAAAGACAAAGATAGACATTTTATAATAATAAAAGGGTCAATCCATCTGAAAGACTTTAAAATTAAAACACATATGTACCCAACCTGACAAGAGAGAAATAAAACTGTCTTTGAAGATGACGTGATCTTGTTCACAGAAAATCTCAAGGAATTTATTAAAAATTTATTAGTGCTAATTGTTGAGTTTAGCAAGGTTGCAGAATACAAGATCGATATATCAATATGTGATAAAATCAATAAATTCTATTTCTATACACTAGCAATGAACAAGTTGAAAATGGAATTAAGACAACAATTCTATTTTAACAGTATCAAAAAGAATAAAATATTTATGAATAAATTTAACAAAGAAGTGCAAAATGTTTACACTAACAACTGCCCAATATTATTGAAAGAAATTTTAAAAGACCTAAATAATTGGCAAAACATCCCATGTTAATGATTTGGAAGACTTGATATTGTTCAGATGGCAATACTCCCCCAAGTGATCCACAGATTCAAGACATTCCCTTTCAAAATCTTAGTTGCTTCCCCGCTCTGCATTAAACTACTAGTTGGTCCTAAAATTTAAATAGAAATGCAAGGGATCCAGAATATACAAAACAAGAAACCTTGAAAAAGAACAAAATTAGGGGACTAACATTTCTCAACTTGAAAATTTAGGTACAGTAATTAAGATAGTGTGGTTCTGGCATAAGGGTAGATATTTAGATCAATGGAACAAAATGGAAGATTCAGAAATAACCCTTACATGTTCCGTGAGTTAATTTTTGACTAGGGTGGCAAGTCAATGGAGGAAAGAATAATCCCCCAAAATGATGCCAGAACAATTGGAAATCCACTTGTAAGAGTAAATTTAGATACTCTATCCCGCATCATATCCAAGAATTACCTCAAAATGGATCATAGACCTAAAGGTAAGTGCCAAAACTGTAAAACTGAATTAGGCAATGGTTTCCTAGATGGCACTAAAAGCAAAAGCAACAATAGAAAAAAAATAGGTATATTTGACTTTATTTTTATTTTTAATTTTTTTTTTGAGACAGGGTCTTACTCTGTCAACCAGACTGGACTGCAGTGGCACGATTATAGCTCACTGCAGCCTCAACCTCCTGGGCTCAAGTAATCCTCCCACCTCAGCCTCTTCATTAGCTGGGACCACAGGTGTGCCACCAGTCCTGGCTAATTATTTTATTTTATTTTGTAGAGGTGAAGTCTCACTTTGTTGCTCAGGCTAGTTTCAAACTCCTGGCCTGAAGTGATCTGGCCACCTCTGCCTCACAAAATGCTAGGATTACAGGAATGAGCCACTGCGCCTGGCCTAATTTGACTTTATTAAGCATAACAAAAAAAGCTGCTGTGCTTCAGAACACCACCAAAAGGTAAAAACAGATTGGCATGTGGTTTATGCCTGTAATCCCAACACTTAGGTAGGCTGAGGCAGGCTGATTGCTTGAGCCCAGGAGTTGGAGACCATGGGCAACATGGCGAAACGCCCTCTCTGCAAAAAAATACAAAAAATTAACTGGGCATGGTGGTGTGCGCCTGTTGTCCCAGTTACCTGGTATGCTGAGGTTGGAGGATCACCTGAGGCTGCAGTGAGCTGTGATCACACCATGCATTTCAGCCTGGGTGACAGAGTGAGAACCTAGTTCGAAAAAAAAAAAAAAAAGTAAAAACACAATCCACTGAACATGACAGAATATTTTCAAATCATATATCTAAGAAGAGACTTGTATAAAGAATATACAAAGTGCTCTTACAACTGAATAATAGGCCGGGCGCGGTGGCTCATGCCTGTAATCCCAGCACTTTGAGAGGCCGAGGCGGGCCGATCACCTGAGGTTGGGAGTTTGAGACCAGCCTGATCATCATGGAAAAACCCCACTTCTACTAAAAATACAAAATTAGCCGGGCATGGTGGCACATGAGGTTGTGGTGAGCTGAGATCGTGCCATTGCACTCCAGCCTGGGCAACAAGAGCAAAACTCCATCTCAAAAAAAAAAAAAAAAAAAAAAACTGAATAATAAAAAGACAAATATGTAATTAAAAATGGGCAAAGGATTTGAATAAGCATTTTTTTTCTGAAGAAGATATACAAATGGGCATAAATACATGAAAAGATGGTTTATATCATTAGTCTCTAGGAAAATGCAAATCAAAACCACAATGAGATTCGTGACACACCCATTAGAATGGCTAAAATTTAAAAAGACAGACAATAACAAGTGTTGGTGAGCATGCAGAGAAATTGGAACCCTCATACTTTATTGGTGGAATGGTGAAATGCTGCAACCTCTATAGAAAACAGTTTTGCAGTTTCTCAAAATGTTAAAGATAGAATTACCATATGATCTAGTAATTCCATGATTAAGTATAAATCCAGAAGACTTGAAAACATATGTCCACACACAAACTTCTTCAAGAATGTTCTTAGCTGCATTCCTTATAATAGCCAAAAAGTGGAAGTAGCCCAAATGTTCATCAACTGATTATTTGAAACACAAAAATGCAATATATCCATACAATGGATATTATCTGGTCATAAAAATGAATGAAGTACAGTATTAATGCACGCTACAACACAGATGAACCTTGAAAGTGTTATGCTGGGCGAAAGACGCCAGACACCAAAACCCCTGCATTGTATGATTCCATTTGTATGAAATGTCTAATGCAAGCAAGTTCATAGAGACAGAAGGTAGATTAGTGGTTGTCAGGAGCAAGGAGAGGTTAGAATAGAGAGTGATTGCTAATGGACATGGGATTTATTTTTGAGGTGTTGAAAATGTTCTGAAATTAGATAGTGGTGATGTTTATATAACTGTGGATTTACTAAAAACTGCTGAATTGTACACTTTAAGAGGACACATTTTATGGTATGTAAATTATATCTCAATAATGCTGTTATAAAATCTAGTAATATGCTTTGTAGGAAAATGTGTATAAAAATAAACATCTTGGTAGATAAGTTTTTATAAGGTAAAAAAACAGAGGCAGGCGTTCAGATTTTCCTGCTAATATCTCATTTTCTCTTGTCTGTTTTAGATGAGTGTAAGGCCATTATCATGGACTTTTTCCCCAGCTGCAGGTAGGTGTACCCATTTGACTGAATTCTGGCCTATAGGGTAAGAACGAAATGTCTTGTGAAACTGCTCTGTTGTACCCTTGAAAGAAAATTGCTGGCTGTCTATGTCCTCCTTCCCATTTTAGGCAGGCTGAAGTGTGCAGATGAGGGGTTGAGCCATTGTTTTTTTGTTTTTGTTTTTGTTTTTTTGAGACAGGGTCTCACTCTGACTCCCCAGGCTGGCATGCAGTGGCATGTTTGTCTTTCTTTCTAAAACAAATTATTCTTTTACAAAATTAAATAATTTAAAATTATTTTTAATGCTAAAAATATTGTGCATGCAATGGTGTACATTCCCCTCCCAGGCTCAAGCAATCCTCCCACCTCAGCCTCCCAAAATGATAGGATTACAGGAATGAGCCAGTGTGCCTGGCTGCCATCTTTGAACTGGTTGTTAAGAGCAATGCCGTTGGGAGCTGGGATGCTGGGCCACTTGATGAGCAGAGCCTACAGAATCACTCTAATGCCAAAGAGAAATACATTCTCTACCAGATATTGGCCATTGTTATTTTTGCCACTTTTAAAGCAGTCAAACCAATCTTCTCACTTATAGAATAACATCTTTGGGGTCATGATATATATTTTTTAAGATTTATTGTTCCTTCCCATGAATCTATGTTCAGATGGTTCCAAATGAAAAACTCTGAGGGTATCAGGACACATACGACCAGTCCCGATCTTCTGGACGTTTAAAGTAGGAGCTGTCTGCATAAATAGCAAATAGAAAACACAATTTGAAACACAAGAGCAGAGTTTCAAATGGACTTTTGTGGAAGTGTAGTTCAAGTTGAGGGGAACAAAAGAGGACTGGAGGAAGATGTAGAAGAGTAAGGTGACCTGAGCCACCCCTTGGATGGTTAGGTGGAGAGCTTCAGCAGGTGGAAGGGTGTGGCCAGGGGGGAACAGAAGAGAGGTGAGTGCAGTAGACATTAGCCAAGGTCAGAATATAGCAGAGTGACCAAAGGGGAAAATGGTTGGAGATTATGCTGAGCTCTTCAAGTTGACTGGTGCTGCAGATAATTGGATTGAAGCTCAGGACAGATGTCCAAGTGAGAAATTTAAGTTTGGGAATCATCTGCAGAGATGGTGGTTGAAGAATTGGGAAGGGCTAAAACTTCAAAATCATATGGCTTGTTCTATCATCAGGATTAGCCTTCTCTAATTCCCTGTGTGCTCTTTGTCTTTCTAAAACAAATTATTCATTTAAAAATTAATTTTACGGTGGCTCACACCTGTAATCCCAGCACTTTGGGAGGCCGAGGTGGGCAGATCATGAGGTCAAGAGACTGAGACCATCCTGGCCAACATGATGAAACCCAGTCAATACTTAAAAAAATTAATTTTAAATTATTTTTAATGTTAATAATTTTTTAAAAAGGAAAACTGGTAAAAATTTCACTTATATGTATTAATTACAAAACAACTCTACCTTATCAGGATACAAAAACACTGTTAAGAAAATATAAATTGGATGGCCAGGCATGGTGGCTAACACCTATAATCCTAGCAATTTGGGAGGCTGAGGTGGGAGAATTGCTTGAGCACAGGAATTCAAGACCAGCCTGGGTAACATAACAGGACTCTATTTCTACAAAAATCCAAAAATTAGCTGGGCAAGGTGGCACACACCTGTGGTCCCAGTTGCTCCAGAGGCTGAGATGGGAGGATTGCTTGAGCCTGGGGGGGTGGGGTGGGGTGGAGGGTCAAGGCAGCAGTGAGCCATGCTCATACCAGTGCACTCAGCCTGGGTGACAGAACTGGACCCTGTCTCAAAAAATAATACTTATAAATTGGAATAAGAAATTATGTTGCCTTTACACACCTGCAAATGGTTTTCCTAAGGAGTTAGTTGAAAAATTATACTTTGCTTTTCTCCAGGAATATTTACTTATAATTTTCCCTGTGCCAATTTGGCACCATAATGTGAATACAATACAATACAATACAATACAATACAATACAATACAATACAATACAATACAATACAATACAATACAATACGGTACGGTACGGTACGGTACGGTACGGTACAATACAATACAGTATAGTACAGTACAGTACAGTACAGTACAGTACAATACAATACAGTGCAATACAATACAGTACAGTACAATACAATACAATACAATATGTTAATACATATCATTTTAAAGGTAAATTAGTTATTATCAAATTGTTTTTATTTTTAAACAATTTTAGAGTTACAGAGATATTCAAAATAGTACAGAGAAGTCCTATACACTTTTCACCCAGCTTGCCCTTAAGTTAACTTCTTACCCACAAGCGTGATTCTGAGAAATTAACTACAATTAAGCATAATACTATTAACTAAACTCCAGACTTTATCAGATTTCACCAGTTTTTCTTCTAATTGTTTGTGTGTGTGTGTGTGTGTGTGTGTGTGTGTTCCAGGATCCAGTCACCGATCTAAAATTGCTGGTAGTCTTTAAGTTTTAAAATCCTCCTTAGTCATTTAAAAACATGGTAGTACAGAACATTCGCTCTAGTCCATCTGAAGCAAAGGAGACTGGAAGGGGAACTATGAACTGCCTGTTTGAGACCAGGATTAGTTATGAATAAAACCCTAGACCTGTCAAGTGGATGGTTGTGGGAATCAAACATGAAAGCACTCTGAAAATTATCAAGTATTTCACTCCAGTAAGATCATTTATTCATTCATCAATTTTTCAGAAACTATTTCCTCAGCACCAGTCATATCTTAGGCACCATGTTCGGCAGGGGAATCACACAAAAAAGATGCCGGTTCTTGCTTGCCGGTAATTCTAGCCATGGAAAGCTGATCATTAAGTATTTATTGAATGTCTACCACTGGCCCTACGATACCAATTATTACCTTTCCCTTAGAGTGCACTCAATGACTGTTCCATTACAGGCTTGAAAGAGTTAATGTGCTGCAAATGCCTCTGTGCCTGGGGAGTTCTGCACCACCTCTGCCCAGGCTGCAGAGGCATTAGGCTCCAAGTATGTATTTTCTTTTCCCTTCTGTTTATGTCTCTGTTTTCTGTAAAGTCTGCTAAACCGCAGCAGTATCTTCCAAGTTCTCTGACAATGTTATAAATTTCATTAAGAAGATGAAGCCTTCTGGGGCAATTAACTCCAAAAGTGGTACAAAGCCATAGCAAGGAGATACTGGCCTGTAGTACTTAGCACTCAGCTCTGAAATGGAGATAAGCCCTATCAACCCGGGGTTGTGTTTAATGTTCACTGCAGCTTCCATACCACCGCTACAAGCTAGCGGTCACCGTGTTAACACTCCCCAATATCTATTACAATTAGTTTTTGATTAAGAGGCCTAACATGGCTTTTGAAGCTTTTTATGTTGTGTCAAATGGCTAGTGATGGAGTGAGATGCACAGACACCTCCCGGTAACAAAGCATATTGTAAAAGGTTTCGAGTGAACTATTTTATCATCCTAATGGAAACCAGATGACTCGAACTCCCCCCTTAATTTCAACTATTTACTGAAGAGTCCTTGTTTTGAATTACTGAAAGATTTATTCCTATATGACTACCTCATGCATTAAGAATCGCTAATAACAGAGCCATTTGGAATTTGGGAAAGCTTTTAAAAATGACTGAAGCAATGTTCACAGAGGATTTATTTTATTTTATTTTATTATTTTATTTTTCATTTGATTTTTAAAGAGCAAATGATTTTGCCCTTTCCTAGTATTTAATTATTCCTTTAGTTATTGTTTATGACGCCTTTCTCTGTTGAGTTATACTGTCTCTGCCAGGGTTTCAGTCAGTAGTCTTGGCCTGCTGTCTAAGAAAGAGGTCACTGGTATCTTGTGAGGAGAGAAAACTTTGTTCAGTTATGTAAGATATAATTCTTTGTGAACTGAAACTATATGCTATTTTTGTAAAGGTCCATTTGATGAAACAAAGTATAATTATTTTAAAATCCCTTTATAGATTAAAAAGCTGAAGATCTGAATTGTTTGACATTTTATTACTCTTAACATGAACAGTCACATGTAAATGTAATGAAAGTGGTATAGAAATATGACTTAACTTGTGAGTGTGAATCGTAAGAGCTTTTTACGGCCGGGCGCAGTGGCTCACGCCTGTAATCCCAGCACTTTGGGGGGCCGAGGCAGGCGGATCACGAGGTCAGGAGATTGAGACCATCCTGGCTAACACGGTGAAACCCTGTCTCTACTAAAAATACAGAAAAAATTAGCCAGGGGTGGTGGTGGGCACCTGTAGTCACAGCTACTTGGGAGGCTGAGGCAGGAGAATGGCGTGAACCCGGGTGGCAGAGATTGCAGTGAGCCAAGATCGCGCCACTGCACTCCAGCCTGGGTGACAGAGCGAGACTCCATCTCAAAAAAAAAAAAAAAAAAGAGCTTTTTACTAACATACTTTTTTACTGACTCTCTGGCCTCATTCATACATTTCCCTTTGAACCTCAGTTTCCTCATCTGTGATCTGGGGGTTGAATAGACGTGCCCTGAGTTTTTGTTCATCTCCGGATGTTATTGACTCTGTGACATCAGATGTGCTGGAGACTGTTAGTGCCTGGAGCGTAAAGGTTTTATCACGGGGACACAGTATGGTGTATTGGGTTCAAACCCTGGCTCTGCCTGTTACTGACCTGTCATTCTTTGGCGTAATACTAACTTATTAATGCTTAGAGTCCTTCCATGCAAAATAAGGACAATGTTAGCTATTTCACAGGTGACATGAAATAACCTAGGAAATAAAATCAGATATATAGGGTGCCTGATAAATGGTAGCCTCTCAATCATTTCCGTTTCCCCCTTTTTGCCTTCACGTTTTGTCCTGTTTAATGGTGCCTTGTACAACTGGAATGAATGAAATGACCACGATGTTTGTCATGGACCTCCTTATATTACAAACACTTAGTGAGCACTTGCTATGTGCCAATGTTGTGCTAGGTCTGGGGATCCTAAGACTAGAGGCAGAGGCTTGCTCATACAAAGATTGGGTCATAGACAGTAGGCAGAGGGTTTCAATAGAGCCAGACAGTCAGAAATGAGTAGAGATGGCAGCTGTCAGGAGGGCCGCCCACTCAGTGCAGATTGCAGTTGGGGCTCACTCTCGTATATGATCACATACATCATTTCAGGTAGTCTTCTCAACCACCCCCTCGGCCTAGCAAGGCAGGTGTTATCAATCTCCCCTTTGTAGATTAAAAAGCTGAAGATCTGAATTGTTTGATATTTTATTACTCTTATTAATAAGATCCATTCAAAATAAAACTTGCTGTCACAAATGTAATTGCAGCGAACATGTGCAAAGATTTAGACCAAGTAAAAAAAGCTGTAGTAGATTTACACATTCATATTTCACTTATCAGAGTCTGTTTTCTAAGCATTATCGCTTGGAGCCCCATTCATTTCATTCATTTATGCATTCGTCCAGCATTAATACACTGTTTTCCAAGCACAGGGCTAGGTGGTGGGGGTTTGAAGATGAAAGCGGTAGCCTCTGCGTTCAGCAAGGAATTTGCAGTCCTGTGAGGTGATAGGCACTTGCACCCATGATTATAGTGAGAAGTAGCTGCTGGCCCAGAGGTTGACAGAGGTATTTGAGGGAACACAAGGGAAAGGCCCCCTGAGGTGGCTTAGATGAGGCCTTCTGGAAGAGGGGAGGGGACAATTGAACTTAGCTGAATTTTATAGGATTCAAAAGGGACAAGCGAAAGTAAGGGTGACATGGAGATACTCGAGGTGAAGAGAGTCTGGGAGACAGGAGAAAGCATGGCTCTCTGGGGCTGTTGTCAGTGGTGACAAGGTACCGTGTGGTGGGGATGTGGCTGTGGAGAAGTGGAGAGGCACCAGGTTATGAGGACATTTGGCCAACACTCGTCCTTCAGCAAGAAACAAGTTCCCATATACACTTTGTAGTTCACATCTGTTGAAGTCTACCCACATTTAACTAGTAAACAAGCCTTGTATCTTATTTCTTTCCATTTCCTCTTGAACCCATCTCGTTTGCTGCCTGTGGCTAGTCTGGGTTGATAGTCCACCTTAGCGGTTGGTTAGAGGCTGCTATTAGTATGACCAGCCTTAAATAATTTGATTTTCAGGTTGGGTAAGTCACAGTATCTCCTGTGGGCTTGATAGTCAAGCTACACATTTATTTAAAAATTGGTTTCTTCACATTATATTTGAAAGCAGTGCTACTCATTCATCTGTAAACCATTAGGCTACATGTATAACAGTATCTCATCTGACTTTTATCTACGGAGTTCCGAGGATCCGTTTCAGGTCCTTGCGGATATTCCAGTTCTCTATGAAGTCTATTGTCTTATTTTATTAGTTTTCTCTTTAGGACAATCCTATAGTGAACTGTGTATTTAAAGGAGAAGAGAAACCGTTGAATAAATTGTAGAGATACACTCAGACTTTCCTCCTCATTGGCAAATTTTCGGGCGTTCTTTTTTGTTTGTTTATTTATTTGTTTTTAATTTAAACAGGAGATTTAAACTGGCCTGGTGTGGCCTGCAGTAGATAACGTATTGTTTGGCCCATGAGTTATAAATCTAGAGATTTCACACAAAATATGGCTTCTTTAAAAAATCAAAAGATATGATGCTGTGGCTCTTAGGGGCTCGCTGTGGGGCTAAGGCACATTCACTCCCAGGTTCCTCAGGGTGCCTGGGGCACCCACTTCACTCACCAGGATTCCCTGCCACATCCCCAACACCTTTGCCTTCCTGTCTACAGCTTGGACTTGACCTTTTCCCATTAAAAAACTGGGTGAATGCCAATCAGCAGGTACAAAATGTAACCCTCTTAGCGCAGAAGTTTTAAAACAAGGCATGGACTTAATAACTCAATGAGGAAGCAAATACTTTTACAGAGGCTTTGCAGGTTAGTGATAAAATAAATTTCCTGAGTGATTTTACCCATTGCCATGGAAGGAAAACAAGGGAACCACAAATGTTAGACTAAGTACAATTTACCAGATCAATGATCGTCCAGAAAATTCCCTCCATCCTTGCACTTACTTCCTATCATGACTGTCTCAGAACTGTTTTTTGGTGAGAATATGAGAAATGTAAAAATGAAGAAGTAATTTTCTCACTCTCTAACAATCAGAAATCACCACTGGGGTTTTCTTATATTTTTCGGGGGGTTCCTCTGGCACCCACTTTCCTGAGCTTGGTTGGAAGTGCTAGCTTTTCCTGGTGTTAATTATTAATGTGACCTGTTTATGTACCAGTTATCCGGCTAACCATTAATATCTGTTTACTCATTGATGACCTTTGCAATTGCGTACCTAGCTCCTGGCTGTAAATGTCAACTTTTTGTTTTTATATGCTAAATGTTTTCTCTATATCTACTGAGTACCTGAAACAACTCCTTAACAAGGTAAAATAATATCAAGCCACACAAATATAACCTTTATGAATATGAAAAGGAAGACAAGTTCCTTTTCAAGCTATTTTTTCTGAGGGCTCAGACAAGCTATTTTTTCTGAGGCAACAGAACTTTCCTGTTTGGAATGAGCAAGAGATGTACACAAATGGCAAATGCGAAGGATCCCTGAGGGGGAAAAAAAAAAAAAAACAATTGGCAAGAAAAAATGTTCTTCTGCTCTCTGCTTAGTTTGGGGAGGCGGGGTCGGGGGCAGGGGCAGGGACAAGTAAAGGACTCTGACCTAATCCTGGGGAATGAAACCCAATTTTACTTTTTCAAAATGTCAGTGTTAAGCACTTGCACATTCAAGCAGGCCTGCAGGATTGATCTCCAGCTACCCAGTCAGTCCACATTAACCCCAACACGAGGAAGACATTTCCATTCCACACAATGGTAATGGCTAAAGCTGAGATTAAGCAATGCAGCTGGATTAGGGCTGCAACTGGTGACCTTAATTTTACCCATCATTGGAGCCTGTGTACATTTGACTCTTCTTAATTGCATTTGCCTAATTTAAACAGACAATAGTAGCCCAAGACATTTTTTCACCCCCAAATAATAAAAAAGGAAGAAGAGCGTTTTCCTAGAAATTAACCACAGGACAGTGTTGTTATGTCTGCTGCTTGGGTAACAAAAGCAGCTGTTCTCTTTCTCTTGCCCCATTAACATACCAGCACTGGGGAGGACCCATTGAGATATTATCCACCTTTGCATAACAATACAACTTTAAAGTCTCATAGTGCTTCTTTAGCGAAATATTTTAAAATATTAATATCATCCCAGCTGTAAATAACCATGATGGAATTCATAGAGATTAAAGTTTTGAGATCCGCCTTAGGTGTACCTTCACATTTTCTTGTTCATTGAGTCCTAACTTCAGTAAAATTAGTTTTTTTAGATAGAGCTCTGAACACTTGCTGTGACTGTCACTTCATGTTGAATTTATCATATAGAATTTAAGGCGGAAGACTGGGGAGCAATCTGTCACAAACGATTGTATTCGTAATCGTTGAGGGTTGGGATGGGGGCTGGGGAGAAGATAAGCATCCTAGGGCCGCTCTTGTCGCCTGCACCATTCATTCGGCTCCAGTGGCATCGGTGAGGCGATTTGTGTAGGCTGAGTGTGTAATGTGTTTCCTTCAAGCCTGCCTTGATGGTTCTGTCTATGCTGTACTTCATGCACATAAATGCCTCTCAGGTTTTTTCAGCTAAGTGATAACTCAGCTTGTCTTTCCCGGTGAATTCGGTAATAAATAGATATATGGGCTAGACGTGGGGTGTTCTGACTTAGTTAGATCCTCTCGTGTCCTGGAATAGACAAGTGGACTCAATCATTGTGCTAGCAACAAGATACATACTTTCCAGGGAAGCACGGGGTTTTATGCTAAGTTTACAATGACATGAACTGAAAAGCAATTCAAAGTCAAGGTTAGTATGACAACCTCACATCCGTCTAGGGCATCTAGAGGGGAAAACGGTCAAAATGCAACATTATTTTCTTTGAAAACTGAACATCTGTTAGGGGATTTTGAAATGATAGAGAAGTAGAACAGTTGAGTTGCTTCTTGAACTCATTTAATGTGTACATTTTACTCTGGGAAGTAAGTATTTTCCCAAGACTGCTATTCAGCGCTGCATTTTTTTCCTCTGATGTGCCAGGCGTTTCTTCACAACCTCTGGATGTTGCAAGTCAAGTACTCTTAATAGCTTGCAGATCTATATCTGGGTATCAAAATCACAGGCTTTTGAACTTTGCCAATCAGAATCCCACATTACATTTCCTTTTTATGTCACATGCTCAATGAGCTTAATTGACACATGGAAAATTTCCTGTATACATCTTACTCAAGGCAACACTGGAAATTTGGGTTTATGGAATGCGTCGGCAGCCCTGAACGCTCTTGGCTTCTTCGCTGCTGGCTTGGTCTGTGGCCCAGAATGATGCAAGTTAGGCGTAGCTCAGAACTCTCAAATTAGCTGCTGGGGCGGTGTTAGGAGTGTGTTCAGGCTCAAGAGCCATTTTTGAGGGCTGGAAGAGGGAGTGGGGAGGCTCTGGCCCACTCCCCACTGTGAGGCAGCGGAGGTTACCGTTGTTTGTGAAGACTCAGGCCGTTAACTTCTGCAGGAAATCTGCCCTCATTCCCAGCCTGCAGTATGGCTAGGGGCCTCATCCTGGGCCCCTGTGGGATACTGGGATTATTCTGTCTGTAGCACTTATCATATTACACTAAAGATCTGCTCATGGTTCTCTCCTCCAACTAGACGGGGGAGGCATTGAGAGACAGGACTCAGCACCCAGCACTGTGTCTGACCTGCAGAGATAGTAAAGGCAGCCTAGGTGCTGGGTAGGCTCTAAGACTAAGCAGGACTGGACATGGGGATGCCAATGATAATAACAGCTCCTAATTATGGAACAGGTACTCAGTGATCATAAATGCTAGCCTAGGTGATTCCCTACACCCATTTTACAGATGAGAAAGGTAAATAAGATGTAGCAAGGTCAGGTAGTGTTCACAGGGTAAATTAGGAAGCCAGATAACTGAAAGGGGAACTGGGAAATCCCAGGCTATTCCTTATGCTCTGAACATACACACCTCTGATTTATCTGAAGAAAGATAATACTTCCATGATCAAAATACAATGGAATAGCACTTACAGAGCTAGTGAAGCCTAGAAAGAGTCCAGGCCTTGCTGCAGTTTTCTTCCAGTGGCACTCAGAGGGGTTTGTGTTTTCAGTTTCTGTATTATTTTTTGGCCTATGCAGTATTTCGTTCTTAGCATTTTGCAATAAATTGGTGGTCTCTCAATATTTCTATGTATCTGGTTTTACCATGTCCCAGTTGTGTGATCTTGGAAAATTTACTTCTGTGTTCCTCTGTTTCCTCTGCTGTGAATGTGGGGATGGAGGGTTGTCTTCAGGAGTGACCATTCTAATATTTGCCAAGATCCTAGAATGGTGCTTAGCACGTTCTGAGTGGGCAGCAAACATTAGATGTTCTGATTTACGGTTCTAGCTGTCCCTGTCTCTTCTCTCTTCTGCTTGCCACTGTCCCCACCTACCTGAGCTTCCCTCTTGTGGCTGTGCTGCCCACAAGCGTGTTGGGTGCTGGGAACTTTGGGTGGCGCATTTGCTGCATCTGTCAGCCTGGGATTAGGGGCCAGTGGTCCACGCTCATCCTCTCTGAGAGGCAGCCGCTTCTGCAGGGGCTGCCATGGATTGTGGCTTGTCTGTAAGTGGCCTGCTTCTCTGGCCTTCGCCCCCTTTCCATCTATCAAAATCTCTCTCTGTCTCCCTGCCTCTCTCTCTCCCTCCTCTCAAAGGCCTCGAGCTTCTCCCCTCTTCCTCCCTGCTGGCATTATCTCCTCCCACAGCTTGAGCTTTGGGGAAACAAAAGCCAGGTGTCTTGGCTTTGGACTTTTAAAACAAACCTCCCTCGAGGCAGGGGCACAGAGAGGCCTGACTTCCTTTGTAGAGCAGAGGGCAAACGCTGAGATAAAAACACAAATTAATATATCAGTAAATTATCCTGCCCCACTGACATACTCTCTAATCAGAAAGACAGTGAAAACACGGGAGGATGCCAGGAAAGAATCCAGGGGAGGAAGGAGGAGCCACACAGCCAGCAGCAGCCCAAGGAGAGCAGCCCCTCGGGAGGCTGCAACGGCTGAACTTTTCCCCTGACATTTTACTGGATGTGCAGGGAGCACCAGCTTGCACCACCGTGGGGTGACAGGAAGAGAGAGACAACAGTGAGAAATGGAGAATGGAGGAACCAAGGAAGAAAACCGAGGCAGGGGCAAAGAGGCAGGGCTAATAACCATGTGGGCTAAGATCTCACTCCTTTGGACTCATAATCATCACAGTGACCTTCCTTAGTGGCCTCACTCACTACAGAAGTCACCCCATTTTAAAGATGAGGGGCTGGGCATGGTGGCTCACACCTGTAATCTCAGAGGCGGGTGGATCACCTGAGGTCGGGAGTTTGAGACCAGCCTGACCAACATGGAGAAACCTCATCCCTACTAAAAATACAAAATTAGCCGGGCCTGGTGGCAGGCGCCTGTAATCCCAGCTACTCAGGAGGCTGAGGCAAGAGAATTGCTTGAACCTGGGAGGCGGAGGTTGCAGTGAGTGGAGATTGTGCCATTGCAATCCAGCCTGGGCAACGAGAGTGAAACTCTGTCTCGAAAAAAAAAAAAAAAAGAAAAGAAGAAAAAGGTAAGGAAACAGGAAGTCCAGGATAAGTGGACTTTCCCAATTTCCTGCACCTGCTAAATGATGGAGTCAGGTTTTCAGCCAGAATGTTGGAAGATGGTGATCATGCAGTTAACCACTTTGCTATTAATACAGGCTCCCTCTTGACAAGTCTGTGATCTGATCAAACTGGAGAACTCAGTTGGTGTACGTAAACAGTAAACAAAAACCTGGTAGAACCAGAAGAAATTAAGACTATAAAAGAGAATGAGCCAGAAGTGGTGGTGTGAGCCTGTAGTCTCAGCTACTTGGGAAGCTTAGGCAGGAGGATCTCTTGAGCCCAGGAGGTCGAGACTGCAGTGAACACGCCACTGCACTCCAGCCTGGGTGACAAAATGAGACCCCATCTCTAGGAAAGTAAAGAAAGAGAATGAAGCTCTACTCCCAGGACCTCAAATATGAATAAAATTTTCAAGTGAAAGAATAAAATTGTCACATCCACCACGCGCTGAAGAGCTTGCACAAACATGGCCTCATTGCCTCCACTCAGCCCCCTGGGATAAATCAGGGATTATTGCCCTTTTATAGATGTGGAAACTGAGGTTCAAAAAAATTAAGTGACTGAGCCAAGTAAATAAGAGGCAGAGTTTAAGATGGAACACAGTTCTACTGACTCAAAATCCAATGTTGATGACATGGAGGACAGTATTTGTCAGAGGGGCTCATAGCCCTGTACTCAAGGGCTGCCAGGAAAGAAGAATAAACTAATATCCCTTCTCCCCATGCAAGCTGGTGGGTTCACTTAGGAACAATGCATGTTAAAGGTAAACTAGTGGGGTTGCACAGATGGGAAGAGAAGAGGGATTTTCAGGTGGCTTTCAGCTGATGCATTTGATTTGGCAGGAGAGGAGAGGTAGTTGGGATTCAAGATATGAAGGAAATACGCAGGAAGGGAGCAAGAGTAGCAAAAATTGCAAAGCTGTGAGATAGAGAGGAAATGCAGGAAGGATTTCAAAGCAGAGTATAGGCAAAGAATGCCTGGCATACAATCTGGAGAGGAAAAAGATGGGGAAAGGAAGTAGGAAGTGAAAACCGAGGGAAGTGGAAAAGAAAGTGAACATGTGGATGGTTTGGAAGCTGTCCTCAAAAAGTAGAAATGTGGCCTGGAATCTATACAACACAAACGAAAGGGAATACAATGTTTGGGGCAGGAGAGGAAACACCTGCTTAAGAAGGGTATTTGAAAAGTCAGAGCCACACCCAGACCAGAAGATTCGGGCAGACTGATGGACATCATTATGATGAGAAAAAAAAAATATCTGTAAGTTTCAGCCAAAATAAAAGAAAAAATGTGGAGTGAGGAAAGGAAGAACAACCACAAAACCAGTGTTCTTTTTAGAACTTGCTAGAATCACAATAGAAATATTGAAGCACTATTAGACCGGTATTTTCTAAACATATCTGAGGATAGCACCTCCTCTTATTTTTAATTTTTACTTTTTTTAATTTTTTGAGATACAGTCTTGCTCTGTCACCCAGGCTGGAGTGCAGTGGCACGATCACAGCTCACTGCAGTCTCGACCTCCTGGGCTCAAGTGATCCTCTCACCTCAGCTCCCTGACTAGCTGGGATCACAGGCGCATGCCACCACACCCAACTGATTTTTTTGGTTTTTAGTAGAGAGGGGGTCTCACTATCCTGCCAAGGCTGGTCTAGAACTCCTGGGCTCAGGCAATCCTCCTGCCTCAGCCTCTCAAAGTGTTGGGATTACAGGTGTGAGTCACCACTCCCAGTCCTCTTTTTTATTTTTAAAAAACCTTCTTTAATATCTTGTGGAACTATAATTTTAGGAACATAGTTTATAAAATGTTAACTTGGTAGCATTAGGGTGGACTTTTCCACCCCTGAATTCCATCCTCCCAAATTGTAGTCCTTTTTGAGTTTTGAATGATGGCTGATTACTCTTCTGATTCTTGGTGCTTTCACCATGCCTGCCTATATGCAACCTCTGTTAGGGTTATGAGCTGGAAACCCAGGCTTGTTAGAATTTTGCATAAATAAGTGTCATAGGATTTTGAGCATTGGCTTTAGAGAGTCTTCCATGAGCAAATATATGAGCTTGGCACCCTGAAGCTTTTGCAGCTATTTTGACTGCCCACAGGATTTTTCTTGCTTACTTACTGGTTTCTTAGCTTCCATTCAGAAGGCAGAACTTTCCAGCTAATTGACCTCCAAATAGTTGAAGCGTGATTGTATTATTGCTACTAATAATATTGGCATTGCATAAAAGCAACAGAACAAGTCTGCAGATTATACACTGCAGAGGCCCTTTAAAGAAACAGTTAATCCAGAGATTAGGCTGCATATTTTGAGGACTTTTTCAAATTTTTGTCAGGCACACACTCTCATCTGATGCTTGCAACAGTGTTGAGCATATTGTTTGTGAAGTGGTAGTGAACCTTAGTATGAGAAATACATGACCACCTACTGGTGGGGTTACAAAGGCAGAAATTCAGCTATAATCAAACAAACAAATGCATTATTCTTTCTACACATTCATGAGACAAGAGCGTAAACTCACTTGTGGAATTTACAGTTTTCCACAAGCGGATTTGGCGGAGGCATCTGACTGGGGATGTTTCTATGTCTTTCACTGTATGCATCTCTTATCATAAAATTTAAACAAAGAAATGAAAGTTGGCCACTTGCCATGGAATTAGATTCCATCATAGAATAAATTCTCATCACTAGTCCTAACGGTGATACCCAAGATACCTTTTTGGATACCTTGAAGGTAGGATACTTCAGGGTCCAATCAGATACATCAAAGGAAAATAAATGCTAACATAAAAATGGCCAAAGGAAGGGAAATAGTGATGTCGCTTTGTGCAACTTTTAGAGTAGTTTGTTTCATGCCAGACATTACTTTTATCCTTTCTGCCCCATTTATTATAAAAATTTTACTTTGAAAATGTTATTTTAGAAGGAAATTTTGTTGTCACAAGACTTAAACAGAGGAGGTGAAAGAATTAGATAGTGAACATCCAGGTATCCATCAACCACTTTCGACAATGAACACTTTACTTCTCTTGCTTTTTCATATCTCTTGCCATCTGTCCCTCCCTCCACCCAATCATCCAACCGTCTTGATTTTCTGATGCATTTCAAATGAGTTGCAGGCCTTGATACTGTTACCACTAAACCTTTCAGTATGCAGATCATTAACTAGAATTCAATATTTATTTACAAGGTTTGTTTTTGAGGTAGATACAGTATAATGTACAAACTATGTACATTTTGGTGGATTTTGGCAAATACACACAACTGTGTAACCCAAACAACTCTCAAGATCTGGGATGTTTCTAGCATCCCAGATTGTTCTCTCATGCCCATCCCACCAATCCTTGCCCCATTTTCCCAAAGACAACCATTATTCTGATATATAATTTTTCACCCTAGATTAGTTTTACCCATTTTAGGATTTCCTGTAGATACAATCACGCAGTGAGAAAAAGATGTGCAGGGCTTTTTCACTCAGAATAGTGGTTTGGAGATTCATTATGTTGTTGTGTGTATCCACTGTAGTTTGTTCCTTTTTATTGTTGAGTAGTATTCCATTGTAGCCATATACCACTGAGGAGAATTTTTAGAGAGAGAGAATATGCACCAAAGAATGCCAGAGAAGAGTTTCCGGGATAATGAGATGGTGGTGGTTGGGGGGACCTGAGGTATTTTACTATAAAAAAGGGCACTTTTAGGAAAGGACAGGAGAACTACCTTCTACTATTTAAGGCAAGAATCAGCAAACATTCTCTGCAATGGGCCAGATAGTAAATATTTTAGGCTTTACTGGGCCATGTGGTCTTTTTTCAAGTACTTAATTCCGACTTATAGTAAAGTAAAAGCAGCCACAGACAATATGTAAGTGAAGTGTGATTGTGTTCCAATAAGACTTCATTTATGGACACTGAGATTTAAATGTCATGTGATTTTCATGTGTCACAAAATATTATTCTTCTTTTGATATTTTTTCCAACCATTTGAAAACTTGAAATCCATTCTTAGCTCATGGCCCACATAAAAACAGATGGTGGGCCAGATTTGGCCTACGAGCCATAGTTTGTCAATCTTTGATAAAAAAGCACTGTCAAATGGAAGGAGGAATAATTATTCTGTTTAGAACTAGTGGGCAATATGAAGACTAAAGGAGGCAGCTTCTGCTCAGAAAACTGAGTAATTAAAGTAGTGTTGAAATGGACTCTAATTCCCTACTTTGTCTCTGTCCCTTGCCCCTATTGGTAGCATAGAATTAGCAGGACAGGCTACAGGGCTAGTCTGTTTAGTGCAATTGTCCAGCTCTTCTCAGTCTATCTGTGTGACCTCTGGCAAGTTAGTGAACTCTTTTCTGTTTCCATTGATTCATCTATAAAATAAGAGCAATAATAGATCCTACCTCCTAGAGGCATTTTCAAGATTCAATAAGTTGAGTGTCTATGAAGTTCTAGGAACAGTGCTGATTCACAGTCAGTACTACTCAATATACTTAGGACAGTGTCTGGCACACAGTAAGTATGAAATATGTGTTCATTATTATCATTACTGTTGTTATTGCTTTAGTCATTGGGAAGTTGGATAGGCATGTGCGAGAATTTTGTTGAAGGAATTCCTACTTTTCATAGTAGGCTGGACTAATAGATGCTTAAGTTGCTTTCCTGTCCTAATCATCAGCATTCTCTTCAATTTAGTGCCGGATACTTTGACCCTGAGGCTCAACTGTTGTTGAAATCTGAGAAGAAATAATATAACATTCTAGTCATTAATATTAGCATAGCCTACATAATAAGGTAAAAGTACAGTTGGGCCTCCATATTCCTGGGTTCCACATCTGCAGCTTTGAGCAACCACAGATTAAAAATAATTGTAAAAAAAAAAAAGAAGTAATAATACAACAATAAAAGTAATACAAATAAAAATGCAGTATAACCATTTACGTAGCACTCACATTATATTAGGTATTGTAAGTAATCTAGAGATGATTTAAAGTATACAGGAGGGTATGCGTAGGTTATATGCAAATACTATACCATCTTATATAAGGCACTTGAGCATCTGCAGATTTTGGTATTGAAGGGGGTTCTGGAACCAATCTCCTACAGATACAGAGCAATGGCTGTGTATTTTGTTTCTGCTTGATCTCTCCTTACGCTGGATCTTGGACCTAACTCTCAGTAGATCTGATTAATTATAAGGCCTCATGTGGATGCTGACTAGTTGTAATGCTACTTTAATTTTTTCTCCATGTGAGAAAGTGAGAGGAGTAGGGATCTTTGCTTTGTAAAGGGAAATGTGTCAAAGCATTAAGCAAGCATTAATTTTTCCTCAGAGCTTTATTCACATATTGGACGATGCTGAATAACCAGAGAGTTGTGCGATTATGCACAACATTATTAATGCAATTATGTCTGGATGTCCTGTGATGTTGTGGGACTGGTGCTCCAAGCCCATTATGATTGCTGTTGCCTGTTGAGAACAGGGGAATCCAAATAGAGTTGACTGTGGCAGATCTCCATTTGCAACCCCTCATCCCCCAGTTATAACCCTTATACTAGATTGTTGTCTTTGTTTACTTGGTCTCTGAAATTTATTTTCCCAAGCCTGATTATGTATCGTCTTTTTCTCTGTTAGCTGGCTGGAATGATGGCCCCTGTTTCTAGGTGTGGTAAGCACGATATAAAATCACAAAATGGTACTAACAGAGACCTGTGTGATTATTTATGTCAACATTTTCATTTTCCACATGAGGAAACCAAGGCACAGATAAGAGAAACTTCATGCTTCCAGTCCAGTGCTGTTTGTATTATGCCAGATTCATCTTCGACTCTAAGCAGGATCGGATGTGGGGTGTGTTGTTGAAAGTGGCAGGAGAGCCAGATGGAGGCAAGCCCCACCTTCATGCCTACAATGTAGAGTTTTGGCATTATTTCCAAATAAATATATATAATAACTGGAATACTACTCTCTGTTATATTGAACACTCTCAGAAAACATTATAAATATCAAATGTTAAAGCCTAATTTATTAAAAAGTCCTGTTAGGGGATGTCTTTATTATTTCACATATTGGAATCTCAAATTGTGGCATTGGTCTCAGCCTTTCTGTAACTCACAAAAGCTCTACTGATGAGAAAGTGATACCATAGTATTTACATGGGTGCTTAAACATTTAGACATCCATGTGAACAGACGATTCCAGGAAGAATTGCTGGTAGGACACAGAGCAACATCAAGGCAGGCCTTGACTCATCCTAGATGATAAGTTAAAAAAAAAAAGGTCAACATGGACGTGAAGAAAGAACAATAAAAGGGAAGAAATGCTAGATAGTGAAAAGGGAGAAAAGAAGAAAAGAAAGGAGGTAGTGTACCCTGGCAGTTCCCAGGAAGTTAAGGTGGCAGGGGAAATGCAAAGCTCTCTGATGGGGATGAGGCTCCTAGTCTTTTGACAAAAATAGAAATGGGGGCTTTCACCGTTAACCCCCACATCACTTAATAAAGCCTGTTCAATAGTCTCATGTGTTTTTTGAAGCATAAAGGATTTGAGTTGACTCTTACTATTTTCTAGCTTGACTCAAAGATGGTTTACAGCACAGGAAGTTCCAAGGTTTCACATAAACAATGTCATGAGAGTTATTAATTTTTGGAGTTAAGATTATTGCCTCCTAACTGACTTTCTGAACTTTTTGGATTTAGAAACTACTGCTTTGAAGGCAAATATTTGCTTTCCATATTAAAAAAACCACTTTTTAGAGTATGTAAAATGACACACTAACATGAACTAAATTCATAATGAAGCCAAATTCTTTTTAAAAATATTAAATCTATAAAATTAGAAAACCATTTCACCCTTTTGTGTAAAATACCTATGCTAATGCCTTGCTCACTCGTTTTTTAAAAAATCAATTTTAAGGAGAATAAAGAATTCTGCTGCAAAAACAAGTTGAAAGTCTAAAACTCGTTTATTGCGGTAGAGGCTCCAAGATCACACACGTCCATTAGAGGTATTCAGTGCAGGGTCACTGGAGGGTCGGCAAGAGACAGCCAATTAGATGTCTGTTTTTCCTTTCAAAGTCCTGTCTGTTTCCTTCACTCTCTTCAAAACACCCTAAGTAGACATATATATCATGAAGTCAAAGCGAAAAAAAAGAAAAAAGAAAAGAAAAAAGAAAGACAAAAAGAAAGCCTTAGAACAGTGGGAGTTTTATTATCCAATAGTCATATGCATTTTAAATACCCATCATTATCAAGAGGAAAAACGAAGCCTGGTGTCTGGTAAGAAGATGTGCTACAAAGTAGAATACTATTCAATTTTGTCTAAACTCAGGCAGGAAAAGGCTACTGAATGCAATCCTTGGTTTCCCACCGTGGAAGATAGATGACTTCAAAGTTGTAGCAAAAGTATTTGTTTAGAGTAGGGAGGATCAAGACTTTCTGGTATTTACAGTGAAAAAACAACAACAACCCAGCCTATCTTTTAGAAAAGGAATGCATGGTTAAATTGGCTCAGCTTGTCCTTAGCAACCTGAACTCGGAGGCCACATTTTTTCCTCTCTAAGAAGCAAGTGGGAACTTGAAAAGTATGTAGCATGTCGTGAAAAGGGAGCAGTGAACTTTGCCCAGGTCTGCAGCCAGCACTGAAATCTGAACCTTCTGTAGTCCCTGGACTGGTGTCCCACCTCGCTACCCCCAACCTTCCTTTTTAATCCCTCTGCATAGAGCGCCTTAGCAAACTACCTTGGCCTGGAAGCAGAGCAGTTGTGACTTCTGAGGGAAAACCTGTTCTCTAAGTATTTCTGATGCCATTAAGAAGGAAATGCTAATGACAACAAAAAACCCCACTAAACCCCAGCTTTATAATTATGATTATGATATTCAACCTTATTTTTTATAATATGTATGGAGAAAATATAGAAAGATTTTGTTCTGTTGCATTAATTTTCAAGATAGCTTGAGAAGTTTTGGAGGTTCCCTATGTAGAGATTGTCACTGCTTGGAAAGATTTTTCTTACCTTGTTGGCGGGGAATATCATCAAAAGCCCTGCATTTAGGCGGCTTGCAGTATGAATCGTTTCACAACAGTAAGTTACTTGGTAACTTGAGCTGCACTCGTTCCTGAAATTCTTTCACCTAATTGAAGATTAACTTGATTCCCCGGATTGTTGATGGTGGTTGACAGTGTGGGGCTGGGGTGGGTGGAAATAGATTATTCAACTCACAAAGAAGTAGGTGTACCCTAAGTGACTGTTCCATTACTGATCATGATTGTTTGCCTTCCTAAGTATTCATCAAACTCGGTGCTGCAGGATCGTGTGGGGAGGGAGGAGAGTGTACCGCCAGTGTTCAGAAAGCAGGTGAACCTCAGAGAAACTTCAATATTTTGTAAAGAGACTTATATGTAGTAATGGCTACTCCAGAATCCATTAACGCCCAAACAAGCCGACTCAAGGGTTCTGGCTTTCTCAAGTGGCTAATGTAAACAATATGAAAGTCAATAGTCGGGGACATTCCAAGATAGTATTAACACGATTGATTTATTGATGGTTGCACAATGGGAGGTTATCTTTTGTTAATTGACTCGGTAAATAAGCTCCCAGGCGTCAGGGCATAGGGGGAAAAGCAACCAGTGGAGGAAAAGGTGAGGCACCTGGATTATAATTTTTTTCAACTCCCAGCCTGTCTTGGTAAATTCCATACCACTTCCTCTGCCAACCTCAAACACAGTTTAGCAATTTTAATTCCGGCCAAAACTCTGCATCCATGTTTCATGAGGGGAAGACTCAAGGGTGGTATGTTCCTATCAAACAATCCAACTTTCTTTCTCTTTCTTTCTTTCTCTTTCTTTCTCTCTCTCTCTCTCTCTCTCTCTCTTTCCTTCCTTCCTTCCTTCCTTCCTTCCTTCCTTCCTTCCTTCCTTCCTTCCTTCCTTCTCTCTTTTAAAAACTTTTACTTCAGGAAGATTAAAGCAATAGTAGTTGAGAGAGAGACAGAGAGAGAGAGAATTCACCGACTTGGCTTATTTATTAATACAAATCTAGAAATGGTAGGGAAGATGCATGTATGATCTTTTTTTTTTCTTTTTCTTTTTTTTTTAGATGGAGTCTTGCTCTTGTTGCCCAGGCTGGAGTGCAATGGCACAATCTCTGCTCACTGCAACCTCTGCCTCCCAGGTTCAAGAGATTCTCCTGCCTCACCGCCCCCCAAGTACCTGGGATTACAGGCGCCTGCCACCACACCCAGCTAATTTTTGTATTTTTTGTAGAGACGAGGTTCGCCATGTTGGCCAGGCTGGTCTCGAACTCCTGACCTCAGGCGACCCACCCACCTCGGCCTCCCAAAGTGCTGGGATTGCAGGCATGAGCCACTGTGCCCGGCCTTCACGTGTGATCTTTTAACCTCCAAGAAATGATTGAACCATAGGGATAATACATTGTTTGCTGTTGGCAGTTATTTATGCAGCATTTCTCCATAAAGACTACCATAATTTGGTACTTCCTCCTCCTATGAGGAAGGGGGAAAGAAAAAAAAATGCTTTATAAATTTTGGTCGACTCCTAGTACAGCAGTCCCCCGTATCCGCAGTTTTGCTTTGCATGGTTTCAGCTACCCGTGGTCAATCACAGTCTAAAAATATTCAGTAGAAAATTCCAGAAATAAACAATTCCTAAGTTTTAAATTTCACACTGTTCTGAATAGATGAAATCTTCTGCCATCCTGCTCTGTCTCGCCTGGGCTGTGAATTGTCCCCATTGTCCAGCGGATCCATGCTGTATGCCCACCCCTGCCCGTAGTCACTTAGGAGCCATCTCTGTTGTCATATTGACTGTCACAATGTCACAGTGCTTGTGTTCAAGTAATTCTTATTTTACATAGTAATGGCCCCAAAGTGCAAGTATAGTGATGCTGGCAATTCGGAGATGCCAAAGGGAAGCCGCAAAGTGCTTCCTCTAAATGAAAAGGTGAAAGTTCTGGACTTAATAAGGAAAAGAAAAAGTATCCTGAGGTTGCTGAGATCTACAATAAGAATGAATATAGTATCCATGAAACTGCGAAGAGGGAAAGAGAAATGTGTGCATAGTATGTTTAGGGCTTGGTGCTGTCTTCGGTTTCAGGAATCCACTCAGGGTCTTCGAGGGTATCCCTCAAGCGCAAGGGGAGACTGCCGTATTATGTCTGCGGAAGTGGGACCTCCTAGATCAATTCCTAACACTTTGAACTTGGCAAGATAGATTTTTTTTTGGACTTTTACACTTTTATCAGCGATAGTTTAAAAATTTAAATTGCTCACTGTTTAACCCTTGCTATCTTCTAGAACAGTGGTCCCCAACCTTTTTGCACCGGGAACCAGTTTTGTGGAAGATGATTTTTCCATGGACAGGGTTGTGGGGATCATTTTGGGATGACACTATTCCACCTCAGATCATCAGGCATTAGATTCTCATAAGGAGCACCTAACCTAGATCCCTGGCGTGAGCAGCTTACAATGGGGGTCAGCTCCTATGAGAATCTACTGCCACTGCTGATCTGACAGGAAGCATGATCCGAAGTGATGCTCCCTCGCCCACTGCTCACCTCCTTCTGGGGCCTGGTTCCTAACAGGCCACAGATTGGTACGGTTCCGCAGGCTGGGGTTGGGGACCCCCGTTCTAGAACACTCAAAAAACATCAACTTCTCCCTTCACGCTGTCTTTTCCTCTGTCTCCCTAAGGCTTTTCTTTTTTTGATACGGGCATTCTTTAAGCTCTGACTTCTCTTTTCCTCTTTCCTCTGCCATCTCCCGTCAATCTCTTCCAGCTGCTGGCTGTACTCTGCAGGGGAGTTCAGAGTGAGCGTGAAGTACAAATCAACACCTGCACCCACTCCAGCTCTGTCTCCACCTTCCAACCATTTCCCGTCCTGACTTTTCTATTTCTGTACCTAACCCACCCCAACCCATTCTGCCATTGTTTTTGGCCTCAAAACTTGGAGTCCGCCTCACATTCCCACTTTCTTCTGTAAGTTCTCAAGTCCTATAGATTCTGCTTTTAAAATGTATAGTTCATAAACGATGAGCTTTGCCTCCCAGATAGATTAAATTGGACTGTGGATTGGCACACGGTAAGTATTCAATTAATTTTTGTTGAATGAAGGAATGAGTGAGTGGCTCCTCCTTAAACCAGGGTCCCTGCTCCAAAATATAATCCTACATAGCTTTGCATACTACTGTATTCTTCATAATAATCATCTCTGATCACATTATTTCAGGGCTCAAAAACTGTCAGTAACTAGTTTTCTCCTCAATCCAGGGTAAACTACTCTTTTTTCAAGTCACCCACAATGTCTTTTTGTTTATCTTCCACTAAACTCCTAAATATCCTATGCTCAATACAGAATATTGCTTATTTTCCTCTAAATTCTTTTTTTTTTTTTTTTGAGATGGAGTCTCACTTTGTCACCCAGGCTGGAGTGCAGTGGTGTGAGCTCAGCTCATTGCAAACTCTGCCTCCCAGGTTCAAGCAATTCTCCTGCCACAGCCTCCCAAGTAGCTGGGATTACAGGCATGTGCCACCATGCCTGGCTAATTTTGTATATTTGGTAGAGACAGGGTTTCTCTATGTTGGTTAGGCTGGTCTCGAACTCCCGACCTCAGGTGGTCCACCTGCCTCGGCCTCCCAAAGTGCTGGGATTACAGGCGTGAGCCACCACACCTGGCCTCCTCTAAATTCTTTATATCTCTCTGCTTCCCTATTTTAGCTCATTTTATTTCTTCAATCAGAATGTTTGTTCAATCATTTTTTTAAGCTGCATTTTTTTAACTGTTTTTTTGAGGCCCATTTCAAATGCTACCCTGTCCATGGAGCTATTTTTAGTTCCATATACTTCTTTCTCAGCCAAGCTAGATGTGCTCTTCCTCTTGGGGCGTTTATTGTATTCAGCCTGTATCGTAGATATTTCTATACTTGATTTATTCTTTCCTAATAGAAGGTAAATGCTTGGGAGACAGGAGCTAAATAAATCTTGCTTCTTTCTTCTAAGCCTGGACTCTCAGTGCCTTGTACATAGTAGGCACACAGAATGCTATTATTGAATTACAATGATTTTTATATTTTCATCCGTGTAAGATTTTTTTCTTTCTCCTTTGATTGCATGTTGTTGTTCAGCATTGTGTGCGTGTGTGTTTCCCCATTTGCTATGTCCTGCTTAGCACCTTTAGTTTTGAAATACACATTTATTTATGTATCTTTCCCATTTTGACCTAGTAAATAAAATGTATTTTTTCATGTGACTATCCAAAGTGAGAGAGGATACTGTGAAATGTCTCATGAACTGCTGTTCCAAGGTAGTATTTATAAGCAATCCTTTGATCTGGATTTCTTTTAAATTTTGTGTTTATCTGTACACATTTAGGGGGTACAGGTGCAGGTTTCTTACACGCATGTATTGTGTAGTGAAATCCACATTTATCAATCATTATTTTAAACTGGTCTTCGGAATGCAGGCAGGTCCAGGAGCAGGGCTCCTTCAGTTTGCCCTGCTGCAGCCTGCTTCGGGTTTGCCCAGCTTTCTGTTCTTTCCCTATCCCTCTTAATGTCTGGGAATTAGTTACGCTGAAGTTCCACTTCATACAGAGCTGCCTGCAACTTGAGATGCAAACTCCAACACTGTGGGCCACTTTTTAGAAGCATGTGGTCATTCGGGAAACAAAGGCACTCCTGTTTCCTCTTCTCAATAACAATTAAGACATCAGATTAATAGAATCTTTAAATTCTTGAACTATGCTCGCAGAATAGTTTGTGTTTGCTTTAACACAAAGGAATACTTTCCAAACCCTAAAGGTCACCCAAGAAATAAGAGAGAGACGGCTTATGAATCGTGTATGCTGGTAGATTTTTGGAGAATGGCATGTGTCCTAGGCAGTGCGCTCTGGCTTTGGAGCGACTTGGCATGGGAGTACTCTGTGATTTACGCTGGAGAGGCATTTCCTGGGCAAGGAATCCCCTGTATTGAAGGGGCATGCCATTAGGAGGAGAAGAAATAGGGGCGGGGCGGGGTGGGGAAGAGGAAGGCTTCTTGGTTCACATTCTGGCATTCACTTAATGAGTGTGATGTTCTTGCTAATGGGATTTAACCACAATACCTATCCCTAACCTTGTCACCAAAAAGGTAGTCTACATGCCCCTTTTTTTTCAATACCGTCTGCCTGGTAACTGTGCAAAAGTCTGTTCTCCCAATTTTCTAAATGGTAATCCTAGAATTATCTTGGCTCAGAAATGAATGAAGAACCCGTGTACAGGACTCAAATTTCCCTACAGGGGTTGTAACTGAAGCAAGGATTAAGTGCCAGTACACAAAACCTCTCAAGCAATGGACAGCATGTCGATTGCTAAACATTCTATGGTAGAAGGCCTTTAGTTTTTCTCTTTTATAAAGCTTGAGATCAAGTTTTGGTAAGAAGTAAAAAAGCAAGGCAATTTAGCTCCTTTAAAGGATTGCTTGTTGGGAAGGACAGAGCTATATTTAGCTCTGTGGCTGTGTCTCCAGGAAGCTAAAGCAACAAGGCAATTAAATGGTGAATTGTGTGTGTGTGTAGAGAGGGGGCTCAGGGGGAGGGCAGGTTAGGGAGATTATAATATAGGCCTTAAAAAGAATCTGTTTAGGAAAAAAATTTTCAAAACAGTTGCAAAGTATCATGAAGATACAGCAGACTATTGACTGACCACCTGTTGCACATCGCAAACCTTTATTTTGAAGTGGAACAGACAGAGCCTGAATAACTCCAAGTTCCCCCATATGGTGATAGCAATAATAAACTCTCTGTCATTTATTGAGTACCTACTATATACTAAACACAGTGCTTTACTTCTATTAAGCCATTTAGTGTTGACAACTGTGCTCTCGGCAGCAAATAACAAGAGGGTCTTGCCCAAGATCACATAGCTGCTAAGTGGTTGAAACAGATTTGAATCTTGTTCTCTTTCTCTCCCCACTTTTAGTTGCTTATATACACTATGCCTCCTATACTCTTCCCTGCTGCACTGGCATTTTATGATCTTTAAATTCTTATATTACAGAACTTTGACCTTCTAGGAGAAAGGCATGAAATACACCCCCCTCCCATAATGTCCATACTCATATACGTGTGTGTGTGTGTGTGTGTGTGTGTAAAACATCTACGTCTAAATCTACAATTTAAGTGGAGTGCTATCCTTAAAAAAGGAATAATTAGAAACTCTCATTTACATTGTAATTTACATTCAGATTTCCTGGAACTGTAGCTTTACTCTTTTTTGCTTTTTTTTAAAAAAAAAAACTCCTTTTATTTATTATAATTCCTGGAGATTTGGCTCTGCTCATGTCCTAGATATAGGGTTATGGATGTGGGGCAGAGTTCAGCGAGACAGAGCTGTGTCAGGAAACAAAACAGCGGGGTAGAATTGAGTGTCATATAACTAGCTCTCAGTCGTTGTTTTTCTCTCATTTTGTGTGGTAAACCTAAGGCCTGTTTGATTTTGCATCTTCGAATTTAAACCCTGGGTAAACAGGTAGATGGCAGCCAATGATCCCAAGTGGAAATTATTGTCTTACAAGAGGGTAAATAATTTGACCAAATCTAAACATAGAATTCTTCTTCTATGAGTGCAGTTTAAAATCACAGGGCATTTTAGTGCATCGTCATTTTTCCTTTTCACACTTATTCCCTTATTGAGATAGGTAGGAATCAAGAATTGCATCTCTGGGAAAATTGATAAGTGTTCTTTCTGAAAAAATCAACAGTATATGAATAAGAAGTATATTTCCTTGAATGATATTGTTGTTAGTTTAACACCTTAAATAAAGAAGGTATTCAATAATTTTTAGGAAAATCAAATTTAGAAATAAACATTCAGATATGGAAGGCCTAACAAGGCTGTTCTCAAAGTAGACAAAGGAATACTTAGAATCTTATTGAACCTCTTTGGGACCAGCTGGACACGATCATTGCTCCGGTCCTCTAGAGCTCTAACATTCTTTGAATCAATAATAGCCCAGTGCCCTTTCATTTCTGGGCCCATTCATTTAGAGATAGGATAAAGTGGTCAAGAAAGCAAAATTCAGCTGTTGAGTCCAGAGGTAGTTGGAGATATAAATCAGAATATTTCTTCCTCCCAGATCAAAAAGAGAGAAGTTCTTATATCTGCTCGTGTTTGAAGCAGAGCAGCAAAAATTGTGGTGGATATAAAAATCTAGGCTTATTACAAGACCTAGGAAGCAATCTCAGGGGGATGGTCTTGCCATCAGTTACCTGAGATTATTTAATTACAAGCAACTCGTGATTACCTGTAAAGGCGAGAGATGCAGTGGAAAACTCAAACAATGCTTGTTGCAAAATCATGTACATTGGCTTGGGAATATCCCGTATGACATTCCCCCCCAGAAATTTGCCTTCCTAATTATGTTTTGCTTAGCCCAATATTAAAAATTAGTTAGTTTCCCCGGAGTAGCTCTGAAGTTAAACTGCGGAGGGAGTTGGTTCAAGAGCATGCCAATTGGAATATGGAGGATGAAACATTTTCTGGCACTAATGTGGCAAAAAATCCCAAAGTTATTTTAATCTTAAAGAAAAACATAATCTTGAGCACCTTACCAGCCTTCACATATTATCTGAAATGCTATAAACATTTGTAATGATTACATAAATGAGATTATTTTTATTTAGATATGTGTGTTTTTGCCTTAAGAATGTGTGTTCTCACTCTCATCCTTCTTGGCAGCTAAAGAAAATAATAAACCAATTTTCACAGACTCAAGCATAGTGCTCTGCACACACAATTGGGTCAGAAATATTTGTTGAATAAATAAATGCTCCTGCTTAGGAAGGGTCTCATTTTGTAGCATTGAAGACAGATTAGGCTAGATTTGGAAAGTTAGAACTAGAGGCGGATTAGAAATCTTGGATCCTTGGGCTACAACGTTGTCGTCATGGGGGGGTTCTTGATTGAATTCTCTTCTTTCTTTCCTTCTTCCTCCTTCCCTCCTTCCCTTCCTCCCTCCCTTCTTCCTTCCTTCCTTCCCTTCTTCCCTCCCTCCCTCCCTCCTTCCTTCCTTCTTTCCTTATTTTCCTTTCCCTGAATTTAAATGACTTCATAGTCTAATATTCCTAGAGCATATACAAACTTGAAAGTAGGCATATATTCCTGAAATTTATGGCTCTTATACAATTGCAAATCCAAAACAAATTTACAAATTGAATTCAAAGAAAATGACAAACTCAGCCTTCAAATTAACAACACTGACTTAATGTGATGGACAATGGTTTGCTAACGTTTAATTGCTACTCACAGCATTAATTTTGTTCCAACTGGTATGCTGATGATGTTTTGATTTTAGTATGCCTATATTTCCTTGTAATGTATAAGACAATTCCTTAACACTTTTCTGTATTTAAACTACTGCAAAACTTTGGTCCACACAGAATACTGGAACATCATTTAACCTTCACTTGGCAGAAATCCGTAATTTACTTACTTGGGGGCGGGGTCCAGGTTTTGTGGGGCATGAAGAGTATACAATTTTTAGGGCTTTTAAAAAAATATATATATATATATAATAAAAGTGAAACAAAATTGCTACGGTCCCTCCCAAGGCATTGGAAGGAATCTGCATAGGAGTCGAAGCTCAAGCTTCATTAGCTTCATGCTAAATCCATCTGTATTCATGTATCAAGCCCGTCTCTATTTTTTTCTTGTTGCTAATAAAGAAGAATGACCTGGCAACAATGAGGAGTGGCATTTTTTTAACTTTGGGAAGATCAATCTTAAATTACACATTAGTGTATTTAAAGATTATTCTCAACCTAAAAACAGAAAATTAAATATTGTCATTGATGACACAGAGACGACTGAGAAGTACCTTTTAGTTAAATTCTTTTTCCCTTGATAAATTCCAAGGAGGAGTTGCTGGAACCAAGTTTTAGAGCTCTCACCAACTTTTCTTGGTTGGATTTACAGAGGTCAAAGTTTGGAGTGCAACTAGAGAGGTTAGCAGTTCACTTTTCCCAGACCGCCTGGCTTCTCATAGCTTAATCTCTGGGCACAGCTGCTGTGAGCACACAGTCCCTGGGACTCATATCTTGCCCTGCTCCTGGCCTGATGACAAGACTGGGAGGAACTGTGGGCAGGTAAGGCCAAAGGGAACCTCAGACCAATATTTCTCTGGAGGGCAGAGGGACAAACAGAATCCAGAGGTTGGGATCTACCTTGGGGACAATGTCTCAGAGTCCAATGGTTGCAATGAGATGTGTTGTGAGTCAGAGCTAGGGAGGGAAACAGCAGGCACAGGGGATGTTGAAAGGTCAGCCAGGCAACGGAAACCAGGGGTCAGGAAGAATTCTGAGCTATGATATCAGTTGGCATGCATGGTGGGGCAGGTATTCATATCAAAATCAAGCAAGTTTCATTTTTCAGGATCCAAGATCTTCCTGCCTTCCTTTCCTGGTAGGACTCAAGGGATTCTTCCTGGGCTCATAGACACTAGGTGTGAAACCATGCAAAAGGACAGGAAATGGGTGTCACTCTTCTTTATTGAGGAGATTCTGGAATTATTTTTACCGGAGTTGATTAGAGAATAAAATGTGGTAGTCAAGATCAGACCTGTCCTCTCAGGCTCTTTTCCTTCTAAGACAGGAGAATCTTCTGAGAGGTTCCCATAGAAGAGAACCCTCACGCTGCAAGTATCCAGGATACACATTCTGATTCATGCGAGTTCTAAGAAAATCTTTATTTTGGGACATTTGAGGCTTGTCATCAAAGAACTCTAACTTTCTATCTCCCATCTATCTATCTATCTATCTATCTATCTATCTATCTATCTATCTATCTATCATCTATCTGTCTTCTTTCTATATATTTTCTATTTTCTATATATATTTCTATTCTATATATTTCTATTTTTTATATAATATATATGTGAGATATATATCACAGAGAGATGTATTCTTTTTCTCTATATATATATGTGGGAAAGTGTTTTGTAAATGGTGAAGAACTACTGTTGTTATAATCCCATTTCTGTCCAATGTAGATGCTGATTTTTATCTTGCTTGATAATTGTTTTCAGGTGAGATTATATCCGATAAATACTTTTTAAATTCCTTTTTCTTCTGTTTCCTTTCTGTTTGTTTTCTTTTTGCTTTTGTTTCTTTAGTTTTCTGGTGAAAAATGATTCCATTGGAAATTTTATATCAGAACAAGTGTTTTCAGAAAAGGAAGGGATTCTCAGATTTAAAGGAAAAAGTTTCCCTAAAAGTCAGAGCAGCTAGAGCTACTAGGAAACCCCTTTATCTAATCAATCAAGTCTTAACTATAACACACTCAACCGATGCTTGGGTAGAATATAAATTCCAAGTCACATGAGGTCTTATCAGTTATAATACTGAGAAAGAATTAGCCCCTCTGTTTTGGTAAGATGATAGCTGTGGGCTAATTCGTTTTTTCTTGATATATTTGGGGGATTTGAAAACTTAGGAAGTAAACAGGTTATTTTGTTCAGGGAACCTTTTCTGAAAGAGTTACCAGGGTTCATCTGATGCCATTAGCTTTGCCAGTAATTTCCATGATGTCAAGGGCACATGGGAGATTAAAGAGGGATTAAGACCTGCTTGCACAGTCAAAGCATCACAGTAAATTGACTTGACTTGGCAGGCTACACTTCAGGTTGGCACCTTTTCACCACCTAATCATATACAATCCAGGTTTGCAGTGTTAGCTAGGCTACTTTCACAGAGGCCAAGAAATGTTAAGCAGGCAAGGTAGGAGGTGAAAGTTGCTGGGAAGGAGTGGATGGACTTCCAGGAGAATGCTCAAGGCCAGGCTGCCACCATGAGCTGCCGAGGAGGATTAAAACATTAAGGAAAATGCTTGTTGTTGTTGTTGTTCTTTTTTCCTCAGAATCTTTCAAAAATGAATTTCATTTTCTATTTACCCTCCTTCCACCCGCTCCCAAGTTTTCCAGATATACGTTCCTCTTAAAACCTTTTTAATCGCTCAGGTTATTATCAACTCTTCTGCAAAAGGAATCAGGTTTGCCCAGGAACTTCACTGAATAAAGATGAGTTTATATCTTAAAAAGGAAACAGCTGGATGGCAAAAGCCAGGGCGGGAGGCAGCTCTTGTTTCATTAGTGAAGGGAAACTCGAGGGCCCGGAGAGAACAACTGGGCTGGCAGCCACGGCGGGGAGAAGAAAAGGAAACACACGATCATAAAGAACTAATCATGAAAAATGGAAAGTGAGAAAGAGCCAAGAACAACAAGCAATAAATAGATTTGGAAGGGGGAAAAAGATGAGGAGGAATGAAAAGCTATGCTCAGGAAAGAAGCAACAAGAGCATGTGCGTTTCATTTGAAAAAAATTAATGATTCTGAAAATCATTAAAAAGTCTTAAGGAAAATGTTTTAAGATAGCTTTTCAGACCCAGGTTTTATTTCTATGTGTTGTTTCAGAGTCTATTCCAGTGCATGAAAAAAAAAAATCATGTGGAACTAGTGGGAGAAACTTAACATACAATGTGCCTGAGTGATTGGTTTCCCTCTGCTTTTTTTTTTTTTTTAATGATTTCTGCCTGATGGTGGGGAATAGAAGCAATTAGTTTGGCTATGTAGGATCACTGATAAATCTGGGGATTCTAAGATTAACTCATACAATTCTAGTCGTAATTAGAAATATCAAATACATTTTCACCTGTGCAGTAATCACGTAATGTTCATTTATTTGTCATGAGGGGGTGATGATTCAGCACTCACAGGTATATCTTTAAATATTTTCAGACGAAATGAGCATGGATTTAAGGAGGAACTAAGAGGAAAACCGGATCCTAGTCTGTCCTTCATCTTGAAAGAGGACTATTGGTCATGTTCATATATTTTATCATGTTGAATCTGTTCATCGAAACATAGCCAATAGTCCAGGCAAGCCTAGAGAGAAGATATATGTATATATATATATATATATATATATATATATATATATATACACACACTATTTGAAGTTTCACATCAGTTACAGATAATACTTTACAAATTAAATGTTGTTGGTCTTTTATTTGGGGGATGCCTTATTAGCTTTTTAAAAATTAGTTTTTAATAGCAGCATTTGTTTAAGAAGGAAGAAAAAATGCTTGGTGGTACCTTCTGGAAGGTACATTAATCTTGTTAATGACACCACAGTTCATGGTTGGCAAAACAGGACTTTTGAATCAACCTGTATTGTGTGTGTGAATGTGTATGTGCTTGAGAAAGAAGGCCAGGGCACTAAAGATACATGAGAAGTGCATGAAGACAGGATGCAGGATTTCCTATGATTTTATGTTGTTCTTAATTAGGAAGCATATTGGCAGCAAATGCTAACATGTGTTAGGATGTTTAGCTGAAGCCAAATAAATGTTTTCTATTACAACTCTGAATTCCATGCCTGGTCGGAACCCGTGCTTTTCTGCTCATGGCTTACAAAATCCCGTTAAAAGTCATCTCAAGGGCCAATTTTCTGTTGGCTCACAGAGCAAAATGACTTTCACCACATGTTTTCCTGAAGGGTTATCTACAACTCCGGGTGGAAGTCAAAGATTGGAAGAGGATGACCTCTGATCCTGGAACTGCATTGCTTGGTGGTCAGGAGGGGTTCTTAGTAAGCAAACTCAGTTTAATCCCAGAGTCGGAAGTGGGTGTCAACAAGCCAAAGCAACATCCTTTCAGCTCTGCTGCTTTTTTGTCTTGGTGGAGGAATAGCCAATGGAAGAAGATGGAGAGTCCGGACCAAAAAAAAAAAAAAAAGATGAGGTAAAGTAGCTACACTTGTGTACATAAGGAACCATGTAAAAGTATGCTATGTATGTATGTATTTATTTATTGTTTTGAGACAGGGTCCTGCTCTGTCACCCGGGCTGGAGTGCAGCGGCAGGATCTCGGCTCACTGCAACCTTCACCTCCCGGGTTCAGATGATCCTCTCACTTCAGCTTCCTGAGTAGCTGGGACTGCAGGAAGGCCCCACCATGCCTGGCTAATTTTTGTATTTTTAGTGGAGACAGGTTGCCATGTTGCCCAGGATGGTTTCGAACTTCTGAGTTCAAGTGATCCTTCCGCCTTGGCTGGCCAAAGTGCTGGGATTAAAAGTGGGAGCCACCGGGCCCGGCCATTTTTTTCTATCCACGTCTTTTTCACTGCTGTGTCTGAGAAATTTTACACGCTCTCATATATGTAGCTGAAATGATGCAGGAGTTCCCCGGCACCAGCCGCTTGGTACTCTCATTTATTAATATCAATAAATCAATGAAGCCAGGTTGCAAGGCATTCTTAGGTATTCATTCACCATGCTAGGACCGCATTGCCTGGAGCTCTTCAGCAGTTTTTCACTGCAAGGCCTTCACACAAGCTAGTCCCTCTTTCTGGAACATTCCTCTCCACGTTTTGCACGGCCTATTCCCTCGCCTGGTTCAGATCTCTTCCCAATTGTCCTTTCTCCTCCAGCTTTCCTTGATCCCTTCATCATTCTTTCCTCTATTTGTATTTATTTATTTTTGTTCATTGTTTTCTTCCCTCCTCTAGAATGCCCATTTCAAGAACGAAGGGAATTTATTTTGTTTTCCCTGCTGTGCCTCAATGCCTAGGACAGTGTGAAGAACATAGAAGGTGCACAACTAATAATTTATTCACTGAATTAACAGGGCCAGGGTGTTTTTGTTACTTGTTACAGATGTGTGTGTAACATTTTCAAAGCCTTGGAAGTTATTAAATCACTTTCCCGCATTTTATATGCAAGACTCCTATTATTCTTAATAAGAGTCAGCTGTACATCTAGACTGCATTAAAAAATAAGCAAAACTACATTTTCCTTGGCCTTGTAAACAATCCCACATGGTATATGGGCCAAAAAAGGAAAATTAACAAAAAAGGGAGAATGTACCAAACCATATTCAGTTAGTAAAAGGGGATGTTTTTCCATATTCTTAAATGAAGATCTTTTACCCAATATATCCAGTCTCTCATAAACCATGAAATGAAGTGACTGGGTATCAGAACTAATTTTCAGAAGAAAAACTGTCATCTTTAAAGCAGTAAAATCTTCATAAAACTGTGTAAACTAATTACTGGGTTAAGTAAAATCACTGAAATATATCAGGACCTTCAAATGTCTCCAGGGCAGACATAATATAGTAATTCTCTAATAGTCACTCTGGGGAGATACTGTAATGGGCGGGATGAAGTCATTGTAATATTCTCATTTAGTTTGGGTCCTGAGACTTATAAAGAGAATACCGGTGGCAGACTGCACATACGGAAGAGATGCCTATTTATTTCACATGATACTAGCTGGCCTTTCCAGGCTGTGGATCATGAGCTCAGGGGAGCCCAATGGAGATGGGCATACTCATTTGTTCTGCAGAGAAGATATGCCGAATGTTTCTTCTCATCCCTCCTCATCAAAGAGAGTGGAAAATATTTTGTGTACAGTATTTTTTGCTTTAGGTTATTTAGAAGCCTTATGTATATTAGGTTTTTACATGTGAGCAAATAACTAAAAACAAGAGCAGGACCTACCAGAAGCTTCAACAGAACAGACAGACCATGGAAGACCTCATGTTCTTTTGAATTAGTGAAAAGCTATATAGTTTAAGTAGGTATCTTGGTAATCTAGGATAAATCACAAGGATTGGGTAAACTCAATGGAATATTGAAGGTTTATTTTATTAGGTAATTTTATATACATTTAGGCCACGTGCAGTGGCTCATGCCTGTAATCCCAGCACTTTGGGAGGCCAAGGCGAGTGGATCACTTGAGGTCAGGAGTTTAAGACCAGCCTGGTCCAACATGGTGAAACGCCATCTCTATTAAAACTACAAAATTTAGCTGGGCATGATGGCACTTGCCTGTAGTCCAGCTATGCTGGAAGCTGAGGCAGGAGAACTGCTTGAACCCAGGAGGCAGAGGTTGCAGTGAGCCAAGATCACACTACTGCCCTCCAGCCTGGGCTACTGAGTGAGACACCGTCTAAAAAAAAAAATATATATATATATATATATATGTATATATATCTGTAATGTGACATTGTTTTCTCAAACCTCAG
This sequence comes from Homo sapiens, assembly GCF_000001405.40. Classification (NCBI taxonomy): domain Eukaryota; kingdom Metazoa; phylum Chordata; class Mammalia; order Primates; family Hominidae; genus Homo; species Homo sapiens. Next base: position 96,156,582 of record NC_000015.10, on the reverse strand, counting down.
ACTAATCTTATGCTCAATATGGAAGATAATCATAACTCATCACTCTGGATTATAACTGCTTACATATGTCTTTCTTATGAGATAATGCACCTTGAAGGTAAGGACTTCACTTTATTTGCTTCATTCTCCAGTGTCCAATTTGTGGAATGAATGAATGACCCTTAACAGAAACCTGACTGTGATTCCCTTCACTATTAACTTTTCCTAGAGTTATGAATTCCAGTTAGAAATTTGTTCAGAAAATCACTTGTCCTTAGGAATATAATTTCACAAGACACACAAGTTGATTTCCTTATAGTCTATCATGGTGATTTCTACCCTGGCTCAAGGCTGTGATTCATGAAGAAGAGTGGTAGGAACCAGACTTCTTAAAAGTGGTGAGCATCAGGCCACAATCTCAGAGGATAGTGTATGAGGAGTAAAATTGGGAAGACACATTCACATTTACCCAAATGGCTTGCACATTAAAAGCTGTACACCCTCCCCAACTCCAATTAACTCAGAGGGAAATCTTTGGGCGGGTTTGGTTCTCTCCAATGTGTGTGAGCCTGCAGTTGCCTGGCTGGCTCCTGTGTCCCTTTGGAATTGATAATGAGGTTCAAGAGAGAGGAATAGTCCTCACTAAGCATGTCACCCCTATTTAGCACCTTTTCCAGGATGGCAGCCACTATTGTTTTATTATGTCTCTGATCAGCTGTCACTATTCATAAAGTAATCACTGCCATTAACACATCACGCCTCAAGCCATCTGCTGCAGCATGGCACACACAGAGCTGTTGGTTGCAAGCAAAGCAGGTGTCACCTAAAAATGACAGTACCACAGTAAAGGTGGGAGGTCATCATGGTGAAAGAGGATATGTCACGTCAAGTAACTCTATTTTTTGATGTATTATAGTGCAATGAGCAATAGTATTTCTTGCTCAATTTGCAGAGGCTAAAATTAAAACTTCTTATTTGAGATACTTTTTTTCAATATTGGTAAGTCATGGAGACAAAAAATGTCATTGAAGTTCTTAAAACAATAGCATCTAGATTGTGAATGAACTCTTGCATTAAATTTGCAGTCAAGTTTAAAGCATTCTTGAAGAGATCTGATCCATCAAACCTTTATTTGACAAGTGTTTATTGAGCACATATTAAGTGACACTGACATGTGGCTGGCCCACCCGAAATATACAGTTGCTACGTAAAACAAAAATCACAAGTAATGTGTACAGTGGAGATTCCTGATCCCAGCTGCATTTTTGACCCTTGGTCAGTCCCTAACACTTATCTTGATTTTGGATAATTTTTTGGATAGTTTTCAGTTTTAACAGGATCCATATTGATTGGATTTTCTGTGGATGTGTTGGAAAATAAGCTTGCATTGGAAAAATACAATGATTTCATAAAGTCTGTTAAGAAGGACAATATCTTTATAGGACAATTAGTTCTCTTGACCACCTTCATTGTAAAGGGGCTTTATATTTATACAACTGAGAGAGGAGATAGGAATTTAATTGAAGATCTTAAATGCTGATAGAAAGTGGGACAAGGGATCATAATTGGGTTCAACTATCTTTCTAGCCCCTTCCCCTCCTGCATATACACTGGAATTGCATCCTTAGCTTAACTTCAGAAAATTCATGTATTTATCCTTGGCAAATATACACACTTATACATCTATATGTATATGTAAAAAATTAACTAGGGTAGTTAATAATTCTACCCTCCATTTTATTGCATGAGTTTCTGCTCTTTTCCTGGGAGTGAGAAGTATTGGATGAGGGTTTGGATCTTCTAGCCCATCAGTTACTCTTAGCAACATCACCCATCCTTTCCTACTGGTGATGAGAGCATCTTGCTGCATGGGTGGTGGTTCTCAGGTGTATACAACAAGTACTCTTCTCCATGATGCACATGTCCACACATCCTGTATGCTACTGCTGGTTTAAGGGATTTTCAAGGGTCAATTCAATAGTACATTTAGAAATTAACTTCTGTGAAACATGCTACTCAATTACAAACCAATTGAGGAATGCTACATAACCCCAAAGTCTATAGAAAGCAAAGATATCCATCTTCTATTGATATAGAAGATATCTATAAGATATCTATATAGGGATCTCTCAACTACTTTTGAATCCAACTTTCTTTTGAGAATCAAAAATCTCAGGCTCTCTCCCTATCCCTGAAGATTTATAGAATCATCTGTTGTAACCAAAAAAATAAAATCGAGCTTGAATTTTTGTGCATTCAGAAAAATGTCTTTTATTATTTTTTTCAAATTCTATAATGATCTATATGCTTTTCAAAATGGGTCCCCTTTCTCCCTGGGGATTATGATATGCCCAAGCATAAGAGGCATTTTAACTTTAAGGATGATATTTGTGAATCTGGGATGCATGCTTTTCAAGATACCAGTGAAGCAGCAGAGGATGAGCAAGCAGAAGTGTCTCCTGATGACTGATGGCCCTTTCTTTTTTTTTTCTTTTTTTTTTTTGAGATGGAGTCCCAGCTCGGTCACCCAGGCTGGAGTGCAGTTGTGCAAGCTCAGCTAACTGCAACCTCTGCCTCCCAGGCTCAAGTGATTCTCCTGCCTCAGCCTCCTGAGTAGCTGGGATTACAGGTGCCCACCATCACGCCCAGCTTATTTTTGTATTTTTAGTAGAGACGAGGTTTCACCATGTTGGCCAGACTGGTCTCGAACTCCTGACCTCAAGTGATCTGCCTGCCTCGGCCTCCCCAAGTGCTGGGATTACAGGCATGAGCCACCGCACCTGGCCTGACAGATGGCCCTTTCTAAGGAGACTGAGGTGGTACATTTGTGATTACCAGATACGATAGAGTTGATATTGACCGTTGCACTAGTGACTTAATAGTTTTTATAAAAAGCCCCAAAATTGTTTGATATTTCATTTGCATCAAAATGTTGTAGCTCAAATGGCTTTATCAGATTGGCTCCTTAAAATATCATGTGCCCTTGTTCTAGGCGCAGAAGGAACACAAAGACAAAGACAAATGGTTCTTGGGTCCTGCCCTCAAGGCACTTACAGTCCAGTTTCAGTTTTAGAAGTTCAACCAAGAACATGGCTAATGGCTGGTAGAGATTGTACTGACTATTATACCACTTCTCCTAAAATATTATTTTGGTTGAAATAATAAAATGTAGATTCTAAACAAAATAAAATAATATTTTACTGCATTTTTCTGTGAAAGAAATGGGGGAATCTTGGGATTTCAAGATAATCCAACAAGCTGAGTAGGGCTGGCCATAGGTTTGGAACTCATGGAGATCACAGTGGAAACCCAGGAAACATTCTCCTGAGGGCTGCGTCTCCATTAATGTTTTCTGCCTAAGGAATGTGCTGGCTCTGGCTCTATGGGTAAACAGGAGGGTGAAGAGGAGGCTGACTGAGTTAAAGACATCAGCAGGTTGGGAACTATTAACACTGAGGATCATCTTTCTGTTTTTATTTTCCAGACAGGGTCTCACTCTGACTCCTAGGCTGGAGTGCATCATGGGGCTCTGCAGCCTCAACCTCCCAGGACCAAGCGGTTCTCCCACCACAGCCCCTCGAGTAGCTGGAACCACAAATATTCATCACCCCACCTGGCTAACTTTTTCGTTTTTATTTTTTATAGAGACAAGTTCTCCCTAAGTTGCCTAGGTGAGTCTTGAACTCTTAGGCTGTAGTCATCCTCTGGCCTTGGGCTCCCAAAGTGCTGAGATTACAGGTGTGAGCCACTGCACCTGGCAGTTGAAGATTATATGCGGATCACCTAGGTCAGGAGTTGGAGACCAGCCTGACCAACATGGTGAAACCCCAGGGGCTTTACTAAAAATACAAAAAAAAAAAATAGCTGGGCGTGGTGGTGGGCACCTGTAATCCCCCCTTCTCGGGGGTCTGAGGCAGGAGAATCACTTGAACCAGGGAGGCAGAGGTTGCAGTGAGCCAAGATCACACCACTGCACTCCAGCCTGGGCGACAAGAGCGAGACTCCGTCTCAAAAACAAAACAAAACAAACAAACAAAAAAAAAAAAACAGAAAAAAAAAAGACGGTTATAATGGGACCATATTTTTACCATCCCATTTATATGTTTAGGTATGTTTAGATACACAAATACCATGGTGTGACCATTGTCTACATCATTCAGTACAGAAATATTTGTACGGATCTGTAATCTGCACAAATCTGTACAAATATTAGCCTGTACAGATTTGTAGCGTAGATGCAGTAAGCCATACCGTGTAGCCTAGGTGTATTGTAGGCTACGCCATCTAGGTTTGTGTGACTACACTTTTTTTTTTTTTTTTTGAGATGGCGTTTTGCTCTTGTTGCCCCCAGGCTGGAGTGCAGTGGCATGATCTCGCCTCACCACAACCTCCGCCTCCCAGGTTCAAACAATTCTCCTGCCTCAGCCTCCTGAGTAGCTGGGATTATAGGCATGTGCCACCATGCCTGACTAATTTTGTATTTTTAGTAGAGACGGGGTTTCTTCATGTTGAGGCTGGTCTCGAACTTCTGACCTCAGGTGATCCACCTGCCTCGGCCTCGCAAAGTGCTGGGATTACAGGCATGAGCCACCACGCCTGGCCGTATAGCTACACTTTTTGATGTTCACACAATGACAACAAAATCACATAACATTTCATGTCTCAGAATGTTTCGCAATCATTAAGTGACTCATGATTGCACTTAATCTCTCTGGTCTGTAAAATAAAGACAACCAGAAGACCTACTCCAAAGGATTGTTGGGGTGATAATATAATGCTTAAAATTAATACTATAAAATAACGTAATACAAAATATTTATGATATTTATAAATACAGACATAAAAATATAGTTTTACTTATGATAATATTTCTTTTTTTTCTTTTTTTGAGACAGAGTCTTGCTGTTACCCCGGCTGGAGTGCAGAGGAGCGATGTCGGCTCACTGCAACCCCTGCCTCCTGGGCTCAAGTGATTCTCCTGCCTCAGCCTGCCGGGTAGCTGGGATTACAGGAGCCCACCACCATGCCCAGCTAATAGTTTTTGTATTTTTAGTAGAGACAGGTTTTCACCTTGTTGGCCAGGCTGGTCTTGAACTCCTGACCTCAAGTATCCTCCCACCTCGACCTCCCCAAGTGCTAGTATTACAGGCATGAGCCACTGTGCCCGGCCTACTTATTATGATACTTCTAAGCGTGATAAAGCACTTATACGTCTAGCACACAACAAATCCTCAATAAATGTAATGTACGAATGTGGCAGATTAAGAGAAAAAGCCAATGAAATAAAGCTGCAATACTTGCATTTAGAAAATACTATAGGAATAGGACAGAAGGCTTGGCTGACTGAAAGGAGGAATATATTAAAGGAAATGTCTTAAGAGTAGGTGACATTTGAATTGGCTAGTGAAAGAGAGAGAGAATAGCTTGCTAGGGGAAGTATGAAGAGCAACGTTTTGGACCATGAAAGGGAAGGAACCAACTGCTTTCTTCCTTCATTCCTCCCACTGAAGTGTTTTTCTCAGTTTGTCTTAAATCTCACTTTATGGGTTCTTCAAACAATTTGCCCATTTTTGTGTTTACCTGAGTATCAGATCTGTCACGTAGATTTTCTTTATGGAGACTCACACATTTAAAAAAGACTCTCATAAACATCATTGTTTAGTATTAGTATAGTTAATCATTTTATACCTTAGGCTTACAATATAATGATTTTAAGGTTTTACTCATCCAAAATCAACTTCTCCAGCCTCCCTTACTATTAACTCACTCTTTGTATTTAATTTATTATTCAGTTTTCTATTTCTTTGGACTGAGTGGGCATGGGAAATAGAATGGGAGAGGAAGCACGTAATTAGAAAATATTGTACAAAGCTGCTGGCTATTTTATGTAGAAAATGAAATTTGAGACCTCAGGATGCAAAATTAATATGTAAGAATTTCATCACTTTGTTAGAAGATGCAATCGGAGTTCATCCAATATACTGTCAGAGACTTGGTGGATATTTGTCAATTTTGTTTGTTATTCAGGAGGAATACCTGGATTTTCTCTGAGGGAGTCATCCCTGCTTGGTCTCGGTCTACGTGGTTTATGTGGTGCTTTGCCAAGTCCACTCCCTATCCACCTTCCAGTCTTAAGCAGGGGGAATAGCTCAAGCTCAGCCACTCAGGCTTTCCCTTCCGGGAAGCTGAATTCCGAGTGGTGAGACACAAAAGTGGGAATATGCTTGGAACAGATTCTTCCTGTGAGCAGAACCTTGAAGAGGCTGTTTATTCATTCCTGCTACCTGGAGCCCTGAAGCTGTCTGGTTCCCATCTTTGTTCTGTCACGATCTGAGCGTCCAGCTTTTGGTTTCTCTGAGCCGCTCCATATCCTTCCAATCATTTTCCTCTTTTCTTTTGCTTCATTTAGTCAGAGTTTAACTGATAGTCTAAGTGATAGAATAAAAATGTGAACACAGAAAAAAATATCACTAGATGACAGCTGGGATTACTAGACAGCATTTTCTCACTGGACATGTGTTTTGAAAGCACATACCAGCACCAGGCACTGTTCTAGGCACTTGAGTCAGTGACAAACAAAACAAAATATTGAGAACAATAGATGTGGCTGGGCACGGATTCACAGGCTCGTGCCTGTAATCGCAGCATGTTGGGAGGCCAAGGCGGGGGGATCGCCTGAGCCCAGGAGTTTGAGAACAATAGATGTTCTAACAAATATTTGTTGTTGGGCTTTCAGGAGCTAAATGAATGGGCTAATGACATTTGTTCAACCTTAAGATAATTTTTATATGACCCTCTGTGAGAGGTTCTAATAATTCTTTTTTTAACAAACGAATAAGAATATTAACAACAATCTAGGTAAATATTTCGAAAGAGTTCTTCCTTTGGAAAAAGCAAGCCGAGTGTTGATTTAAATTTCTCAATGATCAAAGTGTTAAAGTAATATGTTTTGAATAGAGCCATCTATAAAACATACCCATATAAACAACAAAACTTGTAAATGTGTAATGGGCAAAAGTAATAAAACTATTGAAATAATGCATTTTCCTCATACCAACTCTATCCATTAATTTTTTACAGTTTTCTACCATGTAACATTACCCTTCATAAAAATGATATTTTAAAATGAGATGGGGTTGGTAAAAGAAACAAGGGGTAATAATGGAAGGAGGATTGCAAAGCTGTGCTCTGCTGGATGAGGGAGAAGGGAAAATAGAATTCATTTGGGCTTTCTGTGAGCCAGAGGCCATGGTCTGTAGCCTTTAAAGGGATGAGCAATGCGCAGAGCCAAGGATTTTTATATCTTTATTTTGATTATTTGTTTCTTTTCTCTAAAGAAATCAAGCACAAGCTATTTAAAATAATGAAAGTCACTTCAATATAATACTTTATAAGCAAATTTGTGAATCTCTCATGTATTAAACATTTAAAAATTCTTCATGCATTCTTGGATGGGTTGTATAAAATCTAAATGTAATATGATGGTATTCTTGCATGAGGCAACTTGGTGCAGTCAGAGGGACATAGATTTGGATTCAGACGGATCTGAGTTCTAATCCTGACTCTGCTCTATTCAAGTTATTTGACCTCTATGTAACTATTTCTTTACCTGAAAAGTAGAGAATATAACTCCTAGCAAGTAGTGGGTACTCAAGATAAGATGGTTTTCTGGCCAGGTGTGGTGGCTCATGCCTGTAATCCTAGCACTTTGGGAGGCTGAGGTGGGTGGATCACCTGAGGTCAAGAGTTCAAGACCGGCCTGGCCAACATGGTGAAACCCCATCTCTATTAAAAATACAAAATTAGCCAGGTGTGGTGGCAGGCACCTGTAATGTCAGCTACTCGGGAGGCTGAGGCAGGAGAATTGCTTGAACCTGGGAGGTGGAGATTGCAGTGAGCCAAGCTCATCATGCCATTGCACTCCAGTCTGGGTGACAGAGCAAGACTCCATTAAAAAAAAAAAAAAAAGATGGTTTTCTTCCACTGCCTTCATCCTTCATTCTGATAATACTTCAAATTATGAAAGATTAGCTTATTTGCAACTAGAGGCCATTACAGTATTATTAAGAGACCCACTCAAAATGCTTAATATCATTTGATATTATGTGTCAACTAAGTAAAAATGTACATGCTTGCAATTCCTAAAAATGAAATAAATAAAAGGTTGAAATTTTTACACTTACATTAAAATGAGAATCCATACTGTAGCATAATTTTGGAAAATGGAATTATCTGGGATATGAATGCTTTATTTCTCCATTTATTCAACAAACCCCGAGCACCTGTTAAACTCTTGGTCCCATGATAGGCATTTAGAATACAAAGATAAATCTTTGTATTCTAATACAAAAGAATACAAACATGATTCTGAATTTCAAAAAGTTACTTCACCCTCTTCCATGGTGAAGACCACAAGCAGAGAATTAAACGCAGAAATGTAGGATGGAGTGCCTTATGGGAACAATGGGGAGGGTCACCTCATTGGTGAGTGTGGGGTGTCAGGGGACACGGGAGTTTTCCAGCAGAGGTGGTGGTGAAGGTATGTATGTCAAGCCTTAGGGAATGAGTTGAAGTTATCTAGGTGGATTAGGTGGGGGAGACTAGAGTAAGAGGACATTCCAGAGAGTGAAGCAGGAAAATCAGAGGGAGATGAACCCACATGGTATGTGTACGTGTGTGTGAGGTGTGTGTGTGTGTGTGGGGGGGGGGGGGTAAGAAAGTCCCAGCAATCAATGTTATGCTGCACAGAGCTAGAGGTAGGGGCAATGAGAGTGATGCTACTGGAGAGGCAGGCAGGGGCCAGTTCATGGGTGTTTTCTTTCCCAGGCCAAATTGCTTAAGCTTTATGCAGAAGGACAAACGATGGCTTGGGCACAGCTGAAATACCTCTGCTCACACCTGTGTGAAGAATAACAATTAGGGTGGTAAAGCCCATTAGGAAATGGGTAATGTAGTCTGTGGTCCGGGGCCAGGCTGTAAGGGCTTGAAGGAGGTCAGGTTCACTGGGACACAGAACAGTGGGAGGGCTGGGTGGTTGGTGGCAGATAGGGGTGAGCTCAGGCGCAGAAGGAAGAGAGAGAATCCAGGCTGACTCTCAGCTCTGGAGTGTGGTACCTGACGTGGTGCCACCATCCAAGATAGGGAATACATGGACATGAATAAGGGTTATGGTCCAAGTTTAGGCATTCAGTGAAATCAAACTGTGAGTATCTTAAGAATTGGGCTGACTGTGGGTTTTTCAATACCTTGGTGAAATTTTCTTAAAGGGAGCTGCATTGACCACTTCTCCTGGTGCATGCAGAAGGCCTACTATGGAGTGACCATGGAGATGATAAGACAAAAATAAGCTTTCACTCTGCTCCTTAGTAGCTCTGGGATAGTGGGCAAGTCACTTTAGCACTCCAGATTTCTTGTCCCTCATTGAGAGAATAAGTAGGTTTGACAAATAACCTCTAGTTAAACAACTAGTCTTATTTGGTTCACTAAAACCATGTAATGTGGTTCTCCTTCCCCATTCGTTGGTTAACAGTAAACACCCCCCACCCCCCGACACACTGTGCAAAAGTTTCCATCTCCCAAATGTATGAGGCATTTGATATTTGATGTCATAAACGGGTTTTTCTTAACTCCTATGAATATTCTTAGCTCCTTCTCGTCAGGAATCGCTTGCAGCTCTTAGATGATGTGAATCACCTCCAAAGCATTTGTTTTCCAACATTCAAATGCATTTTTTGAAAACGAACATCAGCTGTTAACCAGAGCTTTCCCAGGTGCAGCAGAAACCCTCTTCCACAAGGCTTTACCTCCCTTCCCTACTCAGTAAACTGCCCAATCCAAACAGGGGGCCACTTCTGGGGCAGTAGCTTCTGACATGAAAGAATGCATTCAAGTAAAACAATGTGTTTTTCAAATTAGCACACATAACAAAAAAATATGTATTTACTTAGTACGCCTTAATGGCTTTCGAAGAGCCATTAGGCTCAACTGAGTGAATATTCCGTGTATTACCAAAATATGCACAATGTATCCCCAAACAGCCATTTTACCTGTAAATATAACAAGACAAGCTCATTTCTCTTTGAATTTTCCTTTGCTCCTTTCTAAGTAATTTTCTTAGCCCATTTGAGAGCAAAGGGAGACATTTTTTCAAGGTTTGGGTGTTTGCTTGCTTCATTCCAAAGTTCAGGGTATAACTGAGAAGTGTGTTCATCTACTGTTGAGTGGCCTAAACGAGGGAGCATTCTATCTGGTTAAGACCTGCTAAAGTTTCCTTATTAACAGAGACACCAGCAAAGAGTAAGTAGCCTAAGGAGATTAATGTAAAACGTCTGCAGGATAGAAAAATTGCTTTAGAAACAAAATAATACACCCTCTACCCCCCATGAATTAGTACTTGAGGCACTTTAATTGGACAAACTCAGTGTTTAGATCAGGAGTCTGTCCAATTGCTATCTGTGACCAGAGGAAGCAGAAGCAAAGGGGTTAATAGTTGCTGACAATTTTTTTTAAACAAGCAGTTTTATTGCAGAAATGGGAGTTGAACCGGAACATTCACAATCAGAATGAAAGGGCAGGCAGGCAGATCTGGAAAACTCACCATTGTATGTGAAAAGGAAAGTTTTCATGGATTTTAGAGAGGCCAAAGAAAAGGGCTTATTTTATATTTGAGAATATAGTTTAATTTAGATTTTTAAGGACCAGTCACCCAACATTGGAAATCCATATATAATTCTCTGGAGAAATGCAGCAATGCCTCCATTTGATCATGGTAAGGAAAGCATTCATATCTGACAATACCTTATGCAATGCTTATAAGACATATGTCTCTTGGTGGTTTCATGAGAAGTATGTGCAATTTAATGTGTTGACCTTTATTTCTAAAGAATGATGTTGTTTACCTACTATCTTAGAGATTATTGTTCCACCTTGAACAGTGAAGGTGAAAGGGTACCAATCAGCCAGTGTGTATCTTCTGACAATTTCCAGATTTTTATCTAGAGACATCCGGCAGCAGAGAATCATTCATGACTGGCATGTTATAGTAAAAAGAACACTGCACTTGGGAGTTAGAAGATAGAATTCAAAGTCTCAGCTGGCACCTGTAATCCCAGCTACTTGGGAGGCTGAGGCACAAGAATCACTTGAACCTGGGAGGTGGAGGTTGCAGTGAGCCGAGATCACGCCACTGCACCCCAGCCTGGGAGACAGAGCAAGACTCTGTCTCAAAAAAAAAAAATTACATGGCCATGGGGAAATAGTTTCTTCCAATAGTTCGCAAACATTACTGTACAACGAAACCGTCTGTTGAGCGTTATATATGCACATATACACCTGGACCATCCTCCTGAAATTCTAGCTCAGTAGGTCAGAGATTGGTCTCTATATTGTCTAAAAGCAGCCGGGGTCAATAACTACTAATACATCCAACACACTTGAGTGTCCTCATTTGTAAAATGGAAACAACATTTTCTATTCAGCGTAGAGGATTGTTGCAAAGACTAAATACAATGATACATTTAAGACACTAGTGCAATGCTTAGAAGAGGGTCCCTTATTTTTCTTCCAATGGGCCATGGTTGTTCTAGTTCAGAGCTCCTCAAAGTGAATTCTAAGGAGCAATAACCCCACGAGATGGTCTATGGAAAAACTGTGTACCATCAATCATATTTGGCAGCTGCACATTACATTCCCTTCCAGACTGTTAATGGGACCATTAGCACCTTAAAGTTTCTGAAATAACCTGACAAAAAGGAACTGGCTAAGTTGGTTGAACTCAGTGTTTCTCAAACTTATTTAACCACCCAATTCTTTCTTCAAGTGGCAATTATTTATTGATGTTTGATGGAACATGCTTTAGTGAACACTCCTCTTTATGATCTCTAACTAATGTCCTACCTTTCTATAACCTCCCTCAAGGAATTTGCTGCTTGTTTTTTGTCCGACTGAGACCCAGCCTTTCTGATTATCTTGAAGGATATCTGCTCTTTTCTTGAACTGCTAGTTTAAATGGACTCTCATATTGAACATGATTCTGTTTAAGTACTGTAGTTTTTACTTTAACTAAGGTAGTTATGAGGGTAGAACACAAATGATCTAGAAAAAATTAAACCATTAATTTAGAAATAAAATTAATACCTAAATAGTAGAAATTCACAAGTCCATGGCTGTTAAATAAAGGGAAGACAATTACATTTTGAGAGCTCCTACTTTGCCCTTGAAACCAGCGGAATGGGATAAAATTTAGAAATGCAAATTATGCTTTGAGCTATATTAATCTAACAATCTAAAATAGGTGGTAGAAATGGATATAGATGCAGTAAAAAATTTGAGGAGTCTTGAGGATGCACTATTTCTCTTAAGTCAACAATTTAAGAGCTTTTGGGAAGTTGAATATAATCATGTAGACTTTTTGGTGACCTCATTTGCCTGGGCTGTACTCTTAAAGAAAGTAGAATAAATGGCTTCTAATGTGTCCTTCTGGGAATGAAAAGCAAAACGGCAAAGTGTACCTCTGATTGAGGTGTATTTGTAAAAGAATCACCTAGTCATTCAAGCAGAAGAGGACACAGGCATAGACACATGGTCTTGGGATGGATGAATAGACATCATGGGTAGGGATGGAGAGATGATGTGGAAAGTCAGGCTTGTCAGAGTTCACAGTAAGAATTTGCCTCAGATAACTACTCAGAGGAAAAAATATATATATATTTGCAAGTATCTTGCTTTTACAGGTTTCTGAGATAAAAATCTCAGAAGAACAGCTTTGCTCGTGAGCTTTCCGATATTTCCACTGTGGTCCTGGCCAGAAACACTGTGAGAACACCCTTTCATTTGGTATTTGAGCCCTTCTGCCTCTGTTCCTGGCTGCAGACCAAAAGGAACAAACGCAACTGAACATTTCAGAACCTCAAAATAGTAAACCAAAAACGGTTTGCTCTGCTTTTGGTTTTAAATATGATCGACCCCAAAGCCTTGTTCCAAATGATCTGGGGGATCCATCTCTAATATGGATTACTGGATTTTAGAAACCTTTGGAGGATGGTGTTTTTAAAATAGATAACTAAGAACAAAGAAAACAATCAGTCCAAATGGTTGTAGTACAGGTGTCCGACCACCACAGCAGAGACTAGACTTAATAAACATATTTTACGTTCTAGTGTAAAGTAATTAGAAGAAGGGGATTAGAGTTTGGAGTGGGATATCTGGGCTTGAATGTTGACTTGGTTCATGACTAGCTGAATGTCTATGGCGTATTTCTGAGTCTAAGTTGTTACCTGTGAGTAAAATTAATAATACAAATGAAAAATAATTATACCCATTTTAATTGGCTCATTATGAGGAGCAAAATTATAAAAATACTTCTAAAATTGGAGTGTCCATGATAATATGAAAGTCAGTAAATCCCAGTGATTAGAAATTTGGACTTTACAGTTCAACACACTTAGGTTCATATTTCTGCCCCTCTGCTTTCTAGCTCTGTGGCCCTACATGGGTCACTAAAAATCTTTGACAATCATTTTTACCATCTGTGAAATGGGGTTAGTCTTGTTGGGAGAACGAAATCAAATAATGCATATAAAATATTTGGCACACAGTGAATGCTAGAAAAATTGCTGGCTGTTAATACATGTATAAATGATGATCATGGTGATTTTATATACTCATAATTCTAGGTGCCAGTCCAAATACAGACACATGAGAATGTGGATAGATCCTCGAGTTCTCTCCGAACCTTCCTTCCATGAAGTTATATACTCTATAGAATCAGTGGGTGAGTTGATTTAGGAGAGGTGCCAGTATGAGCCTGGAGTAGCTTACTTGGTCAGATCCAAAATATGGGTTTGGCTAAATATAGGGATCTAGGGGAGAAGGTGGAAAACGCTTGCTGGGCCAATGCCAAGTATGAAGCAATGCTGACCTTGGCAATTTTTAGCATCCAATTTTCACCCGTTAAGAGAGGAAGGTTAAAAGGTATAAATAAATGCAAAGGCCATAATAAAATCATTGTGGAATTAAAACATTAAGCCCATGGGCTCTTAATTATAAAATAGCAATATATTGTTTACAAACGTTCTTATATTAGGGACTTAGGGATTTCACAGGATGCTTTTTTTCTTTTCTTTTCTTTTCAGGGACAGCATCACTTTTGCTCTGCTGCTCAGGCTGGAGGGCAGCAGCATGACCTTGGCTCACTGCAGCCTCCACCTCCTGGGCTCAAGCAATTCTCCCACCTCAGCCTCCTGAATAGCTGGAGTCTCAATATGTTGCCCAGGCTGGTCTCAAACTCCTACCTCAACTGATCTTCCAACCCCAGCCTTCCAAAGTGTTGGGATTACAGGCACAAGCCACCGTGTCTGGCCAGGATGCTTGTCTTAAAAACAAAGATTTACTACCAGCAACCTGGCTGGCCCAAAATGTGACTGGCAGCTTATTTTATATTCCCCATACACATTAAATGTAGAAAATTAGTAACTATTAGATTTGATTAAATATTAAAATGTCATATTGTTCAGCCAATGAACAAATTGTTTTCAAGCTGCTCTGGGGGGAATGACTAGCCTGCTACCTTTTTATGGTGTTAGTTATATGGTATTTTCTCTTCCTCCCTTCATAGTAAAAATCCTTGAAGGCTTACTCTCCTTGAGAACACTTCCTCATGGGTTTTTGAATCTCCAGCTCTTTCCTCTCCCAGGTACTGAAACCATATTTTTCACAGGCCCCTTTACCTGCCCAAGGGTCAACTTGATTCTTCTCCTTTGCCATTTTGCACCATTGACCATGTTGAAAATCCTTGCACTTGCTGTCTGCTGCACTCTTCTTGTATTTTGTTTTCTTCTGAATTCTGATGAATACTGTTCTGTTGTTTTATGGTGCATGCTCAGGGTTCTGTTCATTATCATCTTCTCTTTGCCTGATCCTTTATCTTTAAGCAAACCCATCCATTCTTGCTACTCCAGTTATCTCCTCTATCCAACGAGCTGGGCCACCATGATTTTTCTCCTAAGCTTGTTATCTTCACCTGGATTTCCTCAAGCTCAGTATATAAAGCCAAAACTCTTCAATTGTCTCTGTAAACCAGCTCTCCTATCCCTTCCCCCTTTGTCTCAGCCATTTGGTTTGTATATGGAAATAAACCTCCTGGTGTTAAAACCTTAAAACTTCAGCATTATCTTTGTCTCTACACTGTTGTTTGACCTCTAGATCCAGGAAATACCCCAGTTTCATTATAAGGCCTGTCAATTTTATCTCACAATGTTTTTCACACTTATAAGCTAGATAGACCGAAGCAAGGGTCGGTGTGCACATTCTCTGTGATGCTCATTCTTATGTTCTCAAGATAGTTGCTTGAACTCTAGCTGCAGCTTCTGCATTTCAGGTAGAAAGGAAGAGGATGATCACAGAATCAAAGGGCATCTGCCAACTGAATCTGCCACCCTTTAAGGGGAGCATTCCTGAAAGCAACATGTAATAATCTTTGCTGACATTGAATTGAGCAGGGTAGTGTCGCATGACCACTCTGATCTACAAGGGAGGCAGAGAAATGGAGTTCAAAAGATCGGGACACAGTGCTGTTTCAATAAATGGGAGTTATATTGGAAAGGACGAAAGTGCAAAATGTTTTGGGGTGGGCAATTGACAGTCTCTACACACCTTTTTTCTTAACTTTCCTATGTTTACTTGAAATAAATTTCCACTGACTTTGAATAAAACACTCCTTGTTTTCCACCATCATCATCTAACTTGACATCTTCACTGTCCTTTTGCTTAGATTTTTACAAAGCCAAGTGGACTCTGTGTGCCTCTACTTCACTGCTACCGAGAGGTGAAGTCAGCTGGGCTTCTGGGTGGGGTGGAGACTTGGAGAACTTTTCTGTCTAGCTAGAGGATTATAAACACACCAATCAGCACTCTGTAGAAATGCACCAATCAGCGCTCTGTGTCTAGCTAAAGGTTTGTAAACGCACCAATCAGCACTCTGTAAAACGGACCAATCAGCACTCTGTAAAATGGACCAATCAGCAGGACATGGGCAGGGCCAAAAAAGGGAATAAAAGCTGGCCACCTGCACCAGTAGCGGCAACTCCCTCAGGTCCCCTTCCATGCTGTTGAGTTTTGTTGTTTCGCTCTTTGCAATAAATCTTACTGCTGTTCACTCTTTGGGTCCGCACTGCCTTTATGAGCTGTAACACTCAAACTGCGAAGGTCTGTGGCTTCACTCCTGAAGTCAGTGAGACCATGAACCCACCAGCAGGAAGAAATTGGACACATCTGAAGAAACAAACTCCAGACACACCATCTTTAAGAGCTGTAACACTCACTGCAAAAGTCCGCGACTTCATTCTTGAAGTCAGCGAGACCAAGAACCCACAGGAAGGAATAAATTCCAGACACACTACTACTGTCCCTGTTCATTAATCTATTTATTCGGCAAGAAAATATTGATAACAGGCACTGTCCTGTGTACTAGAGATGGACAGAATCATGACTTTTGGCTTCAGGGCCTCACAGTTCAGTTGGAGAGAGCAACATGGCACCAGTTGATTCCAGGGCAACACAATTAGTGACATAACAGAGACAGATGAAAGGGATTGCAGAAGCAGAGAGAGCATCCTGACTAATTGAATCTGCAAATGGTGAAGAAGCCCTTCCAGGGGTGATGCTGTGAGCTGAATTGTGTATTAGTAGGAATTTCTCGGTTCAACACACAGAGAAATAACAAGTTTTCTGTTGTAAACTATTCCTTACTAATTAAAAACAAAGTGGTTATATTCTTGACCTGACTCTGAATTTAATTTTTTAAGAATGTAATCATAAGTGAAGCAACTTTAAATATAGCATTATAGGGCACAGTATTGATAAATGAGAGGAAAACTTTTTCTTAAAGAGTGTACCACTCACTTACCATGCCCTGAAATTAACTGAGAACTCATTTGTCAAGAGAGCACCTACCCTATAGAGAATTCTTCCAATTAACATCAAAAGCGATCATTCTTAACCTCTCATGCATTAAGAAAATCTTGTCTGCACCCAATGTTCTGTTCATAATCAATGAAGCCCCTTATGTATGTTATTGCAAATTTATCACCTTGTATATTACTAAAATGGATGAATTAATAAATGAATCTGCTGTAGGTCCAGAAGCCAGATTTATCTGTTGTCTCCTGGTTCTCATGGGATTTTCCTTTGGTCTCCAAGACATTTCACTCTGCACTTTCTCATAGTTTGGGATATTTATTGATAGCTACTGACAGTATGAGTTGGTACTCATAGACTCACCATGGCTATATCAGAAAAGTGGTTTTGAGGGGGATTAGTTAAATTCTAAAAATGTCAGCCAAGTGACTCTCAGGCTATGCTAAAAAGGCAGTGCAAGTGTTGTGCTATATCAGTTCTAACAGTATCATATTGCTATAAAAAGCATACATCAAGATAAATGATGCTTAACATTGGTGAGGTCATGGTAAGCTTGACACATTCATAAACATTAGTTAAAGAGTAAAATAGTGCAACATTCCTGGAGGCCAATCTCATGATATGAAATTAGAATAGATTAGGATATATTCTTAGGATCTGAGCCTTCTTTCCACCTGTAAGGATCTAGGCAAGGCTGGGTGTAGAAGGATGGCCATTGAAGTATTACATAAACTGCAGAATACCCATGAGCTAGAACACTATGTACTAATCAAAATTGGTGCTTTCTGATAATTTTGATTACATGGAAAAGTGCCCACTATGTTCAACGAATAAGAAGAAAAACAGTTGTATCAAAGTCTGATCCATATGTAGGGATACATCTATCACATATGCATACACATCTTTCAAATGATTTGCATCAGGATGCTAACAATAGTCTAAGTTTAGGTGATTTGTATTATCATCTTTAAAGTTCTCTAAATTTTATAAATTTCTAATCCATGCATGAGTTTCACAATTAGAAATAAATTGCTGTTTTTTTTGTTTTGTTTTGTTTTTTTGTTTTTTGGAATGCAGTGGTGCGATTACAGCTCACTGCAGCCTTTACCTCCTGGGCCCGAGTGATACTCCCACCTCAGTCCCATGAGTAGCTGGGACCACAGGTGATATGGTTTGGCCGTGTCCCCACTCAAAATCTCATCTTGAATTGTGGCTCACATAATTCACATTTATTGTGGGAGGGACCTAGTAGGAGGTAGTTGAATCATAGGGGTGGGTATTTTGCATGATGTTCTCATGATAGTGAATAAGTCTCATGAGATCTGATGGTTTTATAAAGGGGAGTTCCTGTGCACATGCTCTCTCTTGTCTGCCGCCATGTAAGATGTGACTTTGCTCCTCTTTTGCCTTCTGCCATGATTATGAGGCCTCCCCAACCATGTGGAACTGTGAGCCAATTAAACCACTTTTCTTTATAAATTGTCTAGCCTTGGGTATATCTTTATTAGCAGCATGAGAACTAATACAAGAAGTACGTGCCACCACACCTTGCTATTTTTTTATTCGTGTAGAGACGGAGTTTTGCCATGTTCAAGCCCAGGCTGGTCTCGAACTCCTGGGCTCAAGTGATCCTCCCACCTTAGACTCTAAAAATTCTGGGATCACAGGTGTGAGACACTTTGCCTGACCAGAAATTAATCACTCTTAAGAGGAAAACTAAAAAGGACCATGTAGTAGAAGATGAAGAGATTATTTATAGGTATTTTTTATATGTATACATTCTACATGGCTAATTCTCAGACTCATATACCGTGTGAGGTCAATTTCACTAAGGGGCTCAGCACACACTCTGGCCGGGGAGGGTGCTCCAGGCTTTGAGCCTAACTGCCTGCCATCACTCTCTCCCCTCCCATGCCATTCTCCAGGCTGCCATCAGATTTCTCTTTCCAAAGCATAGCTATTGTCCTGTTATTCTCTCTCTGGAAACATTGTTAAAACCTGTTATCCTCTCTGGAAACATTGTTAAAACCTTCCCAATTGTGCACAGAATACATTCTCCCCCTCCGCTTGGCTCCAGTTCACGTCCTCAGTCTGATATCCCTCACATCTCTCAATCCTCCTGCACTCCAGCACAATAGAGCTACCTTCATGACACTCTTCACCTCCCCCTGCCCACCACTTTACCCTCATTTTTGCTTGTCCTACCCGTTCTTTCAAGCCCTGCTCAAATTCCCAGAGTGACCACTCTGAATTAATCTTTCCCTCCATTATTTCCTCTTTGTACTTTATTGATCTCTTTTATTGCATTAATCAGAATTTTACTTGTATTATGGTTCCTTGTGTCTTTCTGTTCTTATATTGATTTTTAGCTACCCAAATCATATCTTCATTCATAATCTTTATGGAGTGGTTCTCAAACATTAGCACATATCACAATCATCTGAGGGTTCATTAAAACAGATTGCTGGACTCCATCCCTGGTGTTTCTAATTCAATACATCTGGGGTGGGGCACGAGAACTGGCATTTCTAATAAATCCCCAGGTGATGCTGCTGCCGCCCCAGTATGGCAACCACACTTCGAGCACCACTGCTTTTCAAAAATGGGAAACAATGAACTAACATAAATGAACTTGATATAGTACATAGGGAATGGAAGTTCACAGGTTAGGATTTAGAATCAGAGGCTTGGGTTTGAATTCCAGTTCTGCCACTTAATGCTTCAACAAGTTATTTAATCCCTCTGAATCTTCATTTTCTTGCCACAAAAATTGGGATATTATTACAGTAAGTCCTCAATGTCACCCATAGGTTCTTGGAAATCGTGAATTTAAGCAAAATGATGCATAAAAAAAAAATCTTACCATGGGCTAATTCACATACTCAAGAGTTAAGGGCCTAGGAAGTACTTCTGGTCACAAAAACATCAAACTTCTAAATAAAAACTAAAACACGGCCAGGCGTGGGGGCTCACACCTGTAATTCCAGCACTTTGGGAGGCCGCGGTGAGCAGATTGCCCAAGCTCAGTAGTCGAAGACCAGCCTAGGCAACACGGTGAAACCCTGTCTCTACTAAAATACAAAAAAAAAAAAAAAAAAAAAAAAAAAAATTAGCCAGGTGTGGCAGCGTGCGCCTGTAGTCCCAGCTACTCAGGAGGCTAAGGCAGGAGAATCACTTGAACCCAGGAGGCGGAGGTTGCAGTGAGCCGAGATTGTGCCATTGCACTCCAGCCTGGGTGACAGAGCGAGACTCCATCTCAAAAACAAAACAACAAAAAACAAAAAACCCTAAAACACTTCTAATATTAAACATTGAAATAAATGCAATTACACATATATTTAAGAAAGATTAATAAACACAAATAAGCTCATTATTTAAACGCTTTTTCCAATTCAGGGTTAGGAGTGATCAGAGCCCATCCCAGCAGCTCGGGACATAAGGTTGGAACCAGCCCTGGGCAGGATGTCATCCCATTGCAGGGGGCACCTATACCCACCCACGCTTACACTCCCTCACACTGGTGAGAGGTGAAGCCGGCTGGGCTTCTGGGTCGGGTGGGGACTTGGAGAGCTTTTCGGTCTAGCTAAAGGATTGTAAACACACCAATCAGCACTCTGTGTCTAGCTAAAGGTTTGTAAACAGCACCAATTAGCACTCTGTAAAAACGCACCAATCAGCGCTCTGTGTCTAGCTAAAGGTTTGTAAAGACACCAGTCAGCCCTCAGTAAAAATGGACCAATCAGCACTCTGTAAAATGGACAAATCAGCGCTCTGTAAAATGGACAACTCAGCAGGATGTGGGCGGGGCCAAATAAGGAAATAAAAGGTGGACACCCCGGCTAGCAGCAGCAACTTGCTTTGGGTCCGTTTCCACGCTTTGGTCTTTCTCTCTTGGCAGTAAATCTTGCTGCTCCTCACTTTTTGGGTTAGTACTACGTTTATGAGCTGTCACACTCACCGGGAAGGTCTACAGCTTCACTCCTGAAGCCAGTGAGACCGTTAACCCACCAGGAGGAACGGGCAACTCAGACCGCGCCACCTTTAAGAGCTGTAACACTCACCGCGAAGGTCTGCGGCTTCACTCCAGAAGTCAGCGAGACCACGAATCCTGCGGGAGGAACGAACTCCGACCGCGCCACCTTTAAGAGCTGTAACACTCACTGCGAAGGTCTGTGGCTTCACTCTTGAAGTCAGCAAGACCACGAACCCACCAGAAGGAAGAAACTCCGGACACATCTGAACATCTGAAGGAACTCGGGACACGCCATCTTTAAGAACTGTTAACACTCACTGCGGGGGTCTGCGGCTTCATTCCTGACGTCAGCGAGACCAAGAACCCACCGGAAGGAACCAGTTCCAGACATACTGGGACCGTGTGGATACGTCGGTAAACCTGACATGCACATCTTTAGGAGATAGCTGGAGAAAACCCATGCAGATTGTGGGTTTATCCCCAGCTGGGGATAGATTTTTTTTCCCCATCAATATTGTAAAGAAAACTGAATGAATTAGTTATTCAAGAACCAGCTGTACCTCTTACATAGGGTTGTCCCGAGGGCTATGAGAGATCATGTTTGTAAAGTGCCCAAGAAGCAGTGGCTACTATTATTACTAACTTGCTTTTTCTGTGCAGTAACTTTATAAGATAAATTTTGCCACAGTTTTATAGATGAAGAGACTGAGGCAAATGGAGGTCCCTTAATTTACCAGAAGTCTTCTACCTTAAGAAAGACAAGACTCGGATTCTAATTTAAGTCATTTTGATACATTCTACTCTCCCCACCACAGCATATTAAATGTAATGCACACTCAAAAATACTGGGTTTTTTTTTTGTTTTTTTTTTTTGAGACAGAGTTTCGCACTTTTTGCCCAGGCTGGAGTGCAATGGCGCGACCTTGGCTCCACCTCTTGGGTTCAAATGATTCTCCTGCCTCAGCCTTCTGAGTAGCTGGGATTACAGGCATGCATCAGCACGCCTGGCTAATTTTGTATTTTTAGTAGAGATGGGGTTTCTCCATGTTGCTCAGGCTGGTCTCGAACTCCTGACTTCAGGTGATCCTCCCACCTAGGCCTCCCAGAGTGTTGGGATTATAGGTGTGAGCCACTGCGCCTGGCCTGGATTTCTCTATTTGTTTATGCGAAATCGTCTACTGGCATTACCATCTCTCAAAACATTTTCCTGGACTTTTAACTAAAGATTTTTTCCATTGTAATGGGCACAAGTGCAATTTCCCTTTCATTTTAAGAGACTGTGAGAAGTAACAAATCAGGTAAGTAAAATTATTAAAGAAGGAACTAGCACTTAAAAAATATAATTTATAAAACCAAGTTGCCTAAGAGAAGCGTCAGCTTACAAGACTTTGTTACTTCATGGCATTAATAGTTTCAGGAACATTATAATACATAGTTTAATTTTCTTTGGTGTTTGTCGTGTTTGGGGGGTGGAGGTACTTTTTTCTTATAGATTTTATGATAATAACTTGGTTTTAATAGCACTTTTGAATTTGCTAGACACTAAAACAAAGACCATTTTATAAATTGAAAATTCACTTGTGTGAACACTAAATGCTGGGATTTGATTTCTTTGTTTCTATAGAAACAAAAGAAAGTTGAGATTAAAATAAGCTAAAATGGAATTACATTTTATGAAACAGTAAAGAAGCTTATTTTACTTGTTTCCATTGTAGTGTGGTGAAATAAAATTTTTATTTAAAACCCAAGCTGTCTGTGGGCCCTTCTGCCTTCTGAGAAAAAGTTCCCTTGGAACAGGGAGTGGCAAGATTTATATATTGAAAAAAAAAAAAAAGCCAGTCTGTTTGCTATTTCATTCCAATTTGAGAAATTGCTGGTGATGGTTTGGAGGGTATAGGGGAAGATGAAGAGTGTTTTCAATGTGAAAACTTAAGCCAGTGCTCTCTATATTGTTCAAATAGTGAGAGCAGGTTTAGCAGAGACAGTAATGTTAATGTCTTTGGGTCCGTAATAACAGCCCAGTAGGATAATAGGTCAAAGAACCGACATTCTCTGTGATAACAGGAAGGAAGGAGATCCAGACCATCCTGACTAACATGGCGAAACCCCGTCTCCACTAAAAATACAAAAATTAGCCTGGTGTGGTGGCATGCACCTGTAATCCCAGCTACTTGGGAGGCTGAGGCAGGAGAATCCTTTGAACCTGGGAGGCGGAGGTTGCAGTTAGCCGAGATTGTGCCATTGCACTCCAGCCTGGGCAACAAGAGCAAAACAGCATCTCAAAAAACAAAAAAACAGAAAAACAAAAAACAAATACAGAAACAAAAACCACTAGGCACGAAGACAGTTGCAAAGGTGAGGCCTGGAAAGAGGGTCTCATGAGTATTCGTGGATCCATTTGTTTCTGAGGCCCAATTGCTTTCTTGTAGTTGGATAACTATTTTGAGAATGAAGAAAAATTCTTTCCAATCCATTCCCATTTTGTCAATTTAGTTCAAGATAGGGTTGTTCCTATTTTGAGAGAATTGTTCTTCACTGTGCCACATGTAATCCTTTACCTGGAGTGCCTTCCCTCTCTTGACTTCTTACTGACTCCGTGATCCTGTGCAGGGAGGGCGCAGTGTGTATTCTCATGCTTGCATTTACATGGGCTCTGATTTTTTTCTTTTTTTCTACATATGTGGCATGGATAATTTGATAGAGAATCTAATATTTTTACAATAAGATAATACTGAATCTATCTTTAATCTGAATCTTTGCTCAATAAGAACATATGAGAGTTGCAAAAAAAAAATGTTAAAAAAGATGGAAGACCTAAATCCACCTTGAAGCATAAACAGTGGTGTTACTTTAAGAAAAGCACGTGGCAGCCCTAATAACGTCTGTAATAGTATAGAAAAGCACCTCCACGTCTCATTCTTTTAGACAATATGGTCCAGTGGGAAAAGTTTTGGCTCTAAAGAATACTATTCTCTAGCTTCGTGATATGTTCATTCCACTGTTCTTGATCTCAATCGGAGGTTCTGCATAATGGAATTCATAATTTTGTTCTATCAAACCTGCAAAACAGTACCAGCACCTATAGATAGCATGTTGTAGAAAATGGCAAGAATATGTATAAAAATGGAAATGGATCCTAACCATCTCACCTTACTTGCTCCTAGAGAAGTCCAACAGGTGAGTTGGAATAATTTATTTTTTCTTCCCCAGTCATACAGGACTAGTTACAATGGATGCACTTTTCTGTTTTGTCCAATAGTAAACAATCTGAAATGTAACTTAAAATACAGTTTTCCTATAAATTATAAAAAGTTCTGAGAAAAACTCATTTATCTAATGGTCACTGGATATCCAACACTGTGCTGTCAAGGGTTTCCTTAGCAAGAGGTGATCAAATCAGGAAGATAAACCAAGTAGAAGTGAAACCACTTTTGACCAAAACCTGTGTCTAACTGTATATAAGATGTTGATCAGGATGTGTTTGGCAGCCAATAGAAATGTTAATTCAGCTGGTTTAAATGATTAGGACTTTTATTATCTAATATAATAAAGTTTGGAGGTAGGACGGTAAGTATCTCTGAGTGTGGCTTCTTCAGCAGTTCAATGGCATAATCAAAAATTGAAGACTTTTTTTTCTGCTCTGTTATTCTCAAGGTGATGGTCTTGTTTTCCCAAGCTGCTACAGAGCTTCTGCAGCTCCAAGCATGACCACTATATTTGGCTGCTTAAAAGCATAACAAGGGCAGAAATCATAAAGGCTTTGCCCAGAGGGCCTTGATTGTCCTTGCCTTCTTGTCCTTTGGTGAGAACTTCATTGGTGGTGGCTCCAAAAATCAGGAGACTTTCTGTGATGAATTCACCATAAGAACGTGGGACCCAGCCTCCCTTGAAGGACGTAAGTACCCAATATCTGAAGAAAATTGAGGTTTTTTTTTTGTTTTTTGTTTGTTTGTTTGTTTTTTGAGACGGAGTCTTGCTCTGTCACCCAGGCTGGAGTGCAGTGGCGTGATCTCGGCTCACTGCAACCTCTGTCTCCCAAGTTCAAGCGATTCTCCAGTCTCAGCCTCCTGAGTAGCTGGGATTACAGGCATGTGCTACCACTCCCAGCTAATTTTTATTTTTAGTAGAGATGGGGGTTTCACCATGTTGGCCAGGCTGGTCTTGAACTCCTGATCTCAGGTGATCCACCCACCTCGGCCTCCCAAAGTGCTGGGATTACGGGTGTGAGCCACCATGCCCAGCCCCTCCTGGCTTTTGTATAATTGCGTTTGATTCAGCTATAGGGTCTTGTATGATATTGTTTATACAAGTCAGCTGCTTGGTTCCATTTTTCTTTTCTGTTCTCCATTTGGTTGGTTTTATAATGTACAAATTCACATCCAGAGTGTATATATTTTTTCATCTAGTAAATGGATAAACTTATTGTGAGATTTTATTAGACTTTTTTGAAACTTCCAAAAATTTTCAATTGCATTTACTGCTTAAAGGAATAATTTGAGATATAACTCAAATCAGGAAGTACTCTATTTAAGAGAGATTCATATTAAATATTTTTGGTAATGCTTCATAAGGGAAATGTAAAATTCTACTTGATTTAAATAGTATTTGTTACCTTTCAATTTTCTCAGCTGCACTTTCTCAGTTTACACTCTAATCTTTTACCTGGACAATTCCAGTTGCTTCCTAACTGTGCAATGTACACATCCTGTTGCTGACCATGGGAACTCTCTAAAGCACAAATATGATGCTCTCTTCCTGTTTGAACTTTCAATCGAGGTTACTTGCAAAATCAGCTTCATGGTTCTTGGTCTAATGCCTGAGACCCTGGCTGACCTTGCAACTACCTTCCTTTACAGCTTCAAAAGTTGCTACCTCAAAAAAACCCTCCAAGTTTTGGAAAAGTACTTTAAGGATTAACCTATTGTAGGCATGAGGAGTTGTCTGTGGTTCCCCAAACATCCCATGTTCTTTCAAGTTTCCATGCATTTGCACGTTCTGATACTACTGTCTGGATTATGATTTTCTACCTATCCTGCCTTATAGGAGAATTTATGTATTTCTCAAAATGCAAATGTTCTCTCCTCAATGAAGACGTGCTAAAACTCGTCTTTAGCCCATTTCCAAGTAGCCAGCAGTTAATACTTTTGTAACACTGTGCATGTATTTCTAGTACAGGATCTAGATCTGTACATTGCATGTACCTTTAATATAAACTCTAACCCCCACATTAGATGAGACTTCGTTGTCAGGGCCTAAGGCATGAGAAAGAGAACTGGTTAGCAGGCTGTCAGTAGGAGATAGAAAGCTAAGCAGGGTAGTTCTTCTTTGTGACTTTTGAAGACACTGGACAAGTAGATCTGATGAAGATAGACTTGGGTTCAAACCATGGATTGAGCATCATGCATTTCACTCACATTATCACTTTTACAAAATGCCCATATCATATGATGGGTATTTCACTCATATATCTCAGAAAAATCTATTCTATGGTTTGTGGAGGTAATAACTGTTTTAGAAGCAGAATTTTAATGCAAAATTGATAAATTCTTGTATGCAAATGGTAATATTTAAAGAATTTCCACCATTCTCCACACATTACTGGGACTGGATAATTATCTGAAAGGCAGATTCTGGTTTTGAAGGTCTAGACAACAGCATAGTAGACTTTCTTTTTAGTGCTTACTTTGATTATCATTGGCTATCTAACATTAATGTAAATAAGAAATATAAAAAATGAGAAAACATGTTTGTTTTATTTTAGGGGTAACTGAAAGTATCTTTTGAAAGGGCAGTTTAAATATTCCCAACCTTTATATTATTAAAATACACTGTGGTGTCTTTCTCTTTATACTCTGAGCTTGTTGGTAGCAAACCCATTTATCTTTATTGTCTTCCTAACCTATAGTATACTGGCTTGCATTTATTATCCTTCTGATATGAGTGTTTCTGGATCCCACAAAAACATAGGTTGAGGTAGTTTTGGGAGACAATTAAGCAAACGAAGCACACCTCTTCTGCTGGGCTGCAGTTGGATGATCCCAGCTCATGCATTTGGGGAGCTGGTGTAGTGATACAAATTTTAGAGCCAGAATGCAGGGTTTGAATTCCAGCTCCGTTACTTACCAGTATGTGCTACCAGGAAAGTCATGTAACCTCTTTTTGCCCTGATTTTGTCTACCATTAAGTAGGGATAATACCAATTACTATCTCTAAGAATCTTGAGAAGATTACATGTGTTAATACATGTAAGGTGCTTGGAACAATGTCTGACACATCATAAATATCATCGAAGTGTCAGCTCTCACTTTATTGGTTTCAAGTCTTCACAGTCAGCCTCCTTTGTCCTAAGGTCATGCTACATTTTGTATAAATGTTTCTTATGGGACAAAATGCTCCTGTCTGTTTAGGAGTGTGGGTGTGAGTGTTTAAAGACACTGATGACTTTTGCCCTATAATGGAAATTCTCTGCACCAAAAGAGCCAGAAGATTGCATTATACATTTATAAATTCACATCAAGTAAAAACAGAGAGGGAGATGGATCCCAAAGGACATATTATCAGAATCGGGCTCCAGATGGAGAATTTATGTGATTTGATATAAGTTTAAATACAGAGTTGTTTTACTCCAAAGCTTAAGAGGAAGGAATCGTTGTGGTCATTGCTAGTTATATTAATGGAAGGAGTCTTCCCCATTTTTAAAACTTAAGTGATGGTAACTATTGGCAGAATTTGTCATTCATCTCAACCAGGTTTCTAACTCTTACTCTTAAATTCCCTCTTTTAATATTTATTTTTTAAAGTTTTTATTATGCATAAAATCTATTTTTTAATAAGTTGAAAAGAATTGGAGTGGGAGGAAATCAGAGCTGTCATGAGAACTGGAGAAAATGGGTGTGGGGAGGGGAATCTGTAGAGCACAGGTGCCAGGTGTCCTGTGGATCTCGGCCACAGCCATCCGCCCATCAACTCTCCTGTATTGTTTCTGACTAATGGAGCAACCTATTCACTTTTTTTTAATCATATGAGAAAAAGGATGCATGGAAATTCCACAATCAGTGTCATTGAGGTCAGACGATAAGCAACTTTAAGTTTAATGAGAAACTTCTACATCAGAGGCTTTATTTAATTTGTTTTGTTATTTTGTCTTACTGTGGCTTCAGAATTTCACCCAGGAAATGTATGGAAGGTTTAACAATACCATGTTAAATCAGTAGATCTACATGATCTTTTCAGTGGAATAGAAGAAATATGATCAGGACTTGGTGGCCCTAAATTAACTTGTTTAAAAACAGGATTCTCAATTTGGTTATGAATTTTCTTACCTCCAGTGATGTGCTGGGAAGCGTTTAACAACTGACACTTTGGAATAAAGCCCTGATTTATGCTGTGGGCTTATTTCCTTTTGGTGATATTCCCACCATAGCCAATTTTGACCTACCAGTGTGATGATACCAAATGAAGAGTTAAAAGAGAGGTACACAGTGGGCTCTTGAGAGCCTGTTGAACATGGCAACTACACAACACAACTCTGTTTACATCTCAGAAAAGATTTGAGACAGGCCAACAAAAGAGATTGTCCTGAGAACTGGCATATAGAAAAAGCTCTATGGCTTGCATAGGCAATGATGAGGCACAGCATTCAAACAGGGAAGCTGGATCAATCAACATTGCCTGGCTGCACAGCATCAGATAGCCCAGCCAATATTCACTGTTGCACAATGCTTTTTTTTTTTTTTAAACTAAATTAGTGAAGTATACAGACATTCCTGTAGACATCCACCTGGATATGTCAAAGAAAATACCCAAAAACTGTGCCTCTTTTTTTTTTTTTTTTTTTTTGAGACAGTCTCTCTCTGTTGCCCACAGTCTCTCTCTGTTGCCCAGGCTGGAGTGCAGTGGCACGATCTTGGCTCACTGCAACCTCTGACTCCCGGTTCAAGCAATTCTCCTACCTCAGCCTCCCAAGTAGCTGGGATTACAGGTGCCCAACCACGCCCTGCTAATTTTTTGTGTTTTTAGTAGAGACGAGGTTTCACCATGTTGGCCAGGCTGGTTTTGAACTCCTGATCTCAAGTGATCCGCCCGCCTTGGCCTCCCAACCTGCTAAGATTACAGGCGTGAGCCACCGCACCTGGCAAAAACTGTGCTTTCTTATGGTATATTTTTTTCCCTTTCTTCTGAAACATTTTTAGATTGTTATCTCATTTTACTTCATTTTACATCAGAAGGTTTTCACATAGGAGTCCGTATTCTTAGGTTTTGTATGCTTTGGAGGATTTCACTCTCTATTCATTCCCTGTGAGGTCCTATATGATGCCTGTTTCCAAGGGAAGAAGTAAAGTCAAGAAACAAGATATCCTCAAGCTACTCTTAGGATCAGTGTCTGCATAGATCTGGCACACAGAAATGCAAGGAAACAATTTGTGCAAAGCATTAAAAAAAAAAGGGGGGACCCTGAGAGTATAACAAGTGCTCCTGAGAGAGGACAGACGGAGAGGACGCATGGGCAGGGATGGCCGCCCTGAGCAGCTGATGTTCGAGCTAAGATCTGAAAGGTGAGCTGGGGCCACAGACTTACTGAGTTGGGGGTGAAATGGGCCACCATCTGGGGCACAGGAGACAGCTCATGCCTAGCCGAAGGAACACAATGCATTCAAGCTGCTGAAGGAGTGCCAAGCTGGAGCTCAGGGGAGCCTCCTACAGGATGAGATGGGATGGGGTGTGTGGGGGGCAAGACCTAGGGGATGAGATTTTGTGCTTTGGTCCTTGGATGGGAAATGGGGAGGCAGAAGAATGGGTGGTGAGATGAAGTTTTATCACCAAGGGAGAGGGAAATATTCATGAGGTGTTTACATTAGGGATTTTTATTAAATATAGCAAGTGGTATTGATCTGGAACTCGGTGATCTGGAGCCGAGAAAAGGAGACTTGCCCCATATCTGGGCAGCATGCAGAGTGACCAAACAGCCACATAATCATGACTTAAAGAGTGACATATCTCAAGGGTTTGACAAGTCTGGGAAGCCCTGGAGGGGAACCCCCAGAGAGGGAGGAGTCCTGCTTTTGAGGGGCAGGGGTGTTTGCCATACGGTGAATTGTCTCCTGCGAGTGACTTTTAGGCAGCTGGCTGTCACGCACAGTTGTGTAGTTTGCATACTTGGCAAAGGTACTCAACACGGGGCAGTGGGAGCTTCCATCCAGCCCTCTCTGAGCTCTTCAAATCTGCACCATGGCAAGGGACACAGAGATGGGTTCTTTTTGACATGCTCACTGAGGCTTTAAGCCAGCGAGACACTAGAGACCCTATTCAGGAATAACTTGGGGAGAGGGGCATTTGTTAAGGGGGTACAGGGTGGGAAGAAGTTATGAGGTTCTTTGCCAGCTAAGAAGAGGGTTTGATCCTGAAAAGACTAAAGTTAATATATTTTATTTATGCCTAACATTGGTTGGGCAGGAATTGCTTAATTATATACTGCATATGTGTATATATCCACCCAAGCATGCGTATGAGTATTGTGAGTGTACATATACATACATGCATATGTAATGGCAATGTAATGCTTCTTAAATATATTAATGTCATTCCTTTTCTCACTTTTCAGGTGCATGATTTCCCACTTACCTCCCGCAACCACTACCACCCACGTTGTCCACAGTATTCAGCTGTCTCAGGGAGGATCACAATTATTCTAATGGGACTGCAAAGAGTGAAGGACACAGCTTTTAACATCAGGTAGAGAATTTTGTTGAGTCTTTAGTAGGTCAGCCTTTGGAAAATACTTCTCTAAATTTCTATACATTCGGGCTAACTCATTAGAGGTCAGGCCTGGAAGATGAGATCATCTGTTTCTTCAAGAGGAGGACCTCTGCTTCTGTCAAAACAGCTGAGTCAACAGGGCGTGGTGTCTCATGCCTGCAATCCCAGCACTTTGGGAGGCTGAGATGGGAGGGTCACTTGAGCTCAGGAGTTTGAGACCAGCATGGGCAACATAGTGAGACTTTGTCTCTACCCCAAATTTTAAAAATTATCTGGGTTTATTCGTGTGTACCTGTAGTCGCAGTTACCTGGGAGGCAAGGTGGGAGGCAAGGCGGAAGATTGCCTGGGCCAGGGAAATGGAGGCTGCAGTGAGCCATGATCACACGTCTGCACTCCAGCCCGGGTGAGCATGAGACCTTGTTCCCCCCAACAAAAAAAAAAAAAAAAAAAAGAAAGAAAAGAAAAGCTGAGCCAGGAGACTCAAGAATGAGATAGCATCTCTACAAGTCAGAAAGACAAAAAGGAAACTCCACTTCAACTCAGGTAGAATGTGGGAGAGAGAAAGGAGACAGATGTGGCAGGATTAGGCTTGATGCCGAGCGACTGGAAGTCTAAGCAGTGGTTGAAACAGGATAGAATGTGTTTCTCTCCTTTCTGGCTGCCTGGGGAAGGCAGTTCAAGGCTGGGATGGCACTCTTCAGTGTAAGAGACTCAAGCTTCACCTTTTTTATTTTTTACTCTGCCGTGATCCTTATTCCTTATCATGGTGCAAGATGGCTGCTGTAGCTCTGTCCACCTCATCTGCATCTCACCCAGTAAAAAAAAAAAAAAAGTAAAGAAGGCCACACTTCCACATTTGATCACGTTGCTAATATCCCTTAGCAGAGGTCAGTCATTTGACCACCCAGAGGCAAAGGAAGGTGGAGAATATAATTGTTATTCAGAGAAGCCATATGGAGAGCTAAAATTCTGGGGTCCTTATAGCTAGAGGAAAAAATGAGGGAACCAGTGAGGACAAATGAAGGAAGCATTACTGGGAGAAAAGAGTAGGGTGAACAGATGTGGAGGTGTGTTAGAAATGACCAGATAGATTTAGGGGAGTCAAGGACATGAGGCCTTGCCTATTCCCATGGAACAGTCTGGGAAACCACTGTGACAGGCCCTGTTGGCGCTGCAGCCACACGATGGCATCTGGCCTGATGGATGTGCTTGAGGCTGTACTACTTCTGTGCTCAGCACAAGGTCTCAGCGGTTCCTACAGTCCTCCATGATGAGGTGTGTTGGGTTGAGGCCATGCACTAGCAGAGGGCCAGCATGAGAGTCAAGATGCAGTGGCAGCTGGGACCTCTGAGACTAGAAGCCTGACATGTCAGCAGGTGAGACAGGACCTCCTGCCTGTGTGGGCACCAGCCAGACCAGCCAACCTTCATTAGACACCAGATGTACCCAGAGTCCCCTGTGACTCTGATCCCTGCTCTTCCTGCTGTCGCAAAGACACAGAGAGCTTCTTCGTAGACAGGCACCATCTTGGGGAGGAGCAGGGAGTAACTTTTTTTTTCTCTTCCCATACATAGGCGGAGCTAAATGGGGGATGGAAGGTTCTTGAGAAGATTTAGCTAAAGAAGCTAATTGTTAAGTTAGGCATCTGAGTATAATGTGAGTGCATTTTCTATCCTATAAATGTACATAGAATTAAACTTGTAATGCTAAATCATTTACTTTTGAGTTCATCCTCATAAGAGTGCAAAATGAACAAAAATTAAAATTGAGATTGCAGATTTTGATTTAGGGTAGACCTGTGGCATTTAGTGTTATATCAGGCCAAAGACATCACTCCAAGATAATACTATTTACACAGAAGATCTCCTTAGCTAGAGATGTTTTTTTAAAAACTGAAACTAGTAAAGAGAAAGTTGATTTGTCAAGAGAGTTGACTCCCACAAATCGGGTGTTTTCCAGTTATTCAGGCATGCAACATTCACACAGATGCTCTCAGATCCTCTTACGAAGTACTGGATTAAAAAAGTATGAGATGAGACATCAGATATTTCAGTGACAAAACCATCCCTCTTGATCAACCAAAATATTCAAATGCACTTCAGATATGCTGGTTTCTGAAGCGACCTGAAGAACTTGTTTTCCCTTACCTCTAAGTTAAACCCAGACACAGTGACTCCAGACCGAGAACAATTGTATGGGGATATTGTATTGCTATTGCCTGCAATTTAGATAAAACAAAGGTGCACAAGGCATGCACCCACGTGTACACACACACACACACACACACCTGCCCCCCCACCACACACACACTGTGAGGTACTATATCAATGCCTGCATACTCCACAAATCTAGTCCAGCAACTTGCTTAAGCTTTTCATTGGAACAAAGTGATAGTCTTCTCTCCTAAAACAGAGTATCTTAAAAAAAAAAAAAAAGTTAATTTAGCAAAAAGTAGTGCCCAACTTTTTCAGGGACCCGTGGAATTCAGGCTGTCTAGCTGACACCTCTGCAGTACTTTAAATATTTAAAGCAATTGCCTCTGAAATATGGATTACCATGTAGGGAAATGTACAAGGGAAGATTGCTTTCTCCAGTTTTGTTTGCTCCTTTTGATGTAAAATGTTGTGGGAAAAAAAAGAGCTGTGACCCTTAATTAGATAAGGATTTATCTACATTGCTTTTCTTTTTGTGCCTGACCCCACTAGTCGGGCTAGTTGATCTGTATTGCCTAGTGTTGACACGAATGAGCAGCGTGAACCTTATACAGTTGTAAACACCTCTACAATGTGGCCTTCCTTACATGGTCCGCGAGGAGGCCTTGACAGAATGACACCCGTCATCTGATAAGCTGGGGTCAGGAGTCACTTGAAGAGTCGCTTTTTCTTTGAATTTCTAAAAGCCAAAAACTTTTAATGTTTTTAATAAGTAAATTACCTAAACATGTACAGTCCTTTTGCACATATTAACTCATCAGAGGCCCACGTGAGTCAGGGAGGGCTCCCTAAACAGTCAGGGGCTGTTCACCTGGTGTGTTGTAACTGCAAGACCACGTTTTGGTGAGAATCTGAGATGTATTTTGGAGAGCTTATATGACACAGTGGTCACATGATCCTTAAGGAGCCAGAGGGCATGACTTTAAGTAAATGGCTGGATGTTTTTTTCCAGTGTTGGCGATGCCTGTACTCAAAGGCAGAAACTCATCAGTAGGACTTCGATGAAGGAAGAATATTTTTCTTAAAGCAAGATATGTTTTAGTGATATAATTAGCCTTTTAGTTTATTCTCCCATGTATATATATCTACACACACATACACATACATATATAATGCCTGTTTTATAGTGTCTTGGAGATTTAGGTGATCAGGTTTTCTTCATGCCAGTATTTGGAATTCAGTGAGATCAGGTGGCTAGGCAAAAGAAGAGTAAATTATAACAAGAGCTTCCTTTATAGTCACCATGAAGAAGATGACTTATTCTCTGAGTCATAAAGTCATAAACCAGAATGCCTTGGTAAAGAAAAATTTTAATTGATACTGATACATGTTTATTCTCTTCCAGGTCTATCTTATTTACTGAGGATGGGATAGGGGATAGTGTGTGTAACAAATGTGTCAATCCTTTTGATAAGGTGCTGTGGGAACACAGAGGGACTGGTGTCCCTGGGATGTAGGAGATTTTCCTGTGTTGGCCTCCTGCCATCTCTCCTTGTGCTTCAATCAGTGTATGAGAGTAGGTGGCAGAAGCACCAGCTTGGACATTTCTAGGGCTTTTAAGAATATTTACAACCTTAAAATTTTGTGCTCAAAATAGGTCACTGAGAGCCTGTAATCCTGCAAGATTTCAGAGCTGTTCCTTGCACTTTCCGTAGCAATTCTTTCATCAATCTGATCACGTTCTTAATTCCAAATTTGGTGTTGCAGGTAGTCAAAATACTAGTGAGGACTCTGTTAATGCAACTCAAAAGCCAGGTTTCTCGTTCCAATCACAGATTCGAATCCTACAATTTGGAACCCATGGGCACTTCTAGATTGGATCTTGCAGAGATTTTTTACAACAGAAATAATGGAAAGGCAAAAGAAAACATTGAGTAATAACCAACCCAAGCAAGTCCAGCCTCTTTCTGCAGAAGGCAAGTAGTTCTAAATGAATTGAATATTTGGCAATTTTTTTCCATCCACACTGTTTGACTCCATTCTGGGCCAAAATGATCTGTGACTAAACACAGGCAAAAACAAAGTTTATTTTTAATCTGTCTAGCAATGAGGGTATTGGCTCATCATCCAGAGGAGATGTGAATTCTTATCCTTTATCTAATCTTGAACACTCTCTCTCATACTGGGGAGTGGTGACGGCGCAATTTCTAGCACTGATTTCCTATTGAAACCGTGGTTTCCTTCATTGTTTATCAAATTCTCTCCCGTCTTACCCTCAACTCCAACCAACCCGGAGTTTTTCGTCAAAGCCACTCTACTTGACATACATATGAGCTTGACAATAAAATTCCTTGGATATACATTGTGGAAGACGGGTGCATTTTCCATATTTTACATCATATTCTTGTTTTTGGATCACCAAAATATGATGTGTTATAATTTAGAAATTCATTTCCATAAATAATTTAACTATAGCTCTAGACTCATGAAACTTGGATATAGGCCAGACAAGCGGCTCATGCTTATAATCCTAGCACTTTGGGAGTCTGAGGCCGCCCGGGAGGTCAAGACTGCAGTGAGCCAAGATCACAGCACTGTACTTCAGTCTGGGTAACAAAGCGAGACCCTGTCTCAAAGGAAAAAAAAAAAAAAAGGAACTTGGGTATAATTTAAGATGGAGCGACAAATATGGGGTTTTACCTGGAGTCTCCTACACCATGTGACCTTTCAAATTTGGCCTTGCACAAATCATACTGGAAAGGTATGTTTCAGAACTTTTTCCCTAGTCTTACTCATCAAATATATTTTCCCCACAGGAATATCTAGTGCCATCAAAGTGGATAATTAACATTCAAGGTGCTAAGACCATGTCTACATGATGAAAAGTGTTTTGTAAAAGAATAAATGAGTGCATTACTAATGAAAGATTTTTTTTTCCTTTACAAAAAGTCACTGAATTATGCTATCCAGGCAGCCCACTGTCTGATGCATTGATAAATGGAGGAAAAGACAATCACATTAAGAACATCAGAACATCATTTGCAATTCTTAAAGTCGGTATTCAGAATCAACAAGCAGGGAACTTTCTCTTAAAATTAGAGGTAATAACCCACCCAATTGAGTGGCAGCAATGTGGTCAATTGAAGACAGAAAAACAAGACCTATTTTCCACATTACGAACCTTTAGTCCAAGGAAGTGTTTTTCAAATGATGTTGGCTGAGACCCCGAGTAATAAATATATTTTACATTGCAACACAAATGCAAATGAGTGTTGAAACATCCATATATAATTGAAACAAAAGTTTCCAAAGTAATGCTACTCTACTGTCTGCGATGCACACGTATTTTCTATTGTATTCTATTTCACTTTAAAAATAAATGCTAGTTGCAAACCATAAAATTTATACCCCTAATGGGGGGGCTGTGGTCCACAGTTTGCAAAAACAGTTATTTAGCAATTATAGTCATCTATACTTTTGAAAAATGTAGCAGATGCACTAAGAAACTTCCACAAAAATATGTATTCATAAGCTGAGTGAACTAAAGACCTCTTTAAGGATACAGTGTGACATATGATAGGGGCTCAATATAAATTTGAAGAAATAATTAAAAGAACATAGTAGAACAGGCCAGGCGTGGTGGCTCATGCTTGCAATCCCAGCATTTTGGAAGGCTGAGGAAGGTGGATCATCTGAGGTCAGGAGTTCAACGTAGCCTGGCCAACATGCTGAAACCCGATCTCCACTAAAAATATGAAAATTAGCCGGGCGTGGTGGCGCATGCTGGTAATCCCAGCTACTCGGGAAGCTGAGGCTGGGGAATCGCTTGATCATGGAAAGGCGGAGGTTGCAGTGAGCAGAGATTGTGCCACTGCATTCCAACCTGAATGGCAGAGCGAGACGCCGTTTCAAACAGCAACAGCGACAACAACAACAACATAGTAGAAAAGAAGAAAAGAAGGAAAGAAGAAGATACTGTGGAGAAGCCATAACTGCAAGTGAGCAGATAAGGCAACTGAAATGAGCCTCAAGCAACTTAGAGGTGGCCTAGTTTTGGCAAAGATTTTAGGCTGTTTATAAAGCAAAATAACAACTGGTATGACTTTAAGTGCTAAATATTTTTGTAAAAAAATATAGTGAGGCCAGCACAGTGGCTCACACCTGTAATCCCAGCACTTTGGGAGGCCAAGGAGGGCGGATTATCTGAGGTCAGGAGTTCAAGTAGTCTGGCCAACATGGTGAAACCCGTCTCTACTAAAAATACAAAAATTAGCAGGGCGTGGTGGCCCATGCCTGTAATCCCAGCTACTCGGGAGGCTGAGGCAGGAGAATTGCTTGAGCCCGGGAGGCAGAGGTTGCAGTGAGCTGAGATCGTGCCACTGCACTCCAGCCTGGCTGACAGAGCAAGACTCTGTCTCAAAAAAAAAAAAAAAAAAAAAATAGAAATAGTGACCAGTTGAGGAAAGTTTAAAGCCTTTTGTGATGAATGGATATGGCTTTGAATCCCAGATTTTCCAGTGACCAGCTTTGTCAATGTGGAAGCTTTTTCCACCACATCTTGTGTGGTCTTTAATATTGGGGTGATGATATCTAGCTAACCAGGTTATGATGAGACTTTATAATAATAACACATAGAAGGAACATGATAGGGCCTAATAGGTAGCAAACGCTCAAGAAATAAGAAATCTTATTTTGTGTGTTAGATGTTGGTTGTTTTTTTTGTTTTACCCAACTCTGACTTTAGCTTTCTTTTATGCTGAATGAATCTGCCTTTCAAAATGTTGCATCAGACACTAACATACCTTCTCTGCCCAAATTGTTAACTAGCAGATAATCAGGATGACTCCACCTTTGTACCTGACTGAGGAACTTAGTGAACCCTGAAGAAATGATGATTAAAGAGACAATGAAGAGGCCAGGCGCAGTGGCTCATGCCTGTAATCCCAGCACTTTGGGAGGCCGAGGTAGGCGGATCATGAGGTCAGGAAATCGAGACCATCCTGGCTAACATGGTGAAACTCTATCTCTACTAAAAATACAAAAAATAAGCTGGGTGTGGTGGCACGTGCCTGTAATCCCAGCTACTCAGGAAGCTGAGACAGGAGAATCGCTTGAACCCAGGAGGTGGAGGTTGCAGTGAGCCGAAGTCGTGCCGTTGCACTCCAGTCCGGGTGACAGAGTGAGACTCTGTCTCAAAAAAAAAAAAAAAAAAAAAGGACAATGAAGACAGGAGACATTGGGCTGTGCCCTTCTAGATATGACAGGGAGCAAATAAGCCAACTCCAGGTCAGTATAAAATCCTAGGTGATCATTAAAATCACTTAAATAAGCCAACTCCAGGTCAGCATAAAATCCTAGGCGATCATTAAAATCACTTAAAATTAAAATCCTAGGTGATCATTAAAACCACTTCAAAAAGACATGTTTTGGGAGCTATGTGTTCAGGGAAACAGAGGAGAAAACAACTGGGACTCTATGAGGTGCCAGGTTTGAAGCTGTATGGATGTGACTGATGTCAGGTTTTCATGAGCCCAGTGGAAAATTTAGAGGCAGTAAACTGGGCAACTGGGGCTGTTGGTGCTTGAGTAATGCTTGGGCATCAAGATCTCCAAACTGTGTGGCCGCACCTGTGGTCCTAGCTACTCAGGAGGCTGAGGTGGGAGGATAGTTGGAGCCTGGGAGATTGAGGCTGCAGTGAGCTGTGATGGTGCCACTGTACTCTAGCCTGGGTGACAGAGCGAGACTTGTCTCAAAAAAAAAAAAATCTCCAAACTGGACTCTCTCTCACTAGGGATTTGTCTCTTTCTCCTCTCCTTCTCTTCCTTCCTAATTATCTCCTTTTCTTTATTCACAATATATATATCCTCAACTATGGATAAGTGTGCTTATACTCAGCTATATTTTCTTTTTTTCCAGCTATATTGATGTATAATTGACAAATAAAAATTAGATATTGTTAAGGTGTACAACATAGTGCTTGACAGATATATACATTGTGAAATAATTACCACAACCAAGCAAGCTAGTTAACATATCCATCACCTCATGTAGTTACTTTTTTGGGTTTTTTTTTTTTTGGTGTGGTGAGAACACTGAAAATCAACTCTCTTAGCAAATTTTGAGTATTCAATGAAGTATACTTGAATAACACTGTATACAAATTCAAGTATAAATTCAAGTATACAATGCTATTAGCTATAGTCATCCTGCTATATATTAGTTCTCCAGAACCTACTCATCATATAAGTTAACGTTTGTACCCTTTGCCCAAGACCGCCCCACTTCCTCCTCCCACCAGCTGCTGGTAACAACCATTCTACTCTCTGTTTCTATGAGTTTGACTTTTTTAGGTTTTGCATAGAAGTGACATCATGCAGTATTTATCTTTCTGTGTCTGGCTTGTTTCATTTAGCATAACGTCTTGCAGGTTCATTCATGTTGTCGCAAATGGCAGGATTTCCTTATTTTTAAAGGCTGAATATTCCATTGTGTGTGAAAATATATGATATCAACTGTATTTTCATATATGTGTCTAACTGGATGGCCTCTTAATAAACTTTAAAGGATTAAAGATTGTCATTAGAGAATTCTAAATAAGGTGGTTTTAGGTTCATATTATACAATACATGTAATGTGCATGCATTATGTCGACTCTTATTAAATTCTAAGTCCTACTCAATAGTGTTGAGAGCATTAATGCACCCAAGAATTTTGTTTTTTTATTTAACTTAGTGAGAAAATATAACTTAATATATAGCAATTCACTTAGATTGATATAGAAGTAATTAACACCACATTCTTATTAATAGATTTCTACATATTTGCAATGACTAATAACTAAAAATGTAAAAAATAAGGAAGTTACATTATAGGCTTCCGAAAAATATGCCTTTCCACATGTGGGATTTCAAGAAAAAAATATCAGCACAAAAGTATGTATTAGAATGCTTGGAATAGTCAACCAAAATTTCACACAATATAAACAAGACAAATCGGTACAATTAATAATAGAGGACTGGATGTTCTGCTGTAAGTTTTTGATACATATTAAGTATTTCTCAATTTTTGGTACATATTAAATTTCCTCAGGGTGTTTGTTAGTAATATGGATTTTGGGAACCACCCTGAGAGAGATTCTGACCCAGAAGGTTTGAGGTGGAGCCCAGGTATTATTTGCAAGCATTGCAGTCCATTCTTTTTTTTTTTTTTTTGAGACGGCATTTCCCCATGTCACCCTGGCTGGAGGTGCAGTGGCACAATCTCCGCTCACTGCAACCTCCACCTCCCGGGTTTCAGTGATTCTCCTGCTTCAGCCTCCTGAGTAGCTGGGACTACAAGTGCTTACCAGCTAATTTTTTGTATTTTTAAGTAGAGATGGGGTTTCACCATGTTGGCCCAGCTGGTCTTGAACTCCTGACCTCAAGTGATTCACTCCTCTCAGCCTCCCAAAATGCTAGGATTACAGGTGTGAACTTCTAATTACATCTTGAGAAACTGGTCTAGGATAATTCAGATGAATTTTTTTTTTTTTTTTTTTGCTTTCCCATATTTTAGATGTAACCAAAGTGGTGCACTCAATGTTTAAGTACAAAGAAGGATGAAGAGGTAGAAATTTGAGGCAGCTTTTCAACCTGTTTCTGTCACTTTGTTTTCCATCTTTGTTGCATGCTTTAAACAAATACACCAGTTGTCTTAATTGAGCCTTCCGGAGCATATCCCCATTCCACATGTGCCCGTGAATCTGTGGCCACATGTACACATAATGATTTGGAGTTCCATTTCTTAGAAAAAATGAAGATTGACCCCGATTCTTTAAGTGCTGGGAGTATTACCATAATAAATGGTATCACTGCATGATAAGAGCAAATGTGTGATTTTAGTCAACATATTTTCTACATGACTAATGAGAGACTTGCAGCTTGGATACACAGCAGTGTCTAGAGTCAGTGGCTAAGCCGTGGTAGGTCTCTATGAAGTGGGGAAATATTTCTGACCAACCCCAGGGAGATGTTTGCAGTGTGGAGTGGAAGCTGCCCTGCTGTGGTTTAGCACTGCAAAAACTCTCCCTTACATATGCAATTTGCATATTCCTTTATATACTGAAAGGCCACCTGAACATAGGTGGTCAAAAGACCTTTTTTCTACCTTCCTTCTTCTGTTCTTTCCATTGGATCTTTGATTCTGAGAAGTCTGCCCCATAGAAAGGAGGAGGCTTAACTCTAGGAATGCTTCCTGTTCTCCTTCTCTTTCGTCTTTCTTCTCACTCCCAGCCCTGAAGGCATCACAGAGGCATCAGTGATGCTTTTTTTTCCTCCTCCACTCCAGTCTGCTCCGCAGAACCCCATGTCCTCAGATAAAATGCCACCAAAAAGTCTGAAGGTGCTTTGCAATGGAAATGGATTATTGAAGACACAAAGACCCGTAGTAAATTTTACAGTTTATACTTCTGTGATGTTGTTATTCTTAAAATTGACAAGAAAAATCAGGAAATTTACATAACTCCTGTGAGTTTCTAGGACAAATGAGTTTATGACTATAAAACACCTTGTAATCTAATCTACAGAACTGTAGGTAAATATAATTGGGCACTATGATTGTTGTTGTCATCGTCTTTCTTGTGAAGAGTGATAATCCTGAGAAAATCAAAAGCTAGCTCTGTGCCAAGTTCAAGTTGAAAGAGCAAGAGAAAGCCAGCTGGGCGGCTGCAGTTCACTTTATGGTGGGCCCCAGGAAGCTGAGGCATCCAGTCACCCAGCTGCTGATCGGCTGAGTTAGGAATCAGACTCCTAGCTTTTGTTCCAGAATCAAGACATGCCCCTTGAGGCTCAGCCATAAGAGCTTCACTTTGACCCTCAGAGCCCTGCTCTTTGCCTGGATGGTTCACCTTTGTGGACACTGTCCCAGCCAGCCAGCCTCTTCCCATTGTTCCTTCCCTAGCCCCTGCCCTGCCCTGATTGGTGAAGTTGCTGCCAGGGACCAGGAGGCCACCCTCCCAATTGTTTATTATAAACAGGGGGAGAAAAGTGGGGAAGGAAAAGTGCCAGAGGAGAATCTCATATCTAGCTGCCCAAGCCAATCCACTGAACACCCATTACATATGCTGGCTAAGCGTCCATTGATCTTTCCCATTAGAACAATGATAGTCTCCAAGTATATATGGGTTACAGGTTTTGGAACACAGTGAAAGTGGATAATGGTTTTTATGGGAAAATGCATTCTGAGATGGAAATCACCAACTTAGTAACAAACATTTAGGACTTAATGCTGTCCACAAATTGAGGACTACCTTTCATTTATGCAGCAGTTACAATTCCATAGCCAGAAGTGCTGACATTCCATTAAAGAAGAGCAAGAAGCGATGGGGAAAACACCCTGAAAACTACAATAATCTTTGATGCCAAGAGAGAGGAGCAGCAAACATTATAAGAATAACATACAGCAAACTTTGCCAAATAATGGGGAGTTCCTCACACATGAAGCTTGCTTCCTGAGAAACAACAGATCCACTTAAAGACTACTCTTAGGAATATTTTCTTTGGCTTTGTCAAACATTTTGGACTTTTCTGCAACCATGTCCCAATAAATGTACCTCATTAAAAATATAAAACTAGCTGGGCACAGTGGCTCATGCCTGTAATCCCAGCACTTTGGGATGCTGAAGTGAGAGGATCCCATGATCCCAGGAGTTTAAGACCAGCCTGGGCAACATACAGAAAGCCAGTCTCTACCAGAAAAACAAAACAAAACAAAAAAACAGCGAGGCATGTTGGCACATGGCAAATGCCTATGGTTCCAGCTACTCAGGAGGAAAAAAATTTTTTTTGAAGTATGTATTCAAATGATATGTATTGCTTTATTATTGTTATATAGTGATACATAATCAGTGAAGAAATAATTAAAACAATAAAATGATTAAGAAGAAAATATAGGCCAGGTGCAGTGGCTCATGTGTGCAATCCAAGCACATTGGAAGGCCGAGACGGGAAGTTCAGTTGAGCATCAGAGTTTGAGACCAGCCTGGGCAACAAAGTGAGACGCTGTCTCAAAAAGAAAAAAAAAGAAGAAAATGAAAGAAAAAGAAAAAAAAAAGAAAAATTAGCCAGGCACGGTATGGTGGCACACACTTGTAGACTCATAGTTCTCCCAACTACTGGGAAGGCTGAGGTGGGAGGTTGACTTGAGCCCGGGAGTTTGAGGATGCAGTGAGCTATGGTCGTGCTACTGCACTCCCGCCTGGGTGACAGAGTGAGAATCACTCTCCAAGAGGAAAAAAAAAAAAAAGACAAGAGAAGAAAAGGAAATATGACCTAAATACATTTAATGACCTCTTTTAACCTTTTAGAGATCATGCGTAAACACACCACACATATATTTTAATGAAATATTCAGTCATATTGAAATATGGTAGTATAGTCTGCTTTTTAACTTAAATATAGTACAGATCTCTTTCCATGTCGTGTATAGTATAACAATTAAGGTGAATATGTTTAGTATTTCATTTTATGGCTGACTATATTTTATTTCACTAATCCACATTTGACAATCAGATGATTGTAATATTTTCACAACTTTATATTCTCATAATTCAGTTGTTGTACTAAGGCATATTTATCTTTTTTGTATATGAAATTTATCAGATACTTCAATTGTTTTAAGCAAGCTTTATGAGATTACTTTTCTAGGTCTACTGGTGTCTGTGGTTTCTAAGATCACGTTGCCTGTATTTCTAGACAAATCAGATAATGTGATTTCAGAACACCTGATTATTTCAGTCAATTGAAAGAAACAACTGGTCAACCCAGTGCATAATATTATCTTTTTTTTCCCCTCATAAGTAAGAGACACATAAAATTCTTAGGCTAGTTTACAGTCTCATACTAGTTTATATGAGACAGAAAGTGCCGACTGACGGAAGACCCAAGCTGACAGCAAGCTTTCGTTTCTCAGATGCCTTATGAAAAGAACCCCTTATGTTAATTTTCTCAGTTAAGTCCTACAGTTCTCCGTTAATTTCTCAATGAAATCCAGAGGACTAAGTTAACTGACCCTTTAGCTACCCCCGGTAATGAATCGTTAGCTACAATGTTAATAGAGACAGAAGGAAATATGGTATTGCCTATAGTACAGGAGAAATAAAAATTTGGTGAATGCCATTGAAAACAAAATTGTATTTCAGGACCTATTCTATTTTATAGAATCCTTCTTCAGCAACAACAAACTAAGGGAACTGCATA
Organism: Homo sapiens; assembly: GCF_000001405.40. Taxonomy (NCBI): domain Eukaryota; kingdom Metazoa; phylum Chordata; class Mammalia; order Primates; family Hominidae; genus Homo; species Homo sapiens. The sequence continues at coordinate 96,112,572 of NC_000015.10, read as the reverse complement.
TTAGAACTACTGGTCACTATTTAGCTAAATTAGCATCCAAATGTGCTAAAATATTTACTCTTCAGCCATCTGGGCCAACATTTTCAAGATATGATATGGGCCATCATTTTCAAGATTGATATTGATAAAGAAATGGTGAATGGGGATTAGGAAAGGTGAAGTGAAAAACTTATTATAATCCAAGATTGTGAATAAATGTTTATAGATGAGAAGGACAGTTTGACATAGACCTCATCTGATGAGATGTGAATCTATACATAGCACAGATCTGTTTATATTCACATGAAGGAAGAAAAAAAGCTGGCATAGCACCAGCTGTTAAATTTGTAGCCATCATTATTTTCACATTAACACCTGTTGAATCAGAGATACTGGCACCTGTTGATTTTGCCTGTGCATCTATTTAGCGCTATATTCTTAAATGTGAATACAGTAGGGGAAGAGCCATATTAATGAATCATGATATATATAAAATAATGAACAGTTATCCGTCTAGAGGTTTCCAAGAAATAAATAAATAAAACAACTTGAGGACCTCTGTGTTCTTAAATGTGAACACAATAGGGTAAGAGGCATATTAACGGATCATGATATATATAAAATAATGAAAAGTTGTCCCTCTAGAGGGTTCTAATAAATAATAAAACAACATGAGGACCTCAGAACAACATTAGGATGAATATTTTGGGAAGTTCTGATCAAACCAAGCAGCAGTGCCTGAGCACATTCTGACATCTGGACCCCGGGGTCTGTATCCAGCACGATGGATACTGAGCAGTACTTCTGGGTGTGATTTCTTGGCCATGTAGGCTATTGTAAAGAGAAAGTATTTCATTTAAAAAGGTCTGTATGGTGTTTTTGTATTTAAAGTGCAAAAATTTTAGATAACTTAGCTTGATTTTTGGCTTTGATAGGAGTTTGTGGGGGCTGTTCATTATTGAAATCTATACTTAAGAATTTAGGACATTCTATTTATTATGTGTTTCCAAAGCTAAAACGTTTATTATTTGAGATGATTACTCACAATATTTGCAAAACCATAAAAATGAGAATACCATCAAATATAGGTTACTTTTGAATAAAGAACTTGGAAGTAACGACGTTTCTATTTAAAAAATCATCTCCTGCACTTTCTGTTTCCTCATTAAAAATAGTAATATGAAACTTCAGATGAAAATGCTTTGGACTATCTCTGACTTAAGGAGAGATGCAAAGAAAGAAATTTTAGTTTTCAAATAGTTACTTCTTTCCCCTCTCAGTCAGGCACTATCAGAATGTTTGGTACCACATTAATTCTAGGAGACAGAAAACATAATGGCCATATAGTCTTTTGACAATCAAAAGTATTTTATCTGAGGTGGTGTGTAAAATACTTCTAAGTAATTATGAAAGATTTCCTAGTTATAGGACAAGAAATGAAACCTGTTTCATCCATCTTGAGATAATCGGCTTCACACTAAGAGGTTTTCTCCTTGCCTCCTCTTCCCTGTTTGCTTCCGATGCATCCCAGAAGCTTCAGCAAGCTTTGCAGCATTGGTGTAGCAGACGCTTATGAAAACACAGGTTGCTGCGTCCAGTCCCAGAATCTGAATTGGCAGGCTTGGGGTGGCCTGAGAATCTGCATTTCTAACTAGTGCTCAGGTGATACTGATGCTGCCAGTCCTGCGACCACACTTTGAGAACCACTGATGTAGGGTCAGTTATATATATATTTTTATTAAATGCTTTATTTCATTGAAAGCTATATGTAGCAACCTCATAGTTTTAAAATTAAGTTGATAGAGCAGAAAGAAGAAATGATGGTTGCTCACTTTGGTACCCATTTTACTAGTGAAGTTGCAAATCTCCAATCTATGTCACTCCTGATAAGTGATTTTATACAAATTGGGCCATTCCCTTGAGTGCCTCACTTGGAAAAATGTCATGTGTGACAAGAAAGCTTCAAAAAACATCAGGCGGAGGGGGTCCTGTTTAAGAAATTACAGGACAGATACATAATAAGTACCTAATGATTTGCTGAATGAGTACACAAAAGAATCAATTATATCCTTTTAAGTTTATATATTATAGTTACCATTTTCAACACCAAGTTCATTTTGAGAAGAAAATTGGGAAGAAAATTATTTTATGCACATAATTCTCTCCCTTACCTATCCTGTTCTATCTTATTCTTATCTAAGATCTCCGTGGGTCTTTTTATCCTTAAGAAGTTTTGGAGGCAAGGAAGAGCAGAAATCACTCTCCGCATTGGATAGATGAAGAAAGGAGCCTCAGAGAAGAGATTCAGAGGTTCTCCTAAGGCCACTAACTAATAAATGATGACATGAGAGTAAACTGAAGACTTGCAGTGCCAGGGTTGGTGTGGTCCTCCCTGATGGGGGCCTTGACCTGTGAGGCCAAGGACAACAAAGGAACAGCTGTCTCCTTGCCATGGAAGTGGCCCAGTAACCAGAAGGACTCAACTGTCAGGGCTGCAAGAACTTCCCAAGGACCCAGCTCTCTGCTGGAGCTGCAATCAAGAAATTGAAACACCTGTGGAGCCCCACCTCGCTGAAGAACCAGCACACCTGTCGACCACTGTCTTTCCACCTGCAGATCCAGGAAGAAAACCAAAGCAAGGAGTAGGGAGAGGCTGTCCTCGGAGAGGCTGTTCTAGGACTGTGCTGCTCCCCTGGGTGCGCAGCCCCTGTGTCTTCCTCCTTGCGTTACCACTTTCCCTGCCCATGAACTGAAGGCTCTCTCCTCCCTCTCCCTCTCTGCATCTTAAAGCTGAGCCCACTAACATAAAGCCTGGACAACTTGATCTGCAGTGAAATCTTGAAGACAAAGTCTGGCCTCCTCATTAGAATCCACATGTTATTGAGCCTTACCCACTGGTGCTGGCCCTGGCACAGAGAAGGCAACTTAATACGTTAATACAACTTAATAAACTTGTAGAATGAATGAATATTGTCTGGAAGACACACCAAGTCAAGGGTCGTTTGACATCTAATGTTCAAAAACTATTTTGTGCACCTACCATTTAGTGGGTACTATCCTATTTATTTAGGACATGCTGGTGAAGCAAACGGATTCATTCTCTGCCCTTGATATATTTTAGCAGGGAATACAAACAAGTAGTTGCCATGCATGTGATGGTATGAGATCCAACAGATGAAAAGCTCTTACCACCTCCAGGCTCTGTGTTGCACAGAAGCACAGCCTACACTAGAGTCTTCAGTTCCAGCTGACTTTGCAATCTGGACTTTCCAACGTCTAGTGTGAGCTAAGATTTGGCTGCCTTTCCCCACTTCCTGCCCCATGTAGCAGGCCTCTTTTGGCCCTGGGTATGGAGTATTCCTACCTCTTGGCATAATTCCAGTCTTATGTAGTGACACCTGCATCGGTGAGTGGCTGTAGCAACTATCTAGGCCTGTCTAGAAATTAAAGCTCTAACTCTAAACTTTGAAAGTCAGGCAAGCAACAGCAGCCCTTCCCTTTCAGGCACCTACCAGCCATCCTGCTGAAGATAACCTGGATTTGCATCTTCTGGATGGGATAGAAGCTGTGACTAATACTGAGCCATCTAGGGCAGCAGCCCCCAACCTTTTTGACACCAGGAACTGGTTTCGTGGAAGACAATTTTTCCACGGACTTGGGGTGAGGGGGATGGTTTCAGGATGATTCAAGCACATTACATTTATTGTGCACTTTATTCTATTATTGTTACATTGTAATATGTAATGAAATACTTATTCAACTCACCATAATGTAGAATCAGTGAATCAGTAGGAGCCCTGAGCTTGTTCTCCTGCAACCAGACGGTCCCATCTGGGGGTGATGGGAGACAGTGACAGATCATCAGACATTAGGTTCTCATGAGGTGTGTGCAACCTAGATCTCTCACATGCACAGTTCTCAATAGAGTTCGTGCTCCTATGAGAATCTGATGCTGCTGCTGATGTGGCAGGAGGTGAAACTCAGGTGGTAACGTGAGCAATGGGGAGTAGCTGTAAATACAGATGAAGCTTCGCTCACTCACCTAGCACTTGCCTCCTGCTGTGAAGCCCAGTTTGTAACAGGCCACAGCCATGGACTAACTAAAATTATCCCTAAGTGAAGGTGAGGATTTCAAAGGCCAATACAATGTGTTGAATGCGGAAGCACTGCAGGGTCTGGATGCTCAAATAATTGTTCTTTTTCTCAATTTTGGAAAGAAAGTTGTCAATCTAAAAAGAGCGGTGTTGAAGAACCTGCTCATTAGATTAGCCATGCTTGGCTAAAGGGGAATGTTATAGTACTTTCTTTTTTTTCTTGAGTAAAATCACACTCTGGAAATGGTTGAGTTGCAGAAACATCTGGGGGCACTTTATGACGTTAATAAGAAGTTTGGCCCTTGATGCAAGGTTAATTTATTTGGGATGAAACCATAGCTAGTTCAACTTCCTATCATGCTCTCCAGAAAAACCCATGGCCTGGAATCCTCCAGGCAAAGCTCATTTACATTTTTTATCTCCCTATAGTCAATTCTGAAATTCCAGTGGTCATGTTCAGACATAACTTACTAGAAGAGTCATTTCATTCAGAAACGTCTTAATTTTAAATGACATCTTGAGTCTCCAAATCTGTGCTATGGAGACTTCTTTATTTTGAGGTGCTCATTCTGGTTGAGTATATTTAGTGTTTAAGAAAGCAATTCAAAAGTTAAAAACTATGTTTGTTTGTTTTTTTTCATTGAGTCCCTCTGTCTGGACAAGGAAGACTCCTTCTAATACCCTTTCTGGTGCTGCAGACTTTCAATTTCTACTTACAGTGTTTGTGGATGGCAATGGAAAATGTATTTCCTGCTGAGCCTGAACTGGAAATAAAATTTTGGAGAACTTTGGGAAAAACTGGCAAAGATTCCACCAAGGTGCACATCCAAGGGGGCTCAAATAGTTGCAGATATCCCCTTGGTATGGGGGTGAGTTGCATGGTAGGAGGAGCTCCACTTGGGGAGCTGATGGACCTGTGTTTAGAGTCCCACTCCACCATAATTCATTGTGTGATTAGCCCCTCCACAAAAAAGGGGGGATTATATGGTGTTCCTGCTTGTTGAGTGAAGATTAGAGTCTGTGAAGGGCTTAGCACAGAGCCTGGCCCATCGCAAAGACTGGATACATGGAAGTGCTTATTGTTACCATTCTCTGTAGACAAACTCCAGGATAGATTTGACCTGATTCACCTGGGGTTATTCTAATTTCTGTGTTGAGGAACGAGGTGCCCTGTAGAACTCATGGTTGAAGTAAGTGCTTACACTATACTGACCGGTTCACCATGCTAGGTCACTGGGTGAAATGCACTTGGAAAGTCAAGTGCTCCGTAGAATTCTAGATGGTTGGGGGAGGTTTGGGGAGGAACTAACTAGAAAGCGAGATCTTACAAGTAACAAAATACCCCAGAGAAGTAAAGGCTAGATCTAAAATCAAAGATACATTCTTTCATTCAGTAAATATTTAATTACTTAACATGTGGTGGACCCTGCGGGGGATATGTGGATAGTAGATGCAAAAGCTACCGTCTTTACTAACACTATTCTTTCCTTATCTGCAACTGGGCTCAGCTAATTTAGAATCTTCCATTTCTTTTCAGTAGCTAGAACGTGGGTATGATGGTCAATTTTTGAAACCCATTTAATGTTGTCCTAGAGCTAACTCAGCTAGCTGCGTCTGCTTTATTCGGGCGTGTCTAATTCACTTTCTGTGTGCAGGGGATGCCTTGGGCACATTGTCCAGATGCATGGGACTGGACACCACAGAAGTCTTGCTTCACCTAATCTTTGAGTGAAAGTGTCGGTCCTTATTGCATGTATTGCAGAAGTGTCTCTGGGGTAAAGAATTCTCCTTCCAGCACTGTTAATGCACAGTTAAGACACTGACCCTGAGGTCTGGCTGTGAGCTTATTCAATCCCCAACTTGGAAAGTCAAAGCATCATCTTGAACTTGGTATGTAGGAAATATTTGTTGTTACTAATAGATATGGAGAACACTATAATGGATTTGAGATGTCCATGAGATATTTAGGTGTGCATGCCTGACAGCCTTCTAAAATGTGGGCCTGTAGCTCTAGAGAAAAGCTAGAGATGAGGGATGAACAGGTGGGAAGTCATCTGTTCAGTGGTAGTATCTAAAACCACGAGACTAGGAGAGATCACCAGTGGAGTGTCAGGTGGCTAGCAGATGGGGTAATTACTGGCCAGGCTCCACAGTAGAGACTTAGCTCCCATGTGTAGGGTCACCCCTCCCCTGAATCTGCAATTCTATCTCTTGTCAAGGAGGAATGGAAGCAATTTTCTGTGTACTGCCTTTTTGCCTCCTCTTCTTCTTGGTGAAGTAGTTTGCTGGAGTTCCAGTAATTAATTCCCATTTTTGTCTATTCGTGTCTGATACTCTTCTCCATATGGAGTGGCAGGTGACTGGGGAAGTGCTCAGTAGTGACCTGGGAACTCGAGTGACCACACAACACAGTATCTTTGGTGCCGGAGAGCACATACTAGTTTAGTATCTAAATGAGACTTTGGAGTCAGATATAGATGAACAGTTCAGCTTCAATATACAAGTCTATACAAGACAAGATGGTGGAAGAAGAGCAAAGTGCAAACCCAAGGGGGCCCAGAACTGTGGAACCTGTAGTTGAGAGGTTGAGCTCGGGGGAGAAGTGAGCTCCCTGGAGATGGTTCTTCATGTACATTCTTTGATTGCTTGGAATCACCCTGAGACAGACGTTCTTGCTGAAGTTCTAGCCTAATTCTCAACCCAATCCCCTACTTCTTTGACTTCCCTACCATATCTCACTTTCCTCCAGAGATTGTGATTGTAAAACTCTGGTCCCCGTGGCGATTTTCTGCCCCTTACTTTCCAGACCTTCCTGGAAATTACTGCCTGCCAGTTTAGGCTTTGACCTTGGCCTGTGCTCCTCGCTCATGGACCCTGCTTAGTTTCATCTGTTGCATTTCCATTGTCAAGGCCTTACCCAGGCCTAGTCTCTGTTTCTGGGACATCTTCTGGAATGGCACTCCTGGCACTGTGAGTATACCGCATCTTCTAGTGCTTGCTGTATGAATGTAAACTCCATCTTCCACTTCGCGTTTGGAGGTTCCTGTCAGCCAAGGGCCCTTATCTTTGTTGAGAACTCTGTGTGTGCTCCATGTCTCAAATGCCTGCAAAGTAGAATTGTAGTTCTTATTTTGTAGGCTACAAAAGAAGGCTCAGAGAAGTTCAGGAGCTTGCGCAAAGTCACAGAACAGAAAGTGGTGGGTGCTAGGATTAACTGTCAGATTGGTTTGGTTCCAAAGCCCATTCTCTTTCCATAACTATGGGTGGCTTTCAAGGAGGTATGAGGAAGTAAGAAAGGTAAGAAAGACAGTGGCCAGGAAGAGTAGACCAGGAGCCTAAGATCTTTACAGTGACACAGTTTGTGAGTAACTAACTTCAGGGAGGTGGGCTTGTTAATAAACAGAGTGGAGAAACTGGTCACAAGTACAGAAGGGATTCGAGGGACTCCCTTCTGTCAGCATGAAGCTTATCATAATTAACAAACTCTGCTCTTCCAGATTTAAAATCAAGATGAAATTAATGTTTCCCTTAGAAATGCGTGCTGTGGTCCAGGCACGGTGGCTCATGCCTATAATCCCAGCACTATGGGAGGCTGAGGCGGCTGGATCACAAGGTCAGCAGTTCAAGACCATACTGGCCAACATGGTGAAACCCCATCTCTACTAAAAGTACAAAAATTAGCTTGGTGTGGTGGTGCATGCCTATAATCCCAGCTACTTGGGAGGGTGAGGGATGAGAGTCACTTGAACCCAAGAGGTGGAGGTTGCAGTGAGCTGAGATTGTGCCACTGCACTTCAGCCTGGTGACAGAACAAGACTCTGTCAAAAAAAAAAAAAAAAAGAAAAAGAAAAGAAAGAAAGAAAAAAAGAGAAGTGGATGCTGTGCTGGAATGAGGAATATTGAATTCACTTGGCTTTGGGATACAGTCTTGTTACATCCGGGTCCTGGAGGCACACATGCTATGTATATTTGTAACAGATTCACACACATGATTGGGCCAGTAATCTTGACCACAACCTCCAGGAAGTATGAACTTAACATCTGTAAGAAAAGCACAAATGTTGCTTCTCTGGTTAGCTATGACTAGTAATGGCTCCACTTTGCTAGAAGTTCCTGATGTAACACATCTTAATCCAAAATACGCCTCCCCCCTACCCCCAGTATATGGAGAATAGCTAACATTCTTCCTTTTCCTCTTAGAAGGTGGATTAGTACCACCTGTCTCAGCTAACGTTCATGGGATTCAGCAGGAAAAACAGTATTATGAGGGGAAAGCTTCTTTGAATGCAGTATTTTAGGATTATTTCTTTGGTTGCTAAACTGCTACCTTTGTATTGAAAGGTGATGAGACATTTTCTGGCTGAGAGACAGAGATATCCTAGAAAGGTGTCAAGTTAAAAGAGGGCCGATGAAAGGACTTGAGCCACAGCCATCGGAGGAGGGTAAGCGATTGATTGCAGGCATTGCTTACATTTTCTTCCCACTGCTACAGTTGAGGGAAGGATTGTGGTCATCACCTTGCTGCCCCATCCCACCCCTTCTTCTGTGGAAGGTATTACCATGGGCCATCATTCCAACTGGATCGTTGCCATCCACCAAGGCTGCTCAATGATTTTCTCTGTATAGGGAAAAGGTGGAAGTTACAGTGCCTCAAGTTTCAAAGAGCTGTCTCCTTTGAACTAGGAGTCTCCTTTGAGCCGGAGTCCTGCAGCTCGCTCTTGGCTTTGGCATTCAACGGGGATGGTATCATGGGCTGGGCATTTAACCTTTTGCTGTCTGCATTTCCCCCGTTCTTAAAATGGAGGTAATTTAATTCTCTTGCAGGAGAGTTGGGAAGATTAATGAGTCAATGTTTGGTGAAGTGCTTTGAGATTCTCAGATGAAAGGTGCTACATAATAATTACAATAACACTTTGTTCTTACATAGTGCCTTTCTTCTAGGGAGCTCAAACTGCTTTATAAAATTATTTCATTAATACTCGCAGCATCCCTCTATGGCAGGTAGTAATTATATCCCCCCATTCTCATATCAGCAATCTGGGGCACAGAGAGGCAAACTGACCTGGCCAAGGTTACACAGTAGGTCACTGATAAAATCATCAGTTGAATTCAGATCTGATTCATTCATTTGTTTGTTCCCTCATCCACCAATATTTACCCATGATTATATGTCTGACACTTGAGCTATTGGATAAAAGAGGATGTGATACAAAGTTAAATGAAATACACTCTCTTTGAAGAGATTTAGTCCGGTTGAACATGTGCATAAATCATTATAATAAAATATAGCAATCATATAATACAATGGGTTGATAGAAACAAACATGCATCTAAAGTAGGCGAAAAGAAACAAGAAATCTTAGTTTTACTAAAGAGATATCATATGAGTGAACTTTCTCTTGAGCAATGAGTTCACAAATAGAGAAAAAGAAGTTGAAGAAACTTGCCTCCGATTAGAGAAGGAAGGACCGTGATAAATGTAGGGAGTGAGATCCACTTGGCATAGTGGGAGCAAAGGGTTTTTTAGACGGGGGAGTAGGCTAAGAAATTTGAACTTTATGCACAAGGCGATTGAGAAGCATTGGAGCTTGTTCAAGTAGAAGGAATGAGGTCAGCATTATATTTAAACCATTAGCTCTGGTAGCCGAATAGTAGCAGGTTTGGATGTGGAAGAGACGTGAGACCAGAAACCAGGAAGACAGGTCTCTGACTCAAAGTCCAGACCAGTCACTGAGTGATTCTTCTCAACAGTTTTATGAGCTGGAGCTCCAGTGTTGTTTTGAAATTCTGCATGTGGCACTTCGTGAAAACAGTGACAACAATGGTCTTTCATGGATAGTCCATTTTCTCAATTCAAGAAGCATACAAATTAAAAAAAAATATCTATAATTCAGCTTTTCAGTGATGGTACAGTGAGCAATTGTCATTCTTCTGCCCTGAAATCCATCAGGCAAAATGGTTGAGTCTACATCAATTACTTATTATAATAGAAAGTAAGCCTTTGTTATATTATTTGTTAAGTATCTCTCCACATTAGATACGTGAGAATGATCTTCAATGCAAAAGTATTCATTTTTATTTCACGTGATAAACTAGTCTGTGATTAGACATATTTATTTTTATTTCTTACCCATGATTGTAACTATGGAGTCCATTTTAAGAATGATTTCTTGATCACTTGTATTTTTTTTCTTGTCAAAATCTCTGTTAAGTGTCTGACAGAGAAAATATTCAAATCACTTTGCCTACATTAGAGGTTCTCAAAATGTTTTTCAGGTATGGATGGCTGCAAGCCCACAGGCCACCTGTTGAAGAGGTAGGTGCACTTGGTCCTCAGAATGACAGCTACTCAGTACCAGATCTCTTTGTCTTCATTATTCATGGATAATAATGAGCTGGGAAAAGTCACAATATTCTATGAAATAAATCCTGACACATGGCTGGTTAAGCTATTCTGCACCTTGTGGACATACAGTAAATGCATCTTGATTACCTGGCAATGAACTCATTTAGCCGTTTTTTTTTTTTAGCCACAGTTGCTTTATAAAGAGTACATTATCTTTGTCATTGAGTTTGCTGAGTGAATCAGTTAGGATAGGCAAGATTGTGCTACAGTAATAAACATCCCTAAGTATCAGTGACTAACAAGAAAGGTCTAATTCTGGCTCATGCAAAGTTCATTGTAGATCTGAATGTCTCTCCAGCATGCTATCTTATAGGTGGTTGATCTGAAATTCACCTTCCTATCAATATGCACTTTAGTGATTGCCAAAGCAGTAAAAGAGGGAATTCAAACAATGGCAGTTAAAAGCTTCTGAGAAGTTCCACTCCTCATTTCTATGCACATTTCATTGACTAAAGCAAGTCACTTTTTTATTATTATTATTTTTAATATTGAGTCTCGATCTGTCATGCAGGCTGGAGAGCAGTGGTGTGATCTCAGCTCACTACAACCTCCCCCTCCTCGGTTCAAGTGATTCTCCTGCCTCAGCCTCCCAAGTAGCTGGGACTACAGGTGTGTGCCACCATGCCTGTCTAATTTTTTTGTATTTTTAGTAGAAATTGGGTTTCACCATGTTGGCCAGGCTGGTCTCGAACTCTTGACCTCAGCTGATCTGCCTGCCTCAGCCTCCCAAAGTGCTGGGATTTACAGGCATGAGCCACTGTGCCCAGCTGCAAGTCACATTATCATGCCTAATTTCAAGGAGACAAAGAATTACAATCCTCCCATGTGCCCTCAAGAGGGGAACAATATATTTGCCATGAGTCTTTTCTGCTGCTCTTTGAAAGTTACTATTTTGTTCTTTGAAAAACATCACATATTTCCATTTACAAAACTTGTATTTTAATATTTGAAAATCAAGTAATTTATTCTTGATGGCGTTCCTGGAAGATGTACTGGTATTATTAATCCTACTGCTTAAATATAGCCTACAATATGAAACTGTTTATTGGTTAGTATCTCTCACCTAATAGCAAGCTTTTTAATGGTGAGAAGGGGTAGGAAATAGGACTGATATTTTTTTCTGCATTCCCATCACCTAGAAGAAGGGCTGACATGGAGCAGGCATTAAACATTTTCCCACATATTGTGGCATTAGCAATTTTTACTTCATATACATTTGGAAGAAGACATAGACAGGTAAGCTGAACTGACTTTCCTCTAGGGAGAAAAAATTCTATTTTATCACAGGAGAAAATATTTCACAATAATTTCTATAGTTGGACTTCTGATGTGTTTTCTAATTATACCTTAAGAAAAGCTAAAGTATCTAAGAAAACAAAATAACTTTTGGAAACATTTTCCTAACTTTGGAAAGAGTTTTGCTTGGGGTAGAGTGAAGTTCACTGGGCCTGACATGGTGGGGAGATTACATGGAAATCCTACCTTGTAAATGAACTCAGGTAACCAACGAAAGGGAATGCTAGACTTCCTGTGAAGTGTATTCTAACCCAGTTTCTTAGGGATCATTAACAGAGCTGTTTTTCAGTATGTACTTAGGCATCTTCAGTCCATAAAAAAGCTATACTAGAGGCCGGGGGCAGTGGCTCACGCCTGTAATCCCAGCACTTTGGGAGGCCAAGGCGGGCGGATCACGAGGTCAGGAATTCGAGACCAGCCTGGCCAACATAGTGAAACCCCATCTCTACTAAAAATGCAAAAAAAATAATTAGCCAGGCATGGTGGCACAGCTGAGGCAGGAGAATTGTTTGAACCTCAGAGGTGGAGGTTGTGGTAAGCCGAGATTGTGCCACTGCACTCCAGCCTGGGCAACAGAGCAAGACTCCGTCTCAAAAAAAAAAAAAAAAGCTATACTATAAGAAAATTCTTTAGCTTTAGCCCACTTGTCTTCTTGAATTTTATTCGCATATTTCTAGTAATTCCTTCTAGTATACTTAAAATACTTCTTCCTCATTGGCAAAAGCATCCTTTGTAGGTTTCCAGCATGTTCACCCCTATTAGTTGCTATCCTTACTTGGGGTCTATAATCTTTCCTTTGTGCCCTTTGTGTGCCATGACTTTCTGGTCACCCACTGATATATTCGAATCATTCTGACACAGAGAGCATTAACCCTACTGTTGTGTGGTGTTGGTTTGAGGTTCTTTGTGTAAAGCATGAATAAAGCTGATTTTTCTACTACTTTAGAACATCAATATCGTAGATTCATTGGATCTACTTGTATCTGCATTTTCGATCGTCTGCTACTAAAGTCTTGCTGTTTAAAAGGAGCTGCTGTTGGCCGGGCGTGATGCCTCACGCCTGTAATCCCAGCACTTTGGGAGGCCGAGGTGGGTGGATCACGAGGTCAGGAGTTTGAGACCAGCCTGGCCAACATGGTGAAACCCCGTCTCTACTAAAAATATAAAAATTAGCTGGGCATGGTGGCAGGTGCCTGTAATCCCAGCTACTCAGGAAGCTGAGGCAGGAGAATCATTTGAACCCGGGAGGTGGAGGTTGCAGTGAGCCAAGATCACACCATTGCACTCCAGCCTGGGTGACAGAGCAAGACTCCGTCAAAAAAAAAAAAAAAAAAAAAAGACGGTTTTCTTCCACTGACTTCATTCTTTATTCTGATAATACTTTAAATTAGGGAAGAATAGATTATTTGCAACTAGAGGCTACTGTGGTGGGTTCCTTGGTAGGTCAACAGGTTCCTTCTTGGTCTATCTGAGACTTTAGGGAATTTTCATTCTTTACTTATTTTCCTGGATCCTGAAAGGAGGTAAGGGGTCATGGCAGGAATTAGAAAACAAGTGAAAGCCACTTTTTATTAAGTAGGCACTAAATATAGAGGGGTGAAATCAAAGATTCCAGGGATGCTATGCTTGCACACCAGGTCTGCCATTCTAGCCCCGTGCTTTGTGTATGTCATAGTGTGTAGTTCAACGAAGACCAGTCCTTTGAAGAACTCACAGGGTAAAAGGCAGGAGCTCTAAAATGCAAGGCGTTTTCTTGTTTAAAGTTTCTGGTCAATATGCCTGAGTATCTAAGGGATGGCCAAGGGTATTGGCATAGGAGTAGAAGTGGAGGAGGTAAAAGAAGATGGAATGGTTTCAAGAAGTTATAGGCAGTCAGGGGACTCCTACCTGAATCCCAGAAGGTTGTCAGATGTTGCCTTAAGGGCATTTTATTTTAGTTATAGGTTTGGAAGAGTCATTTTAGCGTTGTTTCAACTTTTCTGGGGGGTGTGAGGAATAGGGAGACATGGGGAAATAGAAAAAGCTAAGGAATCAGAGCTTCACTGTTTTTTCTTTTTATTTTTTTTAAAGACACATTTTTCTCTTTTTCCAAATTAATGTATATTTGAAAACTTTGGCTTCTGGGTGGATCCCTCTGGATCTTGTCTAATGAGCATCCATGTATTTGAAGTGGTATCAGCATGCACACACCTTATGCTCTGCCTTTTGTTTTACTGCATGCTAGTTCATATATTCTGCATGTCAATATTGTTCAGTACTAGTCATTTTTAATAGCTATCTGTGTTGTGGCTAGTTAAGCTACTACATTTGAGTTGTCCTGTGCCTAAATTTTTACAGTTGATGATCTTTCTGATTTTAAAGATTGTATAAACTTACATAATGTAATGTAAAGTGTTTGCGTTGGTGTCTAAATTAGATGCTGGCTAAGGGTTGCCCTCTTTTCTTTCCTTTTGGTTCCCAATTGGATGCAGCCCCCAAACTTTGAGATTTCTGACTCCCAGCGCTCATCTCCAAAACCATCAATCCCAAGAAGGTGATTTTCATATAATAATTTTCTGCTCATAGTTTTAACCTCTTTTGGTGCGTTTCTATTATTTCTTTGTCCTTACTGGTGGTTACACCAGCTCCCAGTTTAATATCATTTGCACATTTCATTAATATGTGGCTTACTCTCTCTTTGAGATCCTTAATAAAGATGTTAAATTAGATTGTATCTGACATTGACCCCTGGGGCACTGCAATACTTTAACGATATCCCGTTTTCCTGTCTACAGTCTATAGAGTTCTTGCAGAATGTGCAAGGAGCAGCTTCAACCTGGGATAAATCTTCAATTTTAATTCTAAAGCAGAAGTCAAGTCATGTGGTTGGGGATAACTTGACATTGCCAGAACATACTTGTAGCTGCTAGGAAGTCATATTTTAGCAATTAAGTACAGGTTTGCCAGAATTCTATGTCAGATTGCCAATCTGCTGACAATTACAAGAGATAGTCTCTCTGTCCTGCTTACTGTATTTCAGTCAAACTGAGAAGGGTCTTGTCTTAAAAAAAAAAAATGAAACTAGGCTTTTTTATTTTAAGGCTTGCAATCACCTTTCACCAGGTTTTAAACAGCAGGCTTCTTCTGTGTTTCAAAGCAGATTTGTTAAAGGAATGGTTGTACCAATTCACCAACGTAGGCAGAATTCAGGGAAGCACACCAAGTGCCCCACTGAGAGTCCAGACGTGAAAGCCACTTTCAAATTTCAAGAATTTACAGCAAGTTCTTTTTTCAAATTGGAAACATTTATTTTTTTCTAAATAGCAAAGGTATAATACCCTATGATATTTTTGGCACAGAATTTAACTGTCTCATCATATTTGATTTAATCAGAGAAATCTATATATTTATATCAGATGCAAAATTTTTTCAAGTGAATTGAAGAATAATATCTTAAAAAATTAGGTTGCATTATCAAGTAAACTACAATGTCTATGAAATGCAATTGACTATGGTTAAATGAAATGTATTCTTTAATCATATACCTGTAAAGTCTTCTAAGTCCCTCCAAATTATCAACTATCTTAAACGTCACATGTTAGACATTCTCATCAATTTCTCTTGTTCTGCCTTAAAGTAAACTTCGTTAGCTTTGCAAAGATTTTGATCTCATCTTGGACATACATATTAAGACAATTCCTTAGATTTTAACAGAAAGAGAATGATTAAAGGAACACATATAACCAGAACTTGAAACTGGCCCAGTAAATACAATTTTTTTTTTTGGAACTGTAAGCATGACTAAAAGTGCATTTTGGCATCAAACGCAGAAGGTTGTGTACGTTCTACAAGGTGATGGAGGAAAGACGCGCATGTGGGGGTCCTCCCTTCCAAAGGGTTTTTTCACATGTGTATGATTCATTGTGTCTTGGAAAATACAGTTTCACCCAACTGGTTCCTTGTATTTGGGAACCTGAATTCTGAAGCACCCGAGTGAAATTCTCAATGTCGCCTCTACTCTCTCATTGCCCTACCCAACTCCACGAAGAATGACTGACCCCACCCACTTTAAGAAGTAAACAATGATTTGGGCAGTTCAGCCAAGAAACCAAAACAGATTAATCTCTGTGTGTAATGAAATGTTTAAATTAGTAGTGTTCGATTGGGTTGAGATTTGGTGGTAGAATTTAGATAGTTCCCTCAATTCCTGGCTTCTATTTTGGGTGAACAATAGGATATCAGAACATTATGTTATACTCTCCTGACCTCAAGGATCTAATAGTTTAACGGGCAAGATAAGGGTTGTGTAAGGAGGAGTTAGAATCAGATGAGATGATGCACAGTTTGATGCAAAAGCAAAACAGAGAAGGAGGCAATCAGTGTGAGAGGAGTTACTATTTCCGAGGCCTGGCCTTTGGCGCTCGGGTCTCCTCCTCTTATACCCTTTTGCTGCTTTGAAATCTGTTTATTTGTCTAGCGTCTTTTCCCTTGAGCTTTGAGTTCTTTTATCCAACTGCCTACTAAACAATGCCACCTTAAAACCCAGGAAGCCCACAGGGCCAACCTGGTGGTGGACCTTTCTCTTTTACTCTGTGCCGTGCTTAACACACTTCCTGGAGTAATCCAGCTTCAGTGTGGTATACTCAAACCAGTCGTCCTGCAAACGTAGCTGTAGATGTTCTGGCTTCCGTATACTGCTGAATCTTTAGCCAATTAATTTTGCCAAAGCACTTTTGATGAAGTTTGTAATACAAGGTAGACATTGACAGCTGTTCTAGAACCACTCCAAGCATCATCATGCTCTGTTGATCTCACTCATTCCACCTCGCAAAAATGAGATGTTCCTGCTGTAACTTCTTCATTCTTCCTTCTCTGCAAGAACAAATGCCAGGCCCAAATGTTTCCTTCTTGTTTCTAGAGGTGGAGAAACACTTTGTACACCAAGTCCTGGGGAAACAATGAGTAGATCTAGCCTCTTACCCAGCATATGGGTCAGAGAATGGGAAGAACCAAAGCGAGAGCAGCAGAGAGAAGCCTTCTTCTATTTTCCTATAAACCATGGCTGACTTTCTTCCTTCAAGTGGTGTTTGCTCACTTGTCATAACTGAGCAGACTATCATAAGCCGTATTTTTCTCAGATCTCCTGTTTATACTACTTCAATGCTAGAATAGGTACTTGTAGTTAAGGTTTGGTATATAATAAGTTATTTTATGTGGGGAGTATAATGTGGTTCTAATAGTCTATTTAGCCTGCTTTTTAGAATGGATAGTGTTGCTACTATTTAAATGTTATTCTAGTCCTTGAGCCAAAATGCTTATTAAAGTATGCAAACATAACTTATCCAGAGAATTCCTTAGACAACCAATAGACACACATTGAAGAGAAAAACATTGTTAAATTACTATTTTCTTAAGTTTTTTGGTTCACAACCTACCTAACTAACATCTTTCAGCTTGGAATTAGAATGAAATGCAAAGTGTGGCATTGATTTTGAATGCGTGCTGTGGCGGACAGAGACCCATGATAGAAATAGAATAGAATTCTGCACACACATATGAATGCACCCCAAGCATATGGGCATGTGGATGTATCAACCACTCTCCTGCACGTCTCTCCTTTGGCAAGGAACTGAATCTTGGCATCTTAGTTTCTACAGTTGTTTAATGGGCTTTATTGCACTTGATTTGTCTACCTCATAGAGTTTCTTTGTTAATCATCTATAAAAAATGCAAGTCAGGCCAGGCCGGTGGCTCACGCCTGTAATCCCAGCACATTGGGTGGCCGAGGAGAGTGGATCACCTGAGATCGGGAGTTTGAGACCAGCCTGACCAACATGGAGAAACCCCGTCTCTACTAAAAATACAAAAAAATTAGCCGGGCTTGGTGGCGCATGCCTGTAATCCCAGCTACTCGGGAGGCTGAGGCAGGAGAATTGCTTGAACCCAGGAGGTCGAGGTTGCAGTGAGCCGAGATCGTGCCAATGCGCTCCAGCCTGGGCAACAAGAGTGAAACTCCGTCTCAAAAAAAAAAAGGCAAGTCAGGTTGTGTCACTCTCCTTTGTTGAAGCTTTCCCTGAATCTTTTTTGTGGCTTTCTGTGAGTCTTTGAACAAACAAACATATCCTTACGATGACTTCAGGGCAGCACATGATCTGGCCCTGTTTCTCTCACTAGCCTCCTCCTTAATAACTCCTCTTGGTAATGACTTCTTTTTAGCCCCCACTGGCTTTCTTTTAAAACCTTGAATTCACCTTAGCATACCTTTCTGAGAGAGGCCTTCTGACACCTGACATCCGGAGCTAGGTTCCAATCCTCTGTCGTGCTGGGTCCACACCCCTACCATTCTGCACTAGGTTTGGTCTTGTCTGACATATGTTTGAAGAGCCCCTGAATGCCTCCTTCACCAGACTCATCTCAGTCGTGAGCAACTTAATTCTTTATCTGATTAGATGGTATTAGATTAAGACTGATCTTTTCTTCAGACTCTCATCCCCATCAGGGAAGGGCTGAGCTCTGACTTGTTGACACAGCCCTCCAGAACCCAGTAGACTACCAGACATGGAACATTTCGTAGGTGAATGAAGGAAGAGAATAAGATGATGCCAGTGATACCCAGTGTAAAACGGCAAACACCACTTACATGTAAAATATTAATTTCATGTGTTTGAACTGATCAATCACAGAAGCAAACACATATATGCCATTTTTGTAAACACTTTTACAAGTAGAGATTAACCCGTGGGCCAGCAGGAAGACTCTCTCAGGCAAGAGGTTAAGGAATTGTAGCACAATTCCCCATGGTTTTGGAATTTGATGTCTTTTTAACGGAAGTGCCTCAGTGTTCTATTTCCAAGGAAACTCATCAATCATAAGTGCCAGAAATGAAACATTTATTAACAAAAAAGAAATTCAGGTAATATGTATATTTGCTATTTCAGTCGTCGTGTTTCTTATTTCGAGGACAAATGCCTTCTCCAACTCTGTATTAACATTTTAAAATAATATTCATTTGCATTTTACTTCTTGATAGCACTTAACATCTGAAGGATTAGGAAGGAATTGTTCTAGCTGATAAGTATTGAATTAAACTTGGAGAAACATTTTTTATCTGATGACCTTCATCATGGTGAATCTGTTTAGGTTTTAGTGCAAATCAAATTTTTCAAAGTACTCTAGAGAGAGGTAAGAAGATAGGGTTTTTATCTCTGTAATAAATTTTGGATTTTAAAGACTTGTTTAAGACTTATTTGGCATAAGTCAGTTTAAAACTCAGTCTTTACATTTTCTTTAAAAAGGAATATTCAGTAAACCATTATGATTCTGAAGCAGAATAAAATTTGTTTAAATTCATAGATGAAAGTTGGTTTTGTAAGACTGTAGTTTTCTTTCTGAAAACATCCATTATAGGGCTATCTCATTGGAAAATTGAATTAAAAACAACCTTTCCCATTATATCTAAACATACACATAAAGTTGTTTGTTTGCACAGCATGACAATGGAAAAATAAAATGAAGCATTCTGAGCTAAATGTTTGGAGGTGATATCACTCTTTGAGAATTTACAGCTCAAGTTTAGGGCTGTTCTACAGGAAAGCCATGTGTTTTACAGACAAGACCATTTTTTTCCTTAATAGGTGGTCAGTTTCTGCAACAAGTAAACCAGAACGATTTTAGAGGTAAACAGAGAAGATAAGAAAGAGGGTGTCCATGTATTTTTTTTTCCTTCCGTAAAGTTCAGATCATGCATCATCTCTAATGAGCTTGATAAAGCATAGCAAGGCAAATGTGCCATAATTCATCATGTTTTCCATTTCAAAAGTGACAGGCAACCTACAGGAAAAAAAGTCTTTATTTTGTAACAATAAAAAAAGGAGGTGAGATAATCACATTTGAAATAACATCTGCAAAGGAACTCTTAAAGTCCACATCGAATATGAAAAATTGTCTTATATTGGGGTTTGTTTGGTTGACATGATGCCAAAAATTACCATGAGTGCCTGTAAGCAAAATGTTTGCTTTTAGTATTTAATCCAAATCTAGTAGAAAAAATTTAAAAATCTTTAAAAATTTTGACAGAGAATGTGCTCTTATTGTGAGAAATGGCAATACTTGGACTTGTTAGAAAGTTTCCATTAGCTTTCACTCAATAATGTTAAACATTACAGCACAAAATGTCAAAAGGTTTAGATCAAATTTATTCTGCAAAAAACCATAATGTGCTTATAGTAATTTTCTGAATGTTTGCCTATTTCTAAAAATGGCTCAACAAAATAGCATCTCAAAAATGCATCTCTTTTTGGTCCAACCATTTTCTTTGGAAATCAATCACATTTTCTTATACCATGGACCTGAGTATCTTAGACCTCACACAGAGACAAGAAGAGTTGGGAACCAACTCAATATATAGGATATAATCACATCTTTAATGCCTCAAGTCATTCTGCCTTATCTGCAAGTAAGTGAGGGAGGATGGAACATGGTTTGGTCACTGTAAGAAAAATAAAAGCTACTATCAAAAAGAAACGTTAATTTTTTGCAGTGTCTCAGAACTACAAACACACATTTAATCACAAAATATGTCACTTTTTCTAATAACTCAAGAAGTCAATTTGTCTTTACTAAGAATTTTAAGCATCATGTTTATTTAAAGTTCTAATCTGTGAAGTAATGAAGAAATAACAGGAATGGTATGTGGGATAGTAACTTTTTCTGTTTAGAATATAAGAAGTGTATTTACACAAAGACTTAAAATATAGAAACACATTTGGTTCTAAATAATTACAATTAATGAAGACCCTGAATCTTCATATTGAGGTACCGAGGTCAAAGGCTCTGCGGTTAAGTTGGAAGCTGTTCTTTATAACTTTCTTTGCACATTAGAACGCATAATATTTGGTAGATTTAGAGAAAAAAGTCTGGTGGGACTTAGAATCACTGAGTTTATATAGTATGACTAGATGTATACTTGCAGAGCAAATTCCATCATTGTTATATCCTTATGTATAAAACAATATCTTTTATATGTAACAATATATTTTATTTTATACTTATGAATATTAAATATTCTGTTTAATAACATTCCAGTTATAACAGCTCAATTTACTTGCCACTGAGTTATTAATATGCCACGGCATAGCAAACTTTTTTTTCTTTGGGTACTCAAGAGCTTCTTTTTATTATTGTCTTTGAGCTTTTTAACAGAAGAGAAAGAAAAAATATGATTATTGGCCAGATGCAGTGGCTCACACCAGTAATCCCAGCACTTTGGGAGGCCAAGGCGGGTGGATCACTTGAGCCCAGGAGTTGGAGACCAGCTGGGGAAACATGGTGAAACTCCATCTCCGCAAAATACACAAATATTAGCCGAGTGTGGTGGGGTGTGCCTGAGTCCCAGCTACTCGGGAGGCTGAGGTGGGAGGATTGCTTGAGCCCCAGAGGCAGAGGTTGCAGTGAGTCGAGATCACACCACCGCACCTCAGCCTGGGCAACAGAGCAAGACCCTGTCTCAAAAAAAAGGGAAAATATGATTATTTAAATTCATCTAGTCAACCCAAACTTTTTCTATATAATGAAACAGCATATTGAATTTTCCTCTCAAAAGTTTATTCATTTTTGTTATTCCCCCAAATAGCATTCCTTTAAGGACGATGGCATTTGCTTCCTTCTTCCCTGCTCTCTCAAATAGAGGTGGTTGAAAGTCCTTCCAGAATTCCCTTTCTTGTTTCTCCTACTACTTTAGGATCACCACAGATGATGAAGATGGAAAAGCTTCTCTAAAACATGGGCTCATTGTTGAAAATGATAGGTTTTACTCAAGGGGACTAATCAGTAATATGCCAGCCTCATATCAGGGACTGGGGACATTTTCTGTCATTGCAGACTCTCTGCATGATAAGTTTTTCAGTTCTCAATTCAAGGGAAGACCTTTGGTTGACTGCAGTGCGTATGCCTGACTGTGTTATATTTCAGCTGTTTCTCCTTTTCCTTCTGACCCCCTTTCCTTCCCAAAGACCATAATGTTCTTTCTTAGTTTAGGAAAAGAGTCACTTGAAAATTTGATCAAGGGCTCATACTTGAATTATTAACTCTTTCTTCTGATGCCCTAAATACTTACATTTCTTGATGTCCACACCTTTTCACAAATGCTTATCTTATTATTCCTTCTTACTTACTCTTCTGTGAATAAAGTCTGATGGATTTATTTTTTACCATTTTTAATGAATAAATGATTTCAACCATTACTTTTCCGTACTATTTTTATGAATAAATGATTTCAACCATTACTTTCCCTTACTTTTATATTTATTGTCAAAGACCACTAAATTATGTGGAACTGCAAAAAGGTTTTTGATATGATCTCTAGACTCTCATAGGATTTGAACTAAAATTCACAATCCAGGGTTTTAAAAAGAAGAGGAAAAACAGTAGTCTTAGTTTTTGACTCTTTTAAATAATACTCGTTTAGAATTAAGTTTAACATGGCAGAGTTAAATATCTAATGAAAAAGATCCACTGGAGTATGTGGTGAAAATTTTTCTGGAGATAGTAGGCTGAAAGAGGTTGGCATTTCACACACATCTTTGTTGATGGAGCTGGATTGACAAGGTGACAGTTTCTCCACAATTCCCAGAAAGACAAATCATTATTTTTATGGGGAGGGAAATAGGGTTGGGAAGGCACATTTCACAATGATACAATCCATTATTTAAAGATGTTAGTAACTGGCCTCTCCCCCATTTAATCAGAGGCATTGG
Source organism: Homo sapiens (assembly GCF_000001405.40). NCBI lineage: Eukaryota > Metazoa > Chordata > Mammalia > Primates > Hominidae > Homo > Homo sapiens. The sequence continues at coordinate 96,090,064 of NC_000015.10, read as the reverse complement.
GTCTTTCTTCAACGTTTCTGTATTTTTTTGAGGGGGGTGGGTAGGGGGATTAACCGTTTCCCAGCCAGATCTGCCAAAGGGTTATTGTTAACCAGTCAAAGGAAGCTGGCATCCCAACACACTGGCAAGGTCTTGCCCATGGCTCTTTTTCTCCGCCTGTTAACTTCATCACTCTCCAGGTGTGGTGTGAATGGAGAACATGTGGCCCAGCAGTTGCCAGAGGGCACGTTTTCTAAGCTCAAAGTCAGAGGCCATTGGGCTGAGACTGCCAAGCTTTGGAACATCAACGGGGATGTAGTTGGAAAGGAGTCTATACAGACGGTATGGCTAGTGCTTGCCAATCTCTGAATTGTTCTTAAGTGGACCCTTTAGGACGGACGCCCCGCTACCATTTCCATGCTTTGATAACAGCAGTAGTAAAGGCAGAGTGCAGATAGATCATCATGGTTTAGTCTATAATGTCATATCCAAAAAGAAACAGAAAAAAAAATACCACCAAGCTCTATTTCTGGCCTCAGGATTTGGGGAATTACCAAATGTTTGAGCTTCTACTAATTCAGGCAGCGAAACTAATAATCCAGCAAGTATCTGTGTTGTTTTGCAGAAGGCAAATGCGCTGGCTGGGAAATCCTATCAGACTGTACCATTCCCAAACCAGGCAACAGACAGCCTTTAAATGATCTTGGGAAGAAGGAGGGGCTGGCCAAGGTGTTGTAAGATTAAAAGAAAATAAAATAAAAAATAAAAAAGTTAAAAAATTTCTTTTTGTGTTAAAAAAAAAAGCATGTTAAAGCTAATTTTATTTAATGTTCTGAGAGGAAGCACAGAAAAACCAAAGGTGTTGGCCTTCCGGGGTAGGACTGTGGAAGTGATGGTCAAGCAGCTTTGTTTAAAGATGCTTACGAGAGGTATTTATTTCAATCGGGGCATAAACTTCCTTGAAAGTGTCTTTTACCCCTCGCTTCCGCTGCCGAACGTTCTCCTACCCAGATGGGTATCAGAAAGTGAGGTTCAGGTTTTGGCCTGCTGAGCCAGGGGAATACTTGGTCTAACCATTTACAACAACTAGATTTTTCCTATTCCAGTGTAGGAAACCTAATTACACCCTGGTAAATTCTCTTCTGTCTACCAAACACAGAAAAAAACAGTGACAGAAACTGAAAGGCCAGAAAAGAGAAAAGAGTCCCTAAGACCTAATGAATCCAAACTAAACACCTCTCCACAGAAATGTCAAACATTTCTCTTAGCACAAAACAAGGCTTAAAGAATTCCCTGCTTTTGTCTCTGGCCTAATTCCTTAAGCAGAGAGGGGGATTTTCCTCTGGGAGTGTTATTTCACAAAGAACGAAACAGCAAATAAACAAAAGACTCTCAAAGAGAGAGAGAGTATAAATAAAATTCATGACTCCTTAAAGAGTTTACACTGAAAGAATGTGGAGGATTATTTGCAATTAAAGCAGAGCCTCTAGAATACAGTTATTATATATATATATAGATTTATATATAAAGACTGAGAGTTCATTTCATTTTCTTCACAAGAAAACTGCACCTAGATACCCTTGTTTGTAAAAAATCGTGAAACTTCATTTTATTGAGATCTTTTTGTTGTAATTTTTGTCACGTATACATATATTTTGACTTTTTAATATTTAAAACTTCTTACATATGTAGCCTAGCAATTCCTAATTAATTTATATCTTTTTATAAGAAAGCTACAGGTGATGCATGTTGCAATTTGATTAAAAAATAAATCAGCCTAAAAGACAAAGTTCCAAGAAAAAGTGGTTGTTTTTTTTTTTGGCATGTGTGTGTTTAAAAGCGTTTTCCTACATTTAACAAACACCTTTAAAATGAGTGTTTTCAGTGTTGAAAATATTCTTTTGGTTGAACAAAAGAAAAGTTGTAATCTATTAAGAAGTTTGAGTTAACAGAAAAGGAGGAGAAAGGACAAATTTAGAACTGTCTAGTTTCCTGGAAAAATCATATCATAATACAATGGGTAGTTAATAACAGAAATGAGGTTAGAGAAGGGGGAAGGTGAATATGAAACAAATGCAAGATTTCAGTATTAACGTAATAGGCAGACAGAAATAAATGGTTATTAAGACAAAGCAGCAGAGGCTAAGGAAACTAGTTGATTGTAAATTATAGAGCAATTAGTCCTCTTTTCAAGTGTGTGTGTGTGTCTGTGTGTTTACCAGGCATTTGAATTCTACTTTGAGTGTGACTTAAAACAATGTGCATAATAACTTTAAAAGCCGTGGTACAAGGGCCATATAGGCAAGAGGAGTTTAAAGGTAGAATCCTAGTAAAAGCATGGTCTTCTAGAGGGCTTAAGTCATGGGCCTGGGAGATGGGGCCAGGATTTAGTGCTTGCAAAGTTTACAGCAGAGTTTAGATTGAGTCTTATCCTGACATGCCTGTCTCAGTGAAATATCTGAAACATTTGGCCCCATGAGATTAAAAGAACAGTGCTTATATTTAGCATCTGCTGCCCCCAACTCCAACTTTGCTACTAATAAAATTCAGCTCTATGGAAAAGAATTTGAATTCCAGCTGGGCAGTTTTCAAAATAAGATGAAAAGTTAAGCAGGCAATTGGTGTGTATTTAGGGCTCAAAACACCTTGCCCCCTAAGAAGACTTGAAGGAGTTAATCCCTTCTCAAGATAATCCACTAAAGAGCATCCTTCATTATGATGTTAAAAGCAAGGATCAGTGCCGAGGAGTCTAACAATAGGACAGGGGGCTTTTCAGTCCCAACCACATTCTTCCCAGGTTAGAAACAGAAACTGCTGTGATTTCAGCTGAAAAACAGAGTAGGACTTTTCTCTTATGTTAAATATTCAGATGGAAGGAAGGGGGGAGAAATCTACCACATTAACTAAATTCCTCATTGGAGAGTTTTTCTTGGCAACTATCTTTTTTATGTTTTAAGAAATGATTGCACTGTCATGATAGGAATCATTCTATAACCCAACAGTTACACAGTTCATAATCACTTTTGATTTCATAGAAAAGCGGATTTTTGATTAAATTGTGTTCAATGACCCCTCCCCCTGTAATATTCAATGAACATAAAAGTCACCATAAACTTTTACTAAAGCTGCACCCTAACATTGTAATTTGGTGAAAATTTATCCTTTAAGATATATTTTATATTTTTGGTCAGATATTTATTTCTCAAAGATTCTTAATCATCTTCTATAAATAACAAGACAAAGTATTTAGTGTTTGTAAACAAATGAATATTAAAAAAAACTTGATTTTAAAATCTAGTATTTACTATATTTTAGTACTTTTTAAGTATTGTATTTAAGTAAATACAATTTACTATTTGAAAAGGTCTAAATGTTGTTGTTTTCAAAATATTTTATAAGTAATTTTTTAAATTAAAAGGATGTCTGTAAACATCTTAACTATAAGTTCATCTCTTAGGTAAATCAGATGGAAAAGTTGGGCCGTTCCACGCTAAAGGAAATGTTTCTTTAAAAAATTTCCTTTTTATTCAAAGTATAAACACAGTTTTGAAAGACATGTTTGTTTTTAAGGAACTTTATTCTGACCAAATTGGATCAAGACAGGGAAAGATTTTTTTAAGAAGTGTTTTTCAAGGGAAATCAACTGCATGCATAAAAGTATGTCGTCATTGCCTCCCATGAGCTCTGCTGTGTGCCTGTGATGTTCCATGCAGCTGGCCTCTGAAGACCTGGGAGCTGAGGTTGCCGCCCTGAAGGAGCTGGAGGTGGACAAGCCCCTTTTGGGGAATTCAGCTGGGCATGTGTTGGGGTGACAGTAGATCACTGGAACGAGTGGGACTATTTAAAAGAGGAAGAGGCAAAGACTGCTGTGATTTGGATTTGGTGGGCTCAAAGAGTCATCTGAAAACCCTAGTAAGACAAAGAATTTGAAAGAGAGAAGTGTATCTATAATATATAAATAGAAGTCTTTGGGACATGGGTGAAGACTTCATATATGGATATATAGCTCACAGCTGGTAAGCCATCACGAAGCTGGTGATGTAGTAAAGGCAGAATTTTAAACAGAATTTTATGAATGTTTTATTTTCATGAGAAACGTCATGGAAGGGGAAAGATTTTGGGGGTAAGATTTGTTTCCTTTTATGTGTTATGTGGGAATAACTACACTTGAACTCCAAGCTAGTATGAAGATTCTTAGAGCGCCTGTCAAAGCCCGTTATCTCAATACACCCATAATAAAGAACAGAGGTCTGAAGTTTTCACAGACCCTTTGTGTCCTCATTATGTGACTTTAGGCAAGTCCCCTTGTCTTCCTAAGTCACAGTTTGTTGTCATCTGTCAAGTGAGAATGGTATCAACTCACAGAGTTGCTGAGAATATAAAATAATATGGTCCATAAATAACCCAGTGCTTGGCTCATGTAAGACCTCAATTAATTCTTGCTTTTGCCAAAACAACAATTAAAATATACATACTGCAAAATGTCAGGCATATAGCAAATGTGCATGAAAAATCAGATTCTCTTTCTTGTAAATATATGCTTCCTTTTTTTCTTTCCTTTTCTTTTTTTTTTTTTTTATTTTTTTGAGACAGAATCTCGCTGTGTCCCCCAGGCTGGAGTGCGTGGCGCCATCTCGGCTCACTGCAACCTCTGCCTCCTGGGTTCAAGTGATTCTCCTTTCTCAGCCTCCCAACTAGCTGGGATTACAGGTGTGAGCCACCATGCTCGGCTAATTTTTGTATTTTTATCAGAGACGGGATTTCACCATATTGGTCAGGCTGGTCTCAAACTCCTGACCTCAGGTGATCCACCCGTCTTGGCCTGGGATTACAGGTGTGAGCCATTGCACCCAGCCCGTGCTTTCTATTTTAAAGGAAAGTAATATGTGTAAGGTTAATTCAAGGCATACAAGTGTCACTAAAGATTTTGATCTTGGAATCAAAGCATTTCTCTTAGCCCATATACCTGCAGCTGAATTTTACTGAAAATATTTTGAAAATTAATTCATTAATTAATGCCAACTCGTCATCTCCCTATACTCTCCCTCTATCCTTATACTACTGGGGAGAGCAAGTCATTGGACAGTCAAGGCAAATAGCCATTTTCTCGAATTTTGGATCCTGAGAGCTGTGAGTGTTACAGTCAAGTGGCTCATATTTGATCTCCTTCCTCCGTCCTCAAGGTTTAGGCAGAATCTAGCCTCTTTACCTTTTTACTCTGGGATTCCTATTTTAAGTCATTTAACAGAGGACTATTGCTAACTCAGGGACAACACTTCCCTCTGACATGAATTTCATTTATTTATCGTACATTCATTGAGCAGCATTTATCATAAAACAAAACAGGATTTGCATACAATTTGCTTTTTATTGTTTGTCACCTCATTTTATCCTTTCAACTTTCATGTAAAATATTATTCCTGGTTTTATTTTAATAGAGGAAAAAAAAAACAGATTTCAAATGTGCCCGTGGACTTCGAGCTGGTGCGTTCAGTGGCAAAGCTGGAATTCAAATCTCAGGGCTCCTGCTCTGGGCTTCTTCTCCATGAAACTTGGAGGTAAGATGGAGGTCTTCTTCCACTTGGTTCTCCAAGCTCCTGACATCCTGGAAGTCTAAGGGGTTGCTGGTGGGCTTGGACTGTTTTTTTTTTTTTTTGAGACAGAGTCTCGTTCCGTCACCCAGGCTGGAGTGCAGTGGCGCTATCTCGGCTCACTGCAAGCTCCGCCTTCCAGGTTCACGCCATTCTCCTGCCTCAACCTCTGGAGTAGCTGGGACTACAGGCACCCGCCACCACGCCCGGCTAATTTTTTGTATTTTTAGTAGAGACGGGGTTTCACCGTGTCAGCCAGGATGGTCTCGATCTCCTGACCTCGTGATCCGCCCGCCTCGGCCTCCCAAAGTGCTGGGATTACAGGCGTGAGCCACAGCGCCGGGCGGGACTTGGACTCTTAGCTGTATTAGCTGCTTTATGAATGGGGAATTCTGGCTTCCACCACTGTTCTGAGGGACTCTGCAGTCAGGTCTGGAAATTATAGTTACTCCTTAACAGCCACTCCCCTGAGTGGGCTGAGGAATTGGGCTAAAGTCCTAAACATGGGGCTTGTGCACCTGCCATAGGACAAAATGTCCTGTAAGCGAATGACTTAGACTTCTGCCTTGAGGAGAGAGGGTAGGTGGGGTTGGGAGAGTACCTTGACATTGCTTCGGGAAGCTGTATTCCCTAACAAACAGGTCAAAGATTGAATCTGAATATTTTTCACCTTCCTAGAGTATCATGCATTGAATAAGTGTTCAATAACTACTAATTGAATTGAATTCATTTGACAAAATAAAAGAAAAAAGTATGGGTCAAGAAATTTTCTTAGGTTAAGAAGCAATCTTGAATTCACAGCTTAATCAATAATGATTTGCAGATTCATTATTCCCCAACTCTCAGTCGGTACTTCTGGCTGCTTAGTTATTTTTAAACCTTTACTAGGTACATAAATACTTCCCTCTTTAATGAGAACGAAGCTGGGAAGCCGGTGCTCTATCATTAAGTTCCATTTTATTCACAAATGTTTCAGTTTGTGGATTGCCCTTTAAAAAGTCATTAATTTATCACCATTTTTCTTATCCTCTTTAAAAATAAGGAAAAGAAAAAGGAAGACACTCTTACTGGTCAGAGGAGAGAACACAATTCCTTCAGTGGAACCAGTAATTCAAGCTACTGCATATGCCAATTAAAGACCAATCTGGGGAAAGGTGGATGCCCTGGGCTCCATCTGCCATTCAACCACTGATTACGGCCTTGTACGGATGGACTTTCAGCAGCAGGAACCCAAAATCATTGGTGAAATAGGAAAGCTATTGTACAGATATTAGAAAAATAAGACCTTCACAGTCATCAGAAAAGTTATCACTTAATGTCATGTGTCATCAGTCCTTTCTTGTGATTGATTATGTTTGTATACATGCACTTGAAATGTGTTTTTAAAAGAGTATTATAAGAGATATTTTTCCAGTAAGTACAATAAGCATTCAATAGTAGAACAAATAGAACATTGATATCTCATTATTAGTATTGCTCACATGTGTATTATGAGGCAGAATTAAAGCTGAAATGCAATAAGAGCCATATTTTATCATAATAGATATTTTTCATTTTCTGAAATAATATAATAAAATAATGTGGTTGGTTAAAGTATGTACACACAGGCTATCAATTAAGATGTTTTAAATTTAATTAAATATTAAATAATAAAAGCCACAAGGGGAAGTAAGGGAAGTAAGACAATTCTTTCTTTAACATACAACACATTTAAATGTTTTCTGATAATTATAGAAATATCAAAATCAGATCAATCTTCATACCTCAGAAAATTAAATGATTAAATACTGGAGACTATTAAAACAAATAAAACTGTTTATTCCACAACTTTGCACAGCTAAAAAAAAATCTTCTATCATGTCTAGAAACATGTTTCTGACATATGCACACCTCACCAGCATATCTCAGGTTATTATACACCTCCAACCACAGCCTCACGGTGGCAGGCAGTCAGTAAGATGGACCCCAGTGATCCCTGCCTCCTGGTATTCACAGTCTAGGGTAATCTCCTTCCCTTGAGTGTGAGCCTGTGGCTTACTTCTAACCAATAAGAGTACAGCAAAAGCAATGGGATGTCAATTCTGTGAGTATGTAAAATTGTAACTTCCATCTTGCAAGCCAACTCTCTTCTTTGCTGGCTTTCATGACGCAATATACCATGTTGGAGGGGCTCGCGTGGCGAAGAACTGAGAGGCCTGTAGGAACAAAGTCCAATAGCCAGGTAGGAAGGAGTCCCTCAGTCCCACAACCCAAGGAAACTGAATTCTGTCAACTAACACGCATGTAAGTGAGCTTGGAAGTGACTTCTTCCCCAAGTGAGTCTTCAGATGAGGTCCTAGCCAACTTTTTGATTGCAGCTTGTGACAGACCCTGAAGCAAAGGACTCAGCTAAGTTGTGTCCTAATTCCTCCACTGTGAGAAAATAAATGTGTGTTTTTTAAAATGCTAAATTTGTGGTAATTTCTTATTCAGTAATAGATAGCTAATACATGCGTGTACATACAAACACACGCACACACACTGTATTTGGCTTTCACACTGAGGAGAACACAGTTAGTAGGCCCTTTTCATGTGGCTTTTAAGGAGGCATAATTACTTTTCTTCGTCTGTGATCCACCTTTGTGTTCTTCAGGTTCTTTTCCAGGCCTTTGCCCCGAGTGTGTGGGGGACCAAAGGGACGTCATGCTATATGGATGGTATTGCAAATTCATATCCTTGGATCTGAAAGTAGTCCTAGAACATATCCTAAGGAGATCATCTATCAAGATTAGAGAATTTCCTTCATGATGTTGTTTATCGTGGCAAAACTAGGAACAACCTGAATACCAGTCCCTCCAAGAAGCTATTGAATAATATGGGTATCCCTGTTCAGGAAAAATGCAAACAAACCACTAAAAAGAGTAAAATAATCTTTATTGATATGAAAAGATGTTTAATGTTTACTATTACATTTTTAAAAGAAGTTAAAAATCTCATTAAAAACTAGTTTAAAATCCACTCTTATTCCATGCTTGTATTATAGATAATATATATGTAGTTTTTTTTAAGTAGAAAAATTTCTGGAAAAACACTTATTAAAATGCTATTTGTTTTCTATGAATAGAGTAAAACCAGATAAGTGAAAGAAAATACCCGTGTTTTCTATATTTTCTACGATGTTTATTCCTGAATAGATGTTTCAAGGCTTTCATTATGTTCATAGATTAATTGAAGTGAATGGAAACTGTTTCTTAGACAACCTAAAATATATCCCAATTCCAAAGTCCAGGTCTGTCTTCATTGCTTCGAGTGCAGTTGTATGAAATACTTCTCAGTGAGGCCAAATTTCTTAATAATGATTAATTCCAGTTTCATTTTTCACCCTCTTCATTCCATTTGAGAAGAGTAGTGGAAAGGAGTATGGTACCATACCCCACACTTTAGACCTATGGTCTTGTAGAACTTCTTAGGGATCTACTTTGATAAAAATTTAATTTGCTGGTTACATCAGATGATGTCACACAGTTAATGAGCATTCTCTCCTATGCTGTACCTTCTCTGTTCTACTAATATAGCTATGGTCAATTTTTCTATCATGGAGAAGAATCTGTGGATAACTCCTACTATTTTTCTGGAAGTAAAAATTTAACTGTTATGTCGTAGAAAATTCAAATATATATGATTCCTTTGTATAAACTATGTACACATATGATTAATCCATTGATTAACACCTGTTTTCAGTAATGTTAATGCCATCTTGATCATAACATTTAATTAAAAGGTGACAAATGTTAGTTAAGTAAGCTGGATACTGTACTCAATAAATATATATGCTTTTAGAAACATTAAAACACATGCTATCACCAAACCACATAAGTGGTGCCCTTTGAAAACTAAATTACCAACTGGTAGTCATTGCTTTTTTTCTAAGATCTATTGTTCAGAAAAGATCCAGAAAACACACACACACACACACACACACACACACATATACTTGTATGACTTTAAAAAAATCCCAATCTTCACTTTGTTTTCTAGAAGAGTCACATGTGACCAGTGCCAATTTAAGGTTTATTGTTAAGCCGTTCCTCATTTTTACTTGGCAGAAACAAAAAAATATGTTGCCAACACAGTAGTATGTTCACTCCTTTATAAAGTTGAAAGACTCGCATGTGACAGACATAATTAGAAATTTAATCATTAAGTATCTGCTAAAACAAGGCTCACTTGATGAACCTCATCTTTTTTCTATGATAGAGAATATTCCATTCAACTCATGATGTAGATGAAATGGCCTATGTTTCTTTACTTGATCATGCCGTCCTCCTACCCAGCAATGAATCTCACTTGCATCCAGCCCTTCAGATTTCTTTCTTAGTCCCATGGGACAGGGTTTGCATACCTGGGCACAAACAGTAGAGAATGTCCCATGTGCCTCCTAGAAGAACCACTTGTATGAGGCCACCAGTCACATTCTTGGCCGTGCACTGAATATTTTACCAAAGACAAACATTCAGAACACCGTGCCTTCAGATTGAAGGCTTTCCTCAACTGCTTCAGAAATAAGCAACAAGAATTTTATTAGTCAAAGACATGTCTACTGAAGAAATGCAACAGTGATTTTATTGCTGCCTAAGTGGGAAGCTTTACTGTTTATATATTTGTTTGTTTGTTAATCATTCCATGGTACTCAAATGGATGATATAAAAATGTTAAAGATACATTTGTTTTGAAAAGCTTAAATAATTTTGTGAAAACATTAAAAAAATAAGTTTTATTGGTTATGTCGACCATCTTGAGAAGCTTGGAGATAGCACAAAAGATTTGATTATTAATTATTAATACTAATCATTAGTAATTATATTTTTTAATCTTGAAGGTAAAACAAAACCCTGCCATTCATCATAAACAATTGCCTTTGATCTTTTGAGCATTTATACAGAATATGCATCATGGATCTTGAAGGTTGTCTTGTTCTAGATGAATATGTCATATAATGGCATTTTCGAAGAAGACCATAGAAACTTCTTTTTTTCAGAATCTCATTGCACAACACACTCAGTCTTTTCTTTTCATATATTGTCTGAAATGACCAGTTTCTTCCTTTCTCCAAAATTCACAATGCTTGTTAATCAACAACTTTTGAGGCATCTCATTTTATACCAATTATCTCTAAGTCTTAACAGTGTCTCTTTGGTACCCAGCATACGTATCATTTCAAGTTTCAGTTCTCAAGTCTGATAAAACTAATAAACCCACACTGCCAGAGGTGGCACATTAAGCTGGTAAAATGGTTTTCATCTTAATTGGATATGAGCACGGTTATCGCTAATAACCCCAGGATACTTCTAATTGGAGTCTCTCTCTCTCTCTCTTTTTTATTTTTGAAACACTAATCTCATTGACCAGCCTTAATTCCTCCATCCCCCATTCCTCCAACCTAAACCTTGAAATGCAATATAGAAATATTCCGATTTCAGAGGGTTATTGCAGTACTATTTCCTTATACTAAACCAAAAAAGGGTAAATGATTTTGTGAAAATAAATGCTTCCTTTTAAAGTTTTTAGAAAAAGAAAGTGTAGTAAGACTATGGTATTGAAATTGCAATAATGTCTCAAATGCAGTTAAGTTAGCTGCCAGCTTTACCTAAGGACACTAAATTCTCAACTTTGAGACATTTTTAAAAGGCAATAATCTTATTTGTTTAATTTTGTATTATAATTTTAGGGCAAGCTGTATATCAGAAGGAAACACTATTTAAAAATGATCACATGCATAATTACTAGATTTTTGTATTTGAGATCAAATACATTATTTGAATTTACAAATATTGGTGACTGTATATGAAAATTATAGAAACTTTGTTGTTGACATTACAGTTAAGACATGACAAGATGTGACAGGTTTCTTTCCATAGATAGCTGCAGTTTCCTTGCAGAGAAAGACACTCTGGCAAACACACAAGAAGATTAACACTTGAATCAGCCATTCCACAATATCGATTTTAAACTAAATTTCAACATGTAAAATCAACTCCAATTTTTCTTCATACTGTTTTTTTTAGAGTTGGTGGGCACAGACTTGACACCAAAAGAATAAGATAATAAGTAAAAGTTTTAGGAGGATTTAAACAAAAAGAAAGAACAGAAAAAATAATTTTCTGATTCCACAAACCAGGAATTTTTTCCCCAGTAAAAGGTAAAAACTGAAAACTGCACGTTTTAATTGTTAAGAAATGACATATGAGCCATTCACTGGCGGAAATGATTCATTTTTAATAGACATAATATATTTTTCTGGAACAATATGTATTTTATCAGCTGACTGCGGGCCTTTATAATTATTATTACTATTCCCATATAATTAAAAGCCTTTACGTAGATATCATTAAATAATTATGGATCTGCAAAAGAAATGCTTTACCCATTTCTACAATCCATAAAATGATGATTGAAAAAACTACTCATTAATTTATATTTACATTATGGCAATTAAACCAGCAGTACCTGGAGCACAGATGAAGGTAGATCAAAGGGCTTTTATAGACAGAGGGTTTTATATTATCAAAGCTGTAGTGACATCACATATGCCTTCTACGCTGACTTAGAAAATTCCGTATTGTTGTGACTCTGAAAGACAGCCAGACTATCAGTCATTTGTCTTTTTTTCGGTGTATGTATATAATATAGGATATATGTAAATGCATACGATATATATAAATACGAACAAAGTAAAACATACACATATGTGTGTATATATGACATACAGGATATATATAGAGAAAGGGATGTATGTATTATATAAAACATACATGTATATACTTGTACTCACACATATACATATATAATGATTGTAAAAATGATGATGATAGTGATGATGATGATGATTTTATAACTGGCAAGCATTTTAGTTCTTTTGGTCCATATTCTTGGTTTCTTCCTCTTTGAAAGACCAAAATTACATGATTTCCTCATGAGATTTTTGAAACAGAAAAGCATTTCCCAATCTCAACATAAGAGAGACCACTCTTCTCCCCTTTTCTTTTTTTTTTTTTTTTTTTTTTTTTTTTGAGATGGAGTCTCACTCCGTCACCCAGGCTGGAGTGCAATGGCGCGATTTTGGCTCACTGCAACCTCCGCCTCCTGGGTTCAAGTGATTCTCCTGCCTCAGCCTCCTGAGTAGCTGGGAATACAGGTGCCTGCCACCACGTTGAGCTAATTTTTGTATTTTTAGTAGAGACGGGGTTTCACTATGTTTGCCAGGCTGGTCTCAAATCCCTGACCTCTGGCTATCCGCCCCCTTCGGCCTCCCAAAGTGGTGGGATTATCGGCGTGAGCCACTGCGCCTGGCCTCTTCTCCCCTTTTCTTGAAGGAAGGAGAAAGGGAACAAACTCAACATCCCCATTTCTCCCTCTTGTAGCGTGGGCAGTGTCAGACTTGCTTCTTTCTGTTTTCAGGCAGTTGACACTCATCTAGCCCCGTGGTCAGAACAGACTGTAAGGCACACTGCTGGTCACTGTGGAGACACGGACCCTACCCTTAATAAATGCATAGTTTGGTGGTAGAAATGTAATCTATCCACACAGTTTTAAAAAGGTGATGAAACTATAAGGTGAAATATAGAGCTACATGGGTCATTAAAAGCAGTTATGTCTAAAACTTTGACCAAATATTGTTATCAGTAAGAAGAAAAGCCACACATGTAGTCTTGCTTTATGTATATGCATTTATGGGTTATACAAATGTTACATAATAAGACATTTCGTGCATAAAACAGACAAAATAATCATTGAAATAAGATGAAAAACAATATTAATAGCAGTTCTAATATTCCTTCTGCACATCCTGTGAGGTCCTTTGCCTCCTCTCAGAACCACGGATATAGAAAATACATGTCATGTCTTTTGGTGCTTGTTGTGGAGTGAGTCATTGTGTTCTGCTTCATAGATGTAACGGGCAAGGGGTATTCTATACTAAGGGAAGTAAGAGGGATACAGAAAGCATTTCCAAATGTCAAGTGGTAAATCCCTCTTACATCATAACTGCAAGTTTCTACCATTTCTTAAGCTGTAGCGGCTTTTATCTTCACATCTTTCCCAACTCCTATATAACAACAGTTTTACTCCCAAGATATTGAACTCTACGCTCCCGCTCCTCGACATTTCCCTTTTCCAAAACCCCGGTTCTTAGTCTTCTACCTCTGTTATTTCTTCTACTTGAAGAGTTGCTTTACAATGTCATCAAAAGTACTGTATTCAGCTTTCTTCCTAAATTTTGCATTCAAGGTCAGGATCAGTTAAATAATTTGCCTAAGGTCAAGCAGACTGTGATGAATGGGATAAGAGCTTATGTTTTCTCTGCCACTGGCACCATCTTCAGATTAGGGCCAGTATGATGGTCGTATGCAGATTATTCATTCAACAGGTGACTTATGGGTCACCTGTTATAGGACAGGTGTTGTCCTGGGCTGTGGGACACACTGATAAATACGATACACTAAGCTACTCTAAAAGGGAAAGCTCATATTCTAAAAGGGAGTGAGGTGAAATAAACAAACATACACAAATAAAAGAGCAAGGTAATCTTAGAGAGTGGTAAGAGTTTCAGCAATTAAAAATATATATTGTGTGTGCATGTGTGTGTGTGTGTGTGTTATTTAGGTGGCCAGGAATATCTCTCTGTGAATGTGGAATCTGAGCTGAAACCTGAGTTATATAAAAAAGCTGGTGTGAAAGTAAGGGAATAGAGAATTTCAGGTAGAAGTGAACAGCAGGTTTTAGAAGCCTAAGATACAAATAAACTTTCCATGTTTAGAGAACATAGAAACAACTGTGGTAGCTGGGTCATGGTGAGAAGAGCAGAGTAAGATGAGATTAGGTAAGCAGGGGCTAGATCATGTAGGACCAGGACAAAGAGTTTGGATTTCCTGGCAAATGCATTAGGAAGTTGAGGGAGATTTTAAAGCTGGGGAGTGACATGGTCTTATTTGTACGGTTTAAAGACCACTCTTGCTGTCATGTGGGGCATGGCTTCTGGAATAACAAAAATGGCAGCAGGGAGACTAGCTAGGACGCTATTTCAGGAGTCCAGGCAAGAGATAGCGGTTCTGTGGATGAAGGTTGTAGCAGTAGAGGCAGAGAGAAGTGGTGAAGGAGACAAAAGGACTTTTTGAAGGATTTAATGTTGGCAGTGTGGGAAAGAGGAGAATCAGACTCCTCTAGGTTTTTGGCTACAGTCATAAACTAAGTATACCTAGTACACCATCTTACACTAACGTGGGGGAGAGTGGAAGTTTGGGATTAGGAAATCATGAGATCTGATTTAGCCAGTTAAGTTCAAGGATATATATTTGGGATCTAGGTAAAGATGTCCAGTAGGCAGTTGGATACAGGAGTCTAGAGCTCAGTGGAAAGGCAAAGCCTGGAGATAAACTTTGGGAGTCAGAAGCAGATGAATGGTGGTTAGGGCCAAGGAACTGAATGACACCACCTAGGGTGAACATATAGTCAGAGAAGACTATATATTCTCTGACATATAGGGCCAGGGTTATTGCAACAATTACAGTTGAATCAGGGCAAGAGGATCCATCAGATCAAGAGGATCTCAGCTCAAAAGAGCTGAGAAGGAACATGCATGGCATGGCTGCATGCTGTCTAAAAGAAAGGACCCAGAGTCTCCCAAATTGTATTTGCAAAAACACAGAAAACATCTCATCAAGCACATATTATGGAATTGCAATAGGTTTAGAAACATAAAATAATTAAGACTTCCCAGCAGGGCCCGGTGGCTCACGCCTGTAATCCCAGCACTTTTGGGAGGCCAAGGCGGGTGGATCACAAGGTCAGGAGTTCAAGACCAGCCTGGCCAAGATGGTGAAACCCCGTCTTTATTAAAAATACAAAAAAAATTAGTCGGGCGTGTTGGTGGGCACCTGGAATCCCAGCTACTTGAGAGGCTGAGTCAGAGAATTACTTTGAACCCGGGAGGCAGAGGTTGCAGTGGGCGGAGATCGTGCCACTGCACTCCAGCCTGGGCAACAGAGCAAGACTCTGTCTCAAAAAAATAAAAATAAAAATAAAAATAAATAAATAATAATTAAGACTTCCCATCTACTGAGAAAGCAAGATAGAAACTATAAAGTTTACAGTGCAATTTAGTATCATAATTTCCCTTTCTCTGCTGAACCTATAATACCGTATCCTGTTTCCTGATGTCTCAGCAGACAACTCAGACTGAGGGACTGATTTCTGGGTCCTGCAGTTGCTGTCCCGCTAGGTTTCACCATGGTGTGATACTGCATTCAGCTAAAGACAGTGGGATGAGTAACTTGAAAGCTTGTAGGAGTCAATGCCCACAACCAATGTGTCTTAGGTTGGGAAAGGAAGAAGTTGCAGCTGATCAAGCCCCCGGGTGGTGGGAAGGTGATAGTGCTTGGAGTGGGGGTGTCAGGGACACAGATGCTCAGGAGGAGGTAAAACTCAAGGGGAGCCCAACTTGAGTTTCCTTTCTAGTTTCCTGGAAAGAACTTGCTACTCCTTTCCACTTCCTTGCCATTCGCCATGTCACCTGCACCCAGCTCTCAACTGCGACTCTCTTTCTCAGAGCCTCCAGTGGGGTTTCTGTAAGGAATTTACCACTGTCTGAGAGAAAACTAAGAAAATTAACTTCACGTTTGGTCTTCAATCAGACAGCCCATTACTGAATCTTCTTTGTTTAAGGAACAAATAATCTTTGAGGACCTGCAAAGGAATCACCCCTTCCTGGTTTTGTGTTTTTAATGCCTGACTTCTCTACATTTAATAAATACTGAATATATTTATATGTATAGAAACAAACATATACATGTACATTTAACTTACAAGTTATACATATTTTACTGCTTCACTTCGGGAGTTTTAGAAAATAGCTATATGTGGAGATAGTTTTAATAGTTATGTGTTTAGTTTTCTTTCAGATTTTTTTTTTTCAGAGATAAGGTCTTGTTCTGTCACCTAGGCTAGAGTGCAGTGGTGCAATCATGGCTCACTGCAGCCTCAAACTCTTGGACTCAAGCGCTCCTCCCACCTCAGCCTCCTGAATAGCTAGGACTCCAGGCATACACCATTTTACCTGGCAAATTTTTAAATTTTTTTATAGAGGTGGGGGTCTCGCTATGTTGCCCAGGCTGGTCTTAAACTCCTGGCCTCAAACCATCCTCTTGCCTTAGCCTCCTAAAGTGCTGGGATTATAGGTGAGATGCATTTTTTATCTTCTTGCCTGTATCTAAAAAGTATTTGAGTTGGCTGAATATGTATAAGCAGGGTGATAGACCCTTCATTGCATGGCTTTCATGCTGAGATAATAGCTTTTGGTCGCTGTGTGGCTTCTTGGTGGGTTGGATACATTTTTAGCCTTAATCATTCAGTTTGGCCATTCCTACTGCCAGGCCCTTGCACCTAATTGCACTCTTTCACTGTGGCCATGCCTTCCATGGCTCCCCTTGCACCACGCCCTCTACTGTTTGGGCATCTTGTTTAGCATTTCCATTCCACCCAGGCCTGGGCTAAGCTCTTGAAAGCTCTGGCAGTAAACACAGCTGCTGGACTCACCTCTAGCACACATTCTAAGACAATGTCAATGGCTCCCATGTAACTTCCATCCTCCATATTTTTCTTTCATGAAACCTCAGGAAATGATTTCCAAATACAGTCATTAATTTCTCCTCTAAAAGTTCACGTATGTTCTATTTTCCTAGACTGAAAAATTGTTTGGCTAAACACACTCATACCATATGTAGTGTATGCCATGTGAGCGATGTAAATTCTCAAGTGAATCTTTAAAGGACTCTGGTTGGGCAAATAAATAAATGATAATAGCTGCCATTTATTGCACACCTACTATGTGCTAGGTGCATTTACATACAGGATGATATCTAGAATTTCATTTAATCCTCACAAAAGCAACCAGTGTACCTACCTTGATGAGGTAAAACTGAGTGTTTGTATATCGGAAAGAGTAGCCATGCCGCTGTCTGATGTTTGCATTGGGAAATCGGGGCCCTGACTTCGTAGAATATCTGTAATTTTTAAATAAAGTATAGGTGTATATCTACATATAATATATGTACTTATTTTATGTACAAATGATTCCTGAAATAGGGTTCAACTTTTGAATTTTCAACTTTCCGATGATGTGAATGTGATATGCGTTCAGTAGACACTGCACTTTGAATTTTGAATTTTGATCTTTTCCTGGGCTAGTGAAATGTAGTGTGATGCTCTCTTGTGATGCTGGGCAGTGGCCATGAGCACAGCTCCCCGGTGAGCCACACAGGAGGGTGAACAACCCATACTGTACTCTACAGTGTACTGTATTCAGTAAATTATGAGAGATCTTCAACACTGTATTATAAAATGAACAGTTGGGTTTTGCCCAACTGTAGGCTAACGTAAGTGTTCTGAGCATGTTTAATGTAGATTAAGCTAAGCCATGATGTTTGGTGGGTTTAGTGTGTTATGCATTTTTAATTTACAATATTTTCAACTTACAGTGGGGTTATCAGAACATAATCCCATTGTAATCTAATGTGTATTTTTACACATAGTATTATGTTATACTATATTACATTATATTATGTTATACTGTATTATATTATAATTATACTATATGAACCATGGTGAGAGCCAGAAGAAAGACATTTGTGGACTGTTTGCATCCTCTGGGCTCCGTAGGCAACCTCTAAAGTCTACAGTCAATTCGGGGTTGGTGAGAAGAGCCCAGAGTTTGGGGAGCTGTGATGTGACAGGGCATCTGGTCTTTGTTTCATTGTCTCATAACATCCTATGTTGAGATAGAAGCTAGTGGTCCACCGCCTGCTAAGAATGTTCCTCGGGGCTTCGTCTGTGGATCCTTAGGGTTGATTAGGGGTTCGGCTGATGCCGTTAAAGTCCAACAGGAGCTGGGTCCGCTGTCAGGGAAATGGGGGCCACACAATTCTCATCTTACTTCTATACCCCACTAGAACATCTGACCCAGCTCAAGAACTAATTATTTATGTAATATCTACAAGCTTCCTTAACTATACCTTTATTCCCATTAGGTAGAAATGCTTGATAAGAATGTAAATGGATATCCTTGAAAGGAATATTTTCATTTTGATCGAGATCAGTGTCTTTCAGTGGCTTTTAAAATGCATCCCCTGAGCCTCAGAATGCTGTGAGACAGAGAGCAAGTATGTATCCTCCTTCCACCCGCTGTCCCTCCACCAGCCTCCCTAGCTGTTTATTTTTGCCATCTACTGAGTCTCTGAAAAATACGCCTTTGGAAAAAGTGGTTCTTTGGCAATGAGAAAAGGTATCTGGAAAATTAAATTCTAACAGTCAAGTTTTAAGCATCAATTATTTTTATTGCAATTTCCTCAATAAAGTTGTTTTTTTTCTACTTATAAATAAAACCTAGAAAAATAAAAAAAAGATGGGAAGAGTCAGAGTAGCTATATATTTTTTTCCACACTTGGAGCTATATGATCCAAACTTCTCAGCTGGAATTCTGGGATGGTAAGCCACCCCCTAAACTACGAACACGATGCACATACTGTTTTCCTGGCAGGATGATTTCGTGCCCATCTGCTCGGGAGCACCATGCCAATGGAATGCGGGACTTGCTGGAGAGCCGGTGGCACTGGGAGTCAGCTTTAAGATCTCTCCTGTGCCAAGCAATCCCTGAGTCAGAGCACATGCTGATTACAAGAGATCACATTTGTTGATACTGTAGATAAAGAACCATCAGCAAACATCCAGATCATGTGCCCCATTTCCCAATTCGTCTTCCTTCTGGGAATCAGCACGCTGCTTCTGTAGAACTGGCCAATCTGGAATGCCTAGGACTTCCCTCTTTGTGTATATCCTTTATTGAAGAAGAACAACTGATTTCTTTTTCTTTCCCATTTACAATGGGAAACCATTTCCTCCAGCCCCATACTAAATCTCATTACTTGGCAATTAAGTTTCAGTATTTTATCAGGTTAGTGGGGAGTCAGGTGTCATAAAGCTAAAGAGAAGCAAGTGCCTGAATAATTCTTAGACCTTCTTTATTTTTCTTTCTCCTTTTTCTCCCCTTCCCTTATCTTTTATTTCTGTTGAGGTCCTTTTATGGAAATCTGAGAGTCAATGGCCTTAGTCAAACATATGCAGATATTTTTCTTGAAGGGTGTGGCTGCAGCCACACAGACCTAAGTTGGCGCATGCATGTGTGTGTGCGCGTGCAGGCACACACACAAACACACACAGACACACACATCCAACCCATGTAGCTATGTCAAATATGTGTGTGGGAGCACATGTTCTCTGCAGACATTCAGAGCATGTTGTATGCTCTGGTGCAAGTCTTCCTGACTTTTTATTTTTCAAATCAAGAGCCTCTTTAATTATCTGCCTCTGACTCCCCATGAATATCACTAATTGAAGAATACCCCCACTGCATGTATTAAGTACACCGTGTGGCTTAATTGATGGTAAATCTGGGGCTTCTTAGGCTTTTTGAAATGTGGGAGTTAGGCCGGGCGCGGTGGCTCATGCCTGTAATCCCAACACTTTGGAGGCCAAGGCGGGTGGATCACAAGATCAGGAGTTTGAGACCAGCCTGGCCAAGATGGTGAAACCCCGTCTCTACTAAAAATACAAAAATTAGCTGGGTGCGGTGGCGGGTGCCCGTAATCCCAGCTACTCGGGAGGCTGAGGCAGGAGAATTGGAGAATCGCTTGACTGTGGGAAGCAGAGGTTGCAGTGAGCCAAGATCGCGCCACTGCACTCTAGCCTGGGTGACAGAGCAAGACATCATCTCAGAAAAAAAAAAAAAAGAAATGTGGGAATTAATTGTAGGGCTTCCATGGCCCCCTTTGGGAATTCTTCCGAGCTCTGAAGATCTGGATCTGCTGGATGCTGTTATGAATGATGTGCTGGACGCAAAACCCAGGGAACCAAACTCTGGTGAAGCCACAGCAGGAAGCCTGTTCTCACAGCCTGTATTTCCTCACCTGTAAAGTGAAGACAGCCGCAACTGCAGTCCAGGGCTATTTCTGGACTCGTGGTTCTGTCTCTCCTGGATCTGAGTCCCAGGGGGCAGGTGGGCAGACATCTATCTGGTGGCCTTCTCCAGTTTCCTGTCCTCCCAGCGCTTCCTCTCTAACGTGGAGTGTGCAGTTCTTTCCCTGTCCTCCCCTTTCTATGTGTACAGACCAGAAGAGCCCTGCAAAATTTCCAAAGAGATTCCACAGGTATGTAGGAGGAAATCCACAGCCAGAAATAAGTAAGATCTGCTTGGGAAAAATAAATCCATTTTATCTGGACTTGAGTAGGCCCAATAAGCTCTGCCCACATGGAGAAGCCACAAGAAGCATTCATGACCGGCAACTCCCATTTCTGCCTAGTAGAGCTCTTAATGATTAGATGGCTTTTAAAATGGCTACATCAAAGACAAACAAATCAGGGTGTGAGTCGATGTTGTGGGTCCTGATACCTGTTATCACCACTTAAGTATTTCTTCAAACATGGTATTGAGTCCAAGAGTCTACGTGATTATTATTAAACTAAAAGCATGTTACATTCCAAAGATATTTTGGAAACAATAGATTTTGAAATTCACTGGTGGCTTCCATCATTTCAACAAACTTGTATTTAGGGAGCAGGTGTTGTCTGCAAGCCTAAACTACAAAACTGGTGTTTAGTGGTGAGACCGATAATTCTCCCACTTGTTTACAAGATTGCACTGAGGGGAAAGATTTCACCTGAGCATGTCTTATGCCAGAAGCCAGGGAAATGCACAAACTTGAAAGATTTTGTGACATGCATACAATACGCCTAATGTATTATGTCTTTTTTTTTTTGTCTGGGGTAGAAATAAACAGCTACTGAATGACTACGTATATGGACAAAATTGTAAATTTGTACTTTAAGAATAATGTTCGTTATGGTAAATATAACCCAATTTAAACCTAGTGGAAAAAATGTCTCCTAAAAAGAATTATAAATTCTTTTTTTTTTTTGAGATGGAGTTTCACTCTTGTTCCTCAGGCTGGAGTGCAATGACGCAATCTCACCTTACCACAACCTCCGCCTCCCGGGTTCAAGCAATTCTCCTGCCTCAGCCGCCCGAGTAGCTGGGATTACAGGCATGTGCCACCACGCCCGGCTCATTTGTATTTTTAGTAGAGATGGGGTTTCTCCATGTTGGTCAGACTGGTCTTGAACTCCTGACTTCCTGTGATCCGCCCGCCTCGGCCTCCCAAAGTGCTGGGATTTTAGGCGTGAGCCACCGTGCCCGGCCAACAATTATAAATTCTTAACTAGTTGGATCACTTCTACCTTCTACTGGCATTGATGGAATGAATCTAATAGCCCCTTTACAAGAACTCCAAACCCTGTGATTTTGCAGAGGCCAAATTAAGAGACGGTTAAATTGGATATGAATGAGTGGTACAGTCTTTGTTAGGAGTGAATCAGTTTTGGCCTTAAGACACAACATTTCATATTCAATTCATGTCTGGAAAAAGAAGTTCTAATTCTAACAACTGGAAATGAAATAATGAGTACAGTCTCACAGGTGTATCTGGCTGCAAAGAGAGATGTATATGAATGGCATCACAGCTCTAACCCTGTCCTGGAAGGATGTGAGCAAGGTAGGCTATAGTCTGGCAACCCTTAGCCTTTGATGGTATCTTAGTCTGTTTGTGTTGTTATAAAGGAATACCTGAGGCTGTGTAATTTATAAAGAAAAGAAGCTCATTTGGCTCGCCCTTTTTCAGCTGTACAAGAAGCAAGGCTTCAGTATCTGCATCTGGTGAGGGCTTTAGTCCGCTTCCACTCATGGTGGAAGGTGAAGGGGAGGTGGCCTGCAGAGATCACAGGGCAGGAGGTGAGAATCAGGAGAGCTGTGCCAGGCTCTTTTTAACAACTGGCTCTTGATGGAACTCTCAAGAACTCATTCGTTACTACAAGGATGGCACCAAGCCATTCATGCATGAAGGAGCTACCTCCATGACCCAAACACCTCCCGCCAGGCCCCACCTCCAACACAGATCAAATTCCTACATGAAATTTGATGGGTCCAAACACAAGCCATATCCAAACCACAGCAGATGTGAGGTCAGGTGGAAAGGGAGCCTGACATAGCTGATATGGCCTATCATAGGCTTTGCTGCAGGCCACAATCCCCAGCCCTGATCATAAGACTTCCTGGCATCGTCAGCACAGCACATTGTTTAAGGTTAGAGGCACACATCCGGGGTTCAACCCTCCATCACCTCTGTGTAATTGCAACACGTTATTCTGTCTCTCTAAATCGCAGTTCCTTCTTTTGTGGTTGATTAAAACAGCTTTTCTGGGAGGATTAAATGTGATGATATGTGTAAAATGTCTGACACATAACAGTAAGAAATATTTGCTATATTAATATTATTAATTATTAATAATAATTAATATTAATACTAATATTATTAATTATTAATAATAATTAATATTAATATTAATTAATAATTATTAATATTATTAATAGTAATATTATCATAATCATCAACAACTATTTATTTTACTTATCTTGAAACGAAATGAAAAGTTATTTGCGCACTATATAAAAAATTCCTGCATGAATTCAAAGTATCGCTGGTGATGAATTATTTTTCTTTCTCAAATTAAAACTTTTTCAAAACACCAGTGAGAAGGTAGACAATCTCTAAAAGCTTGAAATCTTAAGTTTTATTTTTGACATGTCTCAGGCCTGTTTATTTTTCTGTTTTTGTGCATATGACCATTAGAGTATTGGAAAAAGGATTAGATAGCCTAAAAATAATAGAGGTTTTATAAATCCACTTTGCCAGAGAATTACTTTCTGAGGCAACTGGCCTTTCCAAAATAAATTTGCGAACTGTATCCTTATTTAAAAAAATAAAAACCTGGCAAGGCAAAAGAATTTAGGCCATATCAGCTATGTCATTCTAAATTTTAAAATATTTAGTCTTTCTGTAAGATAAATAGGAACAATTGAATTTAAGCAACCAAGAAAAATAAACATACAACTCCTTGAAAACATACAAATAACTAGATGGTTTTAAAAAATGTTATCAGAAAAATGTCTTCACTACTAACAAGCTCTAAATTGAACAGTGGCCATAGATTATGCTCGTATCTGTGCAATGGTTGCACTGCCAGGGGACTGGCCAGTCTCAGGGTAGATGAGGCTTAGCATTTGAAAGCATTTTGGAGCGGAGGATGGAGGAATCCCAGCTGTCTGCTAACAAAAACCTGGTAGGTCTTGGGCAAAGTAGTCAAGAGTATGTGCTTTGGGACCATCGGGAAGGCTCCGAAAGAAGGTAAGATTTGAACTGAGCCTTAAAGGATGTTTGGATGAGATCATACTATCTCTTATCCAGGTGCAGTAATTTTCTTTTCTTCCTCCTCTCCCACCCCTCGCATGGCACTAGTTTCCACCTGTTTAGAGGCATACAGTTAGCAAACCATGGAAAATTATGGGAGACTGGGGATCATAGAAAAATTTACTTTATGAACAGCATTGATGGGAGTGAGTAGTGCAAAACCAGTACTGAGTGGGAGACTGAGACCAATAATGATTTCATGAGGTGACCCTGTCTTTTCCAGGTTGCCTAATGGGCTAGTGATTGATTAAGTATACAGCTTTGGGGTGAGACGTGAATTCCAGTCCCTCCACGATCAATATGCTACCTATGGCACTAGGGCCACCTGCGTGCTGCTGTTTGAGAGCATCTTTTACATTTGTAAAATAAGCACATGATCTGATTGTTATGAAATTAGGTGATATAATTATAATCATTATTATATTTTAGTTTGTACTTTGCCAAGTACAAACAGGTAACTTTGTTTATGTGCTAATATTTACGTTGCATCTAGTTTCCCAGTGAACTCAGCTAAAATCACAGGTGCCACAGAACTGTGTCCTATGATAGCCTATTAAATCTAGGACATTTTTTCAAGTCAGGAATATTAAAAAAAATCTCAGTAACCTCTAATACCAGAATTTAATTGGGTAATCACTTTAAGGAATATCTGGAGTTGGCTTGCTTATAAATAATGCGTTGCTTTTAAGGACATATTTCTTTTAAGTTTGAATCAACTTCCCATTATCCAGTTTTTTTCATATTCAGATTTATTCCCCATAAAAGCATTAGTAAGTGCATATGAAAACCATAGTGTAATAATTTAAATGATTGTTATGAAAGGATATTTGTGATAACAAACATTTTTTAAAACTCCAGTTTCTAATAATTTCCTGTTTTCTTAAAACTCATAATATTTTTGAGTGGCAATAATAAATCCCTAATCCTTGTTCTCATCACAAGTAACGACATCAAGTAGGAATCATCATATACAAGACAAAATGTTTAAAACTTTGGGGTACAATCAGAGTGGCAAAAATTAATATTCAAAAATAAAAATCTCACTCCCTTGGCTGTTTTGAATTATATTTTTCCCACCGATTATATAAATAGGAAAGAGCTGAGTGGATGTTTCTGATATCCTACAAACGTAATTAGTTAACTTAAGATCTGCTTCCCTTAGATCTGTAGATATCCTGATCTAGAAATCAGAACTTAATTCAAAGTGAGAAGAGCAAGACGATGGTTTATTGCGTTTTTTTGTTTTGTTTTTTTAATGTCTACGGTGGTTGTTGTTGTAGTTGCTGTTATTTGCATTGACAAACATGAAATTCTTCTGGTAAATGGTTCGGTTCTCTGACCTCGAAGCTGAGTGCATGACACAGGCTGGGCCAATCATATTACCTCATTCCCTGAGCCACAGTGACTCGTGCAGAGACGAGCATGCGGCCCAAGCTGGGCCAATCAGAATTGTTCCCTGGAGTTTGTTATACTGCAAGTATTAGGGAAAACAATTCTTCCTTCCTGGGTTGGTAAGCATGTGACCTCAGTCTTCAGGGTATGCAGTAAAGGATTAACTTTGCCCTGGAGAGGTTTGGCCCTTTTGCTCCCAGCTGCAGGGCTGTAATTTCTAAGCCCTTGGAATGTTCTGCCTGTAGGAGTGTCTTTGTTTACTGGAGGTCTTGAGCAATACCAGATAGTCTGTGCTTACAATGTAACTTTTGGTGGGGGGGCCTTTGGACATGTGGTACCACTCAAGCTCCAGAGGGGTTAGAGACTAAGGGTAGTCACATGGGTGAACAGAATGTCCGAATGGCCAACTCCCAGTAAAAACTCTGGACAACAAAGCTTGGGTGAGTTTCCCTGGTTGGTAATATTCGGTGTGCATTGCTATATATTCTTGCTGAGAGAAATATATCATGTTTGCATTATCTGCTGAGAGAGAACTGAAACTCCATGCCTGGTATGTCCTAGACCCGACCCTATGCACCTCCTCTCTGTATCCTTTCACTGCAATAAATCGTAACCATGAGAGTAGGGGCTTTTCTGAGTTCTGTGAGTCCTACTAATAAATTGTTAAACCTGAGGGTGGATTTGGGGACTTCCTGAGCATTTTGTAGAGCATCTATTTTCTTCTTAATTTTACTTTGACTTCCGGGATACATGTGCGGAACGTGCAGGTTTGTTACGTAGGGATATGTGTGCCGTGGTGGTTTGCTGCACCCATCAACCCATCACCTAGGTTTTAAGCCCCGCATGCGTTAGCTGTTTATCCTGAGAGCGTCTATTTTCTGCACTACTAGAGGAAGGCTGAGAGAGTGGAGCAAAGATGAGAGTAGGATGGATGAATGGAAGGAGAAAGAGAGAGAGGAAGAGAGAGAGAGAGGGAGAAAGAAAAAGAAAGAGTAACATCATGCATCTGGCTCTAATCCTTGAGCCTCCTGAGGGTGCATTATTTTCTTAGCTATTGCTTTGAATCTTTCCATTTCCTGAATATACTTCCAATAATTCTCTGTCACTCCTTCAGATAGTTTACATTGCATTTCTGAAAAGCCTTTAATTGTATCATTTTAAAATTTCAGTTATATTTAGTTAAAACATATCATTTTTTACCCTTAGAGAAGTGAGTGTGATTAAAGTAAAATCAGGATCAAATAAAGCCTTGTAAATATTTTTGGAACTCTCAATAAAGTTATTGAAAAATGTATTCATGTGAAGTGAATTAATCTAGAAATGTGGATGTCAACCTGACAGGCCATTTTAATCCCTGAGTTATTTCTGAAATGCTGTTAGAATAAGAGATTTGGAAACAGAAGTTAGTATAGGTCTGCTGGGTTTATAATTTTTGTAAGAATTTTCTAATATATAATTTTCTATATCTTGAGCTCTCAGAATAATATTACTTTTGTTAGGCAAGAGATAGAACTCCATTACTCTAAAGGACTAAAGCTAAACTCTTGCAACGCTGCTCAAAGAGATTATTTAAGCCCGAAGAGATTGTTTTATAGAAAATTTTACATTATTCTACTACTAAATCCCAAATATTAGCCCACAGAAGAAAGTTGGCAAGAATATCCTCTATAAACTCTGTAAACATTTAGACAATTGCATTATCAACATTTATCATTCTATTGATGAAAAATGGACCACACTTATTACATGCCTGATGCCAGCATGCGAATTGCAATTGGATTTCCATTACTGTGTCAGAATTCCTTGGGCTTTTTGGAAACAAAAAGGAACTTTCTTAATTTGATAAAGTATCTACAAATACTTAAAACAAAAAATCATATTTGATACTGATGTGTAAGGAACATTTCCTATAAAGTGAAGAATAAGACAATGAATTCCATTCCTTTATTACTCTTTCTAGGTCCTAGACAGTGCAATACACAAAAGAAATATGAGCTATAATTATTGGAATGAAGAAACTGTCATGATTACAGGTAGTATAATTTTTAATACAAATTTTCAATGAATTTTGGAAATTTGACACATACAACGTTGATATATAAGTACCAATACATGTACTTGATTGTGTCCCTAAATATCACCGTGGCCAATTAGAAAATGTATTCTTTAAAGGATTCTATGCCCAATAAGCACCAGGTGTCAATGAGTAAATGTAAGAAATGGATGCCCCGTATGAAGAATATTGTACAACAGTGTCAAAGGACACAAAACGACATATACATGGATATTTTATTTTATTTTGTTTTTGAGATGGAGTCCCATTCTGTCACCCAGGCTGGAGTGCAGTGGGGCAGCCTCAGCTCAGTGCAACCTCCGCTTCCTGGGTTCAAGTGATTCTCTTGCCTCAGCCTCCCGAGTAGCTGGGATTACAGGCACACACCACCATGCTCGGCTAATTTTTTTGTATTTTTAGTAGAGACGGGGATTACAGCCAAGAGTCACTGCACCTGGCCTTAGATATTTTATATATGGGAAGATTTATTTTCCTAAATAGATCAATTATCCCAAAAGTAATCTAAAACTTTAATTAAAACTCCAACAGATTTTTTTCTTCACAGAGCTAGTCAGTTCATGTGGAACTAGTTAATTCATCTGGAAGAATCAAGAACCCCAAATAGCTCAAAATAGTGATTTTGAAGAGGGAGAGTAAAGAAAAAGCACATGCGCAGTTAGAGACTGAATGATGTTAAAGTGATCATATTCAAGACAGTGTGCTGGTGGTACACTGGTAGAGAAATAAAGATCCCAGGAACAGACCTACATAGATATGAGAATGGAAAAGAAATAGTCTTACAGACCAGTGGGGGGAAATGGGCTTTCCATACAAAAAAAGTAGATATAGATATCATATATATATATATATGTTTATATATATATATGTTTATATATATTTTACATATATATGTTTATATATATTTTACATATATATGTTTATATATATTTTACATACATATGTTTATATATATTTTACATATATATGTTTATATATATTTTTTACATATATATGTTTATATATATATTTTACATATATATATAAAATGAACTTCAGATACTAACATTTGGAAGCAATCCTTTAACATTCTTAGACAGAAAAGGAAGAGAATATGTTTATGGCATTATGATAGGAAATAATTTTTAAACATATAAAAAGTGCAAATCATAAGTCTATTAATACATTTGATTAAATCAAATTCGATCTATTCTATTAAAATTCTTTTCTTTGGTTGCATATACCCTAAAATATTTTTAAAATCCTACATCCTGGATAACATATTTTAATACTTACAAAAGAGTTCATATTCTGAACATAGAAGTTCTACATGTTTATCAAAGACAAATAGTCAAAGAGAAAAATGAGCAGAGGTTAGGAAAGACCAGTCACAAAAGAGGAAACTTGAATCAACAATAAATGTTTGAAAAAAAATTCATCCCTCTTTCATACTTTGATATTAGGGAAATACAAATTAAAAGGATGAAGACAGAGTGTTTCCAACCCATCAGAATGGCAAAAAAAAAAAAAAAGCAAACAACAACAAAAAAATCCGATAACACCAAATAACACCAAATATTGGGGAAAATGTGAGGAAAATGGAGCTTCATACACTACTGTAAGGGCTGTAAATTAGAACAAACACTCTGGAGAATGACTTTGACTCCGTAATATGTAACAAAGCAGAAGATGTTCATCCACTATCACCAGCAATTGTACTTCCTTACTGTATTAGTCTGTTTTCATGCTGCTGATAAAGATATACCCGGGACTGGGAAGAAAAAGATGTTTAATTGAACTTACAGTTTCACGTGGCTGGGGAGGCCTCAGAATCATGGCGGGAGGTGAAAGGCACATCTTACATGGCGGCAGCAAGAGAAAATGAGGAAGATGCAAAAGTGAAAACCCCTTACAAAACCATCAGATCTTGTGAGGCTTATTTGCTACCACCAGAACAGTATGGGGGAAATCACATACTGACTAAAATTATTCCCACCGCATCCCTCCCACAACATGTGGGAATTATGGGAGTACAATTCAAGATGAGATTTGGGTGGGGACACAGAGCCAAACCATATATCACTTATATGTACCGTAGAGAAAACTATCCCATCATAGCTTATGAGTGAATAACTGGAAACAACCTAAATGTATGTCAATAGAGGAATTAATGAATATGGTATATTCCTGCAAGTAATACTGTGCAGCAGTTAGAATTAATAAGATATGTCTCTCAGTAGTTTATTGGCCTGCCATGGTCTGCATTCTCCCCTCCATCCTTTTACTATTAGTACATTGGCATCCTTTGGAGAATTTGCACTTGTGGTTCCCTCTCCCAGGAAGATTCTTTCCTCAGAGATTGTTCTGGCTCATTTCTGTGCTTTGTTTTGTTTTCTGTTCTTATGTCATCTCCTTGGAAAGCCCTTGTGTGAAAATGCTATAGAACATTGCACCTCCCCCATTCTCATCAACCCATGACCTCCTAAATTTGTTCCCAGGTCTTCTTTTTGCCCTGCAAGATTACAAGCTGCACGGGGGACAGCACTTTGTTTTGTTCAGTAAAGCATCTGAGTGATGCTGGATGTATTTGTTGAAGTGATACATAGACACCTGCACACATTTGAAAGTTTATGTGCTCCCTTCACCTGCTCCTGGTACTCCCCCTCACTTAGACTGCCTTGTAGAAATGGACCCAGGAGATCCTTCTTCCTACTGCACATCTTCTCACAGTACTAGAAAAGCAAGAGGAACGAAGAGCACAAGGGCAGCCTGTGAAAGTCTCCAACCTCCTTACTTCCTCACAGCTTGCTCTCCTGGACCCTTCCACGAGGCTCCAGTGGGTGTGGATGAGTGTTCTATCCAGGACAAGGATTGTGTCTAGCTGGGGAGCACTGGAGGTTCCCTTCTCTGTGAGATGCCTGGCTAATGATACTTCAGCACCGCAAAATAAAAAGCCTGTGCTCAGATCCCAGTGAATTTATCTGCCTCTTCTTGGACTTTTTGCAATATCATTTATGTTGGAAAAGATGATTTAAAGCCACCATCTAGCATAATGTTTACCTCCCAAGGGTTGGAAATGGAGGGTTGTTAAGTCCTCCAGACAAGGTGATGTTCAACTGCTGCTCTTCTGGGAGGGGATGTCATTTAGTGGACTGCACGGTGCTGATGTAAACTGCATCCTGGGAGCCCAAAAGCCTTCAGTACCTCTCTACTGACCTGGGGTTTACCTTGTCTTCTCTGGGATAGGCTGGAAATTTGATCTTCTCACTTCCTTAAATTATATAGCTAAATTTTTCTTGAATTACTTGTGTTAGTGGAAAGACTACAGGCTTTGGAATCAGGTAGAACTGGGTTTGAATCATGGCCACATTACTTCCTAGCCACTCGACCTTGGGCAGGTTATTTAATTTCCCTTGATCCTCTCTTTCTTCCCCTAAGTTAGAGGGGTCATAATATGTCTTCTGTCTTTGGGTTTGGGTGTTGATACAATGAAATAGTAGATGAAAAGCACCATACTGCTCTAATGCGGATAGACAAAAAGCATATACTCTGGCCTGGCTTAAATCCTACCTCTCTCTGTGGGGGTATTAATAATAAGTTTCCTTGTTGTTGTTTTTGAGACAGGGTCTCACTCTGTTGCCCGGGCTGGAGTGTAGTGGCACAATCAAAGCTCACTGCAGCCTTGACCTCCCAGGCTCAAGTGATCCTCCTGCCTCAGCCTCCTAAATAACAAGGACTATAGGCATGCACCACCATGCAAGGCTAATTTTTTATTATTTTGTAGAGACTGGGATCTCCCTATGGCACCCAGGCTGGACTTGAACTCCTGGGCTAAAGTGATCCTCTGGCCTCAGCCTCCCAAAGTTCTGAGATTACAGGCCGGAGCCGCCTTGACCAGCAATAATTATTTTTGGTACAAATCACACATGACTACATTTTACTGAATTTCTTTTTTTTCCCACTAGCCTGGCACTGTGAGTACTTTGTCTTTCCCCATTTAGCTTAGTGGGGCAAAGAAAGTAACCAGTGATGGTAATAATGGATACTGCTCACGTCTTCATGGAAATCCCCTTGTAACCAAATAACTTCCTTCCAGCCGCATGTGTGAGCTAAATTTACTGAGTAAAAGAAGAACTAAGAATGAAGCAAGATGGGAGGAGATTCTGCCTTTGGATATTGAAAATCTTGACCTGGAAGAGTCTGAAACAAAAATTCAGCATTTAACTCTTCATTTTGAGAGAATTTACCCTGGCCGGCATTCAGAATCATATTGATATACTTCTACTAAACATCAACACATCTGAAGACCCCTAATCCAAAATGATCACCTAATGTAAATGAAAGACACCAGACAAAGCTTACTTCATTTTGATAAATAAGGACACCCTCAGTCATTAAAGGTTAATTTGAAATTGAAAAAGAAAAGCCTTTCCCCACCTCCCCGTGTTTCAGAGTCTGTACGAAGAATGATCATGTTTACTGTGTTCTTTAACTGGTTGTGTTCTCTTTTTACGTGAAATCTTCTCTGCTTGCTCTTCTGCCAGCCAGTGCAGTGAGGCAAGGGAAACACACACAGGCTTAGGGGAGCTGGACCTGGGTTCAAGTCATGACCCTGACACTTAATAGATGTGTGACACCACCTACCTTCACTCATGTCGCAGCTTAGGAAACTGAGGCCCAGAGAAGTTAATACTGGTCTTGGGAAAGTCTTCAAGGGATGGCCGGGCACGGTGGCTCATGCCTGTAATCCCAGCACTTTGGAAGGCTGAGGTGGGCAGATCACGAGGTCAGGAGTTCAAGACCAGCCTGACCAACATGGTGAAACCCCGTCTCTACTAAAAATACAAAAATTAGCTGGGAGTGGTGGCTGGCGCCAGTAATCTCAGCTACTCAGGAGGCTGAGGCAGGAGAATTGCTTGAACAGGAGGTGGAGGTTGTGGTGAGTGTTGTGAGCCAAGATTGCGCCACTGCATTCCAGCCTGGGCAACAGAGCAAGACTCCATCTCAAAGAAAAAAAAAAGTCTACAGGGTATTAAACCAGATAATAGATAATGTCTATAAAAGGTCTTGGTTGTAAGAGACTCCAAATAAATAGCTGCTGCTATTATTATTACTGCTCTTATCTACTCTTCTTCTTTCAGAAAACAATTGTGGAGGGTGTCACTCTCTGCCTCTCTAAATATTAAGAAGCTAAGCAATGTAAACAGTCTAGTTCTAATACACTGTGCCGAGAACTGTGGATGCGCCAGAAATTAGAGATTTTAGTAATTTATTGTTTTTAAGTGTTCTTGCGGGGTACATCAACATAGCTTTAGCTTGGTAAACAGGTTGGTTAACTTGTTTAACTCCCCAATCTTTATTCGTGGTTACTGCCATCCCTTGGACTTCTGACTTCAACTTGCTGTTTTCCACTTTCATACTTTTATATAGAAAATGTTCTCCTTTTGGCCAGGCACGGTGGCTCATGCCTGTAATCCCAGCACTTTGGGAGGCCAAGGCAGGCGAATCACCTGAGGTCGGGAGGTCGAGACCAGCCTGACTAACATGGAGAAACCCCGTCTCTACTAAAAATACAAAATGAGCCAGGCGTGGTGGCACATGCCTGTAATCCCAGCTACTAGGGAGGCTGAGGCAGGATAATCGCTTGAATCTGGGAGGCAGAGGTTGCGGTGAGCCGAGATTGCGCCATTGCACTCCAGCCTGGGCAACAAGAGTGAAACTCCGTCCCCCCCAAAAAAAAAAAAAAGAAAAAGGAAATGTCCTCCTTTTTCAGGCAGTTCAGGTTCTTTATCTACAGATACTGAAATCTAATCTTCTGAAGATAGTTTTCCGTGATGTAATCATTGTTCCTGTACAGTGGTTGTCAACTGGGGGTGGTTTTGCCTTGTAGGGGACATTTTTGGTTGTCACAAAGGAGAGAGGGCATTGCTTATGGCATCTCATGGGTGGAGGCTAGAGAAACTGCCAAGCATCCTGCAGTGCATAGGACAGCCCCCCAACAAAGAATCATCCATCTTCCAACTTTAGTAGTGTGGCGGTCGAGAAGTCCCCAGCTAGAGTGACCCCAGACTTTTTCAAGCAACCTCAGACATTTTGGGGAATGAAAAAAAACCACTCTTAACAATTAATCGGAGACAGCAAGTGTAAACTGGGACTATTACTGGCACACAGGGATTTATGGCCCGTGTCTTGAGTTCCTTTTCTTTTGCATTGCTGAGATATTGCCCCAAAGCATATTATTAATTTGCCTTCTTGACTTGCTTATAGCTGTTCTCACCAATTAGACTCTTACGTAGCCCAAACCAGGCGGTGTGGCTTCTGCAACCTCCCCTTCTCCTTCTAGTGCCGTATACAGAGCGCCTACTTGATAAATCTTCTTGATTGACTGTGCTTATTTATAATCTCTGTTCACAACTGGGTCCTTGACAAAACCTACTATAAACTTTTCAACCATCAATTATATGATACATCAAAAAATGTGGGTGAAATGATGGAGAAGAATTCAACAAGTACCATTGCTCATGATGTAGAGAAGATTCTACCTCTTATGATGTATAATTTGATGAAATATACTAAGCAAGGTACAATCCCCTTAATTGGTACTCATTTAAATTACTCATGTTTACTGTAAATGTTCTTCTGCACAAGATGTGTTTCTATTGAATTAGATAAAATTTTATTGTTGAAAGAGTGGTTTATACGTGTGAAATCAACAAAAATATATCAAGTTCTCCAAATTCTGCCCAGGATATGATAGATGCACAATACGTATTAGTTCCTTTTGCCTCCCCATTACATAGGACACTTTAAACATAATTTTAAGCCATTTAATTTGGTTTCATATGTTTTTGAAATATTGATCTGAGGGGATATTAAAGTTACTGAGTGGCTAAAATTGGTTGGTATGCTAGGGTTCTCACATAAGCAAGTACCACAGCCTGGATGGCTTCAACAACAGAAATTTATTGTTTTGCAGTTCTGGAGGATATAAGTCAACATTTAAGGTGTCGACAGGGCTGGTTCCTTCTGATGGCTGTGAGGAAGGGATCCTCTCCAGACCTCTGTCCTTGACTTGAAGATGGTGGCTTTCTCCCTACATCTCTTTATATCATCAATGCATGCATATCTCTGTTTCTAAATTTCCCCTTTTTAAGAAAACAGCAATCATATTGGATTAGGGTCCACGTTGGTGAACTTATTTTAAATTGATTACCTCTGCCAAGAGCCTATCTCCAAATAAACTCTCATAACTGGGGGGTTAGAAATTCAACATGTGAATTTTGGGGGAACACAGTTCAACCCATAACAATTGGTAGTTAACAAATTGCCATAAACAGATTATAAGCTGAATTAAAATTTTGTAGAGAGAATAATTCTACCATACCTTACTATATATAAAGAGAAAGTTGTGGAGTCACTACCATGTGGAATATAAATGATGAACTTGTGTTACCGTAAGCCACTGGAAAGTACATCATTGTCGTCGATCTTTAAAAACATTATAAAGAACTTTCCAGAGAAAATTACATGGATCAAAAATGTCAACATCTTTCTTCTGAGCATGTGAACTCAAAATACTTTGCCATTTAATTTATTTTTTCCCTCCCCAAATCTCTTGAGATGAATAAAGGACACGCTTTAGGTGACAAAATACAGAGGTGCAAAAAAACGCAAGATCATTTGTTCCACACCATCTTCATTTTCCATAGGCAGGAAAACATTTGTCCTCTGTGCTTGCTTTATTGGAGGCATGTCTGCCTGACTGGTTAGAGCATGAATAAGATTATGGGATTCCACGTTTGTTGATCTTTAAGTGAATTGTATTCATGAAATAATCGGGGCGGAGGTGGGTCTTGAGGGAAGCCCAAGCATCTACCAGTCTGGGACTTGAGCCAAGTGAGAGCTTTGGCTTTTTTTCAGTGTGAAAGACTAGATAGCTGCCGCCGTCTGCCTGCTATCTCAGGATGGGAGGTGGAAATTTAAAAAATATATAAATTTATATTTATATGTATTATATGAAATATAAAGTATTTCATATCTATTTGTCTGTCTGAAAAGAACGTTGGACAGGGAACTGGGTTCCAGTCCTCATCCTGCCACAAAACTTACTAAGTGATTTTAGGCAGGTCCCTTCACCTACTGGAACTGCTTTCTCAGCTGCACATTCAAAGTTTTAGCCTGGGTGCCCGGCAAGGTCCCCCAAAACCTGAGAATTTCATGAGGGAGAGTGTTCCAAGTGTTCAAAGTGATTTTCATGTGGTTAACGCTAAGGATACATTGGCCCTCAAAGAACCTTCATTCTGTAACCTTGTCCCTAACATACTTAGTTACCTCTGTAAGACTTGTTTGGGGTGGGGCCGGGGGAGGGCAGGGAAGTGTCAGGGTTTTTAAAACAAAAGGAAGAGTTCTCCTCCGGCCTCCTGCAGACCTCCTCACCTTGCAGACCAGCTGCCTTTTCTGCCCCCCACCGCCAACCCTGAGT
This sequence comes from Homo sapiens, assembly GCF_000001405.40. Lineage (NCBI taxonomy): Eukaryota > Metazoa > Chordata > Mammalia > Primates > Hominidae > Homo > Homo sapiens. The sequence goes on along the minus strand of NC_000015.10, from coordinate 96,054,184 downwards.
TTCCACTCCTGGAATAGGCATCAGCTCTGCAGAGTTTTTATGCTGTGAACTCAAAATTTCCGGGGCAAAAATCTCTGCACCCAGGATTTGCCCCTTCTGAACAGTTTCACCCATTCTTAAAGGAAGGGAAGTTAAAAAGAGTGGGGTCGAGGCCCGGAGTATTTAAACAGAGGCCTCTTTATCTTCTTCTCCCCTACTACCGCAGGGCAGCCTCCGAAAGTTATCAGAGTGTCATTAACAGGGACAGCTGCTGGTAAACAAGGAGGATGTCGACACCAGCGCCTCCGTCAACAGGAATTTCACTTTAATCTGTCCCTTACTTAAAGAAACACTCCTCTCATTCTCTCTCTCTCCCTCCCTCCACGGTGCATCATTTATTTATCTCCGTCAACTTCCAGATAGAAGACTGGCCTTAACTCCAGAAAGCCCACTGGGATAGAAAATTAATAAGGTGCTAGGGACATCCACCTTAGGTCAATTCGAGGGGACGCGGAGAGAAAGGGAACTCGCTGTGGAGTTCCCTGCTTAGCTGGAAACCGATCCTACATATTTATAAAGGTGAAACTGGAGGGCTGCCAAGCGCCTGCATTTAAGTGATTAACAAACGTTTCTCTTTAAGTGGACACCTCTTGTTCTAAATATATTTGACAAGAATGCAAAGAGTCATCTGGAGGGCAGAGAGGGCGAGCCCGGGCCTCCTCTCGCGAGGCGGACAGGCTGGCAGGCCCGGCTCCCTGCTCGGTGCCAGCCCGGTTCACCGTCGCCGGTGGGCAGGCTGCCAGCGCCAGCGGCTCCCCGCTGTTTAACGACAATGGATTTACTGCTTCTCTGCATATTGGTGTTATTTTGTATAAACAAGGTTAACACTCCTTTTAAATTAAATGCACCACCTGGTGACTGAGTGGGTGACCTTGCCAGCTTTCTTCACCTGGCTCGGGGAAGCCCAGGCTTTCGCTCCGATTTCAACCTGTGGCTCTCCTTGGAATCTCTTTTGCTTCTCACTTAAACAGAGCTCCTGGAGGAGGTTGGCCGGTGACTTGCCCTCTGACCCCGCCGTGGGGGACGAGACCCGATGGAGGTACTAGGGGCCCCTGCGGCTGAGCCCGTGTCCAGGCACCTTCCACGTGGCGCAGGGCGGATCAAGGCTTGCCCGGGGCCAGCGCGGGGCTGCCGCCAGCACGAGAGCCTCGGGGACCGCCCTCCTCCGGCAGCCGGTGTCAGCGGAGAGTGACAGACGGTCTGGTGGGCCCTGCCAAGGCAGCCCCTAAATAGAGATCTCCAGAGGGGGCAACACCATAAAAAAGGTTCTTTGTGTTTCACTCTAGCGTGGTATTGCTCTAATATAGAGCTCGGCACTTTCCCCAACCTCTAGGAATTCGAACACCTGGAAAAATTCTCCTGGCTTTACATTGGAGGAAATTTAATGGTGTAAACCAACTCTGCAGGGGGGCCCCCTTTGATTTGAGAAAGCAGTGATCTGCGGTGCAGTGCTGAGCCGAAGGGGCTTGGAAACGACTTTGCCTGAGAATGTCCATTCCTCAAACACTTTAAGGATGGCTTCGAGTTGTTTAGAAAAATTTAGGCAGACAGCACCGTCTTGGAAGCATCTAGAAACTTCGAGAGAAATAAACTTCAGTTACTCGTTTAATTACAGGCATCAGCTTGCCAGTTCCCTGCTAACTGTCCATTTCCGAATAGGGCAGAATTTTTCAGGGGTCTTTGCTGTGCTACTACAGCTTTATGAATTGTAGACCGGTTTGTCAGCCTTATTTTAGCTCGGCAAATAAGGAAATCATACCTGGGAAAGTGAAGTGACTTCCCCAAGGTCACCTGACCCAGAAGCCAAGACTCCAGGCTTGTAAGTTCCATGATGTTGATGCCCTTATTGTTTCCCTGTGGAGTCCTGCTACCCAGAAAGTAAGCTGTGAGCTGTAAGTATAGAGAGTTTTACTCTTAGCAGCATAGAAATAGCTGGGTCAATAGCTTCTGCTTAAATAGTTTCTTAGTAGCTCAAATTGGGATAATAGAAATGTCTCTTTAAATAGGCAAAGTCATTCCAGTAAGTGATATAATTTTACTTGCTAGAATCCTAATAATTTTATTAAAAATAAGATATGGAATGTGGATTTATTAATACCTTTCAATATTTGAGGTAAAATGTGACCTTCTTTCCCAAAATCTCTCTAATGAGTACATTTTGTGTGTGTGGTGGGGGGAAGAAACCAAAAACAACCTAACATGAATAAGATGCATTGTCTATGCACAATGAGTGTTGTGGCCTGTTTCTAAAGACATTCAATATTTAGTGTGGACATCAGGGTGCCAGGTTTTGAGGACACAAAGATAAGACACAATCAGGATCTAGATTAATTAAGGTCCAAGGAAATTAGTGTGTACATAAAGAACCACTGTGGGTACAGAAAGTTCAGTGCAGGAGGCATCTAACTCCGGGTGTCCAAGCTGACTTCGCAGAGCAAATAGTGCTGTACCCTAGGCAATTCCATTTGTGTTATTGTGGAACAAGTCACAACAGACATTCAACTTGGCTTATACAGTGATTCCTGTTTGCTAGGTGTTGTCCTAAATGCCTGGCATAATCCTCATAACAACCTTCTGACGCAAGAAATGTTATCAGCTCTACTTTACAAATGGGGAAACTGAGGTATGGAGAAATTAGGTAACCTGGTCAAGGCATCACAAGGAGGAAATTCACATCCAAGCAGGCTGCTGCCCCTCTGTGGTTCCGTGTTCATTGTCTTGGTATTACCATACACAGGCATTACTTTCCTCCCTTCAAACACCCTGCCTTCTAGGTACTAACTATCCCAATAGAAGATAAACTTTTAACTTTTAAAAATTATCTATTGCCAGACATTGTTATGGACTTTACATACAATGATCTTACTATCTTTTTCCCCCTAACCCTGAGAAGAGATAGATATTATTTCCTCATGTTATAGATAACAAGACTGCCACAAAGCTCAGCAGCTGCAGCAGCGACTTTCTTTTTATCTTCTTAAATAACTTCATTGAAACTAAATTCTTAGAGGTATCCGATTTTCTAGGGTGGTAATTATTTCAAATATTCTTTTCTATTGTACGACCCAATTCCCAGGGTTTTTGTTTGGAAGTAGAAGGCACAGAGGCTGTCGTGGAAAACACACAGCAAACAAGACAGCTCCACAAAAAAATGAACATCTTTACCCAAGGGGGGTTTGCAGAAATTGCAACAGGGATTAATTATTGAGAACTGAGGTTGTCAGGAATGCAAGCGGTAATTTCTAGCTCATCTAACCCTGCAGTAGGATTTCCTTAGAGCAAATAGGTTTCTTTTACCTTTGGAAGGTAATATAATATATAGTAACATAGTATGATATTATATGTTAATATAATTATATATTATATAATACTAAAGAAGATTGGGAAAACTATGAAGAAGGGAATAAAAAATTATCGAAAATTTCATTACTGCAAATATTTTTGACATTATTCCTTCCAGCCTTTTTTATTAATACACATAAATTTTGTTAAGGAAAAAAGTGTATAAATACACACATGATTAGGATAACTGTCATGCAGATTTGAATGCTACTCTTAACTTGATAAACATTTTTTCACTCTCAAATATTCTTTAAATTTTTCATTTATCGTCTTTACATAATTTTATTATAAGTATTTATTATAGTTTTCCATAACCCAGATTAATAATTCCCCTATTCCTGGACCTATAGGTTATTTTCAGTTGCTGCTATTATAAATAATCTTGCATATATATTTTGGCTGCCTAAAAGGTTTTCCCCTGCTTCAGTGGAATCCTTAGAAGTAGAGTTATTGGATCAGAAAGCATTCATTTTTGTTGTTTCATCAGAAATGTGAACATACATAGCATGAGTGCGTTTGGAGGAGATAGGATAGGAATGGAAATTTGAAGTATTTAGAAATTTTGTTGGTCTGTTGTTTCACTTCTGTAAAAAATAACATACAATACAGGTATATTTATATACCTGCATATTTACTTTTTTTTGACAAAAACAGACAATTATGTTACCTTATCTTCTGTATTCCACTCTGAGACTTCCATTGTATTTTATGTTGCTGCCTCTAGGGCTGGATTTCTGCTTGTTGGGTGTTAACAGGAAAACAAACAAACAAACAAACAAAAAATATATGGTGGGGATGCTGGAATTTAGCATACCTACCATGGTTTGGAATTACCCTAAGGGAGTCTAGAAATTCCAGTTTGTCAAGTATCCAGTCTTGTTTTTTAAGAACACAGACTAGGAAAAGCAGAAGATCACTCTACAAAACTTTTACAAGAGTTTGTCAAGTCTGGGGTAGTAAGAGCAAATGTATAAGGGTACGTGGTTCCCTTAGGACCAAAAAGAGGTGTGAATTTGTAAGGCATCTAACTTTCTCTTGCTTGAATGAATTTGCGTCACTATCTTAAATTGAAGTATTGTTTAACTGTGTTCAATTCAACTTCTTCCAGAAGGAGAGGAAAAGGCCCAACACCTGCCTGTCAGGGCTCCTGGATCACGCCCTGCTGCCTGCTGACCTATATTGGACTCGAGCCCTTCTTCTGGCATGCTCACCTGTTAACCCACCTATCAGCCCACACCTCTGACTGCTGGCTGCTCCCCATTGAGCCTGAAATACTGTGCTATCTGCCTGTACCCTTTTGCATAAGCTGGGGTTGGGTTATCTCAGATTTCTATTTGGGTCAAGATTGCCACATACCTCACCTCTTCTGTTCTGGTCCTCATCCTGTGTTCCTGGACAAAAATAACATTTGAGTAGAAAGCTTTTCTACTTGTTGACATAGTTGAACAGATTTTGCTTTATTGAGATGAAATGGAGCCTAAATTTATCTGGAAATGTGTGGAATCAGTAGAGAGAAGTAAACACAACTCGAAGAAAGCGGGAAACCCCTGTGTACAATTCAGCTTTTTCACTCCCAGGGAGTTGGGCATGATTGTAAAGAATGATGTTTTCAAGCCTGCCAATAACAGAACACGTCTGTATCCATTGTGGATGGGCTTCTTTGAGAAAGCTTCCTTTTCGCCCAAGTAGAGGAGCTCTTCACTGCCCTAAGATTCTGCTTTCCTACTCCCATGTCAGAGCAGGAAAAGGTGAATATTTTTCACACAGAATAGCCTCATCCATTCCCACGGGGAGTGAGATAGTTCCTGTAGGGTGCTAGTGATGGCATAAAATTACAGCTCACTAGAGAAACAGTTGCGAGTAAAGAAATATATACATTTCCTCTATTTGTGTTCCCTGTCTGTGTTGTCTAAGTTGCAAACAACAGACTCCACTTCAGCTAGGTTAAAGGGAAAAGAGGTTTAATAAAGAAAATTAAATAGCTTATAGCATCACTGGGGAACTAGAGAAACAGATTTAAGGCTAAGCTTCCAGAAACATATCCCAAAACATGCCCCCAAACCGTGACACTGACATGAAGAGACAGTTGTCATTGCTGCTTTATTGAACAGAGGACTGAGAATTTTTCTACAGTCACTGCTGTTCTCTGCACTGATGGAAGCCAAGCCTGCCTGGAGAACTCAACTTTGCAACCCAAAGCTGGTGGCTAATGTGGCTACCCCTACCAACAAAATGGAAACTCCACCAGGTGTCTGAATCCAGCTCTCACGGTATGTATCCTGCAGGTGGCACGTTGGGAAGATGCAAGGGAGGCTGGGAATTTGAGTCCCGATTTCCAGATTGTGACTGTGGGTCACAGTGAAGATTAGCTTTGCTTTCAAGCATACGCATCAATCCAGCAGGAAGATGTCTTCCCAATTCTAGACATGAACCTGCAACCTAGTAAAGTGGTTAAGAATATGAGCTTCAGAATTAATCAGTCATGGATTTATGTTTTCTCAGAGTGATTGTGAGCCGGTCACTTTCCCTCTCTTTCTTTCTCAACTGAGCCTCAGCTTCCTTCTTTGTAAAATACAGATAATATTTCCGTAGAGGTGGTATGTGACACAAATTTAAACAAGCATGTATGGAAAATCCTCAGCATAGTGTTTTTATAATGTAGTGAGCATTCAGTGTATGGTGGCTCTCATTCCAGTTACTAGTAATAAGAGCTGAAAGTTTATGGTCTAAAAGAGAAAAAAAATACTTATGACCAAAACTCATAATGCTAATAATAATAAGAAGAATCCTACTAATAACAAACCAGCCTTGAACCAAGCCACCCAAGTTCATCTTAACATTTCTTATAAGAAATTTCAGTTCATGCAAGGGATTTATATGGCAATAGCTGAACAATGGGAAAGTTTGAGGTCGATGCTTCCTCAACTGTTTCCAAAATAAACAGTTACAGGAAGCTCACTACCCTGTGCATTAAAGCGCAGGGGGAATAAGGAGGGGGCTCTGTTACTTTAAGCTCACTACAGGAGACGTGGGAGCAGATCAATATGTGGTTAAGTGTTTTAGCTGCACTTTTATTACGTTTGACAGCGATGACAACATAGCATGCACTGAATAAAATGACTAACGCACACATTTCTCCCGCATGCATACTGCTTCTATTTTTCGAACCTCCTGAGTGAAAGGCAGTCATACAAAAAGCATGCAGAGTGGGAGTTCCAAGTGGCTAGGGCCAGAATTGCCCACGGATTCCAGATTTCCAGAGTCACAGAGGGGAACCTGACTACCCGAAGCAGAAAGAACAAAAAGGGCTGCATGAACATGAACATGTTAACTACTGAACAGTAGTTAACAGTCGGATGAACTGAGAAAGGCATGCTTACGTACATAGCTACATTTCTTTCTCCTCAAGCCTTATCTCTTTCCCATAATGTGGGCAGTGCTGATGAGTGAAAAAATACACAAGCCCGTCTAAGTACACTGTAGATTTACACAGCACAGGGCTGAACTTAAAAACAACAACAACAAAACGCTGTTATTTGAGTAACTTTTCAAAATCCTATTTAGATGCCACCCGTTTCTACCTTTTCACTGACACCCAGATGTTTTCACTTGGATTTGAGGCCCCAGCAGGCAGCATCCAGATGTTTTGAGGGGGCAGAGGAAGTTCTTTCATTTGTGGCAAATTTGAGAAGTGAAGATTCATTGACTCATGTAATATTAATCTTCCTACATAAGGAAATTGGAGCCAAGCTGTTTGCCCACTTTCTCAGTTATGTGTGGGGTCACTGAACTGGGGTGGGGCAGTGGGGAACCCCTTTGGCTGGGATTTTGTGCAGATGGCACTGAATTCCAAAATACTTACCACGTTTTCTCATTAGCCCTATGCAATTCTTTTTATTCACTTCAAGACCATTTAGTGGAGCAGGAAGAAACTGCAGGCCTTTTGGAGGTATTTCCTTGTGATTCTGGTCCAATCCACCACCACCGTCTCACGCTTAGAACCCTGCAATCCTTCGTAAGTATTTGTTCTGGAATCCTGTTACTCTGTTACTAAAACCACTCCTATTTCTCACCTTGCTCAAGCTTCTCATCTCACTTAGAAAAAGGAATTTTTACAAACAAATCTTTCCATTAGCATCATAATGTTTTTCATGTTTGGCTCTGACTCAGTTTCCTTTCACTTTCTGGGAGCCTTTCCTCACCCTCCTACCTCGCTCACTCTGCTGTGGCCCTACCACCTTTCTGTTACTCAAACTCGCTTTTCACCCTCCTGCTTGGATGAATGAGCAGAGTCATTGCTTGTAGTGTCCCCTTTGTCCAAAATGTTCTTCCCTGGATATTCCCTGGGCCTGCCACATTCCACGCAGGTTTCTGTCCAGGGCTTAACTGTTTTTTGTTTGTTTGTTTGTTTGTTTGTTTTTGAGATGGAGTCTTGCTCTGTTGCCCAGGCCAGAGTGCAGTGGCGCAATCTCGGCTCACTGCAAGCTCCGCCTCCCGGGTTCACGCCATTCTCCTGCCTCGGCCTCCCGAGTAGCTGGGACTACAGGCGCCCACCACCACACCCAGCTAATTTTTTGTATTTTTTTTTAGTAAAGACGGGGTTTCACCATGTTAGCCAGGATGGTCTTGATCTCCTGACCTCGTGATCCACTCGCCTCGGCCTCCCAAAGTGCTGGGATTACAGGTGTGAGCCACTGCGCCCAGCCACCAAGGCTTAACTCTTGAGCCCAGACCCACACCTAGCACGAGCTGGGCACTGAATCAGCAAAGACTTGGAACGCGTGAACACAGTTATTGTTGTTCTTTGTGTTTGCATGTGGTGAAAGATTGGCTCATACTATATGAAAATCACTGAGATTTTTTTTTTCTCAAATATCTGTTTTCTCGAAGATTTAGGTGAGGAGTAAAGTGAGCAAGCTATTTGTAAAAGTTTTCAGAGCAAACATTCCATGATCAAAACAGGATCAAGGATTTTGCCTTTTTGTGGCTTCTTTGGAAGGAATAAGTGTAGGTCCTCAGGCCACTTCATTAAAAAAATGATTAATAGACATACTACATCTCTGTTTTCTGAAGTGATACTTTAGTGTACTTTAATTTGTTTAAGAGCTGAGCTTACAAGGAAGTATGAGACCATTTCTGTTCCTACCCTCCCAGCTCCAATTATCTGCCTTTCTGTGTTTGGGGTGACATTAGATGCATAGGACTCTACCCTGGAAATTTCCCATTAAAATATTGTTTTTCAAACCCATAGGTATAATTTGACCTCTTTTGGATGTTTAAATTGAAAATATGTGAAGAACTTAAGTCCCTTTATTTTTACCCTCTTCTGTTATTGGAGTCTTCTGCTGTTTGTACTTTATGATTCTACTTCATGGCTTCTTCTAGGCCAGTTCCCCATTGCTCTGCTTCACTGGGGTGACCGAGACCTTAAAATAAATTCTCAATCAACATGTGTAAACCAAATGAATGATTATTTGGACCCCAATTCTATAGCATAATAGTCTAAACTTGCTAACTTGGGAGGCCAAGGTGGGCAGATCACTTGAGGTAAGGAGTTCAAGACCAGCCTGGCCATTGGAGACATGGTGAAAACTGCCTCTACTAAAAATACAATAATAATAATAATTAGCTGGGCGTGGTGGCGCATGCCTCTAATCCCAGCTACTCGGGAGGTTGAGACAGGAGAATTGCCTGAACCTGGGAGGCGGAGGTTGCAGTGAGCAGAGATTGTGCCATTGCACTCCAGCCTGGGCGACAGAGCAAGCCTTCGTCTAAAATAAAATAAAATAAACTTGCTAACTTCCAGACCTAAATCTAGAGAACAGGAATGCATTGCTTTAATATTATTCAGAATTTCTTAAAAGTTGCTAGGGCATGTTTTAGAAGAAAGTGATTGTTTTCATATGTGATGAGATAACAAAGGTGATAGAGTGAATATATTTCCAAAAATGAACGTTTATTTCCAATTTTCCAATTCTGTTTGTCAAAAAGGTTTCTCTCTCAACAAGATTATTATTTCCATGTAGAAAAAAGAGCAGGGATTTGTTAAAAACTGTATGTAATACTCTAAACAACCTCGGGGTAACCAAGTATTAGTTGCGGATAAACTTACTGATCATGGCACAAGTGTTGACCTAAATCACCTCTGACTATGTTAAAGCTGAAGGAGGGCATTTTGGAAGTGCAACTGGGTCTGCAGTCCTTGACACAGAAACACACTGACTCAACACCTTCTGACGCTGGAGACTTATGCTTGACAATTGCCCTTCAAGGATAAGAAAAATCCCAGCAAGGCACCGTCCTTGGTTTCAATGATGCCCAGAGAAAAGAAAAAGAAAAAAGAATATAAATCTGATTTCTTTTCCATTGAAGCAGTTTTAATGCTTCCAGTGAAACACAGAAAATAAAGATTTGTAATTGGGAGTTCAAGGCCATCCATAGCTTCTCTCCTGAGCTTCGTCTCTACATGTAGATTTCTTGAGTTCTAGCATTCCAATGGTACCATGTTTACATCTTTTTATTTTGGGACCTTGATGGAATAAATGGAGCTATGTAGTCTACCAGAGTATGACAGATAATGGATAGCTCGTCATTTAAAACAATCTTTTTTGCCGCTAATAATTATACTAGAATTTTAAATATGCTACCTCTTCCACCAGATGGTCTTGAATAATGCTTCCATCTACTTAATTGTGCTTTTTGTAAATCAGTTGCATAAAATCTTTTGATGCAGTTTCAAAGATCCCTTTTGTAGAAGCACGGAGATCATGTAATTGGCTGAGAACAACTATCCAGTCTGAGAGGATGACCTTTTACCCTCTACCCAAAAAGAGCACTCCAGAGAGAAAGGTGCCGTAATCTGGGTTTAAGGCTTCTTACCATCATGTGGAGAGCCTGTTTCCTGTGCCACACACACAGTGGCAAGAAAGCTCAGCTTCAACATTAATGTAGAACTTCCCACGTTGCTCTTGAGAAAATCCACTCCTTAAAGAGGAAGAAAGGACCTCACCCCATGCCTCCCTCCCTCGGTGGAGATGCCCACACATGGGCACTCGGAACCAGTTGCAGGCAACTGTGAATTGGGAGGAAGGAAAGAAGAGATTAGGACTGAAAGAGGTGAGTATGTTCAAGTCTGTTTCTAGTGTAGAGATAGCGAGATGGTCACCCGTTAATTCATTTGCAAGGCTGAGAGTAATGCTGAATCCTGGCTTAGGACACCAGTAGATGACTTCCCAACAAATAAGTGGACAAAAAGATGACACCACCACCTGAAGGAACTTTTAAAGCAATGAATGAAGCACCTTGAAAAGTTAGATTTTGGTTAAGAGACACATCCCCAAAGTTAAATGAAAAGGTAGAACCTGGCTTTGCAAAACTGATGAAAAATGGCCATGTATGCTACAAAGTAAGACCCTTTTTTTGACATTTTTTTTTTTCCATGAGAGTCAACAGGGGAAAGTTTGGCTAATGTTTTCTATCACTAAAGACTTAAAAAATAACTGGAAACATTCCCATAGGCTTTGTTTGTTTGTTTTTAAGAGGCTTGTTTCTCGTTTTTCCATGCAAATTAAAATTCCTAGTGTGGCTTCTATAAATTTGAACTTTTGAAAACTTTCCCTTAGCATTTGGCTCAAAGTGTAGCTGGCACTTCCGTGTGACAACAGAGAAATTTCAGTTCTGCTTTTCTTCAGAGCTGCGTGTTATGGGTTAGATAAGTAAACTTGGCTTTCTCTGTTCTAACGACAGTGTGTCCAGGGAAGCTGGAAGAAGAATGGCTCCAGGGTTCCTGTCGATGCCAGATTTCACCAGCGCTACCCTGCTTTTATCAGTTTTCCATATAGAGCTTTCATAAAGGTTTTCTTTTTCTGTTTTTTAAATTGTGGTAAAATACATATAACATAAAATTTACCATCCGTGACACTAACTGCATTTACCATGTTGTGATGCAACCATCACCACGAGAACATTTTCACCACCCCAAAAGGAAACCCCAAACCCATTAAGCAGTTACTCTTCATTTTCCCTCTTCCACCAGCCCGTGGCAACCACTAATCTGCTTTCTGTCTGTGTGGATTTGCCAACTCTACTTTTTATGTTTCATATAAATGGAATTATGCCATATACATAACCTTCTATGTCTCACTGCTTCTACTTACAATAAATGTTTTCAATCGAAGTTCATTCACCTTGTAGCATGTATCAAAATTTCATTCCTTTTTATGGTTGAATAGTATTCCATTCCATGAATATGTCACATGTTAAAAAATTCCTTCATGAGTTGATGAACATCTGAGTTGTTTTCATTATTTTGCTACTGTGAATAGTGCTAACATGAGCATTTTTGTGAATGTTTTTATTTGAACACCAGTTTCCAGTTCCTTGGGGAATATACCCAGGAGTGGAGTTCCTAGGTCATATGGAAATTCTCTACTGGGCTCATTGAGGAGCCATCAAATTGCTTTCCATGGTGGCTGGACCATTTCACGTTCCTGCTAGCAGTTTCCTAGGGTTCCAATTTCTCCACATCCCTTCCAACACTTGCTATTGTCCATTATTTTGGTAGTTATCTAAGTGTGTGTGAAGTATCTCACTGTGGTTTTGATTTGCATTTCCCTAATGGTTAATGGTATTAAGCATCTCTTTATGTGCTCATTGGTCATTTGTACGATCTGTGTTAAAGTTTTCTTTTTGAGAAAGTGTTTTTCAGTTTCAAAAACATAGATTGTAAATTACATTTAGAATGTGCCCATTTTTCTAGCCCAGCTTGGTCCCTTTGAGAAGTTGCCCTTGGTCCTGAAACCAACAGCACAATCCTGCCAGGTGCCAGTGTCCATGCAGTGAGCTCCTGAGCTGCCTGGTTCTACCTGCTAGTGCCTGGCTGTCTCTTGACTTATGTAGCTGAAATTTCTGCATTATCTCTTCTTCCATCTGCCCAATCGACATTATACCTATTATATCACAGGCTTGATTTGTAGTTCTGCTCCTTATATTTATCCTGTCACAGGAGCTAGCAGCATGTGCTCCAGAGTTGGACTGTGATGAAGACCTTGGAGAACCCAGTATCTCAGTTTTCTCAGCTCTAAAGTGGCTATCTCCATAGTACTTGCCTTGTAGATGTGTTGTATTAAATTAGGTAATGCATATACATCATTTGGCCTGGTGTTTTTGAGGTGTACACTCAATAAGAGGTACTTTATAAACATCTTGCCTCTCCCTTTGCATGCTAGTCTCCTTGTACTGACAACCTGGTGATCCCATCTGGGTCCCCTGATAAGACCTGGATAATATGACTCTCTAGTGTTCTTAAGATACTGTTACTAAAACCATCTTTATTTATTTATTTCAACTTTTATTTTAAGTTCAGGGGCACATGTGCAGGTTTGTTATATAGGTGAATTTGTGTCATGGGGGTTTGTCATACAGGTTATTTTGTCACCCCGGCATTAAGTGTAGTACTCATTAGTTATTTTTCCTGATTCTCTTTCTCCTTCCACCCTCCACTCTCTGAGAGGCCCAGTGTCTGTTGTTCCCCTGTTTGTACAGGACCATCTTTAAAGGCATTGGGACTCAATACACAATTTCTAAATATCATGGGAATTAGCAAATTAATTTATAAGTTTTTATACAGCAGTTTAATTCTGGGAATGTAATACCGTTTATTTCTGAACAGGAAATTTAATATCATCTACTTTTTATTGAGTGCCTAACATGTTCCAGCCACTTACTATAGGTGCTTATTATATTATTTCTAATTCTAGTAATAACGCTGAAAGTTGATACTATTGTCTCTGTTCAATAGTTGAGGCATAATTGAAGTCAAATGGGAGTAAGTAACAGACCGCAGGTCTTAAGGCAGATTCACTAAGTAGCAAGGTTAAAATTTAACACTCGGTCCCCATGATCCCCCAGTTTTTTGCTCCTTCTTAATCACCATACAACTGATATTAGAGTGAGTAGCTTTAGGCATTTACTAGAATGTTTGATATTCAATGAAAAAATTCTGAAGGTGCATGGACCAATAAATATTGTGAATATCCATGTGAAGTTTGTCACTCCCCCAAAATTTCATTCCTCTTCCCATCCTTTCCATTCCTCTTCCCTGCTGCTCGTGCTCTCTCTTTTTCTACCAGATGACAGATGACTAAACAAAATAATAAAATGTGAAGCAAGTTCTGTTTTGCCCATGGAGGTGGAAAGTGAGTGTGTATGATCCGTTGGAAGAATTTGGAGAAGATTCTCTAAGAATTAGGAAATCGTTACCTGACTGAATAAAGCATGTAGAATTATGATTATTATGCAGATGTGTATCTTGTTCCTGACAAACTATAATATAAAGCAAGTGTTCTGAAAATATGTTAATGAAAAGAAGAAAGTTACACAGGATGAGAAATTCACTTTCGCAATGCTTAATGTAAAGCTGATTATAATATTGAAGTCAAAATTAATTCAGTCTTAAGTCATTCAGATAATTGAATAAATAAAATTTATATTTAATCTGATGTAATTAGCATGTTTTTATATATCAATTTCAACAGAAGAAAGAAAAGTACCGCCCACTTTATTTTCCTATGGATCTGGGGTGGCAAAATAAATTTTCATCTCGTGTGTCTGCTACAGTCTCCCAAATGATTAGTTATTTATTCCTTGTCTGAATTTGCTGACAAGGTCACCCTCAGACCTTTGCAGGTGGCAGTTGAGAGAACTTCATAGTCACCTGACCTACTTCCAAGCTGTACCGTCTACATGATGCCCAGACACATTCGACTTCCCTCTTGACTTTCTCACTTGTTCTCCTTGCCTATTTATTCTAATTTTCATGTTATCTTGGTGTATTAGAGCTATAACTCATGTTAACTCTTTTTGAGAATATAATAGAGTGAAATAAAAATATAATGTAATAGACACTGTAATAGGTTTTCTGCAGATTACTTGAGCCTGGAGTGTCCCTGGTATGGCAAGGTTTCCAGTGGTAAAGAGCTAGATAAGATTTTAATCCCATCCAACAGGGGTGATTGATTCTAATCACCTCAGTTCTGTAACATTTTATGCAATGGTATAAGTCATGTAACCAAGCAAGTATTGGTGAATGTTTATATGTTCCAGATGTATCTATTTGTAGCCACTCCTATTTAAAATGTCCGGTTGGGTCCCAGATCAGAGAAACAATTATCATTATCTACAAAATGTATGCAATGCCAATATACTTTGAACAATAAGTACTAATAATAATACAGATTTCAAATGTAATATTCTTTGAAGTAAGCAAAATAGACAACTTGACCGTGCCTGTCAGGTTCTGGGGAAGAAAGTGCCCTGTACAACCATCTTGTTTTGCTTCTTTCAAACAATGTCGGAAGTTGAGGTGATAGCAGCATCAGTAGAACCTTTCTTTCATAGCTTAGTGTGAGTTTATTTGATCTTGAGGGGCCCATCTGGATATTCACCAGAGAAGTCTGCCTGTCTGCAAATGAACATAATTTTGTGTGTGGGCTGGTACAGCGTGGGCTACCACGAGCATGGGGACTGCAGCAACCTTTGGCTCGGGTGCATGTGAAGCAGGTGCTGGGCAGTAGGGAGGAGTTAAAACATCGCTTGGAATGTTCCGGCGAGGTATCATCATGTATGGGCTTAATAAGACGCCATGACAGCAGAGGATTCTTACTCTGTGGGAGCTGACTCTAGTCCCCTGTTAGGAGATGGCAGGAGCAGCTATTCACACATACTTGTGAAATAAAACTAAGTTACACTCACACAGAGCCGTAGTGACTATAAAGGCAGTGTACACAGCTAGACGCTTTTAACTGAAAACACAAATTTTAACAGAATGTTGGTAAAGACATGGAAAATGTAGTTTCCCCATTTCTTGTAAACGTGGTTTCAGCTCTCACATCTATCCTATCCTGTATCTGTCTACATAATGCCTGTCACATGTCCACCTTGAAATCCACAGGGTATTGTGGGTGGATCTGAGAACTGCTAGAGAAAATTCTGAGATGGAATCACAATGGCATGATGACTCATTTTTCTTTATGTGTATCTGTCTTCAATTTCTTTTTCTCGTGGCAGAGTTTTAAGGGGTTACTGGTATCAGGTCCTGAATTCATTTGCTAAAGGTAGCTGCGGGATTTCAGAAAAAGCAGTTATTAAAAATAGTTGGACATTACCAGGAGAAACATCACTCAGGTCTCCAGTGGTTGTGGTTCTGCAAAAGTGTGGAGCTGTGTTTGATTTAAAATAACCAAATCTTTTTCTGGAAGTGTGTGCAAAGCTAGAAAGTAAGCTTGTAGAGAAGAAGGCATATTTTTGTATATTTTTGGGCAATGCAGTACCAAGTTATGGTATTGGAGTGGTCATGTTTACTAACTACTGGGAATGAATTTCTCTTCCTAAGCTATACATGACTTGATGTGTTGCTGAATTAGAGGACTGGAGTCCAGGGACCATGGACTTGATTTTCTTTGCATTATATCACTACACCCTCTATTGCTAGCTACAGGGGCGTGTGTGCTGTTGCTGGGCAATAAATACCCATGGCATTAAACATACTGACAAAACTAAGGATGGAAAGAACAGAAAGACATATTCACATCTTTAAAAGTGTATAAGAATTAAACTTCTCTATAATATTTTTCTAGCAACTGCACATTAGAATTAGAAAGACAAGCAACCACTTTAAATTAGAATACACGTTTGTTTTCCCCCGCAGGGAAATGAAGTCAGGGGGTGCTACATACCTTCTCTGTTCTGAAATGGACACATTTATTTCTCAGTAAATAACTTTTTTGGGGGTAAAATTACATTGGCCACTGTAGAATTCAATGCTTTCCTTCTGCGTATTTTTTTTCAAAACATTAATATTTTCTCTGCCAACCTTTGAATTCAAATGGGTGTTCTCATGGCTTTGGAGCTTTTGTTTGCATCATTAGAAATCCTTTTAAAAATGGGTGAATTAATTTGGTGGAATTAGGTTAACAAGTCATATCTGAAGCGCACTGGTTTACATTGTGGTTTGTGGTGAGTTTAAAGGCGGTTTCGTGAGAAAACTCCAAGTGCTGAAAGCAAACCTTTCTCAGCCCATAGTGTCTTGATGTACTAAGCACAGAATTTCCTTTTGTGGTCTAGGGTGACCTGGCATTGGATAATAAATATCTGTCAAAAGATTTCCTGAGGTTGACTGGAAGCATCATTGACACTTGAAGTTGTTGCTTTCACAGCATTATACGGTGAAACCGGAAAACTTTTCTTTTTAGTATATTGAAGTCACGTCTCTTTGTAATTATCTCCTAATAGACAATAATCATTTAATCCCCTATTAACTCGAATACTCACACCTCTTTTTGTTGTGTGGTCCAAGAAGTTATGCATAATAACTTCTGCATGAATCTTGCATTTCTTTGTTTACTCTTTTATTATCGTGTTTGTCCAACATTTGGAGAAGAAAAAACAAAAACAAAACAAACCGATGACTCCCCAGTTATCAAAAAAAGTCTTGTTAGAAGTTTGAGAAAGAAACACTCACACACACACACACACACACACACACACACACACGCCCCACACGGAAAGCCACAGCATGCTCACATTAACTGTGGAAACTGTTTTCCATTAATGTGTAATCAAGAAGCAGGCAGGCCATTTACTTTGAAAAATAAAATAAGAAACCAGTTGCCCTCCCCTCCATGCCCTTCCAGATTAGACTAAGCCCCCACATTCGACAACCTGTTTGTCAAACTTAGCCTCTCAAAGAATAAATTCCCTTTTTTGTCGCAGAACCAGTAACAAATCAGGAGGGGTGGATTTTTTGTAATGAGTTAAAATATTCCAAAAGCTTAAGGCTTCCATTGCAGTTGACCTTTAAGGCATGTTGCAGCAACAAAGTTAATTCACTCTGCACATGTTGCACAGCAACAGGTGGTAGACAACCACGGGGCCTGTGTGCATTCCTCCGTTTGCAAACCCCTGGCCCCTGGTATTCTGGGATTTACACTACCTCCCCCAGGCCCTGACTGACAAGCTAATCGGTGTGCTGGGAAGCGCTGAGCTATTGATTCCACTGTAACAGAACACCACCCTGTCAATGAAACTGCAATGAAATGCTTCAGCAACGAAGAAAGGGAGGCATTCGACTGTTGAGCAACTGGAAGAAATTTGCTTGTAGGTAGTGCGGCAGAAATGAAAAAGCTCTCCGGAGCAGGGCCTTGAAAAGCCAGGTTATTAAAAAAGCCACAAAGCTGGAGTCTGGCTGAGTGGAGAAAAACAGTTATGGTTCAGTTAGGCGTATCTAAAAGAAGAAGGGAGGAGGGGGTGCAGCTTTCAAAATTGCATTAATCCCTCGAGTACTTAATTTCTTTTCTTTTATGGAAGCTTGTAGTATAGCAACAAGTATTCAAGCAGTTAATAATTTTAAACAGTTTAGCTTACCTTAGGCAATATATCTTTAGCCTTAATTAAAATTTTATTTTAGTAGGAAAAATATTAAAATGACATTAAGATCTATCCTCTATGATGGGACATATATGATAATATGAATATCTTATTAGACAAACTATTATTAAACAGTGGCTGGCATTTTCTCTCCTGAGTTTGACTTTAGTTGTCTGAAACGCCGTCACCATTTCTTAATAATGTCTCGATAGCTTCCTTCTGAAATATTTGAAAGTGCCACATTAATTGGAAACAGAAGCCAAATGCACATCCCATTTTTAATACATTGATGGGAGATCCATAAACCACACCTAGGTACTGGAAATTCATTGAGAGGGGTAGTCTTCTCACAGAAACAGTATTTGTGTAACCCCAAGTATTCATCACAAGCCACCAAACAACTTGATCTTGGTCATCCTGGTTAAATATTTTACACGGAAAAAAAATCACTTCTTTTACAGTCACAATGCTAAAGAAGAGATATAGAAGCTAAAACTGCTATATTTGCAACTTGCATAAGCTTTATCTACCTGTTATGTAGTCATGTGTGTGCCTGTGTGTGTGTGTGTGTGTGTGTGTGTGTGTGGGCGGGTGTGTGCATTCCCGAGTTTCTCTGGAAGTGCTTAAAGAGTTAAGCAGTTGGGTCTCATCAGTGTAAGGAATCTTAACGACAAAACAAATCTTCGAAAATTACCTCCAACCTGAAACTACACAGAAAATAACCATCAATTTTCATCTGTATTTCCATCTTTCATCTCTACATCTAGTACTGATCACTGTGGCATTGAAGTGCTCCTTCAAACTAATTAGATTAATTTCAATTTCTATTGTGTGTGAGAAGGACACACTTATCATCTCCCTCCCTGCTGAACCCAATAATTGATTGGATGGTGGCAGATTGGTAAGATCCTCCTCCTGCCAAGATGAAGGAAAGTCTGGATCAGGGGGTTATTGAGGATTCATTTTTTGAAGTCGGAGTTGTTGATTGTACTTGTGACTTTGAGGATGGAGTCTTCCAGTCTGTGGCATCTTTGCTCTGTGAAGAATTGGCTGTGCTGTGCCTTCTAAATATAGTTTGTGAATATGCATGCTTCAGTGGGCCATGAGGCACCTGGGAAACAGGAGCAGGGCAGACGTGTGTCTGTTGGCAAGAGTGGAAGGGGAACCAAGGGGAAGGGGCACTTAACTTGGAGTGAGGAGGTGTGGGTTTCTGTGCCGATTCTGTTCCTAACCAGCTGACGTCTTGAGACATTTACTTATCCTCAAAGGACCCAATTTTTTAAATCTATAAAATGGAGGAGGATTTATTCAATAAATATTCATGGAACCTAGCCACCATACAGCATGAACTGTGATAGGTTTTGAGGATTCAAAAGTGAGCAAAAAAGAGGGAGAGCTATGTCTTGAGCTGAGACGTGATAATTTAATGTCCAGGCAGAGCAAAGGGAACGTGCAAGGGAGGCAGGTGGGGAAGTGCACAGGACTGGAGGACGTACAAGGGAGGAGCAAGGGCAGCTTGCAGTGAGAGAAGGCTGCAGAGGGAGGCATATGGTAAGGGGATGGGGCGTGATCAGATTTGGGTTGGCAAAAGATTTGTCAAGAACTTGGTGGAAGAGACCAAGAGTGGAAATGGGTCAAGCAGGGGGCAGCTATGATAGTAAACCAGTCAAGAGAGGATGGGCATTACCTGCCTGAGAGCCTGGTGGGGAGGATGAGCAGAATGAAGAGATGCTCAGGAGACACTCTTGACAGCATATGGTGATGAGTCAGGTTTAAGATTCTAGAACATGTCCCCCAGTTTCTGGCTGGAATTACCCAGTGGACGGTGAAGTCACTCACAGACTGGGGACACTGGACTGGGACCAGATTTGTCATGCTCACAAATTTGGTTCAGGACACGAGTTTGAGAACAATTTGATTCACCAGAGAGGATGATGAGATGACCCCTAAACTCTCCAACACCTTTAAAATTCTATGATTCGCTCAGATGAATTTGTTGTAGGGAAGTGTATCCTGGTCACATTTGGAAGGTGGCATCAGGTAGTGGAAATATATCAGCTTTTATCACAGATGGGGCCCTAACCTAATTTGGCTGTTTTCTGGCTGAGGGATGTTGGTCTAGTTAATTTATCTCAATGTCAATTTCCTATTACGAATCAGGGCAATGCCCCTCCCTTTCATGGTTAACATGAGCATCAGAGATAAAGTGTACATTTCCTGCATGTCCCCAGACACAAGGAAGAGTTAGAATTTTTTTTAAAGAACTCGTTCCAAAGTTTGTTGTGATGAGATATTCATCCATACTGTCCTGTGTCAAAATAAACAATATATTATTCCAGACGATGGGGGTGGAATAATATATAAAATAAAATCTACTTAATAAGTGATTGTTCGCAGATAACAGTGACTATTTAACAACCCGGCTACCAGTTTGTTCAAGGGTCTTCTGTTCTATGTGTGGGGCTCAATGGAGTCAAGTTACAACACAATATTCTCCAGAGAAAATTCTTGAGTCTCTCTGATGAGGTTTCTTTTTGGCAGTAGTGGATAAGTAAGTTATATTCTCCCATGGGTGCTTAGGAAGGGTAGTTCCTGGAAGATGGCTGTGGTGCCACACACATACATCCCTCTCATACAAGAACACATGTCCTCATACCACCAAGACAGACTGATGGTGCTATAGGAAGAGGCTTCTTTCAGTTCTTGTATGTGTGTGTGATCATTCAAAATCTTGGCATTTAACTACTTTTATTAAAATATTGCCCAGTCTACCTCACAGCAGATCAACATTCACCATTTAGTTACCAAATTAAACTTCTTATGGCCATCCATGACTGTCAGGAGACAAGAGGGCGAGAGGTGTTCTATCATAGAAGTGTGAAGCTAAGGTCAAGATCTCACTTTTAAACTTTCCTTTGGAAAAATGCAAGGGAATTTTGAAAGGATTGAGGATTCTGAGAAACTTATTTCCTTATTTCTCCATGAAGATGGAATGATTATTTCAGTGTTTCTTAAGGCTTTTCAAGTTAACAGCTTCTAATATGTAAAAAGGTCTTGTACCTTGTAAATTCACTTATTCCCTCAAACATTGCAAACTACCTGCATTTCAATCCTAATTTGTTGTTTCATCTAAATACCATATAGGTTTTGCTCATTTAAAAAGAAACTCTATTTAAAAAGCGTCTCTGTTTTCTTCCAGGCACTTAAAAACTTATTACCTATCATCTCCCTCCCCTCTCTCCAAGTTTACTTACTTGTTAGCAAATTGGATCAGTTTCGTCAGCTAAAAGAGCTGTGGTCATGAACATAAAGCTAATCATTGTTATAAATACTTGCTTAACATTGCAAAAATTCTAAGGTTTCCAGAAAAAGTTTTTTTTTTTTTAAATAGGTAGGAATTAATTTGGATGATGCATTTCTACATGTGCTTAGAGTGCTTGAAATCTAATTTTGAGGCATCCACCTTTGGAAATGTTAGCATTTAAAAATACTTTAAAAATGTTGGGAAGATATAAAGTAGTGGCAGTTTGGTGAAATGAAGAACATTAGTATTTGCCTTTCAATTTAGCAGCTGCTTGTTGAGCACTTAAATGATCAATATCTTGGATCTATTAAGATGACCCAATCCTGCCTTCAGAGAGTTTTGCATTTTTTTCTTCTTTAAAGTGCAGTAAGAATGTGCTTATATGAATAATTGGCAGTTGAAAATATGCCAGCTTCATTCAATGTGGAAAAATTAAATTTGGCATTGAATCCAAGCTATTTAATGCATACAAATATGGTTTTCTATATATTTTGAATGATGTTGTCAAGTCTATTAGAGCCAACTCATTATTTTCTGTATTACTGGAAAATAAGGAAAGACTGAATAAATAATTTTGTTAGCCAATCATTTCAACATCTTGCCCTGCTAAGTTTTGAAGGGTCTGACCAATTTCCTGTCTCTACCTTGATCTGCCTGAAGGGTTGTTAATAAAGTTGTGGCCATGATCAGCAATGTGGAAGGCAATAGGGGATAGAGAGAAATAAGTACCTACTAGATAACTATTTCCTGAATAATACTGGGACATGTAGACACTGGCTGAGAAAGAGACGGAATCTGGCTGGCAAGCCAATAGAGCCTTTTGAGGATTTTGCTTTGATGGAGAATGAGGGCGTCTGTCAACATTTGGAATTCTGCACTATTTGGGGAATAACTCCTCTCTTCAGGTCCTATACATGTGTTCTATCAGCACCAAAAAGAAAAAGAAACGCTCAAGTTTATATGGTTATCAGCTTTTCCATTGGACTCTTCCTTTTCTTTCTTGCTAGAGTTACCAGTTTCTTGACTTTTGAAAACACAACTTCTGCTGGGTCTCTTTGCTTCCTGGTTTATCTCATTTTCTTTACAGTTCTTTGCTAACCTTGAATACTTATCTGTCTTCCTGTGTGCCTTCCCATTATCTTTCTAGAATTATTAACCTCCCTACCCACTATTCATCAGCTAGTGACGTCCCAAACCGTGGCTAGTCTACAGCCTTGCTCAGTCAAGAATCTCTTCTTACTAGAAATGGAAACAAACAAAAGCTTACTCTACAAAAAGGAGGAAAAAGGAGGAGAAAAAATGTAGACAGAGATGATAGAACTTGGGATGAGAGACTGTTGCAGAAAGTAGGAAAGAGGGCAGGAGCCAAGGCAGCCTCTTTCTCTCTTTCATTGGCTCACATAATTGCTCAAACTGAAAACTGCTTCTCTGAGGATCGATTTCATTTTCACATCTCTGGGTATTCTTCTTGCTAGTAACAAGCTTCCTCTGTTTCTATGAGTTTTTTACAACTTTTGAGTTTACCCGTCCTCGGTTGAAGCCAGCCACAGAGATTAACTTGAATTGCTAGTCCCAAATCTAAACCCTTAGATGACTCAATGAACTGTGGCCAGTGGAACAGGATCATTTATATTATAGACACATCAGATAGGGAGGCCTTCCTTATGGTAGAAGAAATTTCTGACTTTAACATCCATCCCCAAAGCATCCCTCCCTCCTATGCTCTAGGTCTACAATATTATATCCACCAAGAGTGGAATTCACCATCCTCCTATCTTCAAGCAGAGAATCCTGTCTCCCTTTCCCATTTCTACAAAAAGAAAAAGAAAATGGGCCAACACCGTAATTCCCTCCATTCTTAGGTCCAAGATCTCAGTTAATTGTAACCTATCTTAATTCAGAATTCCTTGTTCTTAGTTAATCACTATATCCCATAATCCTTTTAAAATGTCACATCGATTTATACTTTCTCCCATCTGCATATGTTACCCTAGCTCATGGTTTTTGTTTGTTTGTTTGTTTTTTAATCTGCATTACTGGATTTACTTCCCAGCTACCATGTCCTGTTTCCATCTTCTCCTTCACGTAAGCCATTCTTTCAAATGATCAGCCAAAAATTCTGTTACCTCCATGATATGGGACACTTAGGAATATACCTTGGGGTTCCGTTCCATAAAATCCACCTTTCCTTACTCAGGCTTCCAAGTTCTTCTTTCATTGCTTGGCTTTCTGATCCCACTCGTGTAAACTGGACTTCTTCTTTGCCTGGAGGCCTGGCCTCCTCACATCCGTCACCCCCAGAGATGTCTAGGTTTTACTAAGTTGCATCAATAAGAATGTTCCCTATCGTTATGGGCCTTAAATTTATGGTATTAATAAAAATGTTTTCGTTTTTAGTAAAATAGTATCTTTGTCTCCGTTTTACTGTATTTTCCATTAAAATGAAAATCTTCAGCTGTATTGATTGTCCAACTATTACCTTGCTTAACAATGATTACATTCTAGTTCTTCTCTCTAGAAGCCCACCATGAGGTTGTGTCTCTGAAATCAGTCACATCATCAGTATCCCCCTTTGGAAGCAACAAGTCTTTCATGATTATGTGTGAGAAGCTAAAGGAGGGTGGAACTTAAATAGACCAGAACCCCTGAAATATCCCAGAAAGATACCAGAGGCCCTGCACTAAATCAAGTTGTCTGCAAACCGTGGAGAAAAGTGAAGACATTTGGTTTTGGATGAAAATTAATTTTAATGTATTTAAAACCACATTCAACAATTATTTTCCACTAACGGTGAAACGCTAAATGGACGACTTCTTATTTATTACAGACGATTTGAGGTTTCATTCGAATAGGGCCTATGGGTCCGTGGCTTACTGTAAGCTTTAGATTAGCTGTGATATCAGAGTTGGCATGACCCATAGCAGCTGCTAATGCAACACATGCCTATCATTTGCTGTTGACAGGCATTAATAAAAACCTAATTTGAGGAAATTATGAAAAACCTACTCATTATGCAATCTGGTTTATGTTCTGGCATGTGGCAATCATTGGCTTGATAGCCGAGAAACCTTCATTTCCAGAATTTTATGGCCTATGTTTCAATTGCAGACCCAGCCAGAGCCCCCTCACCTCTCCCACGTGTTTGATCTTCTAATTGCCTCAAGACATATACACAGGTTTGCTTTATGATGCTGCAGGCTCCAGCTGAGCCCTGGTCTGATGTGCAGCGGAATCCAGTGTTGCCGTCAGAAATGGGTACTTGGCTATTACAAGAAACTTAATTCTGACCTGTCTATCAAGAGCATTCACCTGTAATCCCCCTCCCCCTCCTTTAACTTGTTCCTTATGGCCTCTTTGGACTTTCTAGTGGCTCTAGTAGAAAATATCCCCCAGTCTAGGAGAACAATTCCTGCTCGTATAGTCAGCTCAGACTACATATGTGACTTGTAGGTACCGTGTACCTTGACTATAGCTAATAAGTAACATTTAAGTCATTCCATTTTTGTTTTATTAAAAGAGACTTTTCTATAAATGGTATCCTCTCAAATTTTGACAAGGTAGAGAAAGGCAGGTTGGAAAGGGTTAAGAAAACCTTAAAATCATCTGACTTTATAGAGTCTGTGCTTCCTGCTCTCTGATGCTGTCTTTTTAAACATTAAACTTAAGAAAAAAAGTTGGCAACTTTGCATCTCATAGAAGAACTGGTTCTTCTCATTGGCCTTTGGCTAATGCCTCATAAAAGTTCCCAGATAAACAACTATGGCTAATTGTAACCTCAAGCTAATCAAACAGAATTGTTCTAGAAAAAGGTCTTTCTGTTGATCTGCCTTATCTTTTTTGACTTGTCAAAGGCCTCCCTCCCTTCCTTCCTTCCTTCTTCCTTCCTTCTTTCCCCTCCCTCCCTCTCTCCTTCCCTCCCTCCCTCTATTCTTCTCTCCCTCCCTCCTCCCTACCTTGCTTCCTCACTCCCTCCCTTCCTGGATCCTTTCCTCAATCTTCCTTCTTTCTTTCCTTAGTATCTGATTCCAGTTCTTCTTTCTCTGTCACGTGCATTTACTTTTATTTCAATTCAAAGTTTAACAATCTCAAAGCAGCTAAGTTGGACACAGAAAGCAGGTCTTTCTTTGCTAATGCTACAAGGTGAGAATGATTTGCTGGCCCCTTCAATTCAGAGGTAGAAAGCTGAACTTAATTAGGTATCACAGAATAAATGGAAGATCAGTGGCTAGACTCTCCTTGCATTGGCCAGTGAGTGCGCCCCTGTTGGTAGGATGTTAGCTGCCCAGAAAAGAAAGCATTTCTGCTCTTCTATTCTCACAAATTCCACCATTGGACATTTGTTCACTTGGCTCAAGACTCTATTTTTGTTTTTGTTTGTTTTGTTTTGTTTTAAGAGATAGGGTCTTGTTGCCCAGGCTGGAGTGCAGTGGTGTCATCATAGCTCACTGTAACCTCGAACTTATGGGCTCAAGTGATCTTCCCACCTCAGCCTCCTGAGCAGCTGGAAGATTAGGCATGCACCACTATGCCTGGCTAATTAATTTTTCTTTTTTTTTTTTTTTTTGTAGAGACTGCATCTTGCTATGTTGCCCAGGCTGGTCTTGGACTCCTGGCCTCAAGCACTTCACCAGCCTCAGCCTCCTGAAGTTCTGGGATTACAGGCATGAACCACCAAGCCCAGAAAAGAAAGTCCGTTTCTTCTAAAAATGGAGAGGGATTTATTGAATATATATCATAGCATGTCAAGACAGCTAAGATCATCTTAGTAGTCTCATTTTTAGAAAAGTCAACTTTATATAGGTATAATTTACATATAAAATGTATTCATTTTAAGTGTATGTTTTGATGCATTGTAATTAATGTAAATGATCAAAATGCTTAACATTTCAATCCTCTCCAATACTTTTATGGACCTTCCTGGAATTTGCTGTAAGTTCTTTTGTGTCTGGTATCTTGACTCCACATAATAGTCTTGAGATTCATCCATGTTTTTGCATCTGTCAGTAGTCTATCTCTTTTAGCTGCTGAGCAGTGCTCCATTGTATGGTTGAAGTACATTCTGTTTATCCATTCACTTGTTGATGGACATTTGGGTTATTTTTGGCTATCATCATTAGAACTGCCATGAGCATTCCTGTGTAAGTCTTTTTGTGCATATATATTTTCATTTCTTTTGGGTAAATACCTGAGATTGGAATTGCTATAATTGGAGGGTTATATGGAGAATATATGCTTAACTTTCTAAGTTATTGCCATCTCTTTTCCAAGTGCTTTTATCATTTTACATACCAATTCTGTTTGTACCACATCCTTGCAAACACGTGTTGTCAGTGTTTTAGAATTTTAACTGTTCTAGTGTGTGAGTAGTGGTAGCTCATTATGGTTTTAATTTGTATTTTCTGGATGACTACCAATATTGACTATCATTTTACATGCTTCTATGAAATATCTGTTGAAATCTTTCATCCACTTTTAAACTGGGTTGCCTTTTTATTATTGAATCATAAGAGTTTTTTTTAAACATAAATTTTGGATACAAATTTTTTGTCATACACATGTACGACAAAAATTTTCTCCAAGTATTTAATAGCACGAGTCATCATCATCATTTTCAAAAATTTCTCAGTTGTTTTTAACTCTTTATTTCTTCAGATTGTTCTATAATGATTTTGTTAAGCTTAGAAAAAAATTACTGTGGAGATTTAACTAGAAATGATTAAATTTATCAATGAACTTGTGAAAAGCTAGACAGGTTTAGGATATCATCATCCCTTCTTGTTGATTCATATAACTTTCCATTTATTAAGCACTTAGGCTTTAAGTGAAGTTTTATGTTTTTAACGTAGTTGTGAATATTTTTGTTAATGCTTAAATATTTAAGATTTATTATAACTACCTGAGATTTTTTCCACTGTGTTATCTATTATTTGAAAAGTCATTCATTTTTTAATATTTGTTGCATTATTTGGGATGGATTATTTTTCAGTTACAACCCCACATCATAGTGGTTTAACATAATAAGCATCTGTTTCTTCATCACGTAAAGCCTTCTGCAGGTCTGGGCAACACTCTGGGGAAGTTACTCGCCACGTGTTATCTCAGTGACCTAGGTTGCATCTACCTTGGTTACCTTTATATCAGCAAATGTTTTCACAGTTGCCTTAGCCAGGGAAGGCAGATTGCAGAATTGAGCATTAGCAAGTAAAATACTTTGGCCTAAAAACAGGCTGGGCGCACTGGCTCACACCTGTAATCTCAGCACTTTGAGAGGCAGATCACTTGAGGCCAGGAGTTCGAGAACAGTGTGGCCAACATAGTGAAACCCTGTCTCTACTAAAAAACTCTGTCTCTACTACAAAAGTTAGCTGGGCTTGGTGGTTTGTCCTGTAATCCCAGCTACTTGGGAGGCTGAGGCAGGAGAATTGCTTGAACCTGGGAGGTGCAGGTTGCAGCGAGCCAAGATCACGCCACTGAACTCCTGCCTGGGCAACAGAGCGAGACTCTGTCGCAAACAAACAAGCAAACAAAAACACTTTGGCCTAAAAGCATATATGAGTCACTTCTCAAATTCATGACCAGCACTAGGCACATGGCCAGGACAAACATTAAGAGAGACAGGAAACAATGCACCAAGAAGTAGAGGAGAATGGGATATTTGTGAACAATGGTCATGCCTTCCATATTGATTTTGTTGACTCATCTCTCATGTTAGGTATAAGAATACTTCATTTTATTTTTTTGGGGGTGCTAGGTAGTTGTTCATATTATCTTCAAATAATGTTATTGCCTACTTTTAAAAGAATGTGGAACTGCCGAAATCTTTTAAAATAATGTAAAGTAATAGTAGTGATATGAGACATTCAAATCTGTTATTTGAACTTAAAGTATATGCTTCAAACTAATGTATGTGAGCTTTGCTGTGATTTGACAGCAAATAATAAATGGAAGGAAAATTTGAAACATAGTAAAAATAACTTGCATTAATAAAAAACTATATTGAATTTTGCAAGTTTCAAAATCCATCTCAATAATCACCTGATTTTTCTTCCTCAGCCAATTGGCGTTATGAAAGAATAATATCAGTAAACTGTTTCATATTAAACCATCCTTATATTTATAATCTAAATCATTATTGATTATTTTTTCAATGTTATGGTGTACTTTATTTAACTGGATTTTATGTAATAATGCTTTTTATTAATATTAACAATTGAGATGCACTGGAATTTTCTCTTTTTAGTGTTATCTCTTTTAGATTTTAAGGTATTGAATTTATTGTCTTTAACAACAAATTGAGAAGCTTTCTGTCTTTTTCATGCTTTCCTATTTATTATGGGAAAAATTAAAAAGAAATGCATTTATAAAATCATCTAGCCATCTTACTTGGACTTTAATCATTGTATTTTTATTTCTGCCTTTATCTTTTGTCTGTTCACATGCATGCATACATACATATGTTTTTGAAATGATTTTGATGATTTAAACATTCTCAGAAAAACTCTAATCTTTTTATATTTTCAAAATATCAAAAAATTCTTACATATTATTTTATATTTTTATGTAAAAACTTTTATATTGACTCCACAGTTTCCTCATAAATCAGTTCTTATATTTATTTTCCAATTCTACTTTGTTTCTTTAATTAATTGATACCTTCCCTTAGTTTTATGATTATTTTTCACCCTCTTTCCTTGGTCTTTATTTTATGATTCCTTTTCTAACTTCTGATTTGACTTCATCATTTTCCCTCCTTGTTTAATAATATAAATGTTTGCATCTACAAATTTCCTTCTGAAAGCATCTTTGACTGCATTCATTACCTCGTGTTATGTAATGACCCAATAGATATTATTTTCTGATTAACTCATTATTTTATTCTGCTTTCCTCTTTGAGACAATTTAGTGAGTAGGATACATAAATTTTTCAGTTACTGGTTTCTTATGATGTAATACTTTGTTATAATATCTAGCTTAATTGTGTGGGTCAGAAAATGTAACATGTACAGTTTCTATTTATTAAGTTTTTAAAAGTCTAACACTTGCACAATTATTATAAACCAGGGATTCTCATATTTTAGGGTACATGAGAATCCCTGAGGTGTTGAAATGCGTATGTTTAGTTCCTCTCTGGAAATTATAATTCAATAGGGGTGGGAAAATGCATTTTCCCTAGTACTCAGTTAATCCTGATATAGCTGCACTCTGAGAAATGCAACCATAAATAACGAAGGGATGCTTGAATAAAATCTATATTCTCCATTTGTAGGGAAAGTTCCATATTCCAGGATGAATTTTTATTATATTATTTAAATTTTTAGAAATAACTCTAGGCATTTGAAGGAGAATGGGATTTAATACAGAGAATTAGGCATTTGCAAAAGCACTGGGAGAGCCAAAAGAGTGGGACGTAGGCTGACCTTCGAGGGAAGCTCCCAGGATCCAAAAGGGTGGGGCTGGCAGGGAAGCTGCTCTTCCTGAGGCCATGGTTGCAGGTGCAGCCGCCTCTAGATGCTCCAGAAACTGTGGAGAATGGACACTAGAATGCTGCTGCTGTCAAAGCTCAGTTTCCACAGTCTTGTTTGCAGATAGAAATAGCCAAAAAAGAAGTCAGGGATCCAATGCGTGTAATGACTTCCTCGCTTTCGAAACCCTGCGTAAATGCTTCAAAGTCAGAACTAATCCATATCCAGAATTGCAAAGGAGTCTGGAGGTTATAGCTTTTAGTTTTCCAACCTCTCCAACTAGAAGTATGATGGATGGAATTTGAAAGCATCAATATACAGGTAGAAACTTCTGTCAGAGGTGCGGCTGTGGTCATGAAGTGCAAAGAAAGAACACATGAGACACTTATAAGACGTCTTCGCTATATTAACAGATGGTTTCTGATGGAGAAGGATAAGTTAATGATGGTTTCACAATTTTGATCATGCATGACTATAGGATTGGGGCTATTCTTGAGCTAGATACATAATCCAAGGAGCAGTAGTGTGTGTGTGTGTTTGTAATTACTTTTGCACCAACCTAATAGATGTTTGTTTAAAGACATCTAACTTGCAGAGGCAGGTAATAAATATTATTTTATAAATTCTGAGCTCAAGTTAACATGAAACTATTCAGAGAACATCTAGAATCTAATGGAATATCTGAGCTTACTAGAAAGAAAAAATAACTATAAAAATGGAAGAGAGAAGCCATCTATACATTTAATATATATTTAGAATCATATCCTATATTGACGATATCAGAAAATGTATAATGTAAATTAAGTACAGTATTTTAAGTTTAAGAAAATAGGAATGTATAAAAACTATTTTAGGGCCAAGCATGGTGGCTCACAACTGTAATCCTTGCACTTTGGGAGGCCGAGGCGGGTGGATTGCCTGAGCTCAGGAGTTTGAGACCAGCCTGGGCAATACAGTGAAACCTCATCTCTACTAAAAATACAAAAAATTAGTTGGGCATGGTGTGGGCGCCTGTAATCCCAGCTACTCATGCAGCTGAGACAGGACAATCGCTTGAACCCAGGAGGCAGAGGTTGCAGTGAGCTGAGACCGTGCCATTGCACTCCAGCCTGGGTGACAAAGCGAGACTCTGTCTCAAAACAACAACAACAAAAACTACTTTAGAAAGATACACATATTGGGGAAAATGTTCATTTTATTTGGACACAGGAGACATGAATTGAAGTTTTAATTCTGTTTTTATATGGCATGTTACATGAGCAAGTAATTTGAGCTTTTGTGAATTCAATTTTTCTGCAGATAACATGTATAAGTTAGCTACTGCTGTGTAACAAAACCCACCCCAAGACTCATTGGCTTGAAAGAGTAACCATTTATTATTTCTCATGACTGTAGGTCAGCTAGGTGGTTTCTCTGGACAAGACAGGTCATTCATGTGTCTGTAGTCATTTGTGGTTTGGGGAGGCAGCTCTTTGACTTTGGCTAGCCTCCTTACCTGTGTGGGAGTTGGCCAGCTGCTGGCTAGTCTAGGATGGCGTTGTTTAGGACAACTGGTTTATCTTTTATGTGGTCTCTAAGGCTTGAGCTTGTTTATTTCACAAAGAAAAGTTTCAAGAGAAAGAGTAGAAGTGTGCAATGCTTTTTGAGGACTAGGTTGGGAACTTGACCCTTGTCATTTATCAATATGAATCTCGTGACTCACAAAGCTGACTGAGATTCAAGGAGTGGGGTGAAAAACCTGAAAACATAGATAACAAACTACAAATGGTAACTTTTTGGGAGTGAGGAAATTATAGGTAATTTTCACTTTTTCCGTTTTGCTAATATTAATTGTATACATTTTTGTACTTTAAACTTTACTGTTATAATCAGAAAAATTGTACTTTAACAATATATTCATTACTTGGGATATATACCTGTTAATATAAAATAATGTACTAATTCATTTTGTAGCCTGAATATCAGCTGAGGTAACCCCTCTGGTTTGAGAGTTTAGCAAAAACTGACTTGAACCTTCTTTCCTAATGTTATGCATGAAATTTGCGTAAATAAACCCTTCTTAAGATTTCTGTGAATTTCCAGGAGATTAGTTGTTTTCCATTCTGTCTCCTGTCCCTGTCCAATTGTTTTGCTTTTTTCACAAACAGCATGAACAGCAAGCTTTTGGGAATGCACAGGTGTTATTGAGGTCTTGGAGTGATTAATTTGCCACTAATCATTTAAGTTTTAATCATTTAAATGATTAGGAGTAAATTAAAATGTAAATGATTGGGGTAAATTAATCACTCCCAAGTGTCCGGAAGAACCACCTAGCTGATGTACAGCCACGAGAAATAATAAATGGTTACTATTTCAAGCCAATAAGTCCTGGGGTGGGTTTTGTTACACAGCAAGAGCAAGCCTATACAGGTTATTTGTAGAAAAACTGAGTTCAAGGCCAAGCACAGTGGCTCAGGCCTGTAATCCCAGCACTTTGGGAGGATCACCTGAGGTGGGCAGATCACCTGAGGTTGGGAGTTCGAGACTGGCCTGACCAACATGGAGAAACCCTGTCTCTACTAAAAATACAAAATTAGCCAGGCATGGTGGCAAGCACCTGTCTTCTCAGTTACTTGGGAGGCTGAGGCAGGAGAATAGCTTGAACCTGGGAGGCAGAGGTTGCGGTGAACCGAGATCATGCCATCGCAGTCCAGCCTGGGCAACAAGAGCAAAACTCCATCTCAAAAAAAAAAAAAAATTGAGTTCAAAAAAGCTTAAATTAATTGTTCATGTAACATGCCATATAAAAACAGAATAAAACCTTCAATTCATGTCTTCTGCACCCAAATACAGATTTTAATTGTTAGATTTATTCATAACTAAGCTTCCTTCCACCTCCCTGCCCTGCCCTGTCGTGACCAGTGTTTCCACAAGTGCCCGCCCCACAGCCAGGCTGCTTGACCTCTCCACCTTCTCAAGCCTCCTTCTCATCTTGGCCCTTCTTATGCTGCTTTTAACCCCAAAAGTTGTTTCGTTTTGTTTTGTTTTTCTCATCTAGACCAGTTTGGCCAATGTTCTGTTTTGCTGGCTCCTTCTTAATATGCCTTTAGGTAGAGTTCACCCTTTTAGCCCAACGGATATCAATGAAATACTTTGCTTTAAATATCCAGATTGATTTTAGAAAGAAGTATGTGAAATTATTCCCTAAGGATAGAAATAGCTGCAGTCACTGTAGTATAAAAATCACATAAAAATCCTGTATACATGCATTTATTCAGCAAATTTTTTAAAGCACCTACTATCTTGTAGGCACTATGCTCAGAATATGCTGGAATTTGAAAGTGAGTGTTTTCCAGTCCTTATGAAGCTCATCTGCTACTACTGTCTCACTTTCCAAAGGTATTTGGAGAATAAAGTATTGCTGTAAACACCTGACTTATAGAGAATCTTTCATCAAAGTTTTAATATTTGTCAAAAAGTATATACACCAGTCTTTATGAGACATAATAGTAGTAGAACTTGAAATTGAGATGAACAAACAACAGTGATGAATGTTTGCAGAGCTGTCAGGGAAGAAAATGATTAATTCACTAAGTAGCAATTCCTAGCTGCACTCTTACTACTGAGCAGAAACCTCTCAGAGGCCCTGATGAAATAAGAGGAGCCTATACATACTTCCCCGACCTCTAACATCTCCCTGCCAACCAGAGAAGACAGAATGCATCTGTAGCAATAAATTAGGGAACGTTTAGATACTACATACTTGATTATGACTATAATTTCAATAGCCATGTTGATGGAAAGACGTCTATGTTGGTGAAATGTCCCAAAGAAACTTTGCAAAAGAAACAGGCCTGACTTACTTTAAGACATGTCAAAAGCATTCTGATCTACTCCATAGTAGGCTTAAAATTGGGTCAACTTGTGGATGAATAAGCTAGATCACATTTATGTCTGAAAACTAGTCTACCATTCATAAATCATACGAAAATTGTTTATTTTCTTCCTTCTTTTTCGCATGTACCAGTCTCTTGCATCTTTATCCCTATTGAATGCTATTATCTTCGTATGCCTAAGAAAAAGCCCAATTGCAATCCATTACAAAGATTTTAACAAGTTAATAAAAAAATCTACAAATTCCTTTATGGGAGACAGTCCACCTTCAAGAAGGAAAGAGGTTGGGGGTGGTAGTGGAATTCAATAGTCCATTCAGCGTTGAAATGTGAACAGTAAGCCTAGTCTTTGGATAAATTCATGCCAGATTTGGCCTGCAGCTCTCACTGGGCAGTTCCCAGATGCGAGCAGGCCTTTAGCCTGTGGTGAAGAAGCGCGGAATAATGCCTCTTTGAATTAGTTTCAAAATAGTGCTGCAATGCAGACTGACAACTTCTGATGCCAAATTGCAAGAACAACACATAATAGCAGTCTGTTAAAATACCCATAGTACTACTAGAGGATATGGTTATTAATATAAATTAAAAACCATGAAAAGAAACCAGAATTAACTGGCATCAGATGACTAGCCTAACAGTAAGACACCACAGTTTTTATTAAGGCAAGGATATGTAAAACAAAAAATAATAAAAATATGCTGACAGTTGGATATAACTTGCAATTACATATAGTGTTCGTCTAACAAGTTTAAATAAATAAATATAGCATGTTTGCAAACAAACAAAATAGATCACTAGAAATGTACCCATTTTACTTGGTGTAGTATATAAAGTAGATGGTGTAGTCGGGTGTGACTTTTAAGATTACAATGAGTTCTGAACAGGTCAGAAGGATGGTAGCAGGTAACAATTGGAATTTGCACTGAGGCACATGCTTGCCTGCAGTACTACCGTGAATATGTATGGGAACAAGGTGTTTATGTAGTTGAGTTGTCTTTACCTCTCAACTTGCTTTCTTTGTGAAAAATGCCCATCCAGGAGTAATGCAATTGTACGACTGATTGCAAACGTTGCTAGCCTGTGGTTAAAGGCCATGTACATAAGAAACATATGCTGGTCCTTCTGCCTGCCCTGCTCAACCTCCAAACCCACGCCTGCCTCAATCCTCTACTGCATCACAGCATCTGCACAAATGTCACCCTGAGAGGCGATCACCGAAATCCTGGACTCTCAGTATTAGTTTGTTAGGGCTGCCATAACAAAGTAGCACAGATGGGGTGGCATAAACAACAGAAATTCCGCTTCTCACAGTTCTGAAGGCTAGGAGTCCGAGATCAAGGTACTGGCAGGGTTGGTTTTCACTGATGTCACTCTCCCTGGCCCTTTGTCCCCAGGTCTCCACCCGGACTTCCCTCTGTGTGGATGTCTGTGATCTAATCTCCTTTTCATGCAATGACATCAGTCGTATTGGACAGGGCCTGCTCTCAGGAACGCATTTTAACTTAATCACTTTTTTTTCAAAACATTGTATTCATATACAGTTATATTCTGAGCTATGAGCAGCTAGTACTTCAATGTTTGAATTTTAGGAGTGCACAACTCAGCCTGTACGTGGCAGAGGCTGAGGTGGGAGTATCACGTAAGCCCAGGAGGTTGAGGCTGTGGTGAG
The DNA here is from genome assembly GCF_000001405.40 of Homo sapiens. Taxonomy (NCBI): domain Eukaryota; kingdom Metazoa; phylum Chordata; class Mammalia; order Primates; family Hominidae; genus Homo; species Homo sapiens. The sequence goes on along the minus strand of NC_000015.10, from coordinate 96,019,072 downwards.
TTCTGACTGTGCCACTGTACTCCAGCCTGGGTGACAGACTGAGACCCTGCTTCTAAGAAAACAAAAACAAAAACACCAAACACAGTTCAGCCTGTGACACTCTCTTTTCCTGTCTCTGCTTTATTTCTCCTCACACGCTTACCACCACCTGAAGATCCTTATGTGTTGGCTTAACTGTTGTGTGTCTCTTTCTTCCATTGGACTATAAGCTCTCGGAGGGCAGGGCTGCCTTGACCGCCGGGGTCATGATGCTTAAACAAACAAGAAATGCTAGCAAATGCAAACATTTGTGAAAGTCTTGGGACATATTCTTTGTAATTATCAAAGGCTTATTTTAAAGCAAAAAACCTGCACGGTCCTCAAGTTTTACAGTTTGCAGTGGAAGTGTTGGTGTAAGCCTGCCAACAATGTTTTCTTGGGAAGGACTATTCTATTTTACTGCAAGTATACCCTTAGTTGCTATTAATTACTATTAATTACAATAATTGCTATTTAATACTAGTATTAAAATATTTTTAAAAAGAAAAATGATGATACTACTAGACGGGTTTAAAAAAAATGTAACGTTCTTACTTAGCAAAAGAAGAAGAAAGAAAAAAAAAAGAAATACCCTGACACGTCTTCTAAAATGTTGCTGGTCCTAAAATCCTAACAGGTGGGTACCACAGTCATCGACCTACCCTCTACCATCAGCTCAATGACTTCCTTTATATTTTTCCCAAGCCTCTCTTGCAGTGAGTTTTGGCATGTGGGAATTAATTTCATTTCTCTTTGTGCCCACAACAAAACCAAAAAAACCCCACAAAGGAAACATAAACATACATACACATATCTTTTCTAAATATCTTTGTAATTCCCTTATTTTACTTTAAGCTTCAGAATTAAAAGACTCTTTTAGTCTTTTTTTTTTTGAGATGGAGTTTTGCTCTTGCCACCCAGGCTGGAGTGCAATGGTGTGATCTCGGCTCACTGCAACCTCTGCCTCCCGGGTTCAAGCGATTCTCCTGCCTCAGCCTCTTAAGTAGCTGGAATTACAGGTGCCTGCCACCATGCTGGCTAATTTTTTGTATTTTTAGTAGAGACGGGGTTTCACCATGTTGGCCAGGCTGGTCTTGAATGTGTGACCTCAGGTGATCTGCCTGCCCCGGCCTCCCAAAGTGCTGGGATTACAGGCACTGTTCTATGGAGAAGTTAATTATAGAAGGCAATGCATGACTAGAGACACTGCAGGATAGCAGGGGTGCACTAGACATATTCCTTGCTTGCTTTCACTCTTTATTTTCTCTTAGGAAAGGGTCTGCAACTTGAGCATGTATCAGATTCAGGCAGTTTGCTGGTCTTTATTTCTAGAGTTTCTGACCCAGTAGGTGTAAGAGTAGCCCAAGAACTTGCATTTCTAACAACTGACTAAGTAAATGCTTATACTTTCTGGGGACCTAACTTTAAACACCTCTGTCCAAAGATCATGATGGTATTGGGGCAATGGTCTTTGGCATTTATGAAGAAAGTTTCCCGAAAGTTTAGATGATTCTGATGCGAGCAAGGGGCAGGGAGATTAAAGAAAAAGGTAGATAACAATTACATTAAGCCTCTCCCTCTATCACCCCACATTTTTGAGAGCTTCTGCTTTAGAAGGAAATTTTTTTTTTTTTTTTTTGATGAAGTCTTGCTCTGTCACCCAGGCTGGAGTGCAGTGGCGTGATCTCGGCTAACTGCAACCTCTGCCTCCCGGGTTGGAGTGGTTTTCATGCCTCAGCCTCCTGAGTAGCTGGGACTACAGGTGCCCACCACCATGCCCAGCTAATTTTTGTATTTTTAGTAGAGATGGAGTTTCACCGTGTTGGCCAAGCTGGTCTCAAACTCCTGACCTTAAGTGATCCGCCCGCCTCGGCCTCACAAAGCATTGGGATTACAGGTGTGAGCCACTGCACCCATCCTAGAAGGAAATCTTATTAGGCCATGCTACTCCCATGGCTACTTACAATGGTGAAGGATGAGGCAACTAGAAAGATATTTAGTTTAAAATCATGCATCATAACATTTTCGTTATGATGAGTACCTTCTCTATAACTATTTTTAAATTAGAACAAATAGTACATGCTTATTGAGAAATTTAGAATACTACAGAAATCTTTAGAGTAATTCAGCATCACCACAGTTGCCTTGTTCTTGATTCTCTTGAAAAGTTTAACATGGATGGGTGTCTCCTGAATTGTAGAAAATAACACCTGACTCTAGGAAATAAATTTGTTTTCTCTAGAAAACAAAGTGCTGGTGGGAGGGTGCTAATGTGCTGGAGATGCTGCCGTGATCCTGGCCTCATTGTCTGGATACAGGATGAGAGGCACATTCACCAGGGAGTAGGGCCCTCACTTGCATGGCGCCTTCCAAGATCAGGGAGAGGCCCAATCAATGCATTTGTAGGGTATATTCGTCTGTTCTCACACTGCTGATAAAGACATACCCGAGTCTGGGTGATTTATAAAGAAAGAGAGGTTTAATGGACTCACAGTTCCACATGGCTGGGGAGGCCTCACAGTCATGGCGGAAGGAGAAAGGCACATCTTAAACATGGCGGCAGACAAGAGAGAAAATGAGAACCAAGTGAAGGGGGTTCCGCCTTATACAACCACCAGATCTGATGAGACTTATTCACTACTACGAGAGCAGTATGGGGGAAACCACCCCCATGATTCAATTATCTCCCACCAGGTCCCCCCAGCAATACATGGGAATTATGGGAGATACAGTTCAAGATGAAATTTGGGTGGTGACATGGCCAAACCATATCACAGGGTATTAGGCTTTTATAAAAACTTTACAAAACTATAAACATTTTCGTGTATTTTTTTCCATAGCTCCCCTGCCTTTTCCCCTAAATTAAAGAAGACTCAGTTTCCATCTGGGTAAAATTCTGACCCCTCATAAATAAAATAAATTTGAAGGAGAGGAAAATTCCCATCTTTCACTGTAAATAGCACGCTCCTTTTTGTTTGTCATGAAAAAGCTCCTGTTTACTCATATTCCATGTCATAGAACATCTCAGCCTCAAGAAGGATTTGGTGGAGGTGGATTTACCCCATTTTACAAAGGACCGTGTAAAGTCATTGAAGTTGTGAAAGTCTATTTTTTTCCTGTAAATCTATTTTTTACAGAATATAAGAAACATCAGTGATCTGATCTATCCTTCCTCCTCCTTCCCGCTTCCCCCAAAATCACATTCCAGTTTTTACTGTCTTTGTGTCCAGAGTAAACTAGGTGACTTATTTGTATAAAATGTTATTTTGCCGCAAGAGACAGTAATAAAAGAAAGATTTTCACAGAAAAAAAAAAAGAAGCTCTTGCTGTTGGGAGGTATTTCACTCTGTCATAATTTATCTTTAATAGATCTATTTAGTATCTATTGAGAGATCAACTTAATGAAGAGATTTGTGTCTCTCAGCTTTTAATTTAACAATTAAGGCTACTAGTGAATTCACAGATCAAAGATTGAAGCCTTAATTGGTCACTTGCCTTTGCATTTTAGAGGCTGTTTAATCATTTGAGGGTAGTTACACTGTTGCTGTTTATATAAATTTCATGACTTTTTCCTTTGATATTTGTTCAAATGCACATTTCGAGGCATCCTCTGCTTGCTCTCTGTCTGGTCTTCCAATCTAACGATACTGGTCTTGATAGGAACTAGCATATCCTTAACTACTCAGAACCTCAGTCTGTCTCATTTGTTAATACAGAGGTGGAAAATGATATTTTCTTCCCAATACCTACCTCCAGGATTAAATAAACCAAGTACATACAGCCCGATGTCTGGCAAATGCCAAAGTCTTCTAGTTGACTCTGCATAAAGCAGTAGAAACCTGGAAGCTATTCAGAGAATTTTGACTTTGATAAATCAAGCCGAATATGTACCCTTCCCCCCAATTATTTGCTGAATCAGGAAAAATGCATGCATGTTTTGCATTGCTTTGAATATTTGAGCAACTGCACCCAGATATAAATTACTGAATAGCTAATGATGCAAATATTGAAACAATGCCTATATCTGTGAGTTAAAAGAAAATCAGACCCCAGCAAATTGCTAATGGTAAATGTCTAATTGCTAATGGTATCAGTCTTATGAGTGAAATGGAGTCTACATAGTTGATCCAGGGATCACACAGCCAGATTGTTCATTCTTGTTGTCGTGTCTGGTTGACACAGATTATCGTCCAACTCTTTTGAGTGTAAGCATTAATATCAATTCCAAATATGGGTAAAGATAATCTTGGGGACTCTGGTATGTACTGCTAGATTGTCTTTGAAATTTGTTCTTCACTTTTTACTTTAGTAAAAGACCTCTAAATTTTAGCCAGACTTAAGGCTGTCTGAGAAAAATAAAAGCGTACATTTCCAGCCTTCCATGAAGCTACATGTGGCCATGTGGCAAACTGCTGGCCAATGAGATGTAAGTAAAAGTGATGTAGGCAACTCCCCAGTATTTCTGCAGCAGAGACTGGAGGGCATTGTGCTCTTCCTTCTCCCATTCTCCACCTTTCCAGTTAAAATGAATACATCATGGAGAAAATTGAGGTGGTCATTTTGGACAAGGAGGTGACTTTTAGAATGAAAGTCAACTATAATAAAGCAAAAAGATAGAAAGAGTGTGAGTTCTTCCAACATTCTGTAAGAGGGTCACCAGAGCCCCTTGATTTGTTTGAAGTGGGAGAAATTAATTTCTTATTTTCATCACTGTTACTTGGAATTTTACTGTTATGCACAATGCAACCTGGTCCTAACATATTGGTCATATTGCAGTTAGATTTGGAGGTCAAGTATAAACATGGCTTTACAGGGATCTTGTTGCCGCTATTAGAAAACAATAAGATTCTGGAAAAAATATTTCTTTCTAACTGTAGTTGCTCATTATTTAGAATATTTTTTAAAAAGTTTACAAAGACAGGAAAATTCTTCAAGTTATTTGTGCCTAGTTATAGTATTTTTTCTGAAGTACTTTTATATGACTACTAGAATACATATAAAAGGAATATATTTTAAAAGTTAGGTATGCATGGGAAAAAAATTATAAAGTTATAAAAAATAATCTAACCTCAGCATTTCTGTATTTACAATCCTATTCATTTTTTAAATCATCCCAAGTACTTTGTGAAAGACGTAGAGAATAAAGAACAAATCAGCATAAAAATTGTAGCAAAAATTCTTTTAGAAAACAGTATGGACATAGCTTCTAATTGGTGTTGACCAGCTTATCATGGAAATGCTTTTTGTAAACTGATAAGAAGACAGTGGCTTTTTTTTTTTTTTTTTTGGAGACAGATTCTTGCTCTGTTGTGCAGGCTGGAGTGCAATAGTGGCATGATTATGGCTCACTGTGAGCACTAAAAACAACCTACAAGGCCCAAGTGAGCCTCCCACCCCAGCCTCTTGAGTAGCTGGGACCGCAGGCATGAACCTCAATACCCAGATAATTTTTAAATTTTTTGTAGAGACAGGGTCTCCCTATGTTGCCCATACTGATCTCAAACTCCTGGGCTCAAGCAATCCTCCTGCCTCAGCCTCCCAGAGTGCTGGGATTCCATATGTGAGCCACTGTGTCCAACCAAGACAGTGCTTTTGTGCATGTGAAGATGAAGCTTCTGCAGCCTCCAATACAAGCAAAACTCTCCTCTCCTGCCTGTTTAGCCCTTGTTTTTCTTTTGACCAGGTTGTGCAGGTTTAAATGTCAGTTTTGTGAAGGGGACACTAGGCATTGGCCAGAGTACAAGCTGAGAACGCCAGTTCATCTCCTGCAAAAAACAACTAAGCAACTATCACATGATACCCTTTGGAGTTCACAGCTCAGGAAAAGATCTTTGCCAAAACGTTCACACACACACACCCACACACACTCAATCATATTATATGAAATGAGGACAAGAGACCTATCTAACCCAAAACTTTAAATCCTTGATTAAAGGCATTTACATATTAATGTAAAAAGTAGCCAGTATCAAGTAGACAATATCAATATCAAGGGAACGAGAAGATAAGCCACAGGATGAAAGAAAATATTTGTAAAAGACACATCTGATAAAGGACTCATTTAAAATTATACATAGAACTCTTAAAACTCAACAATAAAAAAACAAAGAACCAAGAGGAAAAATTGGGACCAAGATCTTAACAGACATTGCACCAAAGAAGATATACAGGTGGCAAGTAAGCATATTAACGTGTGCTCCCCATCACATATTAGAGAAATGCTAATTAAAACAAGTTACCACTATACCATGGCCCATATTTGTAACATGGATAAAACCAAATGCTGGTGAAGATGTGGAGCAACAGAAGCCCTCATTCTTCGTTGGTGAGAATACAAAATGGTACAACCATTCTGGAAGACGGTTTGGCAGTTTCTTCAAAACTAAACACACTCTTACCATATGATCCAGCAGTTGTGCTCCGTGGTATTTATGAAAATGATGGCAAAACACTTGTCCCCACAAAAATATAGACACAGATATCTACAGCAGCTTTATTCATAATTGTCAAAACTTGGAAGCAACCGGGATGCCGAAGTCCTTCAGTAGGTGAATTCAGTAGGATAAACTAACTGTGGTACATCCTGATAAAGGAATATTATTCAACACTAAAAAGAAATGTGCTATCAAGCCATGAGAAGCCATGGAGGAAACTTAAATGCATATCACTAAGTGAAAGAAGCCAATCTGAAGAGGCTACATACTCTGTGATTCCACGTATATGACATCTGGAAATGACAAAACTATGGAGACAGCAAAAAGATCAGTGGTTACCAGGGGTTGAGGGTCAGGGTTTGGGGGATGGATACGTGGAGCACAGAGGATTTTTAAGGCAGTGAAACTACTCTGTATGACACTATAATGATGGCTATGTGTCATTATACATTTGTCAAAACCCATAGAATGTACAACAGCAATAGCGAACTCTAATGTAAACTGGGGACTTTGGGTGATTATGATGTCTCAACATAGGTTCATCGGCAGTTAACAAATGTACCCCTTTGGTGGGGCTATAAATGTGTGGGGGCAAGGGGGTCTATGGGACATCTCTGTAACTTCCTTTCAATTTTGCTGTGAACCTAAAACTGCTCTAAGAAAATAACGTCTTTTTAAAAAAGTAGGCATTTTATAGCATAGGCTAAAACTGCATATGCAACCATGATGTAATTCTATGGATACACACACATCATAAGGAAATGTTCTTTGGCGGGGTCTAAAAAAGTCTTATAAAATGAAATAAAGAAAAATCAAATTTCTAATCAATCAGTTTACAATCCTGGGGATTTGTCATTCAGCTTAACTTACTGTAGAGATAACACAAGATGCAAAAAACAAACCAAAAAAAAAAAGGAAGAAAGAAAGGAAATAAGAAAGAGAGTCAGTTAAGTGGAATTTAAGTTATCAGGCTACAGTGTAGAACTCCATTACCATATCTTTTTTTTTTTCATTTTTTTAATAGTATTCTCTGAAAAGCACTAGATGTAATAAAGTCAATTTAAAATTTGTTCTACCAATCTTTTGCATCTGTAATTTTCCCATTAAACGTAAATGCCCATGAGGCAAGCTATTTGCATTACATTGCATTTGCAGTCTTTAAAACAAACTATAAATCCCCTCCTTGTTTCATGTGATTGATGCCGTGTGTATAAATACCACCATAAACCTCAAAGGGGGCTAACAGTGACAGTAAATTAAAGTTTTCAAGTCTGGCAGCATCTCAGCACTCCAGCCCTTGATCTTAAGCAGCGTTGTTAACCCCCCGCCTCATTGCCCTCCTGAACCTTTTTTTTTTTCTTCTTTCCCGCTCTGCCCCCACCCATTCTGATTTCCTTGGGAAACACCTTCCTGGCCATACAAGTCACACCAGGGCAAGGATAGGCAGTTAATTAAATTGAGGCTGCAACTGCTTGCTGGAGAGCTGAAGGCCCCGACTTGCAGCCCTCCAGTATTTGAGATCAAGAATCTTGGGGCCCCTTCCCTCTGTAAACAATGGGCAGCCGCAGAGATACTGATTAACTGGCCAAACCCCATGATTAGGGGTATTCATGGCAATTGTCTTCCGCTCAGTGGCCGGCCTCCCCATCAGGAGAAGAAGGAGACATGAGTAGTTGATGGAGAAGGAAGTGGAGACAAGGAGGAAAGAAAGATTTCTAGCTAAATGTTTTATTTCCAATTATTAAATAACCCCTCGGCCGGGCGCGGTGGCTCACGCCTGTAATCCCAGCACTTTGGGAGGCCGAGGCGGGCGGATCACGAGGTCAGGAGATCGAGACCATCCTGGCTAACACGGTGAAACCCCGTCTCTACTAAAAATACAAAAAATTAGCCGGGCGTGGTGGCGGACGCCTGTAGTCCCAGCTACTCGGGAGGCTGAGGCAGGAGAATGGCGTGAACCCGGGAGGCGGAGCTTGCAGTGAGCCGAGATCGCGCCACTGCACTCCAGCCTGGGCGACAGAGCGAGACTCCGTCTCAAAAAAAAAAAAAAAAAAAAAAAATAACCCCTCTACCCTCATTATTTTGCTGTCCACTTTAACACTGCATAATGAATATCATTACTTTTTATTAAAACTTAGACCAGAACAAAGAGGATTCTTTACCTACACAGGAGGGCTTACTTGAAACATAAACAAAGCTAATGTCCCTCTGGAACTGCAGAGGGTCCCATAGTCTGCGTAATTAATGGATGGGTACAGCTGGTAAATTCTTTCTTGTCTCTATCTTACTGTAGCAAGATTGGATTTGGAGAAAGCTCAAAACAGTGATCATGGAGAAGTCATAAATATTGAGTCACTGATTCTATTTGCCTCCCATCTTAATACGAGGGGATTCTTCTCTGAAACATGCAATTGCCAATTCCTTGACCGACTTCATGTGATTGTTCACAAAAATTGTGATATGCCTAATTGATTCAGGGTGCAGTGGGGTTTCTCACTCTTATCTCAAATGATCCCCATAATTTTTTTGTATTTTTTCCCAGAATAAAAAAAATTATAAAATCCCATGTTAATATTTTTTCTAGCTGTATGTTTCACAATATGACTTCAAAATAGGAATGTAAATTAATAGAACCTCACAGCTCATATATGCAAAATTCTTGGGGGAATGGCAAATCTTCAAGGATGGGTAAATTATTCCTCCAGAAGGGAAAAAAGACACAAAGGAAAAGCAATTGGGAATGGGGGGAAGGGAAGACAAGAGGCAGAGAGGTGAAGGCAATGAGAGAATGAAGCTAATTAATTAATTTAGGCTATTAATCTAGAAGAAATGTCCTTTGATGATCTCACAATCAGTGGTGCATCCCAAGTGAATATTGACAGGGACATTGAAATATGTTTGGAAAGGAAGACATATACGATTTTTCATTTCTTCTACAGTCTTTTAATAATCGAGGTGAAAGAATCCAAGAAAAGTTGGCACTATGAAGACAATATGCCCAAGATAGATTTCTCAAGACTTCCTTTGTTTTTTTCCTCTGAATGACAAAGCTGCCCACGCGTGGGACCTGCTCATTCTGTTGCCTGGATGTCTTCTCCAACAGCACCAGAATCCCTAAGGTAGCTGGTATCAAGCCATGAATTCTCCTTATTGAGTTTATGCTTTTCCAAGAGTCTTTGAAATGCAAGTTGTAAGAAAAGTGAAAGCACATGATGACTTGGTTAAACATACAAAATCTATTCATGTTTCTGCAAAAGGCTCTTTGGACATATTTAAAGCCACATAAGGGAATTCTGGGGAAGTGGAGGGAAACAGCCATTTCTTGAATCTTCACTATGTATGTGCCACCTTTTTGGAGATTTCACATTTTATCAACCTTCACAATTCCATGAGGTAGCTATGTTTTTCTTTGTTGATAAGATGGGGAAAAGAATACCTAAGAAACTTGTTCAAGGTCCCTGAAATAAGGGACAGAGTTTTCTGTTATTAACATTTTTTCCCTTCAACATTTCTAATGGAGCATGTTCAGAAATACAAAATATGAAATCCTTAAAGCAGATCCTTAAGGAGATAAGCATACATACCACATCTTCTGGTGAACAACTCAGCCTATCTGTTTTTGAAGCTGCTCCTACTAGAGTTTGAGTCTGATGTGAAACTCTGGCCATCTTGTCATTGCTTCATGTTTCTGCTATTGGAAATAAACAGAATGAGGAGCCCAAAGGGGTGTGTGTGTGTGTGTGTGTGTGTACGTGTACGTGTGCATTGGGTATAAGAGACCAAGAAACAGAATGTTGTGTTAGAATGGTAGGCTAAGGGAAAAAGGCATGTTTTGGAATGGATAGAACTTGGTGTAGTGATTAGAAACAGGGGAAGCTGAAGGCAATATCTTAAAACACACAAAGGTTATTTTCAAGATCCTATGAAGCCCTTTACAAAAATAGGTATTACCTGCTCTATACCAACCTCAACTTAATTTAAAGGTCCTCAACACAGATATCCTAAGACTCTTCATTTAAGAACCCTCATCCTTTTTATTCTCAGTCCCAACTCATAAATCAAAACATCCAGCCTGTGTCCCCTTTTCTTGAGGGACTATTCTAGGATAGATAACATGATAAACGTATTCACACTCTAGAACTTCGAGGAAATAACCCTTTCAGATGTGCGTCTATTTGATCAACAGAATTTAACGCTTTAAATCAAAGCAAAAACTAATGATGGAAAGCACCTCATCTGCATTTAATCGCCTTCATGTTGCAACTTAATATCACTGGCAGTAAAGGGATGGTAGGGGTTGTGGTCTTGAAGAAAACAGGAGCAGTGTCTTGTCAGTGAAGTTTCATTCCCCTGAGGCTTCCTGCTTCCTGTGACTTCTTTTCCTTGGATACCTGAATCCACGTAAACTGGGAATGTGAATCCTGAACCAGTTGTTGGTAACTTTAAATGTTAACTCTTGTCTGGGTACAATGGCTCACACCTGTAATTCCAGCACATTGGAGGGCTGAGGCAGGCAGATAGCTTGAGCCCAGGGGTACAAGACCAGCCTGGGCAACATGGTGAAACCTCATCTCTGCAACAAACACAAAAAGTAGCTAGGCATGGTGGTGCACACCTGTAGTCCCAGCTACTCCGGAGGCTGAGGTGGGAGAATCACCTCAGTTCAGGAAGTCTAGGCTGCAGTGAGCCACAGGCCACTGTACTCCATCCTGGGTGACAGAGTGAGACTCTGTCTCAAAAACAAAAACAAAAATACATTAAATCTTAGACTCTGGAAATTTAGGTTCTAATGTACATTGAATCAACCAGTATCCTTTGATGAATGTTTAACTTTCATTAATTCAAACACATAGAAGGGTGATTATCTTTAAGGGTAATACAAAGTTGCAGAAGGTATACACTCTGCCCTTAAACAGAGTATATTCTATTACTATTTAATGTGCAATAAAATGTGATAAGTACATTGGAAATGGTACAAAACGTGATGTGAATTCTGAGGCAAGAGAGATGGTTTCCACCATAGATGTCAGAGGACAATGCCCTTTTGTCTTAAGGGGCACCAAGAACTGGAAGATTTTGGTTCTTGACTTCAGAAGTTTTCTACATCATCTAGGAAGACTGGATAGAGAGGTGAGACTGAAATGCGGTCACACTTACAGGGAAATGTAATCAACCACTGTAAATGATGACAGTGGCCAAATTCTAGCTCCAAGGGGCATTCTGAGGGCATGTAGCAGGTCTCCTGTATGTAACTGCCAAGAAATTGATGAGGGGAACTGTGTCTTTGAAGAACACTTATTTCAGCAAATATTAATTATTTTGTACCACAGACTTCCATTGAGTCTACCATGTATCAAGGTGTGGATGCAGGACATGTGGACTAGAATAGGGACCAGAGCAGAGCAGAGCTGGTCAAAAGTGCTACACAGAGGGGAGGTTTTGTCTAGAATCTCAGGAAAAGGATAGACATGCATTGGAGAAGGGTGTGCTTTCTTGAAAGGATGTCACCTGGGAAAACTGTTGGGGTAGAAAAGAGCAAACGAAGGAGGGAAGATGGTAGGTGGGTTGACATGGCCTAGAAAGATGGTTCCTGACAGAGAACAGAGAGATGAGGGGATTCAGGGGTGGTGACTGTTCCCATTTTAAGCCACAGATTTGCTGCCAACCAGAAGGTGACATGGTCCTGCTGGTGACTTCAGTGAGTTACGTGGGTTAGGTGGGGATTGTTGGAAAATGGGAGGAGAGGGCATGCTTGGTCTACTGGGACAGTCACAGAAGCCAAGCCTTTTGTTTACAGGTGGAAATGAAGGTCTGCTGTTGTCAGATCTGACTTTTCAAGAAAAACAAAAACTATATTTTTATTTTATCTATTCTGATTTTAAATGTTGGCCATGAATCCAAATATTAGATCCTTTCCTATTGATACATTAAAAAGAAGAAGTAGGAGGAGGAGAAGGAGGAATTTGAGAAGGAAGAGGAAAGAGCACATCCCAGTCTTCCTTGGTGATATAGAGAACTACAGTTTGATTAATTTGGTTTTAATCTGAATTTATTTTTTGGTCTGACAGCATAAAAACGATTTTGAAAAATCCTTGTTGCTTCTGTGGGAAAATGAACAAAATTTCCCAGTTTTCCACTTTGAAAGATGTGCTAAATTATTCTATCTATTTCATCATGAATTTCCTTTGTGAGGAAGACATTACACATTGGAAATATATAGTGCTAAATACTATGCACAAAATATATTTTCAGATTTTATTCTCCTATGGTTCTGAATTTGTGTGTGTGTGTGTGTGTGTGTGTGTGTGTGTGTGTGTGTGTGTGTTGTTTTGCAGTCATGTATATGTGTGCTTGGTGCTTGCTTACTTGTATTTGTTTTGTTATCCCTATTATATCATCTGTGGTAAAACAATCTCCTCTGCTTTGTTTTTTTCTTTTATGCAAAACCAGGAACATGTTACTAACAAAATTACAAGCTGGGAATCTTCAAGTCACAGAATCCAACCCTACTGATGACAGAGTCTATAAACAGAGAATATCACAGTTGAATTTCTTACTAAAAAATGGGTTGCAGTGGATTCTGTTCAGAGCAGGGTGTTACAGGACTGAACTCAGCTTTATTTCAGCTGAGCATCCGTGCTCTTAAACCTTTGGGATTCTACAAGCCCCGCCTCTCTACTGACCAATGTCAAGCACATCCTCCTTTGATATTATAATAGTTTGTATCTTTGTCTCGTTATTAGTGTTTCTCAGAAATTAATTGATTGTTAGGGATTCACTGGTGAAGGCAGAGGAAGAGCAGGTGCTTCTACCTGGCTATCATGGAGGCAGTAATAACCATAATGATGGCTTGCTGCATCAAGATATGTGGCACCAAGTACCCATTTCAGCCCAAACAGATTGCAAATATATCCTTTCTCTTCAATCTTCCTATTCATTTGGAAATGCTTAGATCTAAAATTCAGCATAGGAATCCACGGATACTACCAATTAGAATAAGCCACCTTGCCCTACTAAAACTGCCACAGTGCTGTTTGTTTAAGAGATAATGATAATTTAACTTTGAAATAACCTTGTCATTGTAAAAAGAATTAAAATTATAACTCTTCCACAGTCTTGGTGTGCAGCTTTCTATAGACTGTGGCGTGCCAAATTTCAAGTAATATTCGTCTGTCGTCCCGTATCCCCAGGTCCTGGATAAAAATGAAATGTGCATTTCATAAGAAGATCCCAGTGAGCAGTAATAAGAAAAAGTATTCAATCATAGTCAATTGGCTAAAGCTGTGGGGATGGACACAAGCCACCATCTTCTTCTTTTATAAAAACACGAGTAAAAAAATTAAATAAAAACATTTTTCAACCTCCCACCAGATCCAGTTGGCTAGGAAAATTGAGGAAATTTTGTCTGTAGACATATAAAAATAGTTTTCAATGGCTTATTTTAGAATTAACGGAAGCAGCATCAATCACCTCAGCTATAATAAATAAAAATTCCAGCCAATGTAATATATATTTCTTTAAGCATAACCTGAGGTCATATCATATCAAAATACATACCTGATGCCATTGCTCCTTCCCTCCCCCCATTAAAAAAAAGTAGAAGATGCGTATTTTTTCCCTGAAATTTATGAAAAATCTGACAACAGTAGGTCTTTTCAGTGTTAGGATTTCTGTTTTCAAAATTGTCAATAAAACTGAAAACAGAAATTGCCCAAAGGACGTTTTGACTTTTAAAAAAATAGAAATAAGTAATTGTACATTTCTAAGTTTGTTAGACAGACTTTTGAATTCACTTTTTGGAAAGCATTTCATTAAGGAGAAACTATATTATGCTAGATATAAATAAGTCATAATCTCCAAAAACAAGAGTCTTCAAAGTGGTCAAACATATTTTCACATTGGCATACTTTTGCCTGCAGAAATGTAAAACACCTTCCAGAATTTTGAAATCTAGGAAAAACCTGGACTCCCCACACAGACGTGTTTTTGTGGAAATCTACAGTAAAGCTTACTTTTCCTTTTACCTACAAGGAAACCTTTACTAAGTTAGCATATTATGCTGCTCTGAAACAGTTGGGAACTTTCATTCATGCTGATTCACTGTAAAAGGAATTTCATTTTGTCTAAGTTCACTATAAGCAGGTGCCACTAACAACATTGGAAAAGAAAAACTCAATGGCTCCAGGAAAGTCCAACGTTTAAAAAATATCCTTAAAATAATAGTTGTTTAGAGAGACCTCAATGGATCCCACTGCTCCGGAAACTTCTCCTGGGTTGTGAACAATCAAAGATTTATTTGAGCTCTCTGCACACTGGGAAATGAAGACCCAGAAGCTCATTATCATATCTATTAAAAAGCAGAAACTGGGGTACATCTAAGAAAAGATGTATTACTTTTTAAACCGCACTGCAAACTGCAGACCAATAGGGACTTGAACTATATAAAAATACTCTCAGTAGTCGGGGGGTGGAGAAAGGGTGGGGGTGGGGACTCACTCTCCCAAACAGCAGGAAAATACCATGCCACCAAGTTCCATTGTTGTCATGGTTTTGGAAAGATGGCTCTATCAGGTTTTCTTGAAACAGGATTTTTGAAGTCAGACTTTTGGTTTGATCTGGGGACTGGCTGTGACTACTCGAATAACTTAGGGGACCATGCTCTAGAGGAGGTGAGGGAGGTTTGATGAGCAATGACCAGTTAAATTCTAGTTAACCCCAATTATAAACCTTCACCTTTGCTAATTGGATTAATTTGTCGGCAGACAATATAATCATAAAGTATACTAGAGCCAACTTTGTGCCACTTTACTACAAGATAAAAATCATTATTGTGGCCTGGCTCATTTCTTAAGACTGGATCTATAACCAATTTCTGCAAAGGTAGAACAAAGTTGAACTTACTGTAAAGTTGGAAGGGCCATTAATTATAGAGATTCTCTTTACAGCTCACCAAAAATATGCCCGGTAAGCAAATTCTCTCTCAATTAAAAGCTTTCCAAACTCAGGGTTTAATGAAATCTTAATTAAAGTCAATGGAAAAGTGATGTTCAGAAAAAAATTTAATGTGTCCTTTATTTCCCTCTTGGCCGATCTGAGCATATTGACTCTTTCTGACTCTTCCAATTTTTTAGTGTGTGTTGTGTACAGAAAGATATAATCCAGAAAAACCTGTTGCACTGATACAGCAATCCTCACCACCCAAACACAAGCAGTGCCTGCTTTCTTATTAAAATGGTAAAACATATTATCACAATGTTTCTAAATGTTCAAACAGACTGAGAAAAAAATTTGCCTGTACTATATGTTGGGCTTAATTTAAATAATAAAAATATAATTTTCTGTTTCTAATTCTGTTATAAAATCTGTGAATGAGACCGGTTTGAGTAAAATGGAACATCAATGTCAATCACGCTTATTTCCCTGTGGTGGAAATAAAATCTTTCAAAGTGGTCCAAGTTGAAGTGAACAGAGAATCTGTTATACTTGAAAATATGTTAATATGTCTGCAAAATATTGTGCTTTAGAATTGGCTAAAGGGCAAATAGCTATCGTCAGCATTGTCTGTGCCTTGGGTGAATTAGCACCCATCTGCCTAAATAGACACAAGGCTGCCAGTGTTATATACACACTTCAAATTACAAAAGAAATACTGTAGCATTTTCTATCTGTTGCAAAAGAGGTACTGGAAATTAGATATTCCAAGAGAATTTAGTAAGTCAACTTTTTTTTTGTAATAGGGGTACCTGGAGATTATTTCTCTTTACTAACAAAGCAATTTAGAGAAAAGAGACCCTAAAATGATGACTGTATAAATTAATTGTAATATACTATGTGTGTTTGAGTGTGTGTGTGTGATCTAGCTAGAACCAGGGCAACAAATGTTCTACTCTATCACCTGAACCAGAATTTGTCACCTGTTGACAATAGAAAAGAACCAAACCCGAGTGTTGGGATCAGGGCACAATAATGCATGTTGACAATAAATTATCAAAACAATAATCATGTTTAGCCAATCCCTTTGTGTAAAACTGTTATTATGATTCCAGTGCCAGCTGTCTGAAACTTTAATTTAAGTGCTTGCTTGAGGCGAGACATTTGGAATGCTAGTTTAGAATGTTTTATAGCTCAAGCAATATGTTTTACTAACCTCAAATACTGTGATGATGGTTTAAATGGTGACTATAATTTGTACGTGGGGGGCTCCAGGGTGAATTTTGCTTTCCCTGGAAAGTGTCTGCTGCATCAAAAATTCAGTCATTTCTGAGCTATCTGGAGCCGTCGATCCTAAAGGGCCCCTGGAGCTGCATCTACCTGCCTGCAGGTAAGCATTGCAGGTGGTTAACTTTTGGGAAGTTATTTCAAGTTGCCTGCAAGTAGGAACACTCCTCAGAAGCAGACATGTTCGATGGAAAGCATGGTGTGGAAGAGGCCATGGTTTATTGGTAGTTGAGTCAGTAAGCTTTACTCTCTTCCTTCATCTCAATCATTCTCTTAACCCCAGACATTCAACAAGAAGGCAAAACCATATCCTGTCAGGTTATCATCAGCACATATTCATGTTTTTCTATTAATGGATCAGCATTATGTTGGCATACTGAGATAATGATATGTTCCCCTTGAAACACAGTAGGTTCCAAGATAAAATCCATCTCTAAGAATTTTTGCAATTATCTTTATCATGCATAAGTGATGTGGACTATGAATTTTGGAAGGATGATGGCAGCTTAAGATGAGTTATAATTTATTGCTTTATATTGGAATATTATTCAAGGTGGTGTAATTGTGGAGATATTTGTAAAGTTAATATTAATAATATTATTTATGTCACTTTAGTACTTACAAAGCACCTTAGATTCATTAACTCATTATCATCACAGCATCTTTGTCATGATAAAATCTATTCTTGCAGTCATGGAATCAGAAGTTTAGAGAGGTTATATAAGATCAACTAGGTCAGATAACTCCAAAGACCGAGGTCCAAACCTGGGCATTCTGAGTCACCAGCAGCACCATAGAATTTAAAGCCTTTTGCATTTTGCTCTTATTCACTGTATCATCAAAAGTATCATCAAGTAACCTTCTATGGACTTTGTTTTTCGTTTTACAGTCCCTAGTGAATTTGAGTTCTAAATTCAACATCTAAGTTTCTAGGAAAAAAAAATATTTCAACTGGAGACTCCTAATATGTAATAACTGTTCTGAGGGTATAATCAGTAGTTAATAATTCTGGGGAGTAATTTGACACCTAAAATACAAACCTCATTGTATCATCTTCCAATATGAAAATGATTTAATTAAGTTCTAGAAATGTCTCCTGAAATTCTGCAAGATAAAGTCTGCTGGGGGAGACAGGTAGGAAAACATACCAAAGCTTATGGCAAACATCTACTAAATAAATACTTCTCTGGCAACAGTCTTTGTCAAGCTGATTGACTCAGACAAGAGTACCTGCCTCATAAATTATCTTAATAGAAGAACTGCACATATGTGCATTGGTCATATGTATGTTCAGATGCATTTCTGGAAAAATAATGTGTATAATTCAGCCCCCAGCACAGTGCCTGGCACAGAAGAGAGGCTTCATACATATCAGATTTATGAATCAATATCAGTATATTTCATTTTAGTGAAACTGTCAAGCCTTACCTCTTGAAGGAATTCCAGAGGAAATGTTATATAAAGCAATAACCACTTGCTTTCTCCTCATAGTATTGGTTTTATAATTCCGGATGTTTACATGTGAATTTATAGTGAACTGCATTTGAAATTACTATGCCGAGAAACAAATTCTCTACTTAATTGGCATTTGCAATGCAACTTCTCAATTAATTTGTATTTTTTTAGAGAGGCAAAGGTATCATTTATATAGATTTTTATATAGATGATGTTTACAACTTTAATGATTCTGTGAAAATGTTGTTTTTAAGAAACTAGGCAGAAGGGACATAAACAGAGCCCTGTGAGCATTTTCTGTGTAGACTGAATGAGTTAAGTCAGAAAGTAGCTGATCAATAGACACTCAAACCAGAAAACATTTTGCAGGAATGTTACATTGTTCAGAAAATCAGGCTAGGGTGTACTTAACTTTTGCATCCTTCAACACACGTTAGACCCATGACGATGGAACCAGATTAAAACTAAGTCAACTCAGTTATTTACAACATCAGTGGCCAGTTTCCACACAGCCGAATAAACCAGTCATTTGGCAATACAAAGTGAATATTAATTTGGTGTAGCATTTTGGAACTGGAATTTTGAGAAGAAATTGACATGCATTATTTTCTTGCTTGGTCTAATATTTTAAGTTGATTTTCATGCAATAACCAATGTTGATAATATAAAAATGTTAATTTTGTTTACCATCAGATGGTAAGATTATGAATGATTGTGTTTCTTTAAATGCTTTTAATGTGTTTTCCATTAGGATAATGAGGATTTTTTAAAAAATTACAGCAACATCCTTCTACATGTCTCCATATGCAGTCACCAAGTTTTCCCTTTACGGCAATCCAAGTATCCATTCCTCATCTTTCTTTCTGATAACATCCATGCTGACTCAGATCTTCACGCCAATATTTTGAAGACTACAAAGGCCTAGTGAAAAGTCTATATTCTATTGCTTTCTTTCGTAAAGGAAGGCTTATTTTCCTAAAATAGCATTATATTCCTTTTATCATTCATCCTCCTGCTCAACGTTTTATAGGCCACGTTTGTTTTTTTCACCAGCTTTCTAAGTAGAGTTCCCCCATTCATTTATCTGTTCATTTACCCTTTCGTGCAATAATATCATGTGATCACCCCTACAATCTCTAGAGAGTAGGTATTGTGTAAACTGCAAATAACAAGTGATCTCTGTGCCTCTCAAAAGCTTTGTAATACAGTTAAGGATACAAGGCACCTGAAAATAGCTGCAGTGTAGTGGTCCTGGAATCAGATTGCCTGAGGAAAACCCTGGTGCCACCACTTATTCGTTATATGTTTGGACAACTTGCGTAACCTGGCTGTGCCTCAGTTCATATCTGTAAAACAGGCAAATGGTATTACTTACCCCAGGGGATTATTGTAAAGATTAAATGAGATAATACATGCAAAACCTTCGAACATCCTCCTGGTTCAGTGGAGCACTCAGCAAAGTTAAATGGCATGTGGAGGGAAGAGGAATAAATAAGTATAAAACAAACAAACAAACAAAAATAAACCAAAAGAAGGAAGGAAAGGAGAGGATTGAGGTCTTCTAAAGCTCATATAGTCAAGTTATTCTTTCCACCAGTGGGTGTTCCCAGTAGGCCCCACTGCCAAAGTGGTATTGGAGCTGTGGTTCGAGGTATTGATGAGAACAAGATAAATGGGAAACGCAAAAGTGCTGCTTCAGAGGAGTCCCCATCCCTCCTCACGGCAGGTCACGCCTACATGGCTGTCCTAACAAAGCTTCCTCTGGCCAAGAAGCTGATGGGTCTCTTTCACTTGACTCATAGCTTTTTTTAGGGATGACTTTGTTGAGGAGAGAACATTCAGACCTTGCTGGGAGGCATGACATCTGACTTCCACTTCCTTTGCTGACCTCTTTATGTTACTACATTGTCTTGAAAGAATATGCCTGTAGGTCTGTTTTCCCCTCTGGACTGTAAGCTACTTGAGGGTCAGATCCCCTGTCTTTGCAGACCCAGAACCCAGTGCACTGTCAAGAACAAAGCAGACACTCAAGAAACGCACACTGACCTGAAGAGTATTGCAGGTGATTTGGTTATTATAAGGAAATGGTACAATGTAAGTCACCATAACCTGGGTCATTGTGTGGGATTTCCCATGGCTCTCTGCCTTCTGCAAGCCAAGTTCATTCTCTTTGGAGTGAGAGTGACTCTTCGAATCCTACTGCTAACTAACTAGAGAGAATGCTGACAGAGCTCCTTTGGAACCTTAAAAGGAAAACTACTCATCATCAGAGGATGGGATTTTCTCTTTTCTTTATCTTTTTTCTTTCTTTTTTTGAGATGGAGTCTCCCTCTGTCACCCAGGTTGGAGTACAGTGGCACAATCTCGGCTCACTGTGACCTCCCCCTCCTGGGTTCAGGTGATTCTCCTGCCTCAACCTCCTGAGTATCTGGGACTATAGGCAGGCACCACCACTTGAGGATGGGATTTTCTATGCAATTTTCACTTTAAGGTGTCAGCAAAATTTAGAGTCAAGAAATTTCTTCTACTGGAGGAACATCACAAGTTTTGCCAAATTGAATTGGCTTTGAGTAGAGCTCAAAAGCTCCAGACATGAGTATGGGCAGACAGGTAGAGGGAACTTTCTAATCTAGACAAGGAAGTTGAAAAACATAATATGAAAGAGTTCAAAGGTCGTAAATCAACTCTTCTTCTCCTTGTGTGTTTGCTTGTACCAGTATACTAGAGAAACAAAACAACTGTTTTTTTTTTAAACAATCTTTACTCAGAAATACACAAACATACTACACACAAATATCTCAGCAGGATAAAAGATTATTTTTAAATAAAGAAACATTTCTATCTCTATTATATTGTAGAACCAAATGGAGTTCAAGTACATTTTTCCTACTTACCTTACTTTCATATAATGCATTAAATGAGTCACTAATGCCTCTCAGACAGAGTCAGAAATTGCATTCCTGAAACTGAGGTCAAAATCTTATTGAACAGTTGTAATTCTCAGATTGATTTATATCATTTCTTTATTCACGTCTTTTTCATTTATTTCTTTTCTTCCTTGACCCAGAGAAGAAGCCACCTGCTAACAAAAGCCCCAATGCCATTGAAACTCTGGGTGAATAATAGTGACCCACATTAGCAAGTTGAAAACCCTAACTCTTTCTACACTGCAGAGTAAAAAATTATAGAATAAAAAATAAAGAGGTTATCAGTCATGCAATTTGTCTTCTCTTGCAATGCAGATTAAATGGTTGTAAGTTCACTGGACTCCAATCTACTTGACATCTGTCAGAAGGCTTGAATCATCTTTCTTCCATTAGCAAGAGTCTCCATTTCAACAATCCCCTCCATATCCATATTCATGTCAGATATAATTGTCTACTTCTTGTCAATCTTTCCTGTTAATGGGATCAACAAGTGCTGAAACCAGGCATCTTTCTCTTCCTTATGTTGCAAAGAGAAAATGGTGCCTCTTTTCAGGGACAGAAGAGCAAAAGATAAAAGGGAAAGATAGAGCCTGGATTTTTTTGTCATCTAATGTTCTCTTTTATTTGGTTTTCAATTCAGTAGCTTCCTATTGTGCCAACCTCTAAGATATAGAATTGCTTTGCAACTAAAATGCTGCAAAGGATATGATTCCAAAGGCTCTATTTGTGAGCGTGATCTGTCTCACCACAAATGGCTATGGTAGATACTGAAAACTTTTGAATGTGCAAAACGAGGCACTGTATAAATGTAATTTGCCTTTGAGAAATGATGGATAGATTTTTGCATCTAGTTTCAGTGCAAAGAAGTGTCCAATTATGATATACTTGACCCATTAGCCCAGCCTCAGCTACTATGCAGATCTGTAGACTTAAACATATTTGTAGTAAATCCACAAATTATGCATCTGTTGTAGACTTCAAAATGTTGTGAGAGGGGATTAAAATGAAATTTCCTAATCCATACGTCTGACTGTTTTAAATTCCAATTGATCTGTGACCAATCCTGAATCCTTTCAGAGGAGACAGAAGTCAGTTCTTTTACTTAAACCAATTGTCCCAGCCTTTGGTATGTGACACGGAACTCAAGGATTTGTTTTAGATCACCTGTTCTTCCCTAGATGCATTTTTGAATCTAAGAATCTGGTTGAATAGTTACAAAATCAATAGCCTATGATAAAGGGTGTGGTTAGAAGAGGAAAACCGCGTGCTCAGGATGCATTTTGAGACAAAAGGCCAACTTTAACCACAAAAGCCCTGTGGGTGTTCCTTACGCAGAAAATCTGTCACTAAATCATGCTCATGCTTTTTATGAATGTTCTGTGCTTTTTTTTTTTTTTTTGACATAGAAGTCATGATAATGTGGCTAAGGGATTCTTAATCAAGCAGTTTTGGTGAGTAACTACAATTTAAGTATTGTCTAGTTTTTTATTCATTTGATTTCTAGATTCATTCTAATGTGTTTATAGTTGGATCTGTATCTTCAATTCATAGAATTAGTGCAAAGAAATGAATGAAACAGCTTGGGGAAAGCAAACATAGCATGTCTAGGAAACGCTTTTTGGTCTAGGAGAGGTAACCTTAATATTGACATAGTATATATTATTAAATATTATGTTAATTGTATGTTATTAAATATATATTTATTATACATTCACATCATTATATGCATATTATATATAATATGTACATACAGTATTCTATATATAGCTATATATGTACATATATACTGTATATCTCTTAATTAAATGTATGTGTCATATAATGTATATTTAATAAAATGAATCTTCTTTTAAGCATACTGCAGATATACAGTCAGCTCTCCAACATTGTGCACAGGTTTATCTCGGCAATGAGTTGCTGTGAGTGGTGTATTTCTATAGGCCAGAATTCTCCCACCACAATCCCCCTCAGTCAAACACATATACTCTATTTTAAAATGGTTCTGCTACTTTTGTTCAATTGAATTTGTTAAGTGCCAAATCACTGAGTCATGCCCCCTTTTTCCTATTCTGAAGTCTGTGCCAAGCTCTGTCTCTGAGGCAAAGCAGAAATAAACACCTTTCACTAACACTTTACTCTCATGGTAAAATATGAGGGCATCCTCTCTCACTATCCGCAGAGCAGACTCGGAAAACATTGCTTTCTGGATTTTCTGCTTTTCTCATTCTATTTTCTCCCAGAATCTGTTTGCAAAACATTTTATGGAATTGGCAAGTTATTTGCACTGCTTTTGCATTGCAGTCTGCCTAATTCAATTGCAATTATTTGTAAACTGCCGCCATAACTCTTCCTTGGCTAATGTCTGCAAACTGTTTACTAAACAATAAACTTAATCATGCATTCATTGTTGCAAATGTCTCCAAATGGCTTCAGAGTAGAGCTGACTTGACATTTTTGCCTATTTGCAAAGTCATGAAGGATGTTTTCTGAGCAGACACCAATTTCTATAACATTTAGTCATTCTAAAGTATCTCTTCTGATCTATTGCAAATTGAGATGGCCTCTTTTCGGGGTCAGTAAATGTGCTGTGCCAATCCTGGTAGATCCAAAGCAAACTGGGCTGAAGATAAGGCACTGGTAGCAATGAATGAAGAGAAAGGACGACATCATGGCACAGGCAATAGGTTATTAAATATTTCATGGGTATTCACTTTGCATGTCAACCAAGTACCTGTTATATTTAAAACTGCAAAATTTCTTCAGAGGTACATGCTATGAGGACATGGTTCTGTCCATTAAGACTGTGTGTGGGCATGAGAGGAAGAGAGAAGATGAAAGTAATGCCTAATTTTCAAGCCTAGAGATCTGATGGAATCACAGTGCTATTAATAACAGTAGATAAGTCAGGATATAGAACTGACCTTGGAAGAAAGGTGATAAATACAGCTTAAAATATTTTGATTTGAGCCATCGATAACATATTTTTGCACAACAACTTCATCAGAAATGTTTATCAGGTAGTGTGGAATGGAGGTGATACTGGTTTGAGAATATCAGTGATATGGTTGTGGCTGATACTGTGGTAATAAACAGGGTTGCTTACTAAAGGCGAGTGGAGAGGACAGGCAGGTTCTTGTGGGGGAGGGGGGTGGGGAGGGCACTGGCCCTTTTAATGGAGAGTAGGAAGATGAAAAATTAGTGAAAGGTACAGAAAAGAATGATAGAAAGAGGCCCCAGTTGTTCTATGGTCATGGAAATGAGGCTGGCATTTCAACAGGTCTGGGGTGGTCCGTGGAGTGGAATGGACTGCTGCAGCTATGTTGAGGACAAAATACCTAGCATCTTGAGTTCCAAGATGCCGAAGTCACAGAAGATCCAACTGAAAATGCATAAGCAGATTCAAGGGTGTGAGTCATCTTGCTGGGAGCTAGGATGCAGGACGCTGATGAAAACAGTGTGAGCACCAGTTGCTGCCCACACTCTGGGGGATATTAGCTCTGAAAAGGATAGAGGCTGAGAAGTAGCCAGCAAAATTTCTTAAATCTGCCTAATTTTCCCCTACTTCCAAATCTTGGCGCAAGTCATTCTGTCTAAACCATCAACACCTCCTCCACCAGCCTCACTCTCTGCTTATGAATTTTCTGACTAAATTAATGGAAAACTTAGAAGCAATCAGTGGAGAACTTCCACACATTCATCCCTATGTCTGTATCAATAGTCAGTGCTATGGTTTGGCTGTGCTCCCACCCAAATGTCATCTTGAACTGTAGCTCCCATAATCCCCACATGTTATGGGAGGGACCTGGTGGGAGGTAATTGAATCATGTGGACAGTTTTTTTCCCATGTTGTTCTCGTGATAGTGAATAAGTCTCATGAGATCTGATGGTTTTATAAAGGACAGTTCCCCTGCACTTCTCTCTTGCCTGCCACCACGTAAGACGCACTTTTGCTCCTCCTTCACCTTCCGCCATGATTGTGAGGTCTCCCCAGCCATGTGGAGCTGTGAGTCCATTAAATCTCTTTTTCTTTACAAATTACCCAGTCTCGGGTATTTCTTCATAGCAGTATGAAAATGGAATAACAATCAGTCTACTTTTCCTGTTGTTACTATGAATAATTGGTCTACACCGCTGAGTCAAGTCAACCTCTTCTGTGCTGCAGCCTATTCCTTCCTGCCTTCCCAAGGACATTGTGCCAGCATTTTCTTCCTCTCTCCTGTGCCATCAATTCTCCCTTGTTTGTACACTGATGCTCGAATTTTCACATCCTGAAAACATCCTCTCACGACTCCACATTTTTCTTCATGTTCTGATTCATTTCTCTGCCTACACATGCTACTTCCAATTTCTCTCCTACTCTTTTTGGATTCGTTCAAATCAGTCTTTCATGCCTCTCCTCTTCACTGAATGAGATCTTATCAAGCTCCCCAGTGAGTTCTACAATGCTAATTCCACAAATCAATTCAGAGTTCTCATACTACACATTTGATTATTCCCACTTCTTAAACTCTTGCTTCTCTCGGCTTCCAGAACACTGCTTTCTGATGGTTCTCTTTCTACCTCACCGGACACCTCTTCCATCTTGCTGCTAGTACTTTGCCCCATTTTCCTGACGTCAGAATGCCCCAGAAACTTCTCTTTTAACTTCTCCTCATTTCCAGCTACATTGACCCCTATGTGATCCCATCCTGCATTTGTATTTAAGTATCATGTAAATACTGATGACTCTAAATCATCTCCAGCCTGGACTTGTACCTGCAAATTTAAATATTATAGATGTACTTGTCATGTCCACTTGGATTTCCAAACAATATCTCCAACTCAACCCTTCTAAAACCAAACTCGTGGCTCTTCCCTAACCACCACTCTTCTAAACTTGCTTCTTCTCCTGTCTTTTTTTTTTTTTTTTTTTTGAGGTGGAGTCTTACTATGTTGCCCAGGCTGGACTCAAACTTCCCAGCTCAAGCAATCCTCCCACCTCAGCCTCTTGTGTAGCTGGGACTACAGGCTCATGCCATAACACCTAGCTTAGTCTTTTTTTTTTTTAACCTTTTTTTTTAACCTTTCCAGTTGTCTAGGCAAAAACAATGTAGATAGTCTTGACTACTTTCTTTTCTTCATGCTTTCAAACTAATCCATCAGCAAATACCATAAACTGTCTGTTTGAAATAATCTAGCACCCCACCACATCCACTGCCACCATCTTCGCCCAAGTCAATTTCATTTCTTGCCTGGACTATTATAGTACCTTCTACGTACCCTCTCTGCTTCCACACTTGCCTACCCAGAGCGTCTTCTCAACAGCAACTAGAGTGACTTTTTGAAAACATTGTTTATGCCAGTCTTCTGCTCAGAGGCCTCCAGTAGTTTTCTAAACTTCACCAAAGGTAAAACCCAAAGTCCTTGCTTCAATGGCTTCAAGATTCTACCTAATCTGGGCTCTGGCAATTCTTTGACTTCATCTTCTCTTTCACTATCTTTTGCTCACTCTGTGCCAGCTATACTGTCCTATTGCCTGTTCCTCAAACAAACTAAACCTCTCAGGGTATTTGAATACTCTGCTTCTTTCTTACTGGTATTTGCTTCCCCTCAAATCTGTATAATTTGCTCTTTTACTTTTAAACATTTCTTCTCAAATATCACTTTATCATGAGACTTTTCCTATAAAAAATAACCTCCACTCCTATTCCTTACTCTCCTTTATTTTCTCCCATGTCGTCATACAACCTACCATATTTACTTGTTTGTGTATTTATTGGGTACACCCAATAAAATATAATAAGATCTATGGAAACTGGAACTTTATTTTCATCACTGCTTTATCTTCTACTTCCACTACTTAGAAAAGCACCCAATAAACGATTCTTGTTTGATAAACATTCGAATGAGTAAGAGTGAATGGAATGAATAAAAGTTGATTGGTGTCTAGCACCACCCAGAACATCATACTGATTCAATAAACAAGTATTGAAGAATGAATGAGTGAGTTTCTAAAATTGAGGAGACAGGTACCCCCTTGTAGGCTGAAGGCAAGAAGCAGTGGGGGAAAGGTAGATCTTGCTGAGTAGTTAGTTGAACAATATATAAATATGTAATTATCAAGTAAGCCCTAGAAATAAGAATACCAGGATATTTTGCACCATCAGCAACATGATAGAATGTGGCCCAAGTGACTCTCCCTGTGCAGGGTATGGCATGGAGAGGGATTTGGTTGTTCAGGACCAGCTGATAAGAGGGATTCCCAAATCAGAGGTTATGAAGAAGCTGAATCCAGGAAATCAACCAGAGTTAGAAGATAAAATGAGTCACCAGAACCAAGGATCCAGAACCAGATTATGGAAGCACCACGGCTGGCCCTAGCTCCTTGGGCAGGTAGCATTTAAAAGCCAGACATGGAGCAGACAGCAGACAGGGTGGTGGGATTCCCCCCACAGAAGCCAATCTGCTATACATGGAGATTTCTGACATAATAGATAATGTCTTTTAGGCCTAAAACCCAGGCTCTGATTTTGGCATTTAGGTATGGAGAAATATAGAGCATGAACATGCCACATGTCCCAGCTTGAAATCCTTTTCATTCAGTCCCAGACAAGACTCTTTACTTGTTATAACCAATTCGGACCCAGTACAGGTGTCTGACTGCAAGAGACAAGGCTACGTCAGTGAAAACTCTGCAAAACCAGAATCCCGATTGGCCCGCTCTGCAGAGGCCTCCTCTGGGAAGGCCTCATCTGGGAAACCCACCTTCAGGTTTCCCAATCCATTCCATTGGAATCAGATATTTTCCTCTCGTAAAATTGGCCACAAAATACAAAGTGCCCAAAGCACTTCATCAAACCAGCCAAAAAGCACAACTCTTCTTGGCTTTCTAAGAATGCCAGCTATATAATGAAAAACATCAACTCCAGCCTCCCACACGCGTGCCCTAGTTGGACAGGAAACAGCACTTTCTCCTGCCAGAGCATCCCTGCCCCTGCCACAGTGACCAGCGCAACCTGGCAGCCCCACAACCACAACCACAACCACAACTAGAAACCAAACTTCAGTTCTCACTGCTCCCCAGCTCAGGGTGCAAACTTCTGCTCTCAAACTGTTAAAGTGAATCATCAAAGGTCATTTAAAAATGTGGCACTTACTTGAATCAATGTCTTCTTGAGCCTTTTGAAAGGTGCAGCAGGCATAAAATTTAATATTGATCGTTGGGGCACATTCCATTCCCCCTTTCAGAGTCATTTCAGAATGACAAATCATTTGTTTTGATCCATAGCAGAGCAGGTCTACTGGACGCACGGGAGTCCCGGGCCTTCTTATTTATGCTAAGCTTTCTTTTTTCTGTCCACTTCTCTCAGTTGTTTCTCCCCGCCTTAAATTTCCTAGTTCCTGCCGTCCCCTTCTGCTGGCTCCTCTTAGCTCCTGTTCTAATTTCAACTGTCATTTCCCCTGCTCTCCCGAGTGCTCTGAGCTCCTGTTCTAATTTTTCATGTCTTCTCCCAGCGCTGCCCTCCTTTCTGCCTCTCTGGCCCTCTCCTGCTCGCCTTCCCTTTTTCTCTCACTTTTACTCTTCCGTGTCCCACCGGAGACTTTGCCTCAGGTTTTGCTTCATCTTCCGTTTTCTGCATAATGTTTAATGCAGCCAGTAACACAGTGTCCATCCAATCCACTGCCTAAATCACAGATTCACAAATATAATCCTATCTCTTCTAAATATTTCCTCCGCCACTTGCAGATTCTACTTTGTCAAAGAAAATATCCTTTTTTAAAAAAAGATTCCTTGGTTGATAAGAGACAAATACGTGGAGTTGATCTGAAAACCTCTCAATCTGATATAATTCTGTCCCAATTTAATTTTCTAAAGAAGTTGAGATGGATTTTCAATGAGTATAAGCAGCTAAAAGTGGTGAATGATCTTCTGTGAGCCCATCATTATCTAAATGGAAAACTAAGTTAAGGTTGCGTTTTGTAAGAGTCATTTCTCAGGGGTCTTCCTCCTCCCTCAGTTGCATGCAGAAACAATTGCACTCTTGTTAATTACAACTGAAATAATTTGCATTATTCACAACCTGCTACACCAAATGTATAAATGGCAAACAATCTGGATGGAATTTTGAACACACTGATTTGGCCTGGTGTGAAAGAAATTCTCACCAAATGTGATGTTGGGGTATGGAAAGCAATTCATAGTTGCCTTGGATATCCAGCCTTCCTAAGACAGGTATTGATAGGGGATTCTATCTACCTGTTTGCTCTTAAGGGCAAGAGGGCTCTTTAGTACAAAACTGTCCCAGCTTTCGGGATATGAATGTTCCATATTAATGAATGCATTCATGTCCATGTAAAAGAATATAGACATGATGCCAGAAGACACTGTGAGCTCTAGGTTCTTACTCAAGGGTGAGGGCATCTCTCCTAGACTTACATAAGAACACCAGTTGGCAAATTGAAACAACTTAGTCAGCCACCTGGTGATTTCCAGGAGGCTGTGTTCATGTGATGTATTTGGCCAGTTATTTTGGCAGAATGCCTCCTTACCTGAAACATAACATTTTAAGTTTGTTGGGAGTATACAAATGTAAAGGAAGAGAAAGTTTGTATCGAAAAGGTCAGAGTTTAAAACCGTACATGTTGCATCTTATGTTTTCAAAAAATTTTCCAATCTTTCTGGAACTAATTTCAAAGCACTTTAAGAAATTATTCATGACATTATATTCTTGGCTATGTATTATTGTTATTATCTTTACAGATGGCAAAGAAAATTTGGGGTTATGACATTCAACCCACATTGACTCAATAAACTTTCCGAGTGTCCACTTTGTACCCAGCACGGTGACGATGGGTGCAGGGGTCATAAAGATGAATAAGCCCAAGTTCTTTCTCTGGAGGGACTTCCAGTTAAAGGTCATGTCAAGGGTCAACCAAAAAGCCTCATCTCAAAATCTTAAACCCAAAAACCCTTCTCCACACAACATCCCTGGAGTTAAAACTCTCCAGGGCATTTGCCATAAAAAAGAAAAGAGCATAAAACACATGAATAAATGCCTGTACATATGTTACATTTTTCACTCACTCCTTACAAAATTTACAGAATATATACAAACTTCTCAAATACATGGTGGAGAAAAGAAAACGAAATGCAAATTTAGCCCCATGTAAGTTTCTGATTATTCCCCGCTTCCGATTAAGTTATTTTCCTTTTCTAACAATCTCCAGGTTTTTTTTTTTTTTCCATGAGAATGAGCAGAAAAACAAAAACATGGGGGAGGGGGAGACTCATAGCTCTGTTGAGAAACAGGAAGTTATATGAAACTTTGTTTGCCCTTTCTGCTGTGAAGAAGTTTGCCAAAGAGCTGTAACCCTGCACTCTGCTATGTAAACCACCTACAGAAATGGCAGAGGTCAGCGTGGGAAAAGAAGGGCCGCCTTGGGCCCAAAGTGACAACAAAAGTCAGTGCTTCCAGGCATCTCAAGATGAAAAGTAGAACCGTTCAGCAGTTTAGAATTGCTTGCTTGCTTGCTTGCTTCTTCCTGTTCTTCCTCTTTTCTCTCTTCCTTTCTTCCTTTCTCCCTCTCTTCCTTCCTCCCCCCTCCCTCTTCCTTCCCTCCCTCCCTCTTCCTTCCCCTCCCTCTTCCCTCCCTTCCCTTCTTCCTTCCTTCCCTCCTTCCTTCCTTCCTCCCTTCCTACTTTCCTTCCTTTCTTCTTTGCTTAATTTTAAATCATTATAAACTGATCATATTATACCGATCTTTTCACATGTAGTCTAGTGACCTCCACTGAGTCAACACTAGAATAATATAATCTCTTTTGTTGCTGTTGAATGCCCAGCTCCTGTTTTCTTTCTGCAGTTGTGTGTGACTATGAGAATTCAGAAGGAAATACCATCTACAACAGGAATGTTCAGCCTTCTTTTTCCATCCTTGTAGGGTTACCTGGGGATGCCACAGGGGGCCTCAGGGTTGCTGAGGAAGGCCATGGCGCTGGGCCCAGCAGCAACTCTTTTCTGTTATGTAGATAGGGGTTAAATCTATATGTTTTGAAGAAAGGGCTCTGTGGCTAAAAACAAATTTTGAAAAATTGTGGCTCCAGGGAATCTTTGGGGCTACCTACTGAAATATCCAGATAATTGAAGGTTCTTTTGTGCCTGGTGTTTGCTTTTGTTTCCCCCTCAGTTTCTAAGGTACTTGCTGCCTTTTCCAGTCACAAGACGGAAATGTCTTTATAGCTTCAATGGTTACAGGTGTAATGTGGCAGAAAATTCTGATTTTAGGCCTGTGGCCTTTCTGAAATTTTTATTTCTGTTGGGTCAGTTTAGCATTAGCCACACTGTGGCAAAAAGAAGCTGCTTATGAGGCTGTTATTTACGCTTTTGGGCAACGGAGGTGTCACTTAGTTTTTTAGACCAATATTTAATTTTCTACTCCCAGGAGTTGACTTGCAGCAGTGGGTCACACTTGAGTATGTGACAGCATCTTCTGGAGGGTGAATCACACGTGGTTGTCGGGCCATCCCCTGGAGTGGAGCCTAAGAACATGCATTTTTAACAGGTTCCCAGAGGCTGCTGCTGCTGGTCAGGGAAAGTCTCACTCTCAGAACCAACAACTGAGAATCATATTTCTTGTGAAATAGATGAGTTCTTAGGACTTCCCCTAGGAAATTTTGATTTAGGGGGTTGGGAGAGAGCTTAAGAATCAGTATTTTATTTCATTTAAATTTTGTTTTCTTAAAAAAACCAAATGCCTCAGATGAAACTTAATTTCTGGGAAACGTATTTTGTCTGTGTATCAGTTTGATAACTAGCTACAGGTTGTTTGCTGAGTTAGGCAACCAGTGGCCAATCTTCTCCAGATGCCTAAATGTCTGATTTAAGACAGAACAAGAAAGACAATTGGTCTGAATCAATTCAGCAATGGGAAATTAGACTGGATGTTGAAGGACAAGTGGGAGTTTTCTGGGTGTGATAGGTGGGTAAGGAGGATATTCAGTTGGAGAAGTGAGGTGTGCAAAGTCACAACAAAACCAGAGTGTGGCAAGCTGTAGAACCAGCACCTGATTTATGAAGGCTCCAGGTGTTCTGCGGCCTCCTTACTATGTGCTGCCATAACAATCTGTTTTCCCTTCAGTTTCTCTGCAAGACTGAATGTTGGACTTCTTTTTAAGGGCAGGGAATGAGTCTTGGGCCTCTTACTCAGACGGTGGTGTGCTCACGTAGGCCTGTAAATGCATGATAGGTAAATTAGCAGTGGGCAAGGAGTTGAGAAGTCAAGTTAGAAAGACTTAGTTTGGTACCAGATTACAGAAGACCTTCAATTCCATGATAGGAAGCCCGTGCCTAAAAGTGTTATGAAGCCATAAAATTAGTTAATGAAAGGAATGCTCTAATATGATTTGTGGATTCAAAGCTTACTTTGGGGAAAGCATAGTAGATTTGAGTTTAAGGTAGAGGCCACAGGCAGAGAGATCCACCAGGGGCTAGTGCCATGGATTTAGAAAAGAGTTGATCTACACAGAATGAGGGCTTCTCAGTGGTGGCAGAGAGGAGTCATTCTCTCTTTCCATAAGCATGTTCTGAGCATTTGGATATCACATGTCAGACGCTAGTCTTGACACTGAATAACGCAATGAACAAAACAAAATCCTTGCTCTTGTAGAAGCTATATTCTTGTAGAGGAAATTTATAATAAACAAGGAAATACATAAAAAAAATTTTAGATATCATAAAAAATAGAGTAAGAGGCTTGAAAGAGGCTACCACATGCTACAATGTCTTGACATTTAACACAAGGTAAGAACAAATGCTGAAAAGTGTCTCTTGTTTTAAATTTGAGTCCACTCTGAAAGGTATAACATATACAGATCCAAGCGATTTTCTTTTCTTCAGACTGAAACTTTGGTGAATATACTACACGTGTATAGGGGTTCTTTGTAATGTAACTAATATATTATCCCAGGCCCTTCACAATTCCTTCATTTAATGCAAAGGGGAGTATGATGTATGATGGAGGGTATTTTATTATGTATAATCACACTTTTTATTCTGATGTTGATGAAGATAATTTGATTCTCCCCATTTCAGTCAAGATAAATCCCATCTATCTATCACAGGGTTCATAGAAAAACCTATGGACAATTTGTACAACTGCTTCAAAAGGAGAGATTCACTCTCCTGGTCTCCTAAAGGAACAGTATTGTCTACTTGTTGGCCAAGCCCTGAAACAAGCGATCATGCTGCTTTACCAACCTTCCATTTAACTCTGGGCAAATGCACTTTCATCCCTCTAATCATTATGTTAACCATCTGTGAAAATGCATAAATCTCAGATTCCAGAAGTCTGATGAAATCAACTAGAACATAATTAAGCTTAACCAAATCTCTCTTCTCTGGGGTGCTCAGCAAACTATAACAAGGCCACAGCTGCAAAAGTGCGTTTCATGAAGCAGTGAGTGGAGACTGAGTCCGTCAGGTTTTGAAGGCATTGCAGATGTCGGTTTAACTTACAGCACCACTACCTACTATTTCTGTGGCCTTGGAGATGGATTAACTTCTCTGGGCTTATTGTCCTTCTCTATAACATGGTTATAACAGCACCAATCTCAGCATATATCTCAGTTGCAAAGGTTGAAAGAGATTGCATATGTGTACAAAAGACATATGAAGTATCTCACCGTTTCAGGACTTACAGTCTTCTCTTAGGGATTCTGCCAAACTACATGGATGAGGCTGGGGCAGCCACATTTGTAGTATGAAGTCCTGCTTTCCTGTCCATTGTTGATTGGAGAATAGTGGGCCTCTGCACCAACCCAGACTGATCTGGGATTCTCTTTTCCCACAGTTGGCACTTGCAATTGGAGTTGCTAAACTGAGTCAAATCAATGTCAGATTTCTTGGGAGATAATGAATTCTTGCTGCCCGCTTCCTGAACTTCCCAGGTTCTCTTCTTCTTAGGTATCACTTCTTTCTCAAATTTTATGAGATATCCCCCTATTCTTCCCATAGACCTCTCTTTAGTTGGAATTTGATTCTGACTACTCACATTTCAAATAAATCCTTAAGTGTTTATAATTAAATGCTTGATACTCTTTTGAATATGTTCCTTCTAGAGTTTCCTGTTTCAGCATGTACACAGGTTGCACCACTGGACATCTTAGCATCTCTCTAGAAACTGTCCTTTTCCTTCAGCACCATATCAAGTCCATCTTGAAATCACCTTGAAATATTTTGTCTCAAATGTTTCTTTTCTAAAACTTTTCAAGTGACACTTCTTTCTCACCTAGGCCACTCTCTATCAAAGGTGGCTTTAACACCTATTTTCCAGCTTTCTTTCAATTCATTCTCCAAAGGGAAGCTGGAGAGAGAGAGATCCTTCCAAACTTTAGTCATACTGGATCATGTAACTCCTCTGCTAAAATAATTTAAATGGACTCCCATTGCTCTTGGAATACAATCCTACCTCTCTGCCATCACCTACAGGATCCTTTCAGCTCTAGCTCTGCCCATCATTTCATTTCCACCTTCTACTTCTCCTGCAGGTGGGCACTTTTCTTGCTTTGGTTGTTTCCCAAAGGTTCTTGCTCTTTTCTGCCCTGGGGCTTTTTCATGGGTGGTTTCCTATCTCTGCACTTCTCCCTCAGATGACTGTTATTCAACTACCTCATCTCATTTCCATCATTTTCCGCAGAGATCTTCCCTGACCTCCTGTGATATCATGATATGGTAAGAAATATGTATGTCATTCTTCCCTCAGTTTCCTGGTTCACAGCTCCGAAAGCCCTTGGAATCTCTGAAGTGATAAATTTTTGTGTGTGTGTGTGTGTGTGCTCATGAGATGATGGATGGCTGGGGCACCTGGATAGCCTCAAGATAGAGGCTGGCTGCCAGGGGACCCAACCATGTGATTGGAGTTGCAACTTTCCATCCCATGCCCTGACCTCTGGAGTGGGAAGAGGGGCTGAAGGTTAAGTTGATTATCAATGGCTAATGACTTAATCAATCATGCCTACATAATGAAGGCTCCATAAAAACCCCAAAGGGCTGGGTTCAGAGGGCTTCTGGGTTGCTGAGTGCATGAAGGTGCCAGGAGGCTATGCCTAGAGAGGATGCAGGAGCTCCATGATCCTGCCCTCATACCTTGCCCTGTACATCTCTTCCATTTGGCTGTTCCTGAGTTACATCTCATTAATAAGTAAATCTAACTAAAATATTTCTTTGAGTTCTGTAAGCCAGTCTAGCAAAATAATAAAACCTGAGGAGAAGATCATATTAACCCCTGGACTTGAGATTGGCATCTGAAATGTGTGCAGTCTTGTGAGGCTGAGACTTTAACCTGTGGGGTGGGATGTTATCTCCAGGTAGATGGTGTCAGAATCAAGTTTAATTGTCTGCAGAGAACTGGAGAATTGCTTGACGTAGGAAAACACCCTATACATTTGGTCACAGAAGCGTTCTGTGTTGAATGTGAGTATAGAGAAGAAGCAGTGTGGGTTTTCCCCATTTGCCTCCACATCCAAAGTTGATCCCCTCATAATATATTTCTTCGTAACCCTGGTGGTAAAGAGGCCCTATAGATACTTACAGGTATCTACAATTATATATGTATTTACATGGCTGTTTAATCCTCATGTCTCTGGGGAGACTATATGCTCTAAGAAGATAAGACTGGATGCTACATGAAGACAGGGAGCACATAGCCTTTACTCTCCCCTATCCCCAGTGCCAGAAGATGATAAATAGAGGCTATCTAGACAGTTGCCCCAGCATCATGAAGTTGAACAAAAGAAAGACAGATGTCACCTAAACCAAGGGGAAGCAAGGTGTGTCGGCATCACTCAGCCAACTGACCTGGAACCCGGGCCATAAAACACATTCAGGACTTTCAGGTGAAAGTGCTGGGCAAATACTTTCTTCCATTTCTCCGTCTAACTGTGGAATTCTGCTAGGCAGTCAATGCAAAAGTATAGACATAAACCAAGGTCGATGAAAGTGCTATTACATTCAGAGGGGATATTTTCCATTTGTTTTCAAATTAAAGTCTCATGCAAGTAGCAGAAAAATACACCACAGATTCTTTAGCTTGATTGTTTCAACTTTTAATAGTGAAGTCAATATGTGCCTCCAACTAACTGCTGGGTATTGTTCTGTGATTGCCAGGTTGTTTTATGTATGTGAAGCAACAAAACAATATAAGGTGACAAACAAAAGATGGAAAAATATATAAAAGGGGAAAAAAAAAGTTGGCTGTGTGCTACCTCGGGCTTTAAAACTCTTCTTATACACTTCACCACGAAGTCTATTAAAGCAAAGTATAGTGGAAATACAATATACCGCAATGAATGTCTTCAAACTAGCAATTTAGCGCAAAAGCTGAGGGCAGTTCTTATGCACCGACTTTTAATACCAAGACGATTTGTGGTCTCACAAAGTTCCTGCCTTAGGCGAAAGTTGTGCTGAGTTCTAATAGGTCTAGTTTGTTGGCTGTCAGAATAATGGAGAATTGGGTAGCGGAGGGGCTAGATGCTGTAAACAGCAGAGATAATTAGAAGGTCTGTGGAGAGGCAAGTGAAGCTGGTTTATATTTGGTCACAGGGGAAAGTGTTTGTTCGGGAAACTCCTGGCTGACACAGCACAATCTGAATCTGAGACTGTTTATTTTGAGAACTTTTGTGGGTCACTTGGCATGTTAGTATTTTTTTATTATAAGGCTACTGCTATTATTAATAGTAAGTTGCCATTTATTGAACACCTACTATTTGCTTAGTTCTGCTCCAGTTCTTCTGTATCCCCGTTCTGCAGAGAAGGAAATTGAGGCTCAGAGGGTAGGTTTATTCGATGGCAGGTGCTAGCAAGCCATAGTCCTTACAATAGACTAGAAACTGTATTTGACCGATATGTTGATGTCTTCTTTTGAGGCACGATTACTATTGCCAGAGTATTTTCACTGATAATCCTATGGCTTCAAGTCTAGTTTAAATTTCCAGTAACTGTAGAGGCAGAACTTGGCTTCCCAGGAAGAGGCTGAGATTGAGAATGAGGCTCTCAGAACTAATGTAGTAATGACAGTCCCGAGGCTGATGTTTTCTAGTAATTCATTTTCATTTTATGTAAATTAGCGTGGAATCCAGATTGTCCTTTATAATAAAGCTATCTTTACTCAGTGGAGAAAAGTTTGTTTTGTTGTCCAGGAGGACCAGGTGGTCAAGTCATTGCAGCACTCCTGTGTGACAGCCCCCTCAACGTGCCCCAAAGTGATCACCCTGTCAGATAAGTCATGGCTGAGGAGGGTAAGAAAATCCACAGGTGAATTCCCAGGAGGTATGGAAGGGCATTTTTCAGTTGCTATGATTTTGCCTTGCACTCTACCTGCAAGTGTTAAGCACACATGACAAGTCACCCGCCACTAAGGGACGGGGACCATGATCAGTGGCAACCTAGGCTTCGGGGAGCTCAGTTACACACATGGGCCGATCTTGTTTTTCTTAAATAATAAATAGTAATTAGCATTTTCTAGCACGTCATGGAATGTCTGCACCGTCCCTCAAGAAAGCTACAACAAAATTGGGGAATTGACAGGAAATGAGATACTGAAGCTGTCACATGCAGAGACCAAAGAGATGGGGATTACTCAGGCTGGAAAGGGGGAACTGAGAGATGGCGTTATTATAAGCACATACAATACTCA
The DNA here is from genome assembly GCF_000001405.40 of Homo sapiens. Classification (NCBI taxonomy): domain Eukaryota; kingdom Metazoa; phylum Chordata; class Mammalia; order Primates; family Hominidae; genus Homo; species Homo sapiens. The sequence goes on along the minus strand of NC_000015.10, from coordinate 95,981,352 downwards.
AAGGTATGATTAAGGACTTGTTTACCAAACACTGGATCATTCAAACAAGATGGCTTCATTAAGAGGCCTCCTACATTGTTCCTTTCCAGGCAAAATCAACTTCCCTCTCTCTTGCTTTGCGCTCACACTTACAGAAATTTGTTTCTCCTCACTTAGGCCTTTGGTTCAGTTATTTAGGAGAAGTAGCAGGTGTAGCGCAAAGGGCACTAGCTGAGAGGTTAAAAAAGTGTGGATGCTGGTCCTGGCCCTGCCATTGTTTTCATTATGTCTTGGGGGCTCACTTTGCTTATCTCTGTAATGGGAATGTTACAACTTGCTAAGATGTACATAAAGACCTCACAGAACTTTTTGAAGGTCAAATGGGAGAGGGTGTAGAGAGTGCTTCATTAGTGAGTAAAGGGTTTTTCTTGGACACCTGTTTGCCTCTCATCACATGATTTAGACTCCCTTTATTTGAGCTGTTGCCGGGGCAAAAACTTCACGGTGCTGTAGCTTGACAGACCCTCCTCCTGGCTGTTCCAGGAATCTCTTGCTTTCTGGGCCAAAGCTTCTCCGATGGCATGTTGAGATTATTCAAGCATTACTCAGATCATCCCATGAACAAACTCTTGAACATGGAGGTACAGAAGCCAGAGGATGAATAACACTGTCTTCTGCACTTGAGTCTCAGACTCATTCTCTGTGCCCTTCAGAGCATAGACCATGATGGATTGATGACCACAGATGGATTGAACTTTGGTGCCCATCGTAGTGACCCACTCAAGAATGTTCCCTCATATGATCTTCTCACCTAGCTCCTACATATGGGGTCTGGAAGGCCTGTCTCGGGTCCTGCTTTCTGGGGGAAACTCAGAGTAAGTCAGTGCCATCCAGCAATGTGTAGCTATGCCTCTCCAGCCCTCTATACTTTAGGCTCTGAGTTGATCACAATGATAGTATCTTGGTCAAGGCTAATTATCATATGTCATAGCTCATTTGTGGACAACGAAGTTCAAGTGAGACTCAGCATCTGACTGGCTTGGAAGCTGTGGTGCTCTACATGTTTCTCTCAAGCAGCAAGGAAAGTTTGAGAGGACAGTTCTTAACAGTCTGAAACCCACTCTCCTGCTGATTGAGAAACTGATGGTATTGAAGCCCCAGGAACAACATGCTTTCCATGTAACAGATTTCCCCAGTCTCATGGCCACTTCATCAGCCAAGTCTCCAGTAGCCCTCACTTGGACATATTACATCCTAATATGTTCCCAGCATTTAGCCTCCACCTTTCCAACTACATGTGCTGACCAGCAGTCAGAGTCATATTTTATAATTCCGAACAAATTGCATTACCCCTCTATGTAAAACCTGTCTACGTTCTCCTACTGCTTTCAGAATGCAATCCAATCTTTTTATCACCAACTCCAATGCCTCCAGAACCTGGCACCTGCCTACCTCTTCAGCCCGGCCTTGTCGTCCCTCCCTCTTTCACCACACCAGAGCTACACAAGGCTTCTTTCAGTTTCTTGGCCTCTGGCTTGAGGGCCTTTTGCTGCTGTAATTTTCTCTGATGGGGAGCTATTCTTTCGTCGATTCCTGACCAGTTCCTCCTCTTTCCGGCCTTTGGTTAAATGTCATACCTGCAAAGCAATATTCCCTGAGTCTTCTATTTAAATAAAGTGTTCTCCTCTTTCCATCTGTCATCAGTTATTATTCTCTTTTGCGCGGACCAACAAACTTTTTCACTAAAGGGCCAGATAATAAAAATTGTAAGTTTTGTAGGCCACAGGGTCTCTGTTGCAACTATTTTACCCTTCAGTTGCACATTAAAAGCAGCTGTAGGCAAAACAAAATGCTTAGGCATGACTGTGTTTCAATAAAACTTTATTTACAAAATCAGGGAGCAAGTAAGCTGGATGTGGTTCTGGGGATCCATAGTTTGCTGACTCCTACACTATTGCTTAATGCCTTTGGTTTCCTTAATAGCATTTATTGCAATTTTTAATTGTCCCTGTGCTCATTTACTTGCTGTTTACCTGCCCTCATCAGCCGACTGTTCTCCCTATGAAGTAGGAACCATAACCCTTTGTATTTTTAACCACAGTGATCTCACTGCTTACAAGCCTATAAGGGTTGTTGGCACCTAGTAGACACTCGCTACAAATTTGAAGAATAAACAAAAGAATAAAACATCTTCCCTGTTAATTCCCAACTCAGCATCTTATATATTTATTTTGTTTGTTTCATAGAACTTATTTCAATTTTTGATTGTTTAATTTTTCTGTTTTTGCAAGTTCCATGAGCATAGAAATGATGTCTGATTTAATTGATTCACCCCTCAGCAATTAGCATAGTGCTTGGCACATAGAAATCCAAACAATTGGGATGAATAAAGAAATGAATAAAGGAGTAATTTAGATTGAGTATTTGCATGGGTAAAAGGAAGAATTGACTTCCAGTTATGATACATTTTGGTTTAAAAACATGTATCAGTGAGAGAATGAATGAATTAATGCATGTATGGCACATGCCAACTAGCTCTGCAGAGCCCTGAGTAATAAATTCTCAAAATTCTCTAAATTGATATATCCAGCAAATCCTATGGGAAAATAAAAAAAACTAGTTATTTGCCACCATCTAAATAAGTCTCTTTAGCCACTTAGAGATTTGGTAAGCGGACAACTTCTCAGGCTTTTTCCAGGTGGCCTTTCAATGAATGTAATTCTGAAGGGTTAACCCAGAGGGTGACCCCAGCTGCGTGACCCCAGCTCCACTGGAAGGCTCAGTGTGACCCGAGAGGACATTATTTTCTGGCTGTGCGGTTCCATCATTATCTGCCATTAAGAAATGATTTCGTTGACTCATGGTCATAACCATGTCTCTGTCTCCATGGAAAATATTTAAACTGCATTTAAGGACTGCAAAACTGGAGAAAAAAAAAAGACATAATGCTTTGTAACACAGAGGAAAAAGAACGAAGTGAATAGTGTGGCAATACCTCCTTGTTTGTGTGGGGCAAGGCTTGTTTTTGTCTTTTTTCCCTCCGTGAAGTCGTTATTAATAGTGTCCCCTTTCCATCTCAAAAATGCCTGATTTGGACAATAAATTATCCTGTCACTAGAAACATAAGGGATAAGTTATGTTTCTTTCCTAAGGACAAGATGAACATACTCTGGGTGCCTACTGAGTTATCAAGAGTTAGGGCTGTGGGAACCTCAGACTGTCTTCTTTGGCTTGTTGTGAGTAATATCCCTGTTCATGGTCACCTATGCAAGTTTTGGTGGCAATAACAGTGGCTCCAGCAAAGCCAATTGAAATATTTGATTATCCTAAAATAACCTCTCTGTATCCCACATCACTGATGGAAACCTGAAGGTCTGAAATGCTGACCCTGATCTTTAGAAGGCGTTGATGCCACCAACTCGCACTTGTTTTCCCAGAGGTACTCAAGATGGTTTCAGTGAAGGCTCTTCCTCCCCACTGGCTCTCTTCAATCCCTGATTTTCTAGCAGCCATCAGGAGACTTGGGCATGAATTCTCTATGGACCAGTGAATTACAAGTTATTCAGATTGATGCCAAGGATAGTGATTAGAACACTGGGCCTGGAAGCAGAGTGCTAGGCTTCCAATTCGGGCTTAGATATTTACCATCTATATTATCTTTAGTCTCCCTGTGCCTCAGTTTTTTTACCTGCAAAATGGGGGAGTTATAGTCCCAATCTCCTAGTATTGCTACAATGATTGAATGAATTAACCCCGCGAAGATACTTAGAAGAGTGCCAGACATATAGTGCTCAGTAATTGTGTTATTATTACTATCTACTTATACTGTAATTCTCTCTAGCATTATTACTATCTTCTTGTACTTAAATAGCTCTCTAGATAATATTTTTCAATCTTTAGGCAAAAACCATTTTCAAAAGATTTGAGAAATGCTCACTATCATATGGAACTTTGTAATAACAGCTATATCATAAATTCTATTGGCATATTTGCTTTCACATTCATGAAAACAGTCTTGATTTCCTTAATATTTGCCTCACTGTATAAAGTCCTTAAATATTTTACAATTTTTGTACCTCTCTGAACCAAGGCTACAATAAACTAAATTAAATTAATTAGTTCAGATAATTATTTTAGCTAACCATCATCTTATATAATGTGTCAATTCAACACTGCTTCTTTGTTCTAAAATATCCTTTTGACTGACATATAAGAACAAAGTAATATAAAGTTCAATTCTATTTAATAGCATCTGATTTTATTCTCTCCACAAGTCAGATAATTAAGTAATTCCTCTGTAATTATTAGTATTAATTTTATATGTCCTTTCTGGTTACCAGAATTATTATTTCTTCTTTTAGAGTAGCAATTATTGTTAATTTAAATCCACATTCTACACTGACTCCTAGTAAATGACTCCAAATCTTAAACTATTGTGTTTGTTTAGGCCCTAAAAACATGCACTCATATAACTTTTCCATTTCTTAGCTCATTTAATTTGTGATTCAGTTAGGTAGTTTTACAAAGTTAATTTGGTTGTATCTGAAATCTAGACATTGTTGTTATTTTATAATACAAAATATGTGCACAATTATTTTTTCATCGTTCTAGAATAATTCATTCTTTAGTTTTATGAGGGCCTTATGGACTATTAGAAAATATCTAGTACAATCTGTTCCTTTTACAAACCTGAGGCCTGAAGATGTTCCAGGACTAGCTCAGGTTCATCCTGATAATGTTCTTCTGGTTTTTCACGCTTTTCATCATCTCTTCTTTTCATTTGGAAATGCTTCTCTGTTTCTTTTCCAACTATAATCTTTCATTCTGGAAGCCAAACATGGTTGATCCTCAGCTGTAGGAGGGCAAGGTATAGGATCTAGAAGGTATGGCAAGACATGCCCATGATATTAAGAGAGGAGCAGATTTAGTCTGGGATGGCTCTTGAAGACTCTTGGGTAGGTAGACGGTTGGGGTGGGTAGGAGGAAATGGCCTAGGAGTGACGTGACGGTCTGCTTAGAAGGGACTGCTGTTGGCTGTAGAGAGAGGGAGAGGGAATGTGAATTGATTCTTTCAGAAGTGGCTTTCACAATCTAGAGCTCGCTGTGAGAGCCACCGTGAGCAGGTGACTTGGTCATTAGCACGCCCATTCAGTCGTTGCCAGGTTCCACACTCCTCCACTCTGAAAGGTCTCTCCACACTGCCCCTTCCTCTCCAGTCTCGTGTTACCTTCCTGTTCAGGTGTCCACTAGAGCTATTTGGGCTTAGCGAGCACTTCCTCACTGGGCTCCCTGTCTTGGTCTCTCTCCACTCTGCTCCATTCTGCACATACCCTCTAGTAGGCCCTTTGTAGTGCACAAATATGGCCTTATCAAGTGCTCATTTTAAACCTCAGCAGGCTTTTTATTGTCCTGCAGGGTGAAGTCCAAATAATTATCTTCACATTCTGGCTCTCAAATGTCTTCCTGGCTCTCTCCAGCACCTCTAGCCATTCACCCTACTGATGGCTGCATCGTCCTATCTACACACTAAGGGGTTTCTTCTCCTTTGTTTCCTTCCTCCTTCCCTCTTTTCTGTCCAGAAGACCTCTGTTCTTAGGCTCAACTCACATGCCATTACCGTATTGGTTCTTCCCTCTCTTCTTCCAAGCAGTATGAGATGCCCACTCTTTGTATTCACTGTGTCTGTGTGGATCTAGAATAAGGCAATGTTTACACTGGAACAAATAATTTATGTGCATATCCCTTCCATTGTTAAGGTCTCATTTAGCATCGAGTAATTGTTCAGTGCTTACACCAAGGCTGAGGACATAGTAACTTCTCAATACATAGTTTCGAAAGCATCTTTTGTTTCTTGGTACACAGTTCAGGGGAAGACAAAGATATAGAAACAAGAAGACCTAAAATAGTTGCTTAAAGACCATAAAAGCTTGTTTCTCTTTTACATTCAACTCGAAGATGAGTAGTCCAGGTTGGTGGAAGTTCCCTGTTCCACAGAGTCATTCAGGGACTCAGGCTCCTTCTGTGGGGAGTTTCCAGTTGAAGATAGGTCACAGCCCCTACTGAGTTCCAGCCAGCAGGAAGGAGATAGAGGCATGGAGGAGGCAACGACCCAAGGCCCAGGCTGGGAAATGGCACACATTACTTCTTCTCATATTCTTTGGCCATAAGTCAGTCATATGACCACATCTAACTGCAAGGGAGGCAAGGAAATGTGGTTTATCCATATGACCCAGAAGTAGGGAAGGATAGATTTTTGTGGGCAACTAGCAATCTTCATCCAACTGATTTGTTAAATGTCTTTGTAGCTGTAAACTGACTCTCCATGCCTGGGCCCTGAAGCTTCATGGCCATAAGATTTCATGCTTCGTGTTAAGAAAGAATATCTGTCTACGTGCAAATGAATAAACTGTCTGATATCAAATAATCTTCTGTCTTTAGCCTTTCTTATCTTCCTTTAAAAATGATCATAAACTTTCCTACTTAAACTGTCAGGCTTTATTTTCCTCCTATATGAGGAAAAGTTCCTGTACATTAACTTCATCTTATTTCTTTGTTTAATTAGACAGTCTCTATTTGGCATAACCCAAGCCTGATTTAAATTTCTTTTTTTTCCCTCATCTATTGTCTCTCTTATGGCCTTTTGTAGAAACTGTACTAATTTAGTGAATCTTTTATCTTGATCAGCCTCATCAAGCAAAGAAGTTACTTTTTTTTTTTTGGAAGTGTTTGTGAAAATTCTTTTGTATAGCTACTTCCTCTTAGGGGTTGGTCTTTTGTGCTTCTTACTTAATTCCATGGCTGTCAGTTCTAACTAAGGATGCTCCCAGTAGTGATGCTGGTGTAAGAGACAGTGTCTGCTTCTTTGGAACAAATGAATTTTAAAGATCCTCGTGGAGCACCTTAATGTCCCTCTGCTCAATCTCTTAAGAACCCACTTTTGTATCTATTAAATCTATCAACAGCCCTGGTGTTTGCGGGGGACAGGCTCTGTTTTCTTGATAAATTCATGAACACACTTTATTGTTTGGCTTTTTCTTAATCTTAGGTATAGATTTTCCTAGAAAAAAAAACCTAGGATGGTTCTGCCTACCTCCTCCTTGCAAGACAGAAGTATCATCAGCGTGCTGTTTTCAGTTTTATTGGTAGATCTCTCACAATGTGCTCTAATCTTTGAAACTGGGAAGGGAAAAGGAACCTCCCTGCTGAATTCCCCTCACAGCCCCTCTGCTGCGGGGCCCTGAGGCTCTGGAACCAGGCAGGGGTCGGGGGAGCGCAGTCTTTAGCTGTGCTCCTGCCCACTCATTACTTCCTCTATGAACCACAGCAGAGTTATGCTTGGACAATTTGCCCTGTTGTTCTCCACTCTTCATTGCCTTTTGCACCAGTCAGAACAAAACGCTGAGTCTCCCATGGATCAGAAAGAAGGGGAAAAAGGGGGCTTATCCATTCTCACCCATACACACCACACACACACACACATACACACCACGCACACACACACGAAAATATAATGCCTGTTTTCAAGCACCAGTTATGTACTAAGCACTTTGTATATACTGTATGCAAATTTCTCTTCATCCTTATAAACTAGCTGTTAGTTATTATCTCCTTTGTGCTCATTTGATCACTGAGCTTCAAGGGCCATACAAGCAGGCTCAGCTGACCTGACAGGACCTTGGGCAGAGAGGGCTGTCAAGAAGGTCCCCAATTCAGCCTTCTGCTGCCTTCTACATCTTGCAGCACATTTGCCCCTTTGAGATAACTGAAATTTTTTGAGCCTTCTGCTACTTGAGAAGATATGCTCCCTGGAGTTTCTATCCTTTGCAAAATCCTGGGCAACCTTGTCCGTTCTTCTGTCTCCCAAATCTGGACCTAGAATCCCTAACATCTCACCTAAGCTCGTGATGGGCATATCCAGGGACTTCTAAATTCATCTTCTGGCTATTCATGAAGAGTTAGCATCCTCTTTGCCCCACTCCACCCGCAACACACATATACATTCTTTATCTGCTATTATTCCCTGACATTTAAGACAGAAACCAGGAGTCACCCTCAGTTCATCTCTCCCCTCTAGTCTCCCATCTAACTGATCAGTGTGTCTTGCAGGACTGACGAGGGCAAAGCTGGGCCTCAGTGCTCCCGATACTCAGGCCCCAGTGGCCTCTTTTTGGAACAATTGTTTTGGACTCTTTCACTGACTCCTCTGCCTTAGGTCTCACTGGCTTTGATCCCGCTTTTCTATGGTGGCCAGAGGGACCTTTCTAAGATGCAGAACTAACCAGACCACTCTCTAAACAGAAAATTAAGAAACCCTGCAGAGAGCAAGTCCAGGCCCAGTCCTGCAGCATTGAGGCCTGCCTCCTCTCCGTCGCACTTTTATCTTGCAGTCTGATCTCCAAGCCCCACTCCCTTTGGAATATGCTAGGGGCTCAAGTGGTGTGAATGTCCCCAACCTCCAGGCTGCTGGTCTAGTTGTATGAGATACTCTCATTGCGTACAGTGCCCATATCCTTACAGTTAAAGCCTGTTTAAGACAACCCTGCCTTTCCTGCCATAACCTCACACTGACTAGAGACACACGCAAATGGGCAGGCATGCGTGCCCCCCACCCTGCCAAACACAAGGCAAGCCAGGCGTGCTTCTCTTTAACCATTATAAAGATGAATTTGTCTGCCCTCTCTTTCTTTGAAGAAGTCATCTCCTTGAGGACAGGCATTGTGTCTCTCTTCCAGTTGTCTCCAGCCCCTTGCCCAGGCACCTCCAGGATCATATTTGTTGCGTGGTTGATTTGTCCACTGCCAGATGTTCAGGAGCATGTGTTTCTTTGTGGAAGCTCTGCACTGCCACAGCCTACTGTGGTGCAGAGTCAGTGACTAATAAATGCTGGAATGAGGAGAAGTCATCCCGGCCTCCTCACTTCTCCTTCTTCACAGAAGGACTTCGCTGGCTATTCAAGTCCTGCCCTTCCTCCAGCAGAAACGTTCCTCTCTAATCGCTCTGTTGCAGATAGGTTTTTCTCAGCAGCTGGATGGTTCTGGCTATCTTGAGTCAATTTTCATTCTTGCAACACAGAGGATTTTTGAAAACACTTTCAGAACTTGGGAGCAGCGAGAAGCAGACAGTGCATGATTGCATTGGGACTCAAGAGCAAACCTCAGCTTCCTGGCTGTGGCCATGTGCCAGGCACTGGCGCTAGTGAAGACAGAAAAGTCTTTTGAAGTGCTGCAGATTTAAACCAGGGAATCAGTTAACATCTCCCCAAGCAGCCAGTAGTGGGAACAAGAAGTGTATTTGATAATGGAGAGATGCTGGGAGAATGGCTGAGTCTGTGCTTCCCTTGTGATAAAGGATGCTACAGAGCAGAAATTAAAACGAGAGGACTAGGGGGTGGCAAAGCTGCTCTCATTACAAGAGCGGCAGGCATGGGGTTATTGTGTAGGAAGAAATCGGGCATGAGATTGGAGGGCCTTATGAAGGCTTGCACGGGTATTTCCTTGTTGGTACTTGTGATGGAAATCCAGTTGCTAGCAGAGTTGTAATAGAAAGTGCCTCTCCTGGATTCCTTGATTCCTCGTGATGAATTTTTAGGTAACCGTGAGGAAGAGAGCAGGCAGCACCAGCCCTGAGGGATGGGCACCCCTTTGCTTATGTTCTTCAATTTCATCATACTTTCCTTTCACAGTATCAGTACTGTTCGTGTGCGTGCGTCCATACAGGCAGCAGTGGAAAACGGAAAGCGTATGGACTTCAAGTTTGAATTCACACCAGAGTTGAAATACAGTTCTTTCTCATATGTGCAACACTAAACAAATTGTTTCACTTCTTTGAAGCTAAATGTCCTACTATGTTAAATAGAAAAACTATTACTGAACTCATAGGGTTATGATAAAGATAAAACAATATATTATGAATGCTCTCAGCTCTGGCCAAACTTGTCAACTGTAAATCTGAAGTTTTCATCATATGTTATTTGTATTTAGAATGCTTGGAGTTCTTAAACATCTTTCTAGCCTCTTTTCATCTGAATACAGGTACATTAAAAAAAAATACTGCCAGGGCCAGGCGCGATGGCTGACTCCTGTAATCCCGGCACTTTGGGAGGCCGAGGTGGGTGGATCACCTGAGGTCAGGAGTTCGAGACCAGCCTGGCCAACATGGGGAAACCCCGTCTGTACTAAAAATACAAAAATTAGCCACACGTGGTAGTTGGCGCCTGTAGTCTCAGCTACTCGGGAAGCTGAGGCAGGAGAATCGCTTGAACCTGGGAGACGGAGGTTGCATTGAGCCGAGATCGCGCCACTACACTCCAGCCTGGGTGACAAGAGCAAAACTCCATCTCAAAAAAAAAAAAAAAAAACGAGCAAAAAAACCCCAACAAACTGCCAGGTGTCCATGATTTACAACCAGAGATTACCACGAAGCCTTTTTATAACAGCCCAAGCAAATCAAATCCAATGTGATCATATTAAAATAAAATAATACATTTGTAGTATGGCCCAATAAGCTATCAGAGTGATGGAAACACTCCACAGATCTATTAGCTGTTGATTATTAGAATTATTAGTAAGTGGTTTAATGCATTAATGTAAAATTAAAACCATTTTCTTTATTTTTGGAGGGAAAATTTGACCAAAAAACCTATGAGGAAGTGTTCCATTACCATTTTGTACCAGCCTAACTGAAATGTCACTGCCTATGTCCACTGATTAAACAAATGCTGAAATGGAAGTAAGCAGTTTTCTTCTAATGATGTAGAAATTCCCCCCACGAATCCAGGTGTCACTGCCTAAAGATCAAGTGACTAATTGCAGTGGATACTAGTGGGCCAGGACCATAGCCTAGAAACGTCATGCTGCCAGGGCTCACATGACCTTAAGGGAAAGACCCAAGACTGTCACCAATAAGACTCACATGTTTGCAGATCTTAATGGAAAAACCATGTTCTAAACTAATTAATTCCCTGTTTGTATAATACAGTCACACTTAGCGTACTGTGTGCTCTTTGTAATCTAATTTCTGTTGAATTGCTTTTTACAATCTGCTCAAAATGTGTTTATAACAGAGAATCATTATAAGAATAACTTCTTTTCCCTTTCAGCTTTCCTCTGTTTCTCTCTCTCCTTCCTTCCCCCTTCCTTCCCTCCCTCCTCCCTTTCCTTCCCTTTTTTTCCTTTCCCTTCCCTTCGCTTCCTTCTTCCTTCTTTCCATATCTCCTCCCTACTCCTTCCTTCCTTCCTTCCTTCCATTTTTCTTTCTTTCTCAACTTTAAAATGTGCTTCCCTTTGTTAAATAGATCAAATGAGTTCAGGAATCCAAATTTCTTCCTTGTTCTTTTTATTTTCTCCTTAGTCGTCTTCTTTTGCTTATTGCTTTATGGAGAAAGGTAACTTCTTTTCTTTCAAGAGATTACTAAGTGGTCAATACATATCCATGAGTTCCTGTCTTCTGAGCTGCTCTTAAATTACCTTAAAACACTTCAAATATTTCCTGAAGGTTTTCTATACTAAGCACCTGGGATAGAGAGCTATAACCTGTGAGGTTTACTACCCTCAAGGAAATCAAATACACTCTATTAAAAATGAGAAAGAAGTGTACATTTCAGCACACATTCATTTATTCATTTTTTTCACCTTTTCTTTAATTTTTAAATAACTTTAAAAATAGTTCGAGGCATATAAATTGTAAAAATAGCACAGAGACTTCCCTTGTACCAGCCTTCTCCAATGCACAAAATGTTATGCATATCTGTAATGCATTTTCAAAACCGGGAAACTGACATTGGTACAATGCTGTTTACTCAAATAGAGACTCTATTTGCTTGACTATTTTTAAGTGTTTTGAGACTCAAGAATAGTGTGTTCCAAGGAGAAGATTCTCAACCGAGGATGATTTTGTCCCCCAAGAGACATTTGACAATATTGAGAGACATTGTTGGTTGTCATAATTGTCAGGGTGGGATTACAATACTGGTATCTAGTGAACAGAGGCCACAGATATTGCTAAACACCTTAGAATACTTTGGTAGCCCTTACAGAAAAGAATCATCTAGCTCAAAATGTCAATAGTGCCAAGGTTGGGAAAACCTGCTTTAGAGAACCATAAGCCTCGTGGCAAATCACTTCTCACTTGATCGTATCAGCACCATTTAAACCAGGGAATTCAAACTCAAATATCTACAGCGGCCAGCCAGGCAGTGGTCAAGAGTGCAGCAGACTAGGTAGAGTGTGTAGAACCAGAAAGCACATTCCCTGCCCAAAGGGAGAAGCTACTGCTCACTCAAGTGGGGCTTGCCATGATGAAGCATAGGCCAACTTTGCTGGGTCATCAGATTTTCCCTAGAAGCCAGACTTGGAAATGTAGGCAAAGCCAGAGGGCTGACCTGTTCGGGAGGACATTGCGGGCAATTGTTGCCCTAGAGCACAAACTTGGATCCATTGGTAAAGGCTCCTAGCTTTCTAGTTCTCTACCGTGTACCTGGGTCTGCTGCACTCTTGACCACTGCCTGGCTGGCAATGTGGATATTTTAGTTTGAATTCCCTGGTTTAAATGATGCTGATATGATCAAGTGAGAAATGATTTGCCATGAGACCTATAGTTCTCTAAACCAAGTTTTCCCAACCTTGGCACTATTGACATTTTGAGCTAGATAATTCTTTTCTGTAAGGGCTACCAAAGTATTCTAGAGTGTTTAGCAATATTCCAGGCATCTACTCGCTGAATACCAGTATTATAACCCCACCCCCACAATTGTAACAACCAACAACGTCTCTGTCAAGTGAGAAGTCTCTGTGCTAATTTTACAATTTATATGCTTCTAACTATTTTTAAAGTTATCTAAAAACTAAAGAAATGGTGAGCAAGTATTGTTGACTGGGTGCTTATTCAAAGTAGCCCATTTCTCAGCCTCAGTTTCTCTAAGAGAAAAATGGGAATAGTATATACCTCATAGGATCGTTTTGTGGACGACATAAAATAAACAGTGCGAAGAGCTTAGTGCTCCACTTTGGGCAAGGGAGGTATTGAATTGTTCCTCAATGATAAAAGTAACTTAGTTTAGGAAGTTTTCTTCATAAACTTAGAGTGAGTTTTATTTTTCTTCACCATCTTCTTTCCTGTTCATTGCTCATTAGTTACTAACAACTTGCCGCAGGGTGATCCCATCTCAGAGAGGAGGACCTGAGAGGTGCTAGTGATACTCAAACCTGCCATTGGGGAAGCACTTTATTTGCCACACCATGAGTATGTTTTCTTCCTTTAGAATAGAATCTCCTGACGCTCATTTGGACAAGCATCCCATTCTTCTTAGAGATTGTAGAAAGGTACATTGGACTCCGTACAAGCATCACTAATTTGACCATTTTGATTGAATTGGACAGAAGCGTAAGTGACTGGATGATGTCAAAAAGCTGTGGAATTCATAGGTGTATTTGCTGAAAATGGATGTGTGGGCCTATTTCACTAGTGGATCCCTGGGGTCGCTTGTTACGTCTCTAAGTATTGCATCTATTCTTGCTGTCCTCTAGAAGCAGGCTGTCCGTGCTCCCTTGGGTATTCCAACTTTACTCAATATTCCCTGGGCTTATATTTTGTTGACTCAAGTGTGGCATAGCTGCTATCGTTAACCACATCCACTCTGCTCTATTTTCCACAAGTAAGATTTAGAAACATAGGATTAGTGCCTATCTCCTGGACCCAGAGGAAATCTCTGACCCACATTGTCTTGGAATAACCAGGCTCTGGAATCTGGGGCAGTTGTAGAGCCCAAGTTATAATGTATGCTAAATGCTGCCAGTGAACTTGGCATTTTGTGGTCTTTATTTTTTTCTTCTTCGATTGTCAAATTAGACATTTTTTGGTGAATTAGCAGAAACCTATAATAAAGCAAGTTGCCTAAAAGTGCTGGGCTGGTGTGCGTGTGTGTTTGTATGTGTGTGTGATGATTGCTAAATAATTTACTTACAAGTAGTATTAATGTATTTCTTACAATGCGTACACAATTTAAGGCACTTGGATGGAAAAAAAACCCTCTCCGTATTTCTTATTTTCTCATAGCAGTATCTTTCACAATTTAGATAAACTTGGAAGATGGACTAAAATCCGACAGTCTCAATGATTTAAAAACAATGAAAATTGGGCACGGTGGCTCATGCCTGTAATCCCACCACTTTGGGAGACCAAGGCAGGTGGATTACCTGGGATCAGGAGTTTGAGACCAGCCTGGCCAACATAGTGAAACCCCGTCTCTACTAAAAATACAAACATTAGCCAGACGTGGTGGTAGGCACCTGTAATCCGAGCTACTTGGTAGACTGAGCAGGAGAATTGCTTGAACCCGGGAGGTAGAGGCTGCAGTGAACCGAGATAGCGCCACTGCACTCCAGCCTGGGTGACAGAGACTCCATTTCAAAAAAAAAAAAATGAAAATTAATTTCTCTCTCATGCTTCATGTCCAAAGGATATCAGCAAGGAGGAGAGGTGCTTTTTCTATCATAGTTTCTCAGATGCCTGTGTAGAATGAGGCCCCACCATCTGTTGACATCGTCATCTCAATGCTAAGCTTCAGGCTTCCTGGCGGCAGTGGAAGAAAACTCGGAGAATCAAAGACTGTGTTTTAAAGGATTCCCACTCAGATGTGACAGACTTCCGCTCACACTGAACTGGCCAAAGGAATGGTGCATGTGCTTAGAATAAAAGGAGAGCCAGAAATCTTGATGAGTCCTAATACTGTCTACTATAGAACGTATCTCATATCTTTAATAACATGAATTGCTCTACATACCATGGACAGAATGGAAAATAAGGGGAAAAAAGTCTTCTAAAACTATTGATAAAGTGTTCTCTGAGTCAAATAAGTTTGGTAAATGGCCTGTAATCTGTATCTCTGAGATTTACAATGCTCATTGCTTATTTACTCTGCAAAGTAAAGTAGCAAGCAAATTTAATCTTTTTACTGCTGCTTTTAAAGCAGCTTTATTGCAGGATAATTTACATAATATACCATGCACAAATTTTAAGTGAACAATTTGATGATTCTTAGTAAATTTATAAAGTTGTACAGCAGTCATCACAGCCCATGTTTAGAACATTTCTATCACTTTAAGATGATCACTCATGCCCATTTGCAGTTAGTTGATCCTTGTTTCTACCCACACAGGCAAACAACCCATAATTTGCTTCCTGTTTCTATAGATTTGCCTTTTCTGGACATTCAATATAAGTGGAATTATATAACATGTAATCTTTTTGTGTTTGGCTTCTTTCACTTAACATAATGGTTTTGAGATTTATCCATGTTGTGTCATGTATCAGTAGTTCCTTTTATTGCTGAATATTATTCAATCGTATTAAATTTTCTTTATCCTTTCATCAGTTGTCAGACGTGTAGATTGTTTCCACTTTGGGGTTATTAAGAATAATGTTGGGCCAGGCACGGTGGCTCACGCCTGTAATCCCAGCACTTTGAGAGGCCGAGGCGGGTAGACCATGAGGTCAGGAGTTGGAGACCAGCCTGGCTAACACAGTGAAACCCTGTCTCTATTAAAAATATTTAAAAAATTAGCCAGGTATGGTGGCACATGCCTGTAGTCCCAGCTTCTTCGGAGGCTGAGGCAGGAAAATCGCTTGAACCTGGGAGGCAGAGGTTGCAGTGGGCCAAGATCACGCCACTGCACTCCAGCCTGGGCAACAGAGCGAGAGTCCCTCTCAAAAATAATAATAATAATAATAATGTTGGCCAGGCATGGTGGCTCACATCTGTAATCCCAGCACTTTGGGAGGCCAAGGGGGATGGATCACCTAAGGTCAGGAGTTTGAGACCAGCCTGGCCAACATGGTGAAACCCCGTCTCTACTAAAAATACAAAAAAATTAGCTGGGCGTGGTGGTGGGTGCCTTTCATCCCAGCTACTCAGGAGGCTGAGGCAGGAGAATCACTTGAACCTGTGAGGTGGAGGTTGCAGGGAGCCAAGATCGTACCATTGCACTCCAGCCTGGGCAACAAGAGCAAATCTCTGTCTAAAAAAGAAAAAAAATGTTTCCAAGGAAATTTGTTTACAGGTTTTTGTGTGGGCATTTCTATTGAGTAGATATGTAGGAATTATGTAATATTCATAGATTCTATGGTAAATATGTTTAAATGTTTAAACATAAATTGTTTTCCTAAGTGGTGCTACCATTTTTCATGTCTGCCAGAAATGAGTGAGATTTCTGGTTTCTTCACACATTCCCAGTGCTTATTTTTGCTTATGTTCTGGTTATGGCTGTCCTGATGGCTGTGGTGGTGACGCAGGACAGGCAAGTCCCAAATTGAGGCTTAGCTCAGGAAGTTTCTTGGCGTGGCTCCGGAATGAATTCCAGAGTGCGCTGGTTTGGGAGGAACACAGCTTTACTGAGGTGGCAGTGTCACAGCTCTGGGACTGCTCCTGCAGAGCAGGACTACCCCATAGGCAGCGTATCAAGAGTAGGAACTCAGAGATGGTTCTGCCATATTTATACCTAATTTTAATTATATGCAAATTAAGAGGCAGAATACGCAGAATTTTTTAGATCAAGGGTGGTAATGTTTGAGATGTTGGGTAGTTGACATAGAATGGGATGGTGACTTGCAGATGCTGCCATGGCAATGGTAAAGTGACATGGCATATTGGTGGGCACCTCTTATGGAGAGACGCTTTCACCTCTTCCCTGTTTTAGTTAGTCCTCAGTCTGGTCCAGAGTCCGAACACTACCTCCAGAGTTGAGTTCGGCCTTCCGCCTCAGTGGTATCAAATTGTGATTTTAATTTGTGCCTATTAGCCGTTCACTTATTATCTTTAGAGAAATATCCATTTAGAAGGATTGATATTATTTCATCAAGTATTTGACAGAATTCACTGGCAAAAGTCCTCTGTAACTAAGATTTTGGGTAATAAATTTTTAATTACTATTTTAACTTCTTTAAAGGTCTATTCAGATTTTCTACTTCTCCTGAAAATAATTTTGAGAATTTGTGACTGTCTAAAGATTTGTTCATTTCATATGTTTCTAATTTGTTAGAATGAAGGTTTTAATAACGTAACAGTATGCTCTTTTGAGTCTTTTAGCTTAGGCTAGGTAGTGATGTCTTCTTTTTATTCTTGAGTTTTGGTAATTTGCTTTTCTCTTTTTCCTTGTATTCTAGTTAAAAATTTGTCAATTTTGTTGATCTTTTTAAAGAATCAACATTCCATTTTCCTTTATTTTTGTTTCTGTTCACTATTTAATTGATTTCTAATTTAATTTCTATTATTTTCTTCCTTCTGCCGGTTTTGACACTAGTGTGATAGCCTTTTTCTAGTTATAATGTTAGCTTAAGTATTGATTCGTGACCATTCTTTTTTCCTACTATTAGCATTTAACACTGTTACTTTCTCTCTAAGAACTGCTTTAGCTGCATTTCATCTATTTTAATATATTGTATTTTCATTTTCATTCAAAGTATTTTGTAATTTCCACTGTGGTTTTTTTCTTTGGCCCATTATTTAAAATATGTGTTTTATTTTCAAGTACTTTGGGATAACTCAAATTTCTTTTTGTCGTTGACTTTTGTTTGCATTTCATTGTGGTCAGATAATTTATTTTGTGTGATTTCAATCCATTTAAATTTATTGAGACTTGTTTTATGCTTATTTTTATGCCTAGCATATGGTCTACCTTGGTGAATGTTCCAAGATTGTACTTAAAATGTTTATTTTAGCAGAATGTTTATTCTGCTATCATTGGGTGTGGTGTTCTATAGATATCAATTAGGTAAAGTTAGTTGATAATGTTGTTCAAGTCTTGTATATCTTGTTGATTTTTTGGACTAGTCGTTTTATCAACTATTGAGAGTATAGTAATGAAGTCTCCAACAATTTATTATTGCTGAAATCTCCTTTCAGTTATATCAGGTTTTGCCTCATATATTTTGAGACTCTTATTACATATAAAACAGAATGTTTAGAATATAATAAATAACATACTGATTGTAATTTTGTACCTTCTTGATTTTTTCTAAGGTGGCTTCTCACTCTGTTGCCTAGGACTGCTGTGGGATAGTCACAGCTCACTGCAGCCTCAAACTCCTGGGCTCCTGCCTCAGCCTACTGGGTAGCTGGGACTAAAGGCATGCATTACCATACCTGGCTATTGCCAATGAATTGACCACAACTGATCATTTAAATATCTCCTTTTTTTTTTTTTACTAAAGTAATAATTTTGGTGTAAAAGTATATTTTGTCTGATATTTTATTTTTTTCTGGGATTGCCTTTTCTGCTGTCTTATGGTTACTATTTGCATGATACATATTTTCATCATTTGACTTTTAACCTATAGAGGTCTTTGAATATAAAATGTGTGTCTTTAGACAGCATTGGGTTTGATCTTGCTGCTAATTGAGTCTGACAATCTCTGAGTTGTTATTGGAATGTTTTACCCATTTACACTTAATGTAATTGTTGACATGGTTGAATTTACTTCTGTCATTTTGCTATTTGTTTTCTGTAAGTGTCTTATATGTGATAAGTTAGTTTTCTTTTTCTGCTTTTAAGATTTTCATCTGTAAACAGTTTGACTATGACATGTCTAGGTGTCGATCTCTTTGTATGTATTTTGCTTGGCGTTGGTTGAGCTTTTTGGATGGATACATTAATGTTATTCATCACATTTGAAAGTTTCTTTTAAATAGAACTTATTTTTTAGAGGAATTTTGGCTCACAGCAAGGTTAAACAGAAAGTACAGTGTTCCCACACACCCCACCACCTCCATCCATACATAGCCTCATCCACTATAAACACTCTATGGTTGTGCGTGTGTTACAGACAAACCTACATTGACACATCATTATTACCCAAAGTTCATAGTTTACAGTAGGCCTCACTCTTGAGATTACACATTCTATGGTTGTTGACAAATGTATATGACATATATCCACCACTATATTGTCATATAGAATAGTTTCACTGACCTAAAAATCCTCTGTGCTCTGCCTATTTACTAAATTTGGGAAGTTTTCACCCATAATTAAATTTTTTTTCTGCTGCTTTCTCACTCTTTTTTTATTCTGGGACTTCTATTAAATATATGTTGATATGCTTGATGGTGTCCCACAGGTCTCTGAGGCTTTGTTCATTTTTCTTCATTTTTTCGTTCTTTGGATTAGATTATTTCTATTGATCCATCTTTTATTTCGCTGATTCTTTTATTTTGCAGACAAAGTCTGCTATTGAACTATTTCAGTAACTTTTTCATTTCAGTTATTGATTTTTCAACTCCAGAATTGCCATTTGATTATCTATTTTTTATCTTCTTATTGATATTTTCTCTTTGATAAGTCGTTGTTGTCACACTTTCCTATAATTCCTTAAGCGTGATTCTCTTCAGTGATGTGAACACACACACACACACACACCATATATATATATGTGTGTGTGTTCACTGTGTTACTCTGGATCTTTTGTCCCTTTATTGTTGTTTCAACCATATTTTCAAGACCTATTTGTCAATAGAACTTCTTTTTGTTTGTTTGTTTTTGTCAACAACAACACCTGTTTGGTGCTGGTGTAAACAGTGCTTCTAGAAGACACTTTGGGAAGCCTTGATGTAGATGAAATAGGCTGATATTATTTCAGCCTAAACTGCTTTATATACTGTCCACCAAATTTACCTAAGCTTCTCAACACTTAGGCTGATGGGGAGAAACAGGGAGTAAAGTGCAAATTTTTACAATTGCACACTGTAGACGAGATCCAGCCACTAGATATGGGCTGTCTAAGCCATACCAAAGCACCAATATGTAATTGGGAGATTATACATACATATGCATATTTAGACTTTTTTTTCAGATAATCTCACAATATGGCAAAAAAAAAAAGAGTTACAACTAAATATTTAAAACACAGTCCCCCCACTGACTCAGCACACTTATTTATGTGTGGATAAGTGTGCTGAGTCAGTGAATACCTGGACCCAGAAATTATTTGAAATTATAGCTTTGGGTCTCAGAGATTATAACATCTTCATATTAATGAGGGTTGTTTCTTCATATTTCTGATTCCTCTGATCACGTCTGACTTACCAGAAGCAAGTTACTAGTTCATAACCTTTTGTTCTAAACAAGGACGATGGAGGCCACATTCTCAAGCTTAATTTGTTTCAAGACACTGCCATGGATGTACAAGAAGATGACTGGTGACTGCTAATGGTATCGTCACTAGCCATAAGGCAAAGTAGAGTCTCCTGGTTCTCATGGTGAGAAATATTCTCCATTGGTTTAGCTCTGGATGCTGGTTCCACGGATGTCTACTTACATACATATACTTTTTTTGCGGAATTTAAGTTACAGTCAAACAAATGTATAAGTGAATGAGATAGGTTGAAAAAAAATCCAAGTATTTGTGGGAGGCAGTATCTCTGGTAGATTTTAAAGTAGTCAGGAAGCCCTTCTGAAGAGGTGAGATTTCAGGAGCAATTTTTAGAGTTAGGAGAGAAAGTTTGGAGGCATAAGGGAAGTCAAAGGCTCAAGGCAAATGGTACAACTTAAAAGAGGGGATGAAGGTGGCTGATATAAGAGTAGGATGACAAAATTGAAAGAAATGGAGAGCAAAGAAACAAAACACTAGATCATCAAAAATAGACATTTTTTTCTGAATATCATGTTCTTTTGAATACTTGCAGCCTACTAATCTCCATGCACTTTTCTAGGACTTCTACCCACTTACCGCCTTCACGTTTTGGCCCCCTTAAGTCTTCATAAAGTCCCTATCCTTAGTCCTACCTTTAAGACTAAGATTTCCAGAGTTTTGGAACTCTTAATAAAGATGGCTGGCTCTCAGTGGGACTATTAATTTCATTTTTTGGTGTGAGTCTTAATTCACTCCCATTTTACTCACTTAGCAGAAATGAATTCATTTCTTTTCCCAGGTTCACCGTGGAGTTGACTGTAAGGCTTTCATGCCTGCAAAGTCACCGTTAGCATGCTGATATCAATATTAATCATATACAGCTTGATACTGTAATTGAATAGTTTTTACACAGATGATATTAACAGATAAAATATGGCGTCCTCATGGGAAAACATTACCTTGAAATATTAGCATTATTATATGTTAATTTCTTTGGAGGATATGACTACAGATATATGAGCAGAGGTAAATTTTCCAGCACTTCGGCTGACAAATTCCATGTCAACATAACTCTCAAGAATTTGTATTACTACTTGGCGATGACTTATATGATGATGTATAACAACTTAAGGGGTTTTAAAATGCAGTATTTTGACTAATGTGGCTTGGTAAATAGCATTTGTGATTAGTCCCTTTTCTTTTTCTCCCCCCAATTTCTGTAATACTGACAAAAGCCTGTAATAATAATAAAAATCACTTCTCCAAATGGAAAATGCCCCACTCCATCACCAACATTTTCTGGTAATGCTCCAAGTTCTGTGCAGAACAGAGACCTGCGGGGGCTGCAAAGACAGATTCACGTTGTACTAATTGTCTCATTAGCACCTCCCATTTCTATCAGGGCGTTGGTCCCAAGGTCTAAGTTTTTAAGAACCTTTGCCATGGAGATTTATTCTACACAGGAGATATGCCACCGAGGGGGGCCCTGAGTCCTCTGTGTTGTATTCAAAGGACTTAAGGATAAGGCTGGCATTCTGATGCCCTTAAACACAGAAATTGTGAACTCCTATCTAGATAGCTTGGCTCAGGGGTGGTGCCTGCACTCTTTGGTCTTCTGTGAAGTTTCGTAGATGTGTCTACATTCTATCATTTTGGGAGGCAACTGCAGTCGAAATGGCAGTCATTTATAGTCATTTCATTTGCCTCAATGTTGGAAGCCCCAGAACCACCTTTCAAAAATTTTTTTTTCTTGGGGTGGGGGTATGGGTGGGGGCAGTCTCTCTCTGTCTTGCCCAGGCTGGATTACAGTGGCACAATCTTGGCTCACTGCAACCTCCACCTCCTGGGTTCAAGCGATTCTCCCACCTCAGTCTCCCAACTAGCTGGGACTACAGGCATGCACCACCACGCTGGGCTAATTTTTTGTACTTTTTTTTAATTATACTTTAAGTTTTAGGGTACATGTGTGGATTATAAATCATGCTGCTATAAAGACACATGCACACATATGTTTATTGCAGCACTATTCACAATAGCAAAGACTTGGAACCAAGCCAAATGTCCAATAATGATAGACTGGATTAAGAAAATGTGGCACATATACACCATGGAATACTATGCAGCTATAAAAAATTTTTTTTGTACTTTTAGTAGAGATGGGGTTTCCCCATGTTGGCCAGGCTGGTCTCGAATTCCTGACCTCAGGTGATCTGCCTACCTCGGCCTCCCAAAGTGCTGGGATTACAGGTGTGAGCCACCATACCTGGCCAGAACCACCTTCTGATAATTGAGAACAGGAGTGTTCTTTTAGGATTTTCCTGGATACCTACCACCTGTTCTCACACGAGGCTGGTGTCCGTTTCATAGTCATGTTTCATTATTTGGAGCCATTCACTCACTACTTAGGATGTTTTCATAGAAACCTCTCCCCTATTTCTGCTTATATGTCTGAGCCTGGCTCATTGATGTTCCTCCTCAGAGAAGTAGTGTCTTCTCAAGAACAGCACAGCACCACTAGAACAGGCCACTTTTTGTAGCCAACACAGGGCTCTCTCTAGACAATAAACTCATGTTTACAACTACGGGGAGGCGGAGAGTCTCTTGGCCTCTCCTATCTGATTTGGCACGTGAAAGGTGACCGATGCAAAGAAGAACAGAGCTCACTCATAAATTATTTGCAGAGGAGATTTCCTACTGGGACTCTTGAACAGTTCACATGTGTTTGGCTCTCACACTGCCATTCCTATTCTTCAGTTTCAAGTGGAACAACGAACTTGATATTAATCTGTCTTAAGGAGAAGCATCTGGAGGCTGGCTAATAAAACTTGAATTTGATGGAGGAAAAAGGCTCTCAATCAAACCCTGCTTACATAGGCTCTTCAGAGCTATTCATTGCTGCTTGCCTGTGCCCCGGGATCCCCAAATCTCCCTTCACTTGCTGTGGGTGGTGAGCAGATTTTCTTCCTGAGTACTGAAGTTTAAGATGCGGTACTTTTGACTACTGGTAGTAAGTAAAACTCCAAATCTCAGAAAAACCTCCTTTTCTTCCCATCTCCTCCCATCCTCATGGACCCATCCCTGTTCTCCCTTCGTCTCCCTCACCTTACACTCCCCTTCCTCTGCTGGGGCTCTGGCCAGATGTTTGGCCCCTTGCTGTGATGGTAAACGGCCAACGCTCTTGATCCAGGCAGCCAGCTGCTCCAGAGGCGGCTTCTGGAAAGCCTCCCCCTCACTGACTTCTGACATAGCGACAGAAAGCATGACAGCTCGTTTGCATGACAGATTGGCAGCATAAACTCTGACTTGGAGGACCATGTTTAGGGGCTTCCAAGCCATTCTGTGCTCAGGAACAATGCGAGGAAGCAGAGTGGCCATCAGTCAAGGGGAGATTTTCCCATCACTGAAGTGGTCTCCTTTGCGTTTAAAAGTTTCTTCACTTTCATTTTAATATCATAGCCTAATTATTAAAATAAGGAAGAAAAGTCTTGAATTAAATTGTAATGAATAGAATTTATTTTTAAAATGTTGGTATATTTATTTCTTTTTTTAAATTTCTTTTTCTTTAGAAACATTTTTTACGTTTTTTTTTCTTGAGGCAAGGCCTCATTCTGTCACCCAAGCTGGAGTACAGTGGCATGATCGCAGCTCACTGCAGCTTTCACCTCTTGTGCTCAAGTGATCCTCCTGCCTCAGCCTCCAGAGTAGTTGGGACTACAGGTGCATGCCACCACACCCGGCTAAGTTTTTAAATTTTAGTAGAGATGAGGGTCTCACTATGTTGCCCAGACTGGTCTCGAACCCCTGGGCTCAAGGAGTCCTTCCACCTTAGCTTCCCAAAATGCTTGGATTACAGGTGTGAGCCACTGTGCCCAGCCTAAATTTTATTTTTTAAACAGAGTTTTAGGTTCACAGTAAAATTGAACAGAAAATACAGAGTTTCCATATATTTGCTACCCCCACCATATACAGCCTCCATCACTATCAACATCCCTCATCAGAGTGGTACATTTGTAACAGTTGATGAGTCTGCATCGACACCTTATCCCCCAAAGTCTATTGTTTACATTAGGGTTCACTCTTGGTGTTGTACTTTCTATGGGTTTGGACAAAGGTGTAATATGTATCCACCACTGCAGTATCATACAGAATAGTTTCAGCAACCTAAAAGTCCTCTGTGCTCCACCTAGTCATCCCTCCCTCTTGCCTAACCTCTGGCAAACCACTGATCTTTTTACTGTCTCCATAGTTTTGTCTGTCTTAGAATGTCACATAGTTGAAAGTATGTTATATGTAGTCTTTTCACATTGGCTGCTTTCACTTAGTAATATGCATTTAAGTTTCTTAATAGCGCTTTTCTTTTTAGTGATAAATAACATTTTATTGTCTGGCTGTACCACAGTTTATTTACCTCTTCATCTACTGAAGGACATCTCAATGGCTTCCAAGTTTCAGCATTTATCAATAACCTGCTATGAAAAATCCTTGTGCAGGTTTTTGTGTGGCTATACGTTTTCAGTTCATTTGAGTAAATACCAAGGAGTGCAATTATTGGACGATATGGTCAGACTACGTCATAGCCCTCTGATAGCTTCATTCATCCCTGTTTTCTCTTTATTTCACACTTCTACAGTCTGATTGGTTTTTCGCAATATTGTTGGGCCACACTAATAAAAGAAATCGGAATTAAAATCTACCACTTTCCGGTAAAAATATGCCAATCTTCTGTTATTTTGTTAAGCAACAGCTATGCAAAATGCACAAAAAATTATTACAAATATTTTAATTCAGTGAAACTCTTTTTAACCTTCTTGTGAAATTGATGCAATATGCAGTCTCTAACAGGCCTTTTGTGTGGTATAGGCTGATCTTGGCTGAGTGAGGAATAGTGTCAGTGAGGGTTTCAGATCAAGCTGTGGTGGGAAACTGAGCTCTTCACTTTGTGACATATTGGTGTGCCATTTCTGAAGAATGTATATTGCTAGAATGAAGGCAGAGGCAAACCAATTATTTCTCTTTAAGGCTAGCCCATTCATATGGTTAAGTTTTCAAGGTCTGTCCAGAAAATGAATTCAAAGTCTGTTCAGAAAATGAAGCTTGGGGGACTATGCTGAAGAGCGAAATGAGTGTCTGCCTTTACAGTTAGTGGGTTATTGGGAGCATTGAGGCTTAATGATGGAAAGAGGACAGGTTTAAAAACCACTGTGGAGTGGAAGCCCAGCTTCGCTGCAGCCAAATTGTGAAACCTTGGGAAAATTACTTAAATTCTGTGAGTTTATCCAACTTCTCCGTCTTTTAAGTTTTCTCTTCTACAAATGGGTTTAGTCATACCTACACTACAGGTTTATTGGGAGAACTTATCTGAAATCATTGATATACAGTGTTTGACATAAAATGTGTTCAATGTGATTTACCTTATATGAGATATTAAAATTCACAGAAGCCTTCATAGATCAAACAGGTCATTCTAAGACAAAACAAGCATGCAATAGCATATCACGTATTTTCACTTCACATCGGGGCCTTATCTCTAGGATTGAAAACTCTATTTTTATTCAAATTTCCCCTAAATCAAAGCAAATATAACTAATCAATAATCAGTAAAATGGAACTGCTGTCCATAACCAATCATTTGCTGACAGATGTTTTTTCTTTATCTTGAATGTATCAATCAAAAAATAAAAAGGTAAAAGTTGGCAAAAGCTTTGCCATCTGTGGGCACTGTGCAACTTCAGGGCATTGCCAAATCTCTATCATGTTAGTCTGAAATATAAGAACTTCTGTGACTGCCAATGGCATAAAGGAGTAACGGCAAATGTATAAACACACACGTGTGCGCACACACATGCACACAGACCCAGGTGTGGGAGAAAATGATTACTTTACAAATTATATTTTCTGTCTAAATTTTGCTGTTGCACACTTAAAATTAAGTGTTGGAACCTAAACATTTGAACTTTACTGCAAATGTTCCAAGTAATACCAGTGCCCCACCCTATCACCTCTTCTCAGAGTAATCCACTTAGAAGCAATTTTATGTTTAATTTCTCTAAACCTGTTAGCATTAGTATAAAAGCCACAACTCTCAAAGTAACCTCAGAATTAGGGTGTCAAGATTGTGTTCCACCTGTTACTCTAGAAGTATACTAAGGCTCTTCTAGTTCACTAGGTATCACAAGAATTTTTGCTTTTGGGGAGCCAGGCGTGGTGGCTGACGCCTGTAATCCCAGCACTTTAGGAGGCTGAGGCAGGTGGATCACGAGGTCAGGAGATTGAGACCATCTTGGCTAACACGGTGAAACCCGTCTCTACTAAAAATACAAATAATTAGCCGGGCGTGGTGGCGGGTGCCTGTAGTACCAGCTACTTGGGAGGCTGAGGCAGGAGAAAGGCGTGAATCCAGGAGGAGGAGCTTGCAGAGGTGAGCCGAGATTGCGCCACTGCACTCCAGCCTGGGCGACAGAGGGAAACTCCGTCTCAAAAAAAAAAAAAAAAAGAATTTTTGCTTTTAGAAGGCAGGTGGGGAACCTTAAAAAGAACTTCATATTTGTATGTTCACTGTGAAGAAAAGTGATGATTACCAATGAGTTCAGATACTGCTGAGGAGTTGCTGACTGAAAACGCCTAGAAACATGCGCGCGTGCACACACACACACACAAACCGATCATAGTTGACCTTGAAACTATTCTAATTATGAAATGTTCATGTTTTCCTTTATACCTCCTCATTCCTTAATTCTATACATCATTGCACTGTTCTCGTTTTTTTGTTTTTTTTGTTTTTTTTTTTTTTTGAGACATAGTCTCACTCTGTCAACCCAGGCTAGAGTGCAGTGGCTCAATCTCGGTTCACTGCAACCTCCATCTCCTGGGTTCAAACAATTCTCTGCCTCAGCCTCCTGAGTAGCTAGGATTACAGGCATGCACCACCATGCCCAGCTAATTTTTGTATTTTTAGTAGAGACGGGGTTTCACCATCTTGGCCAGGCCGGTTTTGAACTCCTGACCTCATGATCCACCTGCCTCGGCCTCCCAAAGTGCTGGGATTACAGGCATGAGCCACCATGCCCAGCCCATTGCACTTTTTAAACACTTTATATCTCTCAAAAATATGTATCTTACTAATGGCATATATAATTTTATTGGCAGCATTTTATAAGCATATACAAATACTGTCTTTTTTCTTTGTATTATTTAAAATAATAGTGTATCTTAAAATCGAAGTTAATATAGACCCCATGAATATCGTGATTCAGATATTTTATTATTCAAATATTCATAATTCAAATATTAGTGAAAATAGTCCATTTTGGTTTTATTTGATGAGTTTCTCAAGATCCAATAGAACTTTCTTTTTTCTTTTCTTATTTTTTGGTAGACGCAGGGTCTTGCTTTATTGCTCAGTCTGGTCTCAATGTTCTGGCTTTAAGTGACCTTCCTGCTTCGACCTCTCTAAGTGTTGGGATTATAGGCATGAGGCACCATGACCAGGCCAATAGTACTTTCTAGACCTGAGAACCAAGGACCATCATATGAGGACTTGATGAAAGGCCTTTGTTCTCACAAGCACATTTTCAATTGTCTTCTGTGACTGCAGATGGCATTGCATCTGGCTTTTTTGTGCAGTTTCTATTGCCCATGACCTACCGTTGTGCATATTTTATCCATGCTTTTCTTAAAAACAGGAATAACATTAAAACCTTTCATCCTGTCAAGCTCATTATCTGCCTATGCCATTCCTTCTTATAAAAGCCACATAGGACATATCTTACTGTTACCAGTTCACAGATTTTTTTTTTTTTAAAGGAGAGTGAGAGCTGTTAAGCATAAGATCACCCTTGATGTGTTAAGTGATTCAGTTGGGTTGGAATCATGTCTGCTTGCAACCAAAACCCTTCCAGAACCCTTACCCTCGTAGCTTCGTGGGTTTTTTTGTTTATGTTTTCCCAGCTTTAATTTCCAAGCCTGTATCTTTGGGCCCTGACTGCAAATGCTTTTACTGAAATGGATCCACCTACGGTCTGATAACCACATGTTGGGTTGATCTTCTCTCTGACGTTATATCCCAGCTGTCAACTGTTCTTCAGCAAAGTGTTACATAGCATTCCTCTCACCCTGCCTCTGTGCACTTCATTTCACCTACACTTCTTTTTTGTTTTTAACCCCCAAAGCTTAGTTGGATAGTTATTGAGCCCCTCTGTTATGACCTGTGCTGCTAGGTGCACAAAGAAAGCATTTAACTTTCAGAGCATACATTCCGAGAATGAGAAGTAGATAGGCTTTCTGTTTTTCCTCTTAGCTCTGAGTTCTCAAGAAAATTCATTACCTTTTTTTGTAAAAACAATTTATTCAACATTTACTGGACACTTGCTATGTTTTAGATTCTAAAGAGGCAACAACAAATCAGCCATGGCCTCAGTTTCTCCAGAGCTTTCAGTCTGGTGTACAAGAGAAATAAACAAGCACTGTAATTACCTGTGTGATCATATTGGAAGGCGCCCTGGTGCTTAGTGTAGAAGCATCTTGACCAAATTGGAAAATTACAGAGGGGAGACCAGAGGCCATGATAGTCAAACTCACTGCCACCAGAATTAGCAGTGGAACTGATGGATGAAATTTGATCAAGAAACTCCTTGCCATTAAAAAGTTTCTGTTTCACTTCAGATTCAAAGTGGATACAAGAGGTCTGATGGATATTCCTAAGCTATTTGCATAATCTGTAGTAGCTCCAAATCTGGAGACACAGGAAGCTAGACATGTGATATGGTTCGGCTGTGTCCCCACCCAAATCTCATCCTGAATTGTAGCTCCCATAATTCCCACATGTTGTTGGAGGGACCTGGTGAGAGTTAATTGAATCATGGAGGTGGTTTCCCCCATACTGTTCTCGTGGTAGTGAATAAGGCTCATGAGATTTGATGGTTTGATAATGGGGTGTCTTCTTTCGCTTGGCTCTCATTTTCTCTTGCCTACCACCATGGAAGACATGTCTTTCATCTTCCGCCATGATTTTGAGGTCTCCCCAGCAACATGGAACTGTGAGTGCATTAAATCTCTTTTTTTCTGTATAAATTACCCAGTCTTGGGTATGTCTCTATCAGCGGAGTGAAAACAGACTAATACAATATGACTACCTTAAATAATTTTGAGCTTGATTTAGATTATGTTATCTTGCTTTCATATTGGGTCATGGAGTCTCTCAAAGGAAGTTAATTTCTTCTCAAAGTTTTGATTTTGTGAATGCTCATGCCAGTGAATTGGAATATAAGCATTCAGTGAACAAGTTGAGAGTTACATCCCAAAAGGGGCTTTTGCTTTTATAGACTCTCTGCCTTGATCAATTGACATATTGCACAATTATTTCTATTCATGAAGATGGGTTTATTATTTCTAGGCTGAAAAACTAATATTCTGTTTTTTAAAAAATATTTTTCAAATTATGGTTCAAGTCTTGGACAACACACTTGGTTCCTGATTTCTAAAATTGATGTTTAATTTAGGAGAAACTTGGCTGAGCTGTTGTAGATTTCTCTCACTTCCTTTCTTGAAAGCTCTTCTGAAAAATCCTGTTGTATTTACAAAAGGAATTTGGAGACTAGACCTAGTCATTTTAAACCAAGTGTTATTATATACAAAAGCAAGCAAGTAGGGATCAAAAGAGTATAATTGTTTCCAATTCAGGAATGGCAGGACTTGTGCTTACAGTTGTGTAATGTGGACAGTGGACAATCAACCCTGGTCAAGCCAGGTGATGACCAAGGGAGGGCACTATCCTGACTCTCTTTTTGACACTCTGTGTTACAAATTGACCCTGCTCTTCCTTAATAATTACCAGGCTTTTGATGTGTCTTACACTGAATTAATGAGAGGTTCTCAAAAAACAGAATATCCACTTTCCCCACGTTAGTTAACCCACAGCTTAGAAGTTATGTGTGCATCTTTGAGAAGGATATGAGAAAATGAAGGATACCCAGAGAATAACTGAGGTGTTGAGGGGTGTGAGATAGGGTCATCGCAACTGGGGCTGTGGAACCTGGCCAAAGAGCCCATGCCTTCCAATAGTTAGTTGGGTGTCGGGTGGGAAATAACACAGCAACATTCCAAGGTCAAGAGTAGAACCACAAGTTAGGAGAATGTATGTGTGTTTATATGGGGGTGGGGGTGGGGGGTCTGTATTTGCTACTCTGTATCCACCACTTATGCTATCTCATTTAACTTTTAACTGTTTCACCTAAGTTTTGCTCTCACTTAATCTTTATGATGCGCTTGTAAGATCTGTTTTATTGCCCACATTTTACAGATAAAGAAACTGAGAATCAGAGTTTAAGTTCATCTGTTCTGAGTTTCTCAGGTGGATTTTGGACCTTGAGGTATTTTGATTGAAAACTCACGCTTTTTCATGATAGCACATAGTTAGCCTTGAAGTCCTTCAGAGGTGTGTTTTGGACAATGTAATAAAGACTTCTCCACAAAATGAGCTGTTAAAATAGTAAAAAAAAAATTTTTTAAAGGGTAATGAAGGCAAAAGAAATTGAATGACACCTTTTAAAAACTTTTAAGTGCCTTTCTAATGGAATTGTCTGTGCTAAACCTGAATGACGAAGATTCAGTGGGTAGACATGAATGATGTTCAAGTCTCAAGGGATTCCATTATTTTATTCTTTTGTGGGTGAATTCCCTAGAAAGTAGCAAGACAGACTGCATACTGTTTTGGGTCTATCACTTTCCATTGTGTTTCATGCCTCCTTCTTTGATTTCAGTGCAACCATTCATATTCCCTTCAAATATGTCCTTACTAAACAATTTAAGGACTAATTTACATAAGTTTAAGCCTTTTAATCAACTTTAAAAAATTAATGTTGAAATATTTTCTCTGGCATATGTACTTTATAGCTTCAGTTCCACCAGTCTTGGTTCTTGCATAGGCCTGACTTAGATGATGTGGATGATGTTGACTTTAGGTTGGGGACTATTTGTCCTAGGATTGAGCCAAATTTTCTTTTTTATTTAGTTTGTTAGCCATTGCAGCAATGGGAATATCAGCTTCATGTATATGTTTTTTAAGTTTAACCAATTCCAGGTTAGTATAATGTGGAATGAGAATTGATGAAATGTGATGACCCAGGTTCAGCACACCAGCAAAATTCTTAAACAGAAAAGCCAATAGTTAACAGAACTCATTTCGGAAGGTACTTAACAAAAAAGCTGAATGCATGGCGGTTGGTTGTGGAATACGCTCACCCAGACCTTAACTTACTGGCTTTATGTATTTTGACCATGGATTCCTTCCTCAGACCTCAGTTTCCTCAGGTTGCCTTTATTCCTGCAAAACGAAGGAGGTCAAAACCAAACAAAATCCAGGGCTGCTTTCTGCTAGAACGTTCTATAAGTTTATGAAACACAATCAAATTTTAGATAAATACATTTTCACTTTTAGTGTAGAGGTTTTCTTTCTTTATAAATTCAGTATATTTTCTGCAGATACAAAGAGTGAAAAGACAGAGATAACTACAGGAAAGGAAAATACAATTTTGGAAATAGGAAAGAAAAGAGTCCAAACAGAGACGAAATGGAAGTGGAAAATGTCTATGTGATGGGCTTGGGAGTGACTATAGAACCCAAGTTACTGATGGGAGCAAAAGATTCAAAATTGTTATTGAAAGCATCCCCTTTCATTGTAATACTTTTCAAACTTAGGCATGTTTGCTTTCTAGGCAAGTTCTGTGACCATTGTCTTCCCTAGATTGGGAACATGGGGATCTGGAATTGTGTCTTAGTTAAGTCTCTATCCCTCACCATATCTAGCCCCCACCCCCCCCCAAAAAATGGCATGATAAACATGTTTCTGTGCTGAATGAAAATAAATGTAACCCTTATTACATCATTCTGCTGCTATTTGTTTCCTCCTTTAGTTTAGGGGGTAGCAAAGGTCGGTGGCAGAAAGAAGCCCCAGGTCACAGTTTTCCAGGACCCTCCTCTTGCCTCCTTCTCTGATCCTTGTCATTCATCCCATGCACCTTCACTTTCCTCCTCTCTTAGTCTTCTGAAGCACTCAAATGAGAAGCCCATTAGGCAGATCAAATTTTCTATTTCTGTGCCTCCAAATGCCCACAGAAATAATAAGACAGGAGGTTTCTTCAGCTGACTCCAAGGACATACATACCCTGATTTCCAGAGTTTGTACTAGGAGTGTTGCCAGAAGGACTTTACAGTATTTTCCCTACTTCGCACAGATGTGCAGCAGCTAGAGGTGAGGCCACCAAATAAAACCCAAGCCTGTCTCCGTGGATTGGAAAGAGGAATATGTTTCTTCTTTCAGATGTTCTGGGACTTGGAATCACATTTTGTCTTGGCCATCCGGAGCATAATGGGGTTGATACCTGTTGTATTACCCTAGAGCATTCTGTCACTTGGCTGGTTAAAAAGGTGGGAGTGAGGGGAGGAGGGAGGAGAGGAAGCTGTACTTGATCCTTATGGAAGCCAGTTAAAATTAATTGGAAAAAGCTTTTAAAGACCCAAGATGCAGACCAAATGTATCTCCAACCCGCGGCCTCATCCCGCACTGAACGCGAAGGTCACTGTGAAGCTGCAGATTTATGCGGAAGGGCCGGGTGATGGAATATGAGACAAAAGCATTTGGATTTTATTATTCCATTTACTCTGACCCTGGGCCATAAAGGGTTTGGAGAGCCTGTTTTATGTATTCAGCTGGTTGCCACACTGACAGGCATTTGGAGCCACTTAAATAAACCACCCTGGTCCCACAGCTGCAACAACACCATATCAAATATAGGTTAGGGTTGAAATGGAGAGCCTGACACACAGCATCTCCAGCAGGTGCACCGGGAAGATTTTTTTGTTGTTTATTTGTTTTTTTGAAGTCCCTTGTTTTTGGAATAGCTTCCTTATCCATCTATTGACTTGAATTTAAAGCTGACTTGCATCCTGAATTGGATTTGGTTTTCGCATGTAAGGGTGTGCAATTTGGGTTTGACCCCAGCTTTTCAGGAATGCTCTATCTTTTCACCGAGTTTGAGACGGGTTTTAGAGAGGTTGCCTAGTGATAGAAAGCTGGTGAGGTTTTGTTTTGTTTTCTGAGATTTGTGCCAGTCCGTGTACTTATTTATTCTTTTAAGCTGTCTTCTTTTAGTTCTCTGAATTTTTAAAAACTGGTTTGTCGTAAAAGTTACAACTGAAAAGTAGACCAGGGTAGGAATTCAACATGGAAGACAATGAAATTGAATCCACAAGTGTGCCTTGGTGATAGACAAAACATGTGTCTAGGTTTTTTGTTTAGTTGTGGACACATGGGAACTCAACAGACCAGAGAAGGAAACCTGGAATAATAACAGCTCCTTCCATGTGGGAAATGCCTCAGAGGTTTCAACCTATTTTCTATGTGAACTTCATCCCAGAACAAGATACTGTTTCCATTATACAGATGTGAGAACTGAGGCTGAGAAAGGTTAAATGACTCATCCCAGGGTCAGATGACTAGAAAGGGGTGATCTTTTGGCTCCATCCCATGGCATTGCCCACATATCCATGTATGCATTTCTTTTCTTTTCTTTTTCTTTTTCTTTCTTTCTTTCTCTTTCTTTCTTTCTTTCTTTCTTTCTTTCTTTCTTTCTTCTTTCTTTTCTTTTCTTTCTTTTTCTTTTTTATTTTTTTTTGATGGAGTCTAGCTCTGTCACCCTGGCTGGAGTACAGTGGTGCAATCTCGGGTCACTGCAACCTCCGCCTCCTGGGTTCAAGAAATTCTCCTGAGTAGCTGGGACTATAGGTCCACACCCAGGGGATTTTTTGTATTTTAGTAGAGACGGGGTTTCACCATATTGCCCAGGCTTGTCTTGAACTCCTGAGCTCAGGCAATTCACTCGCTTCGGCCTCCCAAAGTGCTGGGATTACCGACTTGAGCCACCGCACCCGGCCCCCTTTCTTTTTATAATATGGCCTTTGCTCGCTGCCAAGAGAGAGATGCAATTACCAAACAGAATCCAGGTGCTCTGATTTTGAAAACCAGGGACACCTAAATGTTCATGGGTGCAGTGAGAGCCTGGGGCCTAAAGTGCTTTTTCACCTTGAGAACGTACTCCTTCA
Organism: Homo sapiens; assembly: GCF_000001405.40. Classification (NCBI taxonomy): domain Eukaryota; kingdom Metazoa; phylum Chordata; class Mammalia; order Primates; family Hominidae; genus Homo; species Homo sapiens. Next base: position 95,947,158 of record NC_000015.10, on the reverse strand, counting down.
GAACACCAAAGAGGGTGTGGACAAGCTAATTGAAGTGATCTGTTTTATTTCATACCATTCCTCCTGGGTCTGTTCTTCATAGAAAAGCCATCAAGACTTTGAACTATTAATCATTTGTCACAAAGACTGATTTTACCCTTTTTTTGTCCTCCCACCTTCATAGACACTTACCCAGAAAAACACCCTGAGAGTCCTACACTGGTATTTTCATTCTTTGATGTTTCTTCCAGTGTCTGAAGATCAGGGAAGTTACCAAGAGATATGTCACAGTTATTGGAATTACATTGTTGTATTCCAGATTTTGCAAGCACCTTATAGTTGAATGTTAAAATGTAAGTGTATTTCAATTGGGCTTCCTTTTTACAGCTTTCTGTAAAAAGTCGTATGCACCAGGGAGCCACCTAATGTATTTTACTTTTTAAAGCAATTTTAAAAATTTTGCTTTAAAAGCCAAATCCCTACATTTATTTTCTGCTTTAATTTAAAGACTTATATTAGGGTGTAATATTAAACCCAAATTTGAATGTTTTTTTCTATTATTTATTTTTTCTGTCAATTATATAAAGATGAGACTAGGACTCCATCACTTTCTAGGTAAAAATGGTAGGACTGGGAACTTTATTCTTAGGAGTTTCCCCAAAATTCAACACTGACTTGCCACATTCCTGGTAAGTTTGCCAAAGATGACACAAGACAGTCTCATTTTCAGAGGAATCTTTCTGAGATTCCAGCTGCCCTTCCTCTTTTCCAGAACCAGCTCTCTGCCTAGTTTCATGCAACCACCTCATCCGCTAGGCCAATAGAATCCAAGATGAGTGTCCTTGCATGCCAGGGTTGAAAATCTGTCAACTTCTGATGTAGTCCAGTGATGGATTGAAATTTTGACTATGTGCCACATGCACGTGAATACTTGCAATTAAACTATCAATATGTGGGTTGGGTTTTTATATTTATTTCAAACACTGTAGTTAGTTAGTCCTGTGTTCCGGCTTCCTTTTATCCACTTGTTTCTCCCCTCTTGTTGCCCCTTTCCTACCTCCCCGCCCGACCATGTGAGGTAGGCAAAGTCCCTCTTATTCCACCTTTCCCAAGCCTCTTCTTTCCTGAAGTGTCTTGCTTCAAATAAATATCTCTTCTCCCTTGCCAATTCCTAATCGAAACTTGCTTTTTTTCCCGTAGAGTTCATCCCCGCTGGCTATTCCGCAGAAAAGCACATGCTCATTGTGTGAAAGTTATTTCTGCCAAGATATGAAGAAATGACCAGCTAGTCTTAGGGCGAAAAGGAATGACGTTTTGATTCACATGAGAACCAGTGACCATGTTTATCCACACTGAACTCTAAGTGGTAGAAAAGACAATGTTATATTTTTGATGGGGGAAGACTTCTACAAGACTCTTGCCTCTTCTGGAGGACAACTGCTTCCCTCCCTTCCTTCTTCCTGATGCCTGAGCATTAGATTTCATTAGACGAATATCAGTCAGGCACTTGGTGCTCCTCCTTTGAATGGCCACTGACCTTTGCTCTGCCTCCTCGTGCCCAAAAATAAGTTTAATGCATAGTTTCCACTGGATTGATTGGGTGCCTGCTTAGAGTTGGCTGGTGGGTTGGGTATCACATAGTAATGTTCTGCATTGTAGCTCATAGCATTTTTGAAGATGCGGTATAGCTATCGTTTATTTTCTTTTTGGCATAATCACCCAGAAAAGAGTTATGGAGTAGTGATGGGTTCCATTTAGACTTGATTCTGAGTGCACAGGTATATCCTCGAAAGATGGCCTGAGATCTCTGATTGATGTGTTGCAAGACAGGGTGGAAAACTTACCGCTTATCACAATTCCTAAAAATTCTGTAACTTTTCCAACGTGGTTCCCTGTACTGCTGGGCTGATTAAAAAGCCCTGTGAGGCCATGTGTGTGTTTTAAGCGGGTGTATAGTATAATAAAAGCTAATGGTGATTCTTGATGACTTTTGTTGAAGTTGAGGCACCTGCATTTTAATTGACATTTCCCCCCCTGAAGCACAGCTTTGGAACGTCTACTTCAGCTCACTTGCAGCAGGGTGGAAAATCGCCGGATTTTTAACTTCTCCAGCCATCACATGTTATTCATTTGTGGTGGCAGAAGGGTGACTTAACTTCAGCTTGGATTCTGAAACTTAGAGGAAAAGTCTGCTGAACTATATGGGGATTTTATACTGTCTAAAGTTAGAAATGCTCTGAACTTCATAAGCAGCTTCCCTCACCCCTATTTTGACATTTCTAGGAAATGTTACATAAAGAGAGGCCAAAAAGTAAAATTTAACTCTACATTACAACTCTGGCAAATATATCTGTTATTGTGGTAAAAGTACATGGAAACTCTAAGCAGCACAAATTACTACCATGTGCACAGAATTCCTGGTTGGGTTAGCACCCTCCATGCAGACAAAGAGAGACAAAAAATATGCAAATTTCAAGTAAAACAAATTCACACTTTTCTTAAAGCAAAAAAAGCCTTCATATAATTTGGAGCAACCAGTCTGCTTCAGTAATGTTCTTATATGTAAGTGGAAATCCTTTTTGATATTTACACTACTGATTTCTTTAATCTCCACTTTGGAATTAATAGACAATAACATCAGATTGCTTCCTCGGCTGCCCTAGCACATGTGCATATTTACCCAAGTGTCTAGAGTGGGGATTGTACACATATCTCTAATCCACCTGCCTGTGTTAGTTAAAAGGCCAGATAAAATCAGCAGCCCTTAGATCTTAACCTTTTAAGTCTGAAATGTTTTTAAAGTCTGGCCATGGCAACTGAAGCTGGGGTGTGCTTAGTGGGGGAGGAGGAATCAGGGGAGATGGGAAACAGTCAGAGAATTGGTACATAAAAATGGTCTCAGCTTGAACTACTGTTGCATTCAAACAAGCCAAGAATGTTACAATAATAGTGACAATAGCCATAAAAACTGGGAGGGTGAACCTCAATAGATAGAAATAATTTACTTTATGATACAGTGGCATGGTACTGTACTTGGCTACCCAGATGTTTAAACAAACAACTTGCATTTACTTTCAACTTTCTCTATGGGTACAAGTTGAGGAAGGGGTAGTGGGAATAAGAGGCCCAATTATTTTCTAGATGCAGGTACCCTAATGACAAATACTGAATACACTAAAACTATGAAAAATAAAACATCCTTTTTTTTTTTAAGCATTTAAGTCTCTGGAGCAATCACTCACCACAATTATATGCTTCTGAAAGAACAGACGAAATCCAAACAAAAAGTACTTTAAACCTTTATCGAACACAAGTCATGTGTTAGGAAATTAACTCTAACTCAGTATTTTCTATATTCCCTGGACAAATCTTTCTCTCTAAGTGAATTAATTCATCGTTGATGCTGTTTCTGAATTGGGAATTTACACATTTTTTTCTTAATCAGTTGCTTTATATTACTTAACTAAAGAAGAAGAAATCAAACTCAACCAGAAAAACAATTATAGTGTCTTGATATTTCTCTTATGATATATTAATAGAATTAAAATACCATATGTTTTCTAAACCACAGATCCAAAGCAAAACTGGGAATTTTTCATTAAGAAAATGATCAAAAGATTGTTTTCTGCAATTGTTTGTTTAACAGATTTAGTTAAATAGATTGATATTGTCAATCTAGGTTTTCTCTACTTGAAGAATTCTCTATTAATGACCATTTAAATACAACCTGTTACTGGGCCTATGCCTTTGGGGCAGTGATGTGAGGACTTATCTTTCCATTTCTCATTTAATCTCCATTTTTCCTTGAAGTCAGGTTGTATTTTCATTATCTCCATGCCCCTGGCATAGAGTGGATGCTCAGTATATATTTATCAACTCACTGCTTGAATTACTTAACAGCAGAAGCCTATAAACTTTTGATTGAAATCCTTCCCTGAAGTTAAGACTCCAACTTTGGTTTTATTTGACTCAGCTCTTGCTGCCACTACCTGGTGAAATGGGCCAGTAGGTCAATGCCCCAGGTTTCTCCACTGGGGAGGTGAGCAGAAACAGTCATTCTGTCAAGAATGGGTTTGGTCCTAGGTTGCCGTACATTGATTACTGAATCCTCAGGTTTCTTCTCTTCCCTGCTGCCAGCCATAATGGCAAGTTGAATATTCAAGCCATATGTTTGCTTGGAGTTACTGCTATATGCCAAGCACTGAACCAGTAGCTTTATGTACATGATCTCACTTAATCTTCATTTCAACCCAAGAAGGCTAGTCGTCTTATTGCCATTCTATCAACAACACCATGAATTGTGATGTTAAGAACTTGGCTAAGTTCATAGAGTTCCTGAATGAGAGAGCAGGGGTCAATGCAGGTCCCTTGGATGCCATGGCTCACAATAAATATAGTCTCTTTTCTGTTCCTCACTGCTCTGTCTTATAGTGCTGGCCTTCCAAAGTGTTTGACACCATTCTGTCAAAATGTATTAACTCTATAACCAAAAGACAAACAACCCAATTTTTAAAAAATGGACAAAGGACTTGATTAGGCATTTCTCCAATTAAAAAAAAAAAGAAAGAAAGAAATCCGAATGGCCAATAAGCACATGCAAATATGCATGACATTATTATTCGTTAGGGAAATACAAATTGTAACCACAATGAGATAGCACTTCATAATGTCTACCATGGCCATTTAAGAAAATGAAAAATAGTAAGTGTTAACAAGAATGTGGAGAAATTAGAAACCCCATACTTTGCTTTTGGGAATGTAAAAATGATGCCACCGTTGTGGAAAACAGTTTGGTGGTTCCTCAAAAAGCCAGATGTAGAATTACCGTATGATTCAGCAATTCACTTCAATGTATACACCCCACACATACATTGAAAACATGTTCAAACAAAAACATGCACGTGAATGTTCATAGCAGCGTTGCTCATAAGAGCCAAACAAGTGGAAACAACCCAAATGTCCATCAACTGATGCATAAATAAACAAAATGTGGTATATCCATCCAAAGGAGTATTATACAGCCACAAAAAGAAATGGAGCATTGATACACACTACAATATAGATGAACCGTCAAAACATTATGCTAAGCGAAGGAAGTCAAATGTAAAAGAAAACATATTAAATAATTCCTTCTATATAAATTGTTCAAAATAGGCACTGCCATAGAGACACAAAGCAGATTAGTGTTTGCCAGGCACTGAGGAAAGGAGAAAAATGAGGAGTGATGGTTTAATGGGCACAATTTTTTTTGGAAAGGTGATTAAAATGTTCTGAAATTATATAATGGTGACGGTTGCACAAAAGTGTGAACTAAAAGCCACTGAACTGGGTACTTTAAAATGGTTAAAATAGTGAATTTTATGTTATGTGAATTTTACCACAATAGAAAATGCATTACAAATGTGAGACATGGCCAACATTCAGTTTCAATCACCTTAACTTCACCCCTTCTGGACAACTTGACAATAACATCTTTTGAGAGGTTTCTCACAAGGGAGGGAGACTTACCAGGTAACCACCATGCTTACTGGCAGGGGGCAGTTCTACTGATTTTGGGAGGTGAGCTAAGGGGATGTCAAAAGTTGAGATTCATGACAAAGTGCCCAGTAAGTTCTTTGTACTCTGAGTTCAGGGAGGCCTAGAAGTTGAAATTCAGTTTCCCAGACATTTGTGTTTGGCAGGAACAAGAAATATCGATTCTTCTTAGGGCTCTGACGTAATAAGGTGGAAGAAGGGTGCTGGGTGTACAAGCCTCATAGTATATCTAGAAAAATAAGGACCTGGAGTGCTCATGCAGATTCTTCTTTTTAACCAGGATCCTAATACAATCCCTTAGAAATTGTAACAGATCAAGACTTTGAATGTGAGAAAGGATTTGGCTTTGTGTCCTATACTTGGGCTATTATAAAAAGCATTAGTGAAGCACTCACAAAGAGTGTCCTACACTCTTACGTTGTTGCTCAGGGATACCCACACATTTACCACATTTCTAGATATGTGTTATATTGCAATTTTATTGAAGAAAGTAAATCGGATGAATGTGGAAAAAAATATCCTTTTGACCGTGTGAGTGCATCCTTCTTACGCTCTTCTTCTGACTTTCTCTCTCAATCTAGGCCCAACAAGGGTCCCCATAGACATAGAATAAAGCAGTATTGTTTGGTGGGGGATTTAATTTCACTCCATCACAAGCGACCATCGCAGCCCTGTCATTGCAATTTGTCACACTTTTTTGTGTGCTCTATCTTCCTGAAGTCCCATCTCCTCTGCAATCCACTGCATAATCTTCTGTGGGACAAAGCTCCCCAACATAATGAAAGAGGTGGAATCGGGAACGGAAAGTCAATGGACACAGTTATCAATTTGGGCCCCACACCCCCTGACTCCTGGGATTTGGCCCCAGCAGCCAAAGAGGCGCTAGTGGGGCCTGCTGTGTAGGGAAAAAAACGCACCACTGCAAAGTTTGCTGAGGCCAAAGGAAGAGCTGGTGGCTGCCGGACGATGTAATCCAACGCCCTCCTGAAGAGACCACCACATAGAGGAATGCAAGCAGCTCCCCCGCCAGCCTGCTGAGACCCGAGCCCTACGGTTTGTTAGGATGCAGCTGATGTTTAGAAACTCCACCAGTTCATTCTGAAACGAAAGGCTTGGCGGCGGAGGGCATCCCAGGAAGCAACAAATAGAATCCTAGACCTTGGTTTTGATTTCCACACAAGTCTTGTGACTGTTTACACACCCCAGAAGAGATTTTGAGATTAATTCTGGAATACAAATCTATCTAAACCAAATCAGAACTTCACTCACTTGTGGAAACTCAAGCTCCAGTTTTTAACTGTTTGGAGGGAAATTGCTGTAGCGCTCCCTCCTGAGCAAGGTAACAGGATTTAATTTAAAACATTTACAGGACATCATATACGACTTCTTTCTGTTCATTTCTTGCTACTGTTAGAGGGATGGGATTTTCCTTTTTTCGGTTGTTTTATTGTTGTTCTAGACATTTCCAAAGGATCACTGTTGAATGGCTTAGTGAATCCCTAAATTTGTATGTGTCTATGGATTTTTCTATATTCCAAGCCATTTGTATGAAGGGGTCCCAACTGCCATGACTACAAAGAAGAAGGTGGATGCTGCAGGTGATAATGCACTTTTATATCATAATATTTGCCATCAAGACCATTATTGAAATTCCTGCACAAATGCAATTCCTTGATTCACCTCTAAGTCTTCTTAGCAATTCATAGTCAGTTATTTTTTTTTAAGTGCAACCATTATTAGATCAACAAAACTGTTATGTCCTGGAATGAAAAATAATTGAGTTTTTTCTAATAATTTTTACAAACATACGGTTGGGGAAGATGTGGGTTTGACATTTGACTCTGTCACTTGTGATTTGTATGATCTTTGGGAAAATATTTAACTTTTATATTCAGGTTATAAAAAGGAAATAATAATCCTCATCTTTTAGGGGTGTCTCGAAATTCAATGAAATGAATTGTAAAGCCAGGACACCACCACCTATAGTATTATTTCCACAGGCCTAAGAGTAATGATTTTTAATTTACAGATATGCATGCATGGGGTGTGTGTGTGCGTGCGTGTGTGTGCGTGTGTGTGTGTGTGTGTGTGTGTGTATGTGCATAGACTGGGCTCCTAGCCAGTTCCCCTTCTACTACTACTCAAAAATATTTATATCCAATCTCATTTTCTATCTTATTTTCTACCATGCACATACTCTAGCAGGTTAGCCTCTTTTGTTTTCATCAAGATGAACCATTTACATTGTGTGAACTTCTCACTAACTTCTCTATCTGGGATGTTTTTAGCTCAACTCCACATCTACTAGGATTCAATTCAAATTGAGAGTTCAAATTCAATTCAAATTCCTTCTCAAAGAAGCCTCCCTGAACCACCACATTTAACCTAGCTCCATCCCATTGCCCTTGATCACACCACCATATCACATTATTATGGCAGTAATGATCTGAAATTTATAGGAAAAATATTTACTATCTGTTCCCTCCTCGCCTAGACTATAGCACTTGACTGACAACACTCAATTGCTTAAACATTGTACTATCCACAGCAACTAGCACAATGTCTAGCAGAGAATAGTCACTCAATAAATACTTGTTGAATAAGTGAATTTTAAAGATTACACAATTTATTTTTTGGTGTCCAAGTCTTTCCATATGGAATGAATGAGCCATACTTACCCTTGCACCTACCTTTCTTTCTTTCTTTCTTTCTTTCTTTCTTTCTTTCTTTCTTTCTTTCTTTCTTTCTTTCTTTCTCTTTCTTTCTCTCTCTCTCTCTCTTTCTTTCTTTCTTTCTTTCTTTCTTTTTCCCTCTCTCTCTCTTCCTTTCTTTTTGAGACAGAGTTTCACTCTTGTTACCCGGGCTGGAGTGCAATGGCACAACCTTGGCTAACTGCAACCTCTACTTCCCTGGTTCAAGCAATTCTCCTGCCTCGGCCTCCTGAGTAGCTGGAATTACAGGCTCCTGCCACCATACCCAGCTGATTTTTGTATTTTTAGTAGAGACGGGGTTTCACTATGTTGGCCAGGCCTGTCTCAAACTCCTGACCTCGTGATCCGCCTGCCTCAGCTTCCCAAAGTGCTGGGATTACAGGCATGACCCCCCGTGCCCAGGCACCCCTCTGTCTTTCAAATAAGATTCATAACTTTTTTTTTGTCTTTCAGAGAATTCTCATTTTAGGCCTATTATTTGCAGAACAGGATGACATTTACCTGAATTGGAAAGATGAACGGGAGACATAATTTTACCTCTGGAGCCCATTTGGGAGAAGAGAGATAGGTTACAAAGACCAACATTGCAAGTGGTGGAGAAAACACTGACTTGAGTGTTGCTCAAATCTTCACTGAGGAATTGTTCTCTGAGCTCAGCCTGGCCTTAGAAAATAACAGAGTTCTTCAAAGTAACTAAGAGGGGGAGAAGGAATTTTTGAGCTGAAGGAAGCATGTGAGTAACTAATTATCTAATAAATTATATGAGTGCTTGAAAAAGAAGCAACAGCACACCCTTATTCATCTGGCGTGGCTAGAGTGTGAGCCTTAGGGAAGGGCAGAAGTACAGAATGCGTTTGAATAGGTAGGCTGGGGTTATATCGCAAGACCCCTTGAGTGTCACACTAAGGAGGTTGTGCTTAATGTAGTAGGCTCTGGAAGGCCAAGGACTCTTGTTCTGCTGATTCTCTTGCCTGAAATGTGCTCTTTTTTCTCTCTCACAGATTTTGTACTTTCTCTCCCTTCAAGTCTTCCTCACCTCCCATTGTTATAGCAGAGGTTCTCAAGTGGGGGTGACTTTGCCTCTCAAAGGACATTTAGTGAAGTCTAAAATGAGTTTTTGGTTGTTACGACTAAGAGGGGTGTATAGGCATCCAGTGGGTGGAGGACAGGTGTGTTGCTAAACATCCCATGATACACAGGTCAGTCCCTACCACAAAGATCTATGCGGTCCAAAATATCAATAGTGCTGAGGTTGGGAAACCCTAAGCTATAGGGATGCATGCTCTAAATTTTGTCTGCACCTCTTTGTTCTATCCTGCTTTGTATAATTGTTTAGTAGGGAACCATGGATCATGCTTTACCCTTTCAGGCCTCAGCTCAGAGAACTGCATCTGAGACCATGTACGGGATGAAGTGAGCACTTGCAAACTGGGAGTTCTGCACAACACACTTCCGTTTCCAGGGTGTCCTCTGAAGGACAGAAAGCTTCTTCTGTTTCTGCTATCTTCTTCTTCTGTGTGACTCACAGTTAGCCCTCATTAAGTCCTAGTTGAGCAGTGACTACGTATTTGGATGTTTTGCTCAAGAAACTTCCAGGAAGCTAAAAGGCAGAGACTCTGAGTTTTAATTTGAGTTTGCTACAAATTACATCACATATCTGGAGCAGCACTTTTTTTATTTTTTACAGCTAGGAAGTCTGCTTTCCCTTGACACTTTTCTCACCCATGATAACAATAGCATGGCTTGTGTAGTCATGGATAGCAGATAGACCTTTCTTGGCCCCTGTGTCTGAATCTCTAAAAGACTTGGTTTAACCAGAGAGTAGTGCAGTGCTACTTGGTAGTCTGGTAGCTAAGGAGAGTGAAGAGATGGTTCTCGAAGTCACTTAGGAACCTTCAGTGTGGACACTTGCCTGAAGGCTCTTCTTCAGTCAAGTGTCTGCACTGAAGGTTCCTAAATTACCAGCAAAGAAACTACACAAAGACACAATCCTGCTTACCAAAGAAACATGTGAATTATCAATTTGGAAATAGGAAATAGGTAGAGGAAAACAGGAAACTTTGTGGAGGGGGGAAAAGCTCATTCTGAACAATTCACCCTCTAGTGAAGTTTCTGTTTAGGGAGGTGAGCATCTTAAAGGACTCCCCTTTGGGGAAATGGATATCATTATATGATGAAAGGCTGGTAGGAACTTATTATGTTGTAGTTGGCATCAAAAACTTTGTGATGAAAATTAGAGTAATTAGAAACATTTCCGAGATAAATGATTTGTTGACATAAATTGCTGAAAATCCACCTAGTTGTGGAGCTGAGTATTGGGGAAGGGGCAGAGGGACGGGTCGGGAATAATGTGAAGTCTTTCTTATTTAGTTTACTCCCGTCCCAAAGAATCCTCTTCTCTATCCTGGCTTGGGTGAGTTTCCAGCTCCACTGTGCTTTCTGGGCTAGTTTCTAAGCTCCAGGCCCAATCGTTAGTGTAGTATTTCTCCAGGCAAACCTCTGGGTGGTCTTGTCTTGTGCTTGCTCTTCCAAGCATCAGTCTTCAAAGGAAAATGACCCACCTGCAAGAAGATGCCGTTTGCAACAGATACAGAGGAGGCAGAAGCCCTAGGTCAGGAAAGCGTGGAACAGAGGTCTTGCCCTGAAACAGCTGCGCTGCCGAGCTGGCTTCTACTTTGGGATGGAAAGATAATTTTTGTATTTCAATTCCTTTGCATTTCTTTTACATGATATAGGTCAATGAAGCAAACAATAACAAAAAATTATTGTGTCTCAAATGCAAACTTCTTGGCATTTGGAAGCCCTGAACCGTCTGTGACTTTCAGCTTCTGAAGGTTGTTTTTCTTTCTCTTCAAAAGTATTATTGGCTTAACGTGAAAGGAGTGATGCTGATTTTGTAACTTAGTCAAAAAAAACAAAAAGATTTAGAAGTCTCTTCAGGCATTTTAAATACAGAGCTACAAACTGCCCATAAAAAGGCAATTATGAACTTCTTTGAACTGAATCAAATATCAGTCCCTCTATATTGATGAATTAATATCTTCACTTTTTGAATTATAAACTATTAAGAGCATGTTCCTAGCATGTTCAGGACCAGAAGTATAAAGAAATGAAACCTCTTAGCACCCATTTAGGGTAACAGTCTTATGCTGTGCCTTTATTTGAACAATTCATTCCTTAAACATGGAGTACTGGTTATGGCAGGCACTAGGCGACCTAGGTTGTAAGCAGCCTGGACTGAATTTTCACAACTGGGTAAAGATATATGGTGACAGAAAGAGAGAGGAACAATGCCATGGAACAATAGAGCATGATCCTCTGGAACATTGGTTCTCATTTATATATATTCCACTGTTACATGTCAACATAAAGAATTCCATTGTTTAAAAGAAAATCCAAATGAGAGTGGGTCAGTGGCTTGCTTGAGGGCATAACCTTAGCCAAAAGAAGATTCAAATTTATATCCAAGTTCATACTTCTCTGCCCCATTTCCGTACCTCTTGAACTAGACACTGAGCTTTACTCAACTTTATTTGGAAAACGCAGCTCATTCTTGAAGCAGAAGACCCTGAGCTTTTTGTGGCTTCCTAGTGTTCAGTGCTCACCATAATCTGTATCCTTAGACCTTCATGCAAACAGGACCATGGTTATGGTGGTGGGTGGTGCCTATGGTGCTGGAGTGAACACAAGAAATGAGGTGAAAAACACTTTTGCCTTAGTCCATTTGGGCTGCTACAGAATATTTTAGACTGGGTGACTAATAAACAACAAACATTTATTTTTCACAGTTCTGGAGGCTGGGAAGTCCAAGATGAAGGCACTGGTAGATTTAGTGTATGGTGAAAGCCAGCTTTCTCACAGATGGTAACTTCTCTTTGTGTTCTCACTTGGTGGAAGGGGCAAAGAAGCTCCCTCAGGCCTCTTTTCTAAGGGAACTAATCCTATTCATAAGGGCTCCAGCCCAAAGGCCACACCTTCAAATACCATCACCTTGGGAATTAGGATTTCAACACATCAATATTGAGGAGACCCAAACATTCAGACCATAGCTACTTTCAATAGGAGTATTGGAAGGATCAAGATGGGGTAACCCATGCAATGTCCTCAGTACAGGGTCTGGCAGGTGATAGTGCTTTACAACCATTAGCAATTATTATTTATTAACACAGATTGAGAACTCTAGAATCAAGATTTTCTAATCAAAGTACTCTTGTGATTCAGATCATTTTAGGTGGCTTGGGGAAAGAAGATTTAACAGCACAAACCATGAAAGGTAATGACTTCGGCCGGGCATGGTAGTGCATACCTATAATCCCAGCACTATGGAAGGCCGAGGCAGGAGTTTCAGACCAGCCTGGGCAACATGGTAAAACCTTGTCTCTACAAAAACAGAAAATTTAGCCAGGCATGGTGGTGCACACGTGTAGTCCTAGCTACTTTGGAAACTGAGGTGGGAGGATCACTTGTAACTGGGAGGTCAAGGCTGCAGTGAGGAGTGACCACACTACTGCACCCCAGCATATGCAATAGAGTGAGATCTTGTCTCAAAACAAAAAGAAAGAAAGAAAATAAAAAAAGAAGAAAAAGGTAATGACTTTGGCTTTTGGTAGCCACTGGAAAGAGAAAATACAAGTGGAGATCTTCCCAAGGCTTGAGGTAATGATCATATTTTACCTAATGAGGATGGTTTTCTGGGCCATAAACTGATGTTCTGTCCAAGTGTCACACGTAATATCATTTAGCTCTTCAGAAGGGTTTCACTCTTCAAGGAAAATGAGGGTGACAAACAGAGGTGTCAGATCTTGTGAAAAGACTAGAAATGCTGTGTCTATAGCTCATGAGGAGTATCAAAATGATGTGGTGAGTGTGTCCAGCTCTCTATCTGCAGGTGACTTGTGGAATGATACAATCAGACAGGGTGCAGAGAGGGGGAGGGGAAAGCAATCATCCTCTGAAAGAGATCATCAAACGCTCTTCCGGAGAATTGGCTGCTTTGCAGGTGGAGTTGCCCTGTGCTTACTTTGTCAGAGATGCTGTGCATTTTCAAACAACCTGGGTTTCTTTTGGGGAGTGTGTGATTACACTGAGGTATGTTTCTTTTCTTTTTTTCTTTTTTTTTTTGAGACAGGGTCTCACTCTGTCACCCAGACTTGTGTGCAGTGCCACAGTCACGACTCACTGCAACCTCTGCCTCCCAGGCTCAAATGATCCTCCCACCTCAGCCTCCCGAGTAACTGGGACTACAGGTATGTGCCACCACACCTGGCTAAATTTTTTTGTATTTGTTTGTAGAGATGGGGTTTTGCCATGTTGCCCAGGCTGGTCTTGAACTCCTGAGCTCAAGCTATCTGCCCACCTCGGCCTCCCGAAGTGCTGGTATTACAGGCATGAGCCACCGTGCTGCAGACGTGTTTCTGAGAACATTTTGCTTACGGCCAGTGAAGGATGCTAAGTCTAGGGTTCTAATTAAACCCATCGCTGAATTACACTATGCCTCCTTTCTAATCTCATGTTGGCCAGTTCCTTTTTCTCACTGGACCCATCCACACTGGATTGCCTGAGAAGGATATGGGTTATTCAATAAAGTGTTAGGAGTTATTCTATGGTGAATCCTATGTGCTGCATTGATCGTTAGTAGTGAATACTGCTCTTTCACTTATCAATGACTATGTTCTTAAGCCTATAGATGTTTCTTCTTGTCTACTATTTATAAGGTGCTGTGGTTGGCATAGGATGAACTATACCACAGTACTATCCCTTTGCTGGGAATTTATAGTCTATGAATAAAGGATAAGATAACATCATAAATGTAATGTGGGGTAGACTAAATGATTCAAGTCAGCTGGGTGGAAAGTGCTGAGAATGTTGAGAGAAAGGAGACATTCCAGCATGCGCCTTCCAGACCTAACCCATTATAATAAGCATTGCTAGTCCAGAAATCTCTGAGAACCATGGCCGAGGGTCTAGATGTAATGTGCTGCCACAATTCTAGGCATGCGGAAGTGATCAGGGGATAAAATAGACAGAGTTTCCTCTCCCGCTTCTTAAATTCCTGTGGGAAGTGAGGAGGGTGGTGATAGGCAATGACTAATGGTCATAAAAAATTATTTCTGAACTTGGTAAGTCTTAGGGCAGTGGAAGAGAGAAAAGCTTTCTCCAGAAGCTACTTCACATAGCCTGGAATCATTTGTCTGGCCTGCCAAGCAGTGATGATTCTGCACTTACCACACTCTCTATTATGTCAGGGCTAGAAATGAAAAGTGCTAGTGAAATAAATTAATAGGTGATTAAATTATCTTATTTGGAACTAGAGCTATACAAAGGGATGATTTACTATGCACTATACCATTTATAAATTACAAATTTAACAATGGTTAATTAGAAGAGATCCTCACATATACAGGTACATATGGATATATGTAAATTCAAGGTGTTTTGGCATCTAGAGCCAGAAAAATGAGGAAACAAGGGTGTTAACAAGGCACAGGGAGGAATACCAGTGAGGGTGTTGATTCTGGCTTTGTCCAATCACAAAACTGGTTTGACAATTTTTGATGAAATCAACCGGTGGGTTTAGTCTAGCACCTGGTCAATTCAGTCAAAAATGTCAAAAACCCTGTGACCGAATTGACAGGTGTTAGACTGACTGACTGGTCAATTCCATCAAAGCAGTAGAACCATTTGTGTTTGTAGATACATTTCAGGCCCAATATAGAAAAAGAGAATTTGGGGAATTAGCACTGGGGTAATCTCTTGGAGGGACACTTTGGGAGAATGGGCAGTAAGTCACCATTCTGTAATATCATCCCATATCGATGGCAATTCTAAGTCACAGCAGCCCCCAGAACGAACCTATGACCATTATTGGAAATAATTCAAAGCTATTAATAATATAGTGTCCTGATGCCCCTTGTAGTTGACTACTGTGACTTGTTTGTACTTTATTTGAAAAGCACAGGTATTCAGGGGACCAGTTCTGACACTTCTGTTTTGCCGTACATGAATACCCATGAATGTGACATTAGGACTGTGGGTGAAATAAATCTACATTTTTATTATCATGGCATATTAGTCTCCCAGATTAGATACAAACATGTCCATTTTAAATATTTGCAACTCAGCACTTTCTCTTCTCACAATGATAGTTTCTTAGTGACAGAGAGAAGGTCATTACAATAAAAACATGAGGTATAATGGGTGCTAAAAATGCTAAATATATTCACCCCCAACTTCTGGTTAGGTGGTCCCCGTGCTTGGTATTTGGCCTATGGGGAAAATTACGGATTTTAAGAAACCATCATGATGGTCCCACAGCATTCTCCCCTGGACCCCCACGGCCGGGAGACATGTGCATCTGCATAAAGTCTACTACATTAAAGACCAAAAGGGCTGGCTTGCTTCTCCCACGGTCTTAAGTTAACACTTGTCTTTGTGTAGTCCAGTCTTTTCTGAACTTGAAATCCAATTGGCCAACAATTAAAGCCAATTAGCACGTGAGGAAAATAAACCAAAGACTCTCTCCCTGTGTTTTCCATGGCTTGATAGAAAGCTAGTTAGCTCAAGGCATTAGCATAGTTGTGTATCAGGCCAGGCATATAACGGAGACTAGTTGGCTTAAAGTATTAGAAGACTGGGGTAGCGGCTGGGGCAGCAGAACTGTGTTATTCTGAGCTAACAGCTGCCAAACATTCTTGACAGGAGATGAGGCAGATGTCCAAGGACAATCAAAGAGAGAAGAAAGTTTAAGCCAACGTTTGCCTATCTCATATTCTCTGCTTGATCCTCAGCCTCAAAGACAACGCACAGCTGCTGCACTTCAAGGTCTAGAGGCTGATCCCAACTCCCAGGCTGCCCCCACACCCCTGCTTATTCTCTGAGAGCTGGGCTCAGCTTTCCTATCAAGCCGCCCTTGCAGGTCATCTTGTTGGAGAGAGTGGGGCTTCTTGGTGACTTTTCGATATTCTGAACACTCACAATGTTTAGATCAAAATTCCACAGTGTGTGATAATCATAAGATTCGGGACTGAAAAAGCCTTTCTAGGACAACCCTAAATGGGCCAGCTTATCAGGAGACAAGATAAGTGGTGGCCAAAACAGCGTGTCCTTAGAGGTAAGAAATCATCAGTTCAAATACAAAGTGAAGAAAAGAGGAGCAATCCATGTGAAATCTAAATGCTGCGGATTTACTCTCAAAGCTGCGGACATTTTGTTTCAGCATTTCAATAATAGAAGGGATGTGGGGGATAAAAATTAAAGTACAAGTGTCCATTATGGATAAAGACACACAATATGCATCTGTACTGAAAGCGTTTGCCAAAACGTTGGCGTGTTATCTCTCCTGGGGGAGAGGCAGAGGGACTTTATTTCCCATCAGTGCTAAGAGGCATTTCATGTCCTATAGTACGGCAATATGCTTATTTACTAAAATCTTTTATTGTTATATGTTACACAGCATGTCAAAAATAGGCAACTCTTTCATGTTGTTAAACAACATCTGCAGGTAATGAAACAGTAGAATCTTCTCAAATAAAGAACCTGTGTAATTGTCAAAATCTTTACACATACCATTGTTCCACAGAGGGGGAACAACTCAAAATTTTATGTTAAATTTTTTTTCTATGTACCCTCATCTCTTGTATGAGATACACACTTACAATATTAAATTGTAATTATTTGATAAAAATATTAATCCAAATTTCACCCCGTACTCATGAGTCTGTAGGCAGATGTACCCTTTTAAATATATTAGTATCCTCAAAGCAAGGGCATAGTCTGGACTTAGTGTGTTTATTGAGCAAATGCATAAATGAATGAATGAAAAGCAGGTAGACTTAATCACATGCCAAACCTACTGAAAATACATGCAAACAATGCTCCTACAATTCAGTTGCCTATAGAAGCAGTAGAAAGCTATATTTTTAGAGGAGTACCTGAAAAGAACACAATATGAAATAGTTTCTTTTAAAAGCACTAATTTGTTAGGAGTTCTTTTATTTCAACAAAAAATATCTATTTAAAAATAACTATTGGAATTAGAGAAGGTTTTAAAAATTACATGTATTTCTACCCCGACAACTAATTACAGGGATAACTTTCACACATACTACCATTGCAGGTGCAAATATTTAATTATGTGTGCAAGCCAGGTGGTGAGGTGGTTCCTTAACTACGTGTCCAATTGTGTCTGCTCTAGTTGCCCGTTCAATTAGCTGTGGGTGCAAAAAACAGAGACCTAGCTGAGGCCCTATTAAAATGAGGCCTATATATTTCACAGCCTTTTATCTGTGAAGGGGGAAGGGGTTGTGCATTTTGCATTTATGTTAGCTGCTCCTAGCTGGGGCCTGGGGGAATCACTTTTGGGGAGCTAGTTAGCCCAGAGCAGCTGGACTTGTC
This sequence comes from Homo sapiens, assembly GCF_000001405.40. Classification (NCBI taxonomy): domain Eukaryota; kingdom Metazoa; phylum Chordata; class Mammalia; order Primates; family Hominidae; genus Homo; species Homo sapiens. Next base: position 95,929,540 of record NC_000015.10, on the reverse strand, counting down.
CTGATAAGAATTGCACACAGTTGCATAGGAAGTGGTCAGCTCTCCTCCACCGCAAGTTTAGCTGTTAAACCAGGCACTGTCTTAAAAGCCACGTGGCTTAGCTTATTCTAAAGGTGCTTGCAAATCACGTGGAGGCTTTCCCTGGGAGATCAGAACAGAAAAGTTTGTTCAAAACATTTGAAACAGGCAGGCTCTTGTGACTGAATCATTTTAATTATTTTAGCAGCTCTTCTTCACCCTTAGAGGTGAGGTTAAAAGGCTATTTAGGGAGAAGAAACTATTATTCACAATACGGTCTGAGAATCCGCAAGGTTAAGATTTGACCAAGGATGAGACTTACGAAAAATCAACTTGGTGTTGAGTCCTGTACATTTGAGAAGGGCCTGGAGGGAATAAACTGAAAATTTAAAGTTGACAACTGAATTCTAGTTTTCCTCCACTAGCTGTGTGACTTCGGCCTTATTATTTAACTTCTCTGATTCTCAGATTTCTGCCCTGGGAAACGGAGCCACTAATATCTACATCATACATAATATCTACACCTACTAAAGTAGATGTACTTAAAGCACTTTGTTTGGTGCTAAGTCCAGGGTGTGTGCTCCACAGAGGAAACTTCTTTGCTTTTCTCCAGAGGAAAAGAATGCTGAGAAAATTTCTATTCAGCTACACAGCTACACAAAAGATCCAGGGGAGGGAACTGCTAGACATCCTGGACAGGTATCTCATTTTTACCCTTCAAAAGTTGATGACCATGTTCACATCTGCCGTGATGTATTATCGGATTTTTAGCTAGAGCAATAAATCACAGCCCTCTAAATCTTAGTGTTTACATTTTTAGAACACTTAAATACGTTTCAATAACCTAACATCATTCTATTTTTAATATTCTCCTCAATAACCTCTGGCTGCTCATTCTTAGGGGAATGCAGGTTTACAAACATGGGTTTCAAGTTTTTGCTAATAATTCTTATATTTTTATCTGGTTTTGAATCTCATTTATTTAGAGTTGCTGACTTTTTAGAGTGGTTATAGGGTGCCGTGTATGAAAGGTGATTTGAAATTTTGTCTTCGAGTGCAGGGTTCCTAGTTACGTCATTCACACAGGCGCACTCACACACATTCATGCACGCACGCACATACACACAGACACACATCCATTCCCCCAAGGCTTTACAATAATGTATCATAATGACTTGGATGCATGAGTTTGCAGCCTTTTGGAGGGAAAATTCTTAACGGGGACACAAGGATTGTTTGAGTGCTAACATCAAGTTGCCAACGGAATGCTACGTTATAATAATGATGCGTTTCCCTGCAATATGTTGGCATGACCAAGGAAGTCATGGAACCTGGCATCAGGGAACCTGAAAGTAGTGACTCCTCCATTAGAAATCTTGGTAGTTATTTTCACTGCCTGGTCTGGATATGGGCATTGATGACATAGCTTGAATGTTTGTGTCTCCTCCAAAATTCGTGTTGAAACTTAATTTCTAACTTAACAGTAGTATTAAGAGGTAGGGCCTTTAGGGGGTGATTAGGATATGAGAGCTCTGCTTTCATGGATAAGAGTAGAGGTCCTTACAAAAAGAACTTGATGAGGGAGAGAGTTCTCCCTCTCTATCTTCTTTTGCCCTTCAGCCTTCCATCATGCGAGGACACAACTTTGGCCTCTTCTGCCATGTGAGGACGTAGCGACGAAGTACAGTTTTGGAAGCAGAGGATGGGTCCTCTCCAGGCACTGAACCTGCTGGCACCTTGATCTTAGACTTTCCAGCCTCCAGAACAGCAAGAAATACATTTCTCTGCTTTATAAATTACCTAGTTTCAGCTATTTTGGTGTAGCAGCACAAATAGGCTAAAACAACTGAGGAAGGATTTGGGGATCTATTCTCTTACACCTTGGCCTTTTCTCTGGATAGAGATGAGCTCACTTAGAGAGTCTTTCAAATTCAGAAGGAAAAGTAGTTTGCTCACAAGATGCTTATATTTGTGATAAGACTTGGGGTGGAGGTCATTCTCTTTGGAACGAACTCTGACTTCCCTTGATCCTGTTTTCTCTCTGGGGTGTGGAGAGGTAGGATGGGATGGGATTTCTGCTATAAGGAAGACATTCACACAAGGCCGCATGCCTAGGTACCATCAAGTACCTTCCATTCACTGTGAAACGTGAGAAGCCAACTACTCCCCAAATAACATTTAGGCTTTGACAATGTTTCCCTCCTATTTTCCAGCTCCTGTCCTAGGGAGCTTGAGGACAAGTGCTTCTGAGTGCCCAGAAGAGACAGAATAAAGCCCATTTAGAAAAGCTCTGGGAGCTTGATGAGACTTGCAGGTACGAGAAAATCGAATTGGTGTCCAACAACACTATTTTTCGGTGATAACTGCTTGCAATTGCTAAAACTTGCTGATGATAAAGAGAGAAAATAGAAAACCCTTTGTCACTTTGAATGTAAAATCATCATCATCATCATCATCATCACCATTTATTAAGATAATACCATGGGCCAGGCTCTGTGCTAAGTGCCTTGCATATATTATATCTTTGATGTGTGAATTAAAAGTGACCTTCTTGAAAATTTAAAAGTATTTGGGTAAAAACCTCCATTTTATTTATGTACAGTGGGAAACTCAGTGTCTCTCCCTAAACCTCAGAGACTCCTCGGTTTTCTCTAACGTCTGTTGACCTAGTCTGATCTGGGGTTCTGACTTTTCTTTTCTTTTCTTTTCTTTTTTCTTTGGAGACAGACCCTTGCTCTGTTATCCAGGCTGTAGTGCAATGGTGTGATCTCGGCTCACTGCAAACCTCTGCCTCCTGGGTTCAAGTGATTCTCCTGCCTCAGCCTCCCAAGTAGCTAGGACTACAGGCGTGCACCACTACACCTGGCTAATTTTTTGTATTTTAGTGGAGACAGGGTTTTACCATATTCCCCAGGATGGTCTTGAACTCCTGAGCTCAGGCTGTCTGTCTCGGCCTCCCAACGTGCTAGGATTATAGGCATGAGCCACCGCGCCCGGCCTGGTTCTGACTTTTCTTAACCGTTCACTCTTACTGGCGTCTCACCTCCTGGGCCTCATCCCTCTGTTTCACATTGACAGGTCCATGGACCATCTCTTTCCATGGTTTTTAAAAAAAACCCACTTGCAGAAAGCATTTGTGTACACAGCAAAGTTTAATAAGCTGGAATAAAAGAATTGCACCACAAGAGAGCAAACAACTCAAAACTTAATGCTGGATTACCGGCCACTCCAGCTGACTAGGTCCCCCCCTCAGACTCCAGCTCTGAGACAGAGCAGCTCTCCGGTTAAACTAACATGAGGCATTTGGGTAAGTCTTTTGGACTTCAACTATGCTCAGAGTAGAAATGGGAGGAGGAAGGTGACTTGCTTCTGAAGGACTTACCTACTAAGTTGAAGGCTGCAGAGAAAGAATAGTTGACAGAGACGATCGGAGATATCCTTTATCAAATACACCAGGCATAAGAAAAGGGGAATTTAAAATCCGGCTTTCTGGCCGGGCGCAGTGGCTCACGCCTGTAATCCCAGCACTTTGGGAGGCCGAGGTGGGTGGATCACCTAAGGTTAGGAGTTTGAGACCAGCCTGGCCAACATGGGGAAACCCCATCTCTATTAAAAATACAAAAATTAGCTGGGCTTGGTGGCACACGCCTGTAATCCCAGCTACTTGGGAGGCCGAAGCAGGAGAATCTCTTGAACCCAGGAGGTGGAGGTTGCAGTGAGTTGAGATCACGCCACTGCACTCCAGCCTGGGCAACGGAGCAAGCGTCCGTTTCAAAAAACAAAAACAAACAAACAAACAAAAAGCCTGGCATTCTCTAGTCACTTATGAAAAGAATCAAATGGAAAACTGTATTAGGTTAAAAACAAAACCAAGAACAGAAGAACCTATCTATTGGAATGCTGGCTTGTAGAAAGAGTTCAATGCTAATTGTATGACATTTCCTTAGTGTGGGGTATCTTGTATAGTGTGTTGTGATTATTTTTAAAATCAAAATCATCATAGAAAAGTGAGTGTCTGATTGATAACCTTTTATTTTATATAGCTAGGCCATTAGGTGGCATGTATATAGAGAAATGATTCTAAACTATATTTCCTGTAATACAATAATTTCTGCTTTTCCGTATTGACTATTTGCAATATATCAATTGGTAAACACAATGTATCTGGCACAGGGGCATCCAATCATGACACAGACAGCAGGAAAAACAATGAACTGAAAATGTTGCAATGCATTTCGTGAGGCTGGATTTATTTACTCATCAAAAGCATTAATATCCACACCCCTGTGAATTCTTTCCTTAGATAGTTCTCTTTTTTGTAGATACAAGCATCAACTTTAAGAAGAAAGGTTTGAGGACCACCTGGTTATCTCTTAGTTCCCAGAATAAAGTCACCAGGGCCCAGGAAATATCCAGGAGATAATAAATCAGTGAGTTCCCGCAATGAAGGAAAGGGGAAAAATAACCAAAAAGGAAATCGAAAAGATTTAAATTTCAACTTTAGGTTTTGAAAGGATTATTAATATAAACAGCCTTAGGAAAAAGGACGTTTTGGTCAACATCCCATACAATTAAATGTAATACAACTTTTTTTTTTTTTTTTTTTTGAGAACGAGTCTTGCTCTGTCACCCAGGCTGGAGTGCAGTGGCACGATCTCGGCTCACTGCAACCTCCGCCTCCCAGGTTCAAGCTATTCTCCTGCCTCAGCCTTCCGAGTAGCTGGGATTACAGACACACACCACCATGCCCAGCTAATTTTTGTATTTTTTGTAGTGACAGGATTTCACCATGTTGGCCAGGCTGGTCTTGAACTCCTGAACTTGTGATCCGCCAGCCTCAGCCTCCCAAAGTGCTGAGATTACAGGTGTGAGCCACAGCGCCCGGCCTGCAATACAAGTTTAAAACAATGATACACATGCAAAAAGTCACCTTAAATGCTCGTCCTCGATTCTCAGGATGGCATTCATCTTCTTGGGACTGGGAAAGGCCTTTACATAGTTTTTATTCTTCTTCTTCAGTTTGCTTCTAACCCTAGTAATCAATAGCAGAAACAGAAAAGCTGAGGAAAGCCAAGATGCTTCCATTTCTGAGCATCCCTCCTCGTCTGTTCCCTGTGGCTGGGCTTAGAATCCAGTCCTGCCCCCAGAGAGCTGGGTGTTGCCCCACCATTCCCAGCTCCAATACCTGCTCCTTGCTTGGAGCAGTGTGAACTGTCAGTAGCTCGTGGGCTACAAAGATGCTGTGGGACTTTGAACTCTTTTTATCGTGAGCTCAGTGGACCTTTCCAAGCCCCTCATGAGCCTAACAGGTGAACTGTCAACAGCAAGGCTGGGGAGAGGTCTGGAGTGTTAGGGAAGGTGAGTTCTGGGTGCAGTATTTCCTGTGTTTCTATAGGAACTAGTGGACAGAGATCATTTTGTGTGTTTGTGTTTGTGTTTGTGTGTGTGTGTGTTATAGATTTTAACCATCTTAAAATGAAATGACTAGTCAGGTCCGGAGGTGAAATTGTGAAACTGCAGTTAGATTCCCAGGCTTTCACAGCTGCTGAGCAACTGTTCCCCAACCTCGGTTGTGAGGTGTGTCTTACGTCATTTGTTACTAATAAAACAAAGTGCTACAGTTTGTGGGCAACTTACTGATTTTATAAATTAGATTACCTTTTCCTAGAACAACAACATTCACACCGACTTGCTTTCTGATATGCTTTTTTAAAAGTGCTTTATCTCATATCGATAAGCAGGTATATCGCCTACGCAAACTGACTTTGATAATTATAGATGAATATTTAGCCATTGACGTCACCTTCATTATTAGCCTTTTTTTTCCCTGAGACTTTCCTTATTGTAAATATCTGCATCCTGTGATATTTCTGCAACAGCGGCTTTAGTACATGGCTTCATGGAGACAAGTAAATGGGTCGTGAAGTCTCCCAGGTGGGACTGTGACTTATTTTCTCATTAACCAAAAAACCTAACACAGGCTCTGCTATGTAAAAGGTACTCAATATATTTTTTAAAAAATAATTTTTTATTTCTTTAAACCCCAGCAGATATATTTCTTTCCTTTCTTTCTTTTTTTTTTTTTTTTTTTGATGGAGTCTTGCTCTGTGGCCCAGGCTGGAATGCAGTGGCACGATCTTGGCTCACTGCAACATTTGCCTCCCAGGTTCAAATGATTCTCCTGCCTCAGCCTCCTGAGTAACTGGGATTACATGCGCGCCACCACGCCCGGCTAATTTTTGTATTTTTAGTAGAGACGGAATTTCACCATGTTGGTCAGGCTGGTCTTAAACTCCTGACCTCGTGATCCACCTCCCAAAGTTCTGGGATTACAGGCATGAGCCACCGTGCCCGGCCCCAGCAGATATATTTCAATTCGCATAACAAATGTGCTCATAAGTTGTAAGTAAACTAAGATTTTTTTTCCCTTAACTGGATAAAATTTGAGGGGGGTGACTGTTTTTTTTTAAAAGGTGTGGTGGTTTGGAGTTGGGTTTCTCTTGCAGTCCAATACACTGCTCTCAAATTTATCTACTTTGTAAATCCGTGCCTTTATATAAAATATTATTCTTGATAACATTTGCCTTTCTAGAACTAGTGGTAGTAAATGAGGTAACTTTGTCTTTTTTCATTTTATTGAACTCATACTATTTAAGATATTTGTTCAAGTTAGTAGGCTGAGGGACAGAGCTCAGAAAGGTAGTTCTAAGTGTAAAGTTCCATGTCTGAGCCTCAGTGTCCTTGTCTGCCCTCAGCTGTTCTGATGACTTTTAAATGAGGGAGTAGTTATGAAAGTACTCAGAGCTGTACAAATATAAGCATGTTGTCGTGAGTGAGGTGCTCAGGCAGAAAGGCTGCATGCACAGGTATGTAGGGGACTCTTGTGCCCAAATTGCAGAATTACAGGAAGTGGCCAGGGAAGGGATATCACCATGAACCTCTGCTGCAGCCTGGAGTAACAGACCATCAAGTTGGGGGAACACTCGAGAGAGAGGCATGTCTGTGGAGGACTGACCGCTCGGGGAACCATTCCTGCCCCGTGTTTGTGATCTTAACAGCCTGCTGCTCGTATCATTGGTCGCATCTGAAATTTAAAGTTTTATTTAAAATTCAAGCTAAAAAAATTTCCCAAGCCCTGCCCAGAGTGTCCAGGTCGCATTCCCTGCTTGAGCCCTTGTGTGCTGTCTCAGTCCACATGGAAAAAGCTCTGACTGAAGCCACCGCCCTGGGTTGGAGCTCCAGTCTCGTAATTCCCCTAACTTGACTTTGCTTCTCCATCTGCAAAATGAGAGTTGGGAGTTCGATGAATTCTAAGAGCTCATTGATTCATATTAACATTAGCCCAAATAAAACACAATCAAAGACACATTGGCAGACAAATACGAAGATTACCTTCATCCCAAAGTTAAATAAAAATGACTTTATTTTCTATTTGGCATTCATTATACACGTTGTAATTTTCTTCTTGCGACTGGAAAAATCCAGAGTAAATAGCTAGCACACAGAAGGATGTCCTCCGGCTTTTACTCCCTCACTCTTTCCCACTAAGTCTCTGTCATTTGCACGCGTCTTCCCCAATATTTGCATTTTTAATCTGTGACATCTCTTTTACCTGAATTTAAAGGAAGATGGTGTTTTCTCACCAGATTTGTAAAGTAAAACAAAATAGGAATATAAAAAGTTAAACGGGAAATTGTCATCGTTTCATTGCCTTGGCTGTGACAGGGTTACAGAGTGTGCTATTTCAATGCAAGGTCACTACTGTACTCCAATTCAAGCTTGTGTTTCCCAGAAAGTGGAATGATGCCTAGAGAAAGTGAACCACTTCTTTCTGTTGCAATGCTTTCCAGCACCAGTGAGGTTGTGCCTTCACTTTCTCCTCCCCAGGAATGTCCTGGGGAGGAGAAAGGACAGTTGTTTGACCTCTGCAGCAAAGCCTTATCTTGGGTGGAAGAGGAGGCTGATCCTAAAAAGCAGTCAATGTTCTCTTTCACATGTCTGACTCCTCAAATGAGTCCTGATGGTGAGAGAGAGAGAGAGAGCATTGAAACCTGTTTTAAATGTATAACAGACCAGCAAGAAATATTCTAACCATTTCATTTTCCAAAATGTGAATTGGAACCACAGACTGGAAAATCAAAACTATATTGAATGGAACCCCCCCCTCCCCACCCATGCCCAACAAGACATTGGCAGCATTAGCCCTGGTATTTATTGCTCATTTTAACTACAGTGCCTAGCAAGCACTTCCCCAGCCTGTATCGCAAAAAATATGTATGTATATAATTTATATACTTAATATTTTGCCCTAGCTTTCCTTGCCTATTTTACAGTGTTGGAGACTGTTTGTGTGTTTGCTATGTATCAGTTGACACCTCTGTAAAATCTTTATATTGAATGCCTTTGGCAACTATGTGCCAAATAATAGCGTTGCCATTTGTAATTTTTGTAGTTCCAGTTTTCCTATAAGCTTGGCTCTGTGTGTTACAAGTAGGAAAGGTTTAAAAAGCCTTATTGATGCTTCTTTCTAATGACCTTCCTCAGTGGTGTGAGTCAAAATCACTATTCCCTGACTTTCCTGTTCTTTTCTTCCATTAAAGACTCTAACTAGTTAAAGAAACGTGTCCTGTTTTGAAGATGCATTGCCCATAACACAATTCTGCTCCAGGAGTCTCTCTTATTCTTATTCAACTTATTCTTAAGTTTGGGGCTTTTAGACATGCTTGTTGCTCTCCATAGTGTCCAAGAGCATTATTTATTTTTATTTAAGACCTTTCCTGCTTTCCTGAAGACTATTTGAGGTTGTTTACAACAAAGATAATTAAATGATGAAGTAGATGAAATCACATAGAAAAGAAATCCAAAACTGTGTTAGACATGGATACAAACTTTATTCTTAAAGTGTAGGTTGATATATTTCTGTGAGTTAAGTAGAATGCAAACTCAATGAAAGCAGGAACTTTGTTCACTGATGAATCTCTATTGTCAAGTTTAGTGTCTAGACATCAGTATGTGCTCATGTATAATTGTTATTTATCGAACCAATATTAAATTCCATTTGGATTTTCCCAGAAGCTAATACATGAAGGGAAATGTGACAGGATATATAAAGTTATTGTAGAATATTGTACACTTAGAGCTCTTCTGGTAGTTAAAAAGACTTCATCTTACAGATGAGAAAACTGAGACCAAGTGAAAAGACTTGCCAAAGAAAAGTTCTAAAACTCAGACCTTCAGATTCCAAGGCCAGGGAGCTTTCTACTGTATTAATGTTGCAGTAGATAACCATGTTCACTCTATGCATAATAATCTATTGATATGGGCACAGAGTATGTTTGTGTGTGTATGAAGAGGAAATCTTTTTATTCTGATTCATCTATACTCTCCGCCCATTCCCTCTGGAAGGGACATCCTTACATAGTTGTAATGAGGTCTGGAATATCTTGCATATGCCTTTATCTATACCCAGTTGCCCAAGAGCAGGCACAATGAAGTGATCAAACAGAGGTAGAATGTTGCATATAGTTAATAACCTACACCTGCTATATAGAGAAATCAATTTTTTAAAAATATTTGAATTCCCCTATGTTGAAATATTTGCAATTCATTTATGAACAAAATTCAGCCCCTTACTTTTTAAAAAATTTAATATACTTTGTGATTAGCAATGCCAAAAAGTCCTGTATCTAAATTTTGTAGAAAAACATAAGCAAATTATAAAGTCTCACAAGTTGGATTACAACCAATTAATAAAGCAACTGTATCAATCAGCTGTGGGTGTGTGTGTGTGTGTGTGTGTGTGTGTGTGTACAAGCATAATGCCAATTTTATCTTCTTTGAGGGCAGTGAATCAGCATTTTTCCACTCCCAAGCTATGTGCTTATAGTAGGACAGCTCCTCACATACACATTCTTTCAATATGCACACACACCAGTGATGGACCTATGACCCAAGTCAGGTCGGTGAGAGCCAAGTTCCTTACCAGTTCAATTCAACTTAATCTCCTACATGTTGAGTGTCTACTACTACAGTCCTCTAGATCTTTAGAATCATGATATTTATATAGTAGGACAGCTCCTCACTTCAACACTCAATTCAATATGCAGGCTCACCAGTGATGGACCTGTGACCCAAGTCGGGTCAAGTTCCTTACCAATTCAATTCAACTTAATCTCTTGCATGTTGAGTGTCTACTACCACAGTCCTCTAGATCTTTAGAATCATATTTAGAATGATAATTCAGAGGTATTGTGTAAAATTCTAAATGATGGAACAAAATTTAATTATAATCGAGAGCAATTCATTGTAAAATATGAAAACATGCCCATACATTTAAGACAAATTCCCAATAAGTTGAAACAAAAAAGCTTTTCTGTTTAATTTTCTGTTTAAAAAATTTAATTAACTGGAATTTTAATCCCCTAAGGATCTTAATTAATTTAGGTTTGATTGTAAAAAATTTCAAGCATTTTGCCTTTTGGAAATATAATTAACAAAATTGGTTTAATGAAGTGTTTTCAATGAAAGAAGTTAGCAAATATTATTTAAAACATAAACTGCCCTAAAGTGACAAGGAAGATAGGCCCTTTCAAGCTTTAAAATTATATATTACTAATTATTTGAATAATTAAACCACAATCTTTAAAACATTTTTTAAATCTTTTATTCTAACCACATATGTTGCCTATACTTTTTTCTCAGTTACAACACTTTCTAGTGTACTGTGCAAAAACAAATGAATTACATGATCAAACGGTTTTAAAATTAGTGCTATTAATGCAAAGTTTTTGCCGCGGAACTTCTCAGAGCCTTTAATATGCAAATGTGCCCAGCAAATAATACTATAATTAGTACTATATGCAAAGTTGTCTAAATTTCTTTGGCTTTGATATATGTTTTATGAAGCACATCTTCTAGGAAAAACACTTCAGAAAATTCTGCTCTAGGCTCATTTTAGTCTAAAAATTAAGAAGAGTTTTGAACCCTTCCTATTCTTCTTGCTATCTATTAGCCTTGTAACCTGTACAGGTTCATTGTGCTTTATTCAATAAACACAATTATTTACACTAAAGACCGTATCTCCACCTCTCCAACATGAATCAGCAATGTCCACTTTTGAGCAACTCACGCTATTCTGAATAAGAGGAGTTCTATAAACCTAGGTCCTAGTCCAAAGCTTAGGGATAGATGGCCTTTCTTTCTTTCCCAAGCATTGTCCTTAGATTTCCTGGCCAACTGTCTTTTGTGGACATGCATTATTTGATGCATGTTGCTGGGGCCTCAAAGTGATGATAAGCCAGAGGAGAAAAGTGTTGAACAACAGGAGAAGAAAAATAACTAAGAATACACTGTATTCAATAAGGAGGACCCAGAAAAAAATAGTTACATGTACTTATAGTTACTATTTTTTTTAATGCCCAATCGTCCGTGGGACAAATTCTGCAGTATAGCCAATAGCATTGTGTTCATTGAGAAAACTCTCGATTAGATTTCTGCTTTAAGATGGCAATTTCGTGCCATCTCATATCCATGAGGCCTGGGGGAGGGGGAGGCTGCAGATCACATTTTGCATCATAACGTGATCATTTCAGCATTCAAACTCCAGATTAGAAATTTGACATTTTAAAAATTCCACTGAAATTGGACTACAAAATATAATAGGTTTAGGCACCTGCTCTAATAAGATTGCGTAAAAATATCCCAACAGCCTTACCATAAACATATTTTACAATATCAGAGTCAAATTTTATTACATCATTATAAGAATGTTCCACTGGGCCACATGATTGGCTGTTGTACAAGAGCAGGATGCTGATACTGTAGCACAAACATACTATCACACTTCCCTAATAAAAGTTTTATTGTATCCCCATGCACATTAAAAACAACACTAACTCCACTAATGCATTGTAATTTACTTTTTTGTTGTAGAACAAATAACAAACCTGGTGCTAATGAGCTCATATTTTCCATTATCCCAAAGCAACCTGTTCGTATATCCAATCTTCTGAGATTTTGCCTAAAAAGTGAAATTCTCTTATGGGACAATGGTGTGCACTAGTCTAGAATGTTTTTTTTCCCCTACACCTCCTATAGCCATCACATCATGTTCTAAACATCTGTTTGTTTAAATGACACAGTTAAAACATACATTATTTGACTTTCACGGTACTATACTTTTCTTCAAATGGGAACACACAAGATTCTTTTGTTAAAACTGTCTTTTTCTTTGATAGCTTTTTTCATGTTCCAATAAACATAGGTGTATTTGTAGCTAAATTACAAATACAAGGACTCACTGTCATCACTTTCCCTTTGGCTGTCATCTGAGTGGTTGTAAGTTTTTTAGTACATATTTTCAATTTGGCAGGTATGAAGTACCAGAAAGAAATCAATTTCTTATAAGACATGGATGATTGTTTTTATACCTTCTTCTGGTGTTGTTTTAATGAAGCTATTAAATGATTAAGCATTGTACTTTTATAAATTAAACCACTAACAAGGGACATTGTGACTCCCATGGTTTTTTTCAGCTTAGAGTAAATTGACTTATCACCCAGCTTCTCACCAATGCAATCATTCTCTTACTGTCAAAGTTCCTGGGTGTTTGTTTGGAATAGTGGTGATGGTGAGGCGGGTGGAAGGAGCAAAATGTCGATTACACTTGAGGGAAGAGATTTCAGAAATCTGAGAAGAAAAATAGGAGTCACCACAGACCCTGCTTATCCAGAGATAGGACATTTCTCTATTGTAGACTTCAAACTGTGGTTATCTCAGGCCTTTTTTGTTTGTGTGGGTGTCTTTTTTGCCTGTACTGGCAGCACTCTCTGCAGAGTGGATGGTGGAGGTTCTATGGGATAAGATAGAGAAGAACATTTCCGTATGTATGATCTCAGTGACTCTCTAAATAAAGTTTCCTGGTGTGTAAATGTGTTGGCTATCTATCATTGTGCCTCTGTTGTCACTGTCTGCTTTTCCAACATTAGGCAATTTAAGATTGTGTCTACACTGCACACACACAGATGCACACACACACACACACACACACAGAGAGACAGACACTTGCATCCTGTCAGACATTTGGGTTTAGAGGCTTACAATGATGTTGAATAATCTGGTTTTTTAGGTTTTGACTTTCCAACACGATGTAAGCACTGCCAAAGCCTATTTAGATGTATTCATTATAAAACTTGTTCCTGATTCAAAATGAGATAATATTTATGAAGCAATCTTGATAAGTACGAAAATCGTGACCTGTGTGAACTGCACTGTGGCTAGTTCTTTTAGAAAATGTTTAAGTATAACTTACACAACCTGAGAACATCTTGTGTCCCAAAAGACTGAATTCTCAAGGTTATTTATAGACCACTGGGGTATTTCTATGTCCTCATACTTTTTTTGGAAGCGTGTAGAGTCATGTTAATGAACCAAGAAAATCCCTGTGCAATTTTCCTACTGTTTATGAAAGTTATTGTTACATATCACATTTAACTTTAGCATAGAAGAAAATAATAATAACAGCTAAAAACATTTATTTTTCACTTATTATGCACCAGGCTCTGTTTAGAAGGGTTTGCATTTATTAATTAATTGATCTGCAAAAAAGAAAAACAAAAAACCTGAGACTTTAAGCGTTATTAGCCCCATTTTACAAGTGATAAAACTGAGGCACAGAGAGGTTAAGTAACTTGGCCAGAGTTACAAAGCTAGGAGGCTAAGATTCAGGTTTTGACAATCCGCCACATACGCCCTTGCTTTTAACCTCTACAAAACATCCAATTAAAGTGCTCACTGGTGGACTGACTATGGCATAAAAGGATGAATTGTTGGTCTTAGGAAGTAGGAAGTATGAAATCTCTCATCCATGCCAGTCACTTTGACCCCAGGAATCTCCTGAGTAGTACCATAATAATATAGTTTATCTGGAGGCTGGAGGATTGTGAAATGACTGTAGGCTAAACCAGACTAATGGTCTACCAAGCAGGGAAAGACATTTCTGTCAGGCTGATAAATTGCCTTTTTAGACTATTAATTCATTCATCCATCCATTGATCCATTCATCCATTCTTCCATCTTTTCTTGAGCCATGCATCTCCTATTCCTACCTATCACTTTCTAGTGATAATGACACTGGTCAATTTTATGATTCAAAACTCTATCTTCTTCTCATTTTAATTTAACTAAACACACCTAAATTTGACCTATAACTGATCCATTTCACTCTTTTTGGTCTCTGGGCAAGTCCAGGTCTTCATCTGTGAAAAGTGCTAACAGCTGCCTTACTGTTTTAATTTTTTTGGCTGGGGGTGAGGGTTATAATTAAATGAGATAATGTATATACATCACCAAGAACGTAGTAATAGGTCCTAGGTCAACATTTTCCTTAAAAGGAAAACTAAACTCAATTAGCAGTCACTATTAAAATGAAATAATGAAACCATTAAGAGAAAATATGGATGAATATATTCTAGTTCTTTTCTGAGTATAAATGGAAACTAAGAAAGTATAAAAAACTACATTAACATTAAAATATCTATATAATGTACATATGAAAATTAAATATTATACAATTTAATTTGAAAATCATAATCTATAGTGAGTTCTTAAAAATTAAGTAGATAAACAAATAGAAAATAGTAACCAATAGAACATAGGACATAATTTGATAATTCAGAAAATTTATAGAGATAGCCAAAGGAAACATCAAAAAATTTTTCACTTACAATGGCAATGGAAGAAATACTTTTTTGGGAAAAGAAATTAAATTATCAAATAGATTTTTTTAAATTACGTTTTTAGTTTTTTATTGGCCAAAGCAAAAAAAATGCTTGTTATGTCCTTACTGAAGTGCAAATTTGCATTTTTTTCAGAAGCCCAGTTGGTTGTATTTATAGAAAGCCTAGAAAATAAGCACATTTTTACTCAGTGATTTTTAGGACAATTTTAAGATATTAAGAGAGCAGAAGATGCTCAATGATTCCTTGGGAGGGATACAATGAAGTATTCTTCAAGACAGCAAAACTTTGAAATTAATTAAATGTGTAACAATAAAGAATGGTTAAATTAAATTAACTATGGTGAAATTGTAGGAAAGAAAAATATATTGCTATTAAAACAATCTTAACTGAAATGGGAAATATTCAGGATGTAATAATGAGTTTGACGTGGTATGCTATGGAGTGGATGCTATATAGAGTGCTGTACTGACTTTGCAATATGTGTATATGTACAGTGTGTGTATGTGTAATGAGTGCTTACATGTTTTAGTTATTATGCCAAATATTTTCTATACTTTTTGTGAATTAAATGTCTTATTATAGATAAAGAAATAGCAAACAAAGAGGATAAGTAACTTATCTAACCTCTTACTACAATAAAAGTCTTATCACTTTATGAGTGGTGAGACCAGGATTTTAACATTCACATATTTGACATAAAACATATCCTATCCACCAGTATGACTCAAATGCCTCAATATACTTCACTTTACAAGGAAACCATCCCCCCTCCCTACACAGTGGATAAAGAGTGGATATGTTGGTTTTAATGTTCCTCTTTCTATAACTGCCTGCTCCTTGCCTGTTTACTTACCTGTCACAGATAGGTAGGGATAAAAATTACACCCTCTAGAGAAAGACAGATCTACTCTAAGTCTGGACTCTGTCACTTTTACAATTCTGTGGTCTTGGGTAAGGTATTTCCATCACAAAATTGTTATGAAGATTAAGTGGCATATGCCTGCAAGCCACTAAGCTTTACAAGGGTCTTGCAAATAATAAGTGTTCAATAAATAGTAGGAAATATATGTGTGTGTCTTTTGCCAAACGTTCTTTAATAAACATATTACTCTTATATTCAGAAAAAGTGCAATAAATATTGTCAAAAAAATGAAGTAAACCAATGAACTGATGTAAGCCTCCAAAAGTTGCTTAAAAAAAAAAAAAGAAAGAAAAAAAAGCAAAGCCACCTTTGTCTGGACATTATATCACAGTTGTGGCTGCTAACCACAGGTGGGTATGGAAGCCCGGAGGGAAACCAATTATGTGCAAATCCTTTGACTTAATGAAAAATAAAATTAAGCAGACTAATACCCAGCAGGTACTTAAACATCACCTAATATTATGAAAGCCAGTGTTTCTTAAAGAGAAAAAAAGTCTCTGGAGGAACTGGAGGAAGAAGCAGCCCTGACCTAGGAAGAAATTTCATATGTGCAGCATGATTTTTCACAGCACACCTGAAAATCACCAAGCAATTCCTCCCATAAGTGACCTATTTCTCTGCCAGGGCAAAGGAGTTGACTCGTACCTCAAAGCAAACGATTTTGCTCTATGACAAATGGTACTTAAATTTAGGTTCTGGTGTGCTCTGTACGAAGTGATAATTAACATTTATTGAAAGGATTAATTTATTTATTGAAAAGCATTATTTTATTTTTTAATGTACCAGATAATGCCTTTTATATTTTATTTACATTAACTCATCTAATTTTTGCAGTAGCCCAAGGGAAAGATGTTACTATTTTCCCCATTTTATAGATTGTGAAAGGTCACACTGTTGAACCAGAGTCCATGACCTTTCCACTAAAAAATGCTGGCTCGTGGAAATTCATGGAGTTTCCAGAAAAATTCATTAGAGGTAAGGCAAACCCAGAGCTAAACTTATTCCTACTTTGAATCACCACTTTTGGTGATCAAAGTCCTCTACTAATTGAAGAGAAAATCACCCATTAAGGCTCGCTGTCCTGTTTTTAATGATATTAGCCAAGGAAGGGTTGGGGAGTCACAGGACAGAAGTCAAATTGGGAAGACCCAAAGATGGATGAGCGAGTCTGAAAGTGGCGGACAGTTCTGGGCTCTGCTGGGGACTGGGGAGAGGACTTGGAAGAGAATCTTGCAGCCTCCTCACCAGGCGCCTGGTACTACTAGCTGCCCATTCCCTCAGAATCATTGCTGAAGATCTGCCGCACCCTAGACATGCCTCTTAACTGGTTTTAAAACAAACACGTCCATGTATCTGAGGTCTCTGAACTGGGGTTCACTAGGTAGCTCATTAGTAACTTGTTGCTCACCAGCGTTTGGGAATGTTTGCAGAATTTCCCTTTCATGGCATGAAAGAGGACTCTCCGATAGAAAGTCACACAGGGATATTTTGAAATGGCTGGGAAGGTAATCTGATCCACTCTCTGGAATGTTTTCTCATACCAGCAAAGTGGCGTTTGTCACCGGTTGCTTTTACCAGTTGTTGGGTGGACCATTTTTGGTAGCCCTTTTCTTACCCTCATTCTTGTTCCACTTCGACTCTGTCTCTCTGATTTTCTTTTCCCCTTCTTTCTATTTCTAGGGCAGTTTCTCTCTGTCTCTCTGTCTCTGAATGTCCCTCTCTGTGTCTCTCCTTCTTGTCCCTTTTCCCTAACAGTCCCCTTCCCACCGCTGGCTCAGGTCCTTCTCCTGGTAGCAAAGGCATTTCTCATCCAGACCAGCAGCTTGCATGTTCGGGACTCCAGCTATACAACATATACGGCCTTCAAAGGTTTCCGTGGAGCTTTTCATGTAAGATGTAGTTATTAATTCTCCTTCAGTGTTTAAAGACTCAGCCGGTGGGAGTGAAAGGTGGCCTATCCGCGCCAGCTGAAGAGCTGGTGAAATCTTGGCCTGATCTGTTATCTCCCAATGCTTTAAAGGTCTTTGACTGGGAGATTAGAGAACAAGGTTACAGTGACAATTTGTTTACACGCAGGGAGAGATTAAGATCTCGTTGAAAAGGAATAAAAATAACATCATCTTGAGCTGTCACAGCGTGAGCCCCATTGTAATCAACACTGGTCTGATTTCAGGGATAATTTAAGACCAATTTATTATCTTAATTAAAAAAAAAAAGAAGGGAGAATTCAGTGTTTCAGATGCCAGTTAGATCTTTGGACAATGATGCCCCTGGAGATTCCACATACAAAATAGAAAGCTCACAAGATGAGAATCTCCTAGGGGATAAAAATATACAACTTTTTTCCCCTTTAATTTCTTTTTTAAGGTACCAGCATCAAGAGAAGATGAAAAAGCAAAACGAAGTCCTGTTTGAATATTGTGACTGTTTTTAAAGACAGATAAAAGGGTAAAGAAAATAATTCCCATTCATCCTTTTGTTTAGTTTTTGGCATTGTAGCTAAGATTCTCCTAGCAATTGTTTTCCCCTTCTGCCTTAAGGAAATCCGCTAAAAATCTTGGGTTTTGGCAGGCTCGATTTTCTCATTTTCCCTCATAACTAATTCTTCTGCTTTTTAATCCGGAGAAACTAGGAACAATCCGGCCCAAGATGGAAATAAGTCTGGGAAGCTGCGAAGAGTGTGATTTCCGATCGCACCACCCACCGGCCTCCCGCTTCAAAGTTCTCCTGCCCAGTGTGAACCTCACTTCTGGCTTTTTCTACAAAAGTGGCCATGAGCGCCCAATGCACAGAATGAATTCGGCTACAAAGAGGCCTTTGAGAGCTCCCGAGGAAGTGCCCCACTGGGAAACCAGGTGGATGGCAAACGTTCCCTTTTCATTACAAATGAGTTCAGGGACAGGGCCACCCTGATGGGACTCTCAACTCCATCCGAAAGCTAAGCCCCACCAGCCCACTCATTTGAAAACCAAACAGGTTTCCTTCTGCCTCCCCATTCCCTGTTCACAAACACGTTTACAAGTGCTTGATAGGTGACCTTATTTACTTAGTAACCTGTGGATTCATTTATCTTGAAATTAGTAGGTAATGAAGTGGAAAACCTCAACAGCCCTCCCACTAATTAACATGATAATAAGATTGTTTTGCTACAGAGGTACAATTAGCATGTATGAGCCAAAGGGGAAGAAAGATCAATAAAATGTCTGAAGGGTACTACTCCCAGGTCTCCAGAGAAGAACAAAGAAGGGAAACTACAGATTTTAAGACCCATCCGTGTAAACACATCCAACTCTGAGACCGGACCCTACTGAAATGATTTGATGCCTGCTGGAGAAGGAGGTGTGGAGATAACTGAAAGGAATTAATTATAAAGTACACATTTTGGTGCAGTCGATGGCCTTTGAAAATAAAAGGGAAAAACTGGGGTGAGTTTCAGCTGCTCATCTTAAATATGCTTTGATGGGGGTGGGTGGGGGTATAGAATGTGGTAATTACCCCTATAAAATGGTTCCATTTGTTCCTTTTCTCTATCCCCCAAAGTTAAATGGCTCAGATATAAAACTTAAAAGGAGATTCTTCTTGCACATCTAGTGTCAGCATACATTTTCATGAGGTGCTTTAAGACACAGAGTGCACAGCTCAAATATTTATTTATTCCACAGACTGAGGTGTGTAGAGTAAATAAATATGACTTTAAAAATTGCCTCAATATGTATTTACCCAGTAGACTCATTTCTTGGGTAAATTACATGGATTTTGGTAACCTTCCATGACATTTTTCCTTGATTTTAAACATACACAAACAAAGAATTTAAATGTCCAAAGTGTCTAAATAACCTAATTGAACTTGTGACACAAACCAGGAAGAGCCAGGAGACTTGGTTGTGGCAGGAAAAATGCAAGGGTTCTTTGATAGATAAAATGAAGGAAACTTTCAGATCAACAGCAACCCAGGTTGACTGAGTATCACCAGTGTTTTGTAGGAGACTCAATTTATAGCATTCTTCATAAATACAAAAATATTGTGTGTCACATTTCACCGCTCCTGTCTTCTGTCCTCCCTTGAAAACATAGATTTGTGTTTTCAACACAGTAGATGGTGAAATGTGACACATAATATTTTTGTGTCGCATATAGATTTTCCTGTGAAATTCCACAAATGATCACCCCTAAAACGAATGCTCTCCATTGCACTGGCCATCTGGCTTTGCATTTGATTTTTATGATAATAATTCTAAAATCCCTGTATCGCCCACCACGTTTAAAACTGGTTGGACCCAGTATATGGACAAGAAGCTTCTGGCACTGACAATAGAACATTCTCAGCACAATTTCAAATAGGAAATCTGCTTAGCTCTTACCAGTCTGAAAAAGAATGATCTTTAGTGGATTTTTCAAGTGACCAAGTCAGTAATGTTTTCATTTTGGAAATCATGTCAACTGATGGAAGTTGTTGATTTGCTTATATCATGAAAGGAGACTTTGGAGGGAAGTCATTTTCCATTTCTTTGTTTTTCTTACCTTTCCTTTTCTTTTTTTTTTTTCTTCTCTCTCTCCCTAACCAGCATCTATAGGTTTTTAAAAACCTGGCCAACATCTACGTGCTTTGCATTAATTTTTAAAGGTAGATTATAATTGCTTGAAATTTACATCTTTGGAGTGAAGAGGAGAACCCATTCTTATTTCTGGAAGGCATTTCCATGATTTTCTGAATTGTCCTGGATTTAATTAGCAGTATTTGGGGCCAGTGAATGGCAGAGTTCTGAAAGAAGGGCTAAGCATTCCTGGGGAGAAGCTGGAAGTTGCTTCCTGAACAGTCATCCTAACAGTCATCCTACTAGACACTAAGTAGGGCTGGGGGCCCATGTGTGTTGGTGGACACCAAGGAATGCTTTGAGCGAAGGACCCTGGGGAAGAAGGAAAAGGGAAGGGCTGTGCACACGAGATCTTCTTGCTTCCTCCTCTGCACACTGGTTTGGTGAAAGGCCAACGCGAGGCTCACTCTGATGATTATCCACTACTTAGTGAGAAAAACCAACACTTCTAGATTTTAAGTAGATGCACAGACACCTGCACAAGCCCCTGGTTTTTTTCTGATGTTTTTAGCCTCATAACAGACCTTACCTTTGACTTACTGGGTTGTAAGAATGTGGGAATTCTTACAATGAGAAACCAAGAGAGCCATTCACAACCATATGTAAAAAGGATTACCAATCTTTTGGAACTTCGGCACACCATTTTTTTCTCCATTCCATAGCATTGTCACATAACCGAAAACGCATGCCCATATAGGGCACATGCAAATTCTAAAACCCAAGTGAATTTACTTTAAAATAATTTTTATTTCAGAATAACTTGAGAATTTTCCAATATCTCCAGAGATCATTGGAGGCACCCTAGGGGGTCATATAATCTTGCCTAGGTAAAGCTGCCCTAGAAAAAAGAGTATTTTAATAACCAAAGTCGATTCCTCTTAGGAAGAATTCCCTTTGTGTTCTATAACCTAGCTTTAAATCCAAAGTCCTCATCTTTGAACAATCAGAGCAATATGATGTAGCCCAGGAGAGTCAGAAGTTGAATTCCATTCAGAGAAATGTGCAACTCGGAGACATGAAACTGCACCGCATTTGCACTGGCTAAGTCTTTCAGGGATAAAACAATAGTCCCCACTTGTTGGGTGCAACACATATCGTCTAGTTTTCTCAATCCTCAAAGGTAAATATTAATGCCTCCATTTTACAGATAGCAAAACTCAGGCTTAGAGAGCCCTGTAGCCATCTCAAAGTCCAACAGCCAGTTGAAAGAGAGGTGGAATTAAACGTAAATTCTTTTGGTTCTAGCAAAAGCCCCTATCAGTATCTCACCGTCTTTCTTGGGATGATGAACTGTCTTGCTGGAAACCCCCTTAAGAGCCAGTTTTGAAATTGTTTTGAAGTCCCCCTGACCTCTGTCTCCAGAAAGCATTTATTCTTTGGTGTACTTACTATATTGGCAACTTATGTTAATAATTTTTAAAGCCATGACCCACTGTGAGGTGCTAAACATTTCTTCTGGCTAGAACTTCTCCGACAGCATATATAAAGCTTCTCACAAGTTAACAGCAAGCTTCCTTCATTTGGTTTTAATGACTTTGTAAAATAAATACCCAAGATTGTTACTAAAAAATAAAATAAAGTGTTTCAGTGGGAGAATATAGAAGATATAAATTTAACTTAATATAATTCCCTTACTCCTTGTCAAGGGTGAACATGTGACGAGAAATTTTTAGAAGGGCTCCGATGAGCTGGTTGTAATAAGTAGCCTTTTTGGCCTAGATTTGTATCTTCCTTGAGAATAGTAGTAATTTTCGAGTTTCTTTCCAGATTTTTTTTCCTTGCATATCCACTGTACAATTGGGATCTTGTCTCAAGGTGTGAAGCTTTTGCAAATTTATAAAATCATGTCGTCTGCCTTGCGTTCTTGGGAAGTACCTGACATGAACAAGACTGAATCCCCAGACTGCTCACAAGATCACAACTGCCTCTCTTGTCACCCGGCTCTGTGAGCGTGGGCCAGTTTGGCATCATTCTGCTGTTTGGACAGCCCTGTGGAGGCACAGGTCGCTGAGCATTGTATTTCATCCACACATTTTCTCAACAATGTTGCCTTGCAGTTTGAAAGACAAGCAGGGTGGCCCAGGTATCACATTCCTCCAAGTCTCCCGGGCAGGACTGAGCTTTAAATGTGTGGGGACCAGTAGCACATGAGGAGCCTCCCAGGTCAAGGGAAGGCTTGGGAGGCTTGCCACCGTTGTCTACTGGGGAAGGAAATCCAGGCCCAGTTAAAACCTGGGCTCCTGGGGAGCTGGCTGGGAGAGAGGGCATGTGAAGGTTAGGAGCCGCTGGAACAGGTGTGATGTTAGAGTCTCAAGTGAGAGGATGGCCATGGTTTTTCCTCATCTTCGTGCTTAAAGTAGTAGTTTTAGAAGAGCTTCCAGGTGCTTCTGTGAGTCAGGGTTCTCATGCACTCGTGCTAGTCACCCCGGTAGGTGACTTCAAGGCACTCTGTTCATAGCCCCTGGTTGCACACTCACAGACAGAAAGTGAGGGACCCATGGGATGTGTAAGGAGAAGCACTCTGCCTACAAAACCATTAGCATCCTAAGACTGGTCACCATGGGACAGTGACGACATGACTTTTGGCTGTCAGTCAGTCCTTTTGAAATGGAGCATGCAGTTTCTTTCTCCCCTCCCTCCCCTCCCCTCCCCTCCCCTCCTCCCTCACCCTCCCCTTCTCCTCCCCCTCCCCCACCCCTCCCTTCTGCTCCCTTCCTTTCTTTTCTTGACAGAGTTTCACTGTTGTCAGCCAGGCTGGAGTGCAATCACACGATCTCAGCTCACTGCAACCTCCACCTCCGAAGTCATTCTCCTGCCTCAGCCTCCTGAGCAGCTGGGATTATAGGCGCCCGCCACCACATCCAGCTAATTTTTTTTGTATTTTTGGTAGAGGCAGGTTTTCACCATGTTGGCCAGGTTGGTCTTGAACTCCTGACCTCAGGTGATCTGCCCACCTCAGACTCCCAAAGTGCTGGGATTACAGGCATGAGACACCGCACCCTGGCCTGTATTCTTTTCTTTTTCAAGCCAGTCAAACTTAACAGTGGGTAATTCTGTATTCTTTATTGGGGTGAATGATAGTTACTAAATATGATCTACTATTATCTAAAATAAATCATCAGTGCTTTTTATTTGGTTATTTTCTTTTTCTTTTCTTTTTTCTTTTTTCTTTTGGTAAAGAAGAGGGATTTATTTGGCTCATGTTTCTGCAGGCTGTAGAAGAAGCATGGCACCAGCATCTACCTGCTCAGCTTCTGATGAGGCCTCAGGAAGCTTTCCCTCATGGTGGAACACAAAGGGGAGCAGGCACATCACATGGAGAGAGAGAGAGAGAGAGAGAGAGAGAGAGAGAGAGAGAGAGAGCAAGAGAGAGAGGGGGGAGGGAGGTGCCAGACTCTTTAACATATTTGGTTATTTTTAAATGATGAAACTCATGAGCGTGTGCTGCGAAGTCTTTTATTTACATCTAGCATTTATATGTTATTTAGTGTTGTTTGTCTCCTTGTTCTGTGTGATGACCAGATGGCACAGGGTTGCAGGAGTGCATGGTATTTGGAGTTAGGCTACTTCTCAGGAACTGTTGTTCCTCACTGAGCCTCTATGTCCTCATCTGCAGAGTGACAACAAGCGGTTTCTTGAGGGTTGCTAAGGGGACCTGAAAATTGATCCTGGCATGTTGGGGCCGTTCACCAGGAGGCAACCTCTGTGTTTTTTGTTACATGTACTCTTGAAACAGGTTTGAATTCATAGAACACACCTGGCCTTCTGCTAAAGAGAAATAAACTATACAAATGGTCCCAACATCTTCAGAGATCCATTTGGAGGAGAGCAAAAATCCCTAATATTCATGCTGAACAGGAAGTCCATGGATTGAAATCCCTTACAACTTTGCCAAAAGAGGTGATTTAGTCTCTTTGCTGCCCATTCCCAAGTTACAGAAACTCCCAGAGCCATAGTTGCTCCTTCCACAGCTGAATCAAGAATTAGCCTCCAAAGTCAGAGCATGACCTTGCCAGAAGCTATTCATTCATTCCCGCCTGCACTCAGGCACCGTGCTAGGCAGTTGGAACACCACAATAAGACAGACAAGATCCCACCACTTGGTGGGGGAGATGAGATGGAAAGATATGTTAAATAAATGAAACAAGCAGTGCACTTGGGATTGTGAAGAAGGCTGGGGACAAAGCCTAATGAGGTGATTATGCTGTGGCTGGGGGTAGGAGGAAAGGATGGCTTCAGATAGCTAGGCCAGAGAAGGCCTTTCTGAGGAAGGGACACTTAAATTGAGACCGGCAAGTGGTAGAGGGGCCAGGTGAAGCAACTAGTGAGGGGAAGAGCCTTCCAGGTGGAAGGGAGTGCATAGTGGGGAAGAGACCTGAGGAGGAGACAAACTTGACATGTCTCAGGAACAGAAACAGGGCCAGGAGGGCTTGAGCTCAGAGGGTAGAATGGATTTGAAGGGCTGCTGTTTCCAGCTGAGCAAATTACTAGGTGGGGGTTGAGGAAAGATACTTTCTTTTTCTTGTTCTGGATAGTGAGTTATACTGAGAAAAATGGAGGGGTTGTTCTGGCAGATTCTCATTATGTTTCATCTCCACAGAAGCTTTTTTTTTGTGTTTGTTTTTTGTTGTTTTTTGAAGGTTGCTTTCTGAAAAAAAAAATGAACTTGATATGAAGACAAACTGACCTTTATCTGAATACCTGTTCAGGTGCTACTGGGTGTGTGTTCTTCTTCTTCTTCTTCTTCTTTTTTTTTTTTTTTGAGACACTCTTGCTCTGTCGCCCTGGCTGGAGTGCAATGGTGCAATCTCGGCTCACTGCAACCTCCACCTCCCAGGTTCAAATGAATCTTGTGCCTCACACCGCCAAACCTGGCTAATTTTTGTATTTTTAGTAGAGACATTTCGCCATGTTGGCCAGGCTGGTCTTAAACTCCTGGCCTCAAGTGATCCACCTGCCTCTGTCTTCCAAAGTTCTGGGATTATAGGCATAAGCCACCACTCCTGGACTGGGTGTGTGTGTTCTTGACTAAAGTATTGAATCCCTCTGGGCCTCCATTTTTTCATCTCTAAAATGGATTCAAGACTGAAATAGCAAGGTGAATAATACAATACCTCCAAGTATCTACTGGTTAGGAAGAATTAAATGCATCATTCAAGTTGCCTTATCCACAGCTCTATATGACAGTACTCACCATATTGAAGAACCTCCCAGCAAGTGCCCTTGGGCCCACTGCAGTGATCAAATTCAGTGAAATATGTGTCGAATGTGTGGGAAGAAAACAGAGCAATTCACTGAAAAACTGTTTGAAATGGCCCAGGATTGAAATAAATAATTGCAAGGGCCTTCCTATCCGGATCAATTTCTCAGGTAACCATGGTAAGAGTAGTGTCAATGCTTTGCCAGACATTAATTCTGAAATTGATGACCATCATCAGTTTTGAAATATGTGATATGTTTGATCCTATCAAAAGGCATGTGTATTTCCATATAAATCCTTTCAAAATACAATATATCCTTTTTGGTTTTTGATGTCTTCCAACTCAGAAAGTATGATATGATAGATGTAAGTTTCTAAGCACATTAGTGATGTAACAATTTCAGCTGAAGGTATTTTGGGGCCCTTGGCAACACCTTCAATCTCTGGGGATGTTAGAAATTAATGGTGAGAGGAATACAAACAAAACTGTGCTTATCTGTTTTCTGTAAATGAACACCTACGCATATCCTGGGAGGGTGCTTGCAATATGACTGAAGGCCAATGCTCCATTTATACATGTGCAAAACTACAAAAAAATTCCCCTGAATTACAGTGAAACCGTTTTTAATTCTTCTGTTTTTTTTCCTACCGTGTGCCTGCACCATGTAAATATCGATTTTAAACACCTGACAGGTTTAATCTTGAAAATGGAAGCATATACCAGTTCATGTGCATAACAAACATCCGATTTACTACTCTTCTTGCAAGGGGAAAATGAGTTGCCCCACACATCTTCCTTCTTCCTCTTCAATTTGATAAACTCTTGCCTCTTTTGTCAGGTCGGACCTATTCTAGTCGACTCGTGTCCAAAAAAAATACCTTACAAATGGATTTTCAGTCACCACTCAACGAAGCTGGTTGACAGAGCTCCACAAAATCCTTCTGGAGGGAGGCAGGCTTTTAACTTGATTGATGAAATTATATCTAAATCTAGTAGATTTGGGACTTCAAAGGCATTTTTCCCTACTTAGGGCATCCCGGATGAAGGGCGTATGCTATTTGTACCAAACTCCCAGGCTCAAGTGGTTCGCAAATTGACCCCTTTGTAATAGGTTAAAGGTTTCTTGCTAGATAACAGTGGTTCATTTTGATTAATTATGTCAGGGAATTAATGTATGATTACTAACTTTTAGCAGATCCTGCTCCTTCTGACCCCGGTCTGCTTGTTTGTGTGGCTGGTTGTAATTTTCGACTGATAGGTTAGGAGAGGTCACTGTGTGGTCAGCATATTTTAAACAAAGGAAGAAAAAAAGAAGCAGGGACCTCCAAATGGAGTGGACACTGCAGTTCACAGCCTTGACAGAGAAGATCTGTTAAGTGTTTTAGCAGTGGGCTTTTATATATTTACTCATGCTAATAAAAGATGGTTCCCCAGAATGGAGAGTAACCTGGGAAGATGTGGAGAATAACAGTTAAATGTTAGCCCATAAATTTCATTTCATACTGGTTTCAATAACCTAGGACCTTGTTAAAGATTAAATGGCAACGTGTTGAGTTTTGGCTTTCGATAGGTCAAGAGAATCAGGATGAAAAATTCTTGTTAATAATGAGGTTTTCTAGTAGATGGTGTGTAGTTTAAACTGTTATTCTTAGATTAAGTGCTAGCTATTTAGAAGGAGGGTAACAGTATAAGCTGATGACATTTCACTTCAAATTATTTTTATTCCATTAATTGACATTATTTATGTGACACAACTCCTCTTGATGGAAACAATTTCATTCTTCAGCATGAACTAAGAACTTCATGGCACATGGTCCTCTCTAAAGATAATCAGTTCAAAATGTCCAGTGGCCTCTGAAATTAAACTGGTGTTCCTTGTGTCTTTGTTTCCTTCAGAGCAAAATATTTACCACCAGAATTAAGTTCTTAGGGTCTTAGAAAATGCTTTAAGGATTTGTTCAAAAAAAAAAGCTTATTTTTTCTCTCTCGGACTTTGAGGATTTCTCTATCCAGAATTCTGTGGATATGACGTTGTCAATGTTTTCTGAGTGTGACCTTGTTGAAACACAATTACAAGGCTCAGAAGAAGAAGGGCAAGCTGAGGAGAGAGAGGAGAACTTTATAGGAAAGACAGAAGTGCCCAGGGGAAATATCAAGGAAACAGAGAAGGGCATAATTATGAAAGGGTTGGGCAGAGCATTGAGAGGAAGAGAGAATGCCAGAACTGTTTGGTTTTCGAGTAAATGCTGCATATTAGAGGACTTGAAAGCAGAGAGTTTAAAAAAAATCCGAAAAAATGAAGTGTTACAAAGGAAAGGTGTTACTTAGATGCTGTATTAAATTTTTAAACCTTATAAAACACCCTTTCTGTAAGGTTATTCAGAAATAAATTGTGCTTTAGCGTTCAGATTTAGTTATCTCTGTCCAGAAGGATGTTGGAAAGGCACTGGGCATGCTGACAATTGCTGATCGCCCATAGCCTTTATGGACAACATAATCACAATTACTGTATTTCAAACAAGCCCCTTTCAAAAATTAGAGGTGTTGATGACTTTAATGGGGACATAGACCATTTGTCTGTTCCATTATTGCAATTACTGTCTGGCTTGGTATCTTCTCCCTGACAGTGGCTAATGCTGTATACTTCAAAGGAAGATATAAACCCTCAATAATGCACTTATGGTCCAATTCACATCTAGCTCTTCATCTCCCTACTGTGCTCGCCCCACTTCCTTCACACACACACACACACACACACACACACACCCCCACGCGTGTGCGCACACACACTCTCACACACACACAGAGTTATAAGTGTAGGATTCTGTTGAGGAAATACATTTGCATTACACTGGAGTTACAGAAACAAGCAACAGCAGAGCAGAAGAGAGATGAGGCCACAGGAGCACAAGTTGCAGGGCTAGAGACGTGGAGAGGTTGCCTTACCTAGTTGTTCCCCTGTTAAGGCATAGCTGTCCTCATATCAAACAGAGATCTCAGAAAAACAATAATCCTCAGATACCCCTGCAACACTTTTTAGGGGTTTTGAAACACAAACCCACTTAAATAATTATTTTCTTTCTCAGTTCAACCTCTCACTTTCCTATGTTCAGTTGTTGCAAATAAATAGGGAAATATATATATACATATATATATATCTCATATGTGTTTTATGATACGTATCGCCTAAATATCTCCTAAGTGATATTTTCTTCTTGATTCCCAGATCACACAACTTTGAACTAATTTGACTATTTTTGTACTGTAGATTCTATCATGGTTTTAATCATATTTTTATTTTTAAATAATAAGATAAAATAGGAAAGTTTCTCTACACGTAAGCAAAAAGACAGAGTAATCTGAGGTTAGGACTGTATGAGGACAACTGTGTATAAAGCTGTGAGTTGGTTCTCATTTATTTTTCCTGGAGAAGAATAATGCTCACCAACAGTGCAGCCCCACAAGCTGTAACTACTCATATCTTTTCATTGGCCAGACAAATTGGGTTCCTGCTCTCTACTACCTAGATTTTGATGGGAAAACAATGACACTTCTGCTATTGTTCCAGGACTTCGTGAAGATTCAGGGTTTCAAAATCAAAAGCAGAGCAGAAAAGCATTAAAAAAGAATAAAAATTTTTAAAACTATTGAGTTTAATATAGTTAAGATGCATTTTATCCGAGTTAACGGATTTTGTCATCCTGAAATGAACTAAAAGGGACAATTAGTGTTCTTGTTGTCTTCAACAGGTTAAGTTGAAGTTCCATTCATTTTCACTCCAATGAACAGGCCAATGAATTTATTTAGATTTTGATGAATGTTTCTGTCCATTAGCTTTTGAAGACAATGTTTACATTTAATAGATACCCTGGATCAACTAAAAGAAAATGGAGCCAGAAACCTTGCCAGGTAGATATGGGGACTGTAGAATAATTAATCATCTCAGTTTGCCTGGACCAGAGGGAGTTCTTGAGAGATGAGACTTCTAATTTTCCAACTAAGAAACTCCCGGATAAACCCAGACAAATCAGGTCATCCTAGATTTGGGAGTCCCCCTCCAGCAGCCAATTTCTAATGTTATGGATGTTGGCTCTTACCGTAAAGGATCCAGCCGTGCATGGTGGCTCATGCCCATAATCCCAGAAGTTTGGGAGACCGAGGCAGGTGGATCACTTGAGGTCAGGAGTTCAAGACCAGCCTAGGCGACATGGTGAAACCCCATCTCTACTAAAAATACAAAACTTAGCTGGGTGTGATGGCGTGCACCCGTAATCTAAGCTACCTGGGAGGCTGAGGCAGGAGAACTGCTTGAACGCAGGAGGCAAAGGCTGCAGTGAGCCAAGATTGTGCCACTGTGCTCCAGCCTGGGTGACAGAGTGAGACTCTGTCTCAAAAAAAAAAAAAAAATGGGATCCGAATGATATGTTCTATCTTCAACATACCTTTCCTCTATACATTAATAATGGTAGGGAACTAAGCAAGCAAATTAAGGACGATTTTCACTAACCCTGCTATCTTCTATCCTACACTCACTCTGCTGTATTGTATTATATTGTGTTATATATGTGTGTGTATGAATATATGTGGATATATATGCGTATATATGTATATGTTTATGTGTGTATGCACACACACTAATAATTTCTTGTTTCTAAACTAGAGATTGCTTACTGAACTTTACCAATTCTCATAACCAAAATTAAACTATGTGCCAAATCTTATGAACGATTTGGAAATATATTATTTAGCTTGGTTTTAGAGGATCACATTAATCTTTTAGAACAGTCATAAAGCAGCATTCTAAAACACAAAGTACAATAAAGGTCTTCAATGAAATTTAAAAGAGAATAATATTTTGGATTTTGTTTTTTAAGTTCAGAGGTGACTTTCAACAGAACTTCAAAACCAAATTGGGGAACAATGAACATAGAACTGTTCTTTTTAATCATGAGCAAAATCTATCACACATGTTCTTTCAAGTAAAGTTTATTAGAAAGAAACTGCTACTAGAGAACCACATGTTAACTCTGACTTGGCAAGGTCAGGCCAGGGCAATAAACCCTTGAACCTTACAAATATGCAAAGCTGACATAAATAACAAATTAAACCCAGCCAGGTATAACACTTTGGCCAGTTAGATGTGAGGCAGATACCAATTCCAGGGAACAAGAGCCTGTTGATTTGTAAGGAAAACCCGGTCTTACCCTCTTTGTTCACTGCCCATTAGTTTTGCATCTGGGGGTCACTTTGCTCCTTCCTGCTGAGGCAAAACCTAATAAAAGTGATTCTGCTGCATTCTCTGCCAGTGGCCCCATGTTATAGCTCATGGGTTGTTGGTGTGGTACATTGGACTTATAATGTATCATGTTTTTATAAAGGAATACAGAGCCTTGGGTGTGATGGACATCAGGTATTTTTTGGATTTTAAAGCCATTTCTAAGTGATGAGTACTGGGATCTTCTCTAGGAAGAAGTTAGCTCTGTGATAACTGGAGAATCAGCATACTGGGAAAGTGGAATGATAATTGATTCAATTCAATGTAGATAAGGGAACAAGCAGCTATGGAGAAGAAAGCAAAAGAACATGCATTTTGTGTTTAAAGTAGGGCATTTTAGTCCAATTTTTAATGTAAATGTTATTAAAGTAAATTCAGAAGTTAGGAATCTGGAAGAAACAAAGAGAAAAGATCTTGAATAAACTGTTCACAATTGAAACTGGAATGTATCGCTGGTGGGGCAATGTACAACTGAGGAGTGAGGAGTGAGACTTGTTTTTGTTTCTATTTTTTTGAGACAGGGTCTTGCTCTGTCAACCAGGTTGGAGTGCAGTGACATGCTCGTGGCTCACTGTAGCCTCGACCTCCTGGGTTTAAGCCATCCTCCTACCTCAGCTTCCCTAGAAGCTGGGACTAACAGGTCCACCTGGTACAGGTACTACAGGTACCACCATGCCCAGCTAATTTTCAAATTTTTTGTAGCGATGGGGTTTAACCATAGTGCCTAGGCTGGAGACTTGTATTTTTATTAGCTCAACACTTACTTGTGCTTAAGGAGGAAGGTAGAAGTTTCCAGGATCATTATTAAGCTCCAGTGTTAAGTTGTGGTACTATTGCTCCTCTTACAGAATGAAAGTCTTGACAGATCTAATTCGTCATGTATTTACAGAAGCAAACACAGCCTATCAAACTCATGAGTTGGAGGCCTGAATTCTTCAAGGCTTTTTCTGTGGGGTGTGAATCAGTGCTCTCTGTAATCATGGTGAGATATCAAGGCCTGTTAGACTAACGCATTCCTTTTAAGTAGTCTTGTTGAGAAGGAAAATGTTTCTTAGCAGTCACACTAGAAGTGGCCAACTACAGGATAGTGATTCTCTTTTTAAATAGACATTGTCTTTGCCAGTAAGGAACAGTATAAGGACTACGTCCAACTCTTTTTTAGGGGGAAAACTATTTGTCTACCTAGTAGAGGAGGAAATAGTTTATTTCATCGCCCATGTTGATATTTATATAAAATTTTTGAATTTTGATAATTACCTGTGGAATAAGATATGAGCTTGTAAGTCTGGTGAAATTTTCAATGTTTGTTTAAATATCTTCGCAATTTAGCTCTGATTGATTTTTATGTAACTTAGAGTTGGTTGAATTTAGATAACCATAACTTTACCTTTTTTTAACACAAATTTACAATAATATTTAACATGAGTAACAAAAGGAAATATGATCCAATATCTGAGATGAATTCTAAAAAATATTTTCCCCAGAATAAAAAGGACGGCAGAGTTCATAGTGGAAATCCAGGTGATAGATGAATTGAGCACTTTCTCTGTGATTCCCGCTCAGGTATAATGAGGTAGGGTAGTTGCAACTTCAAGAGAGGGAAGAGAGAGGCAGGTTTTTTGTTTTGTTTTGTTTTGTTTTTTCAATTTGCCCAATTTCACAGGAGTGAAAACACATTGTGATAATAAAGGAAAATACCAATAATGAGCAAACAGGGTGGGGTGAAACCTGTGGAGATTTTCAGAAAACTGGATGACAAAAAAATGATAATCCACTGCCATTTTTTTCTGATTCATATATTTCCTTTGACTTTTAAAAGTGCACTATGTATTCTCTGGTAATGTCAGTGGCTTTTTCAATGGAAATGCAACTAGTAAGCAGCTTGACTTTTGAACTACAGAATAATCTAAATCTGGTCTCGCCTCCATTTTTTGAATTCTATATAGATGCTCACTTGAAAGCACAGAAAAACAGCAACCCACTGCAGGAGATGACGGCTCACGATGTTCTCTGAACATCTCATTTTTAATGTTTATTGTGTTTTTTGGTTGGGCCAGGTGGCTATCATTTTATTTTATTATTATTATTTTGAGACGGAGTCTCGCTCTGTCACCAGGCTCCAGTGCAGTGGCGTGATCTGGGCTCACTGTAACCTCCGCCTCTCAGGTTGATGCCATTCTCCCGCCTCAGCCTCCCAAGTAGCTGGGACTACAGGTGCCTGCCACCATGCCTGGCTGATTTTTTGTATTTTTTAGTAGAGCCCAGGTTTCACTGTGTTAGCCAGGATGATCTCTTATCTCCTGACCTCATGATCCACCTGCTCCGGCCTCCCAAAGTGCTGGGATTACAGGCATGAGCCACTGCACCCGGCCCAGCTATCATTTTATAGTCTTTGGTCTAATACATGTGCATTGTGAAGACCAGGTTCATAGACTGGCAAACCAAATTCTCTCTTCTGTTTTCTTTGATTTGGTTGGTACAGTAATTTTAAACTTTGAAACTAAATGCATTTAGGAGGTGGGAGTATGAGCATTCCAATTTGGCATTAGTCTGCCCTCTTCTTTATTATCTTATACTGGACCAATTCACTCATGAATGGTACCACTCAGCTCAGTCCTTTGGGATTTCATGACTTGATGCTGCTCTCAAGCTGCCCTTCTGTCCTCAGGCCTGGTGTGGACTAATTAGTTAATCCACCGCTCCAACCTTGACCCACGTGAGATTGTTGCTTCTGGGAAAACTGGCTACCTGACAACTTTCAAAGTTTAATGTCAAGGTATTTTGGCAAAAATAGAATAGCCTTACTGCTAGCTTCTCTGTTTATTGTAGGTGGGAGGTGACTAGAGAGTGGAGAGCAGCAATTAAGAGGCTCTAGTACAGGAAGTGGAATCATAAAGTATATTACTACCTTATGTATTTTTGGATTCTTGTGGATCCAAGGCTGTTGCCTGTAAGTCTCAAGGACTAAAGGATTAGGATGTGTAGAAATGCACATGTATTACCAAGGAGGAGGGCTTGTTACCCTTGTCTGTTCATCTTTAGCCTCAGGGCACATACCCTTGAATTGCATTAAATATTATATGAAAATGTTTATTTAAAGCCCTTTCAGCTGACAGGTTATTAAATGCTAGATCAAATGACAAGAAAATTCAACATCAGACTTGTTAGTGGGTGAGTTAAGGGTGGAATATGTTGATTCCTGTATAAACAAATAGACATGAAAATTTCCTCAACTCCATTTAACCTGCTGAACAGTGGTTCCAAAGAAGGAAAAATGAGCAAAGCAATTTTTTAAAAGCCATCCAAGGGCAATCAGACTTGGCAGAATTTCATGTATTTATGAATATACTTAGAAGGTATAAACTTAATTTTTACAACAGATGTTTGGCAACTAATTCGAAATAGATGCTTTAGTGTGTAAACCAAGTCAATCACCTCAGACCACAGTATACTGTGACTATTAGCCCAGTCATTTTAAAAAAAAATGGCAATAAAAATATAAATAGCAAATAATGAACAGAAAGCAATCTTTTCAATTGCTTCTTTCTACAAAGCAGCTAGTACACTTTTGACATTTGAGTTCCTATTCTTTATGTGGTTTTAGTCAATTTGTGTTTTTGGAAACAAAAAAATCTCCCTTTAGTCCCACAATAGGTCAGCAAAAATGACATTAATGACAAAAAGCAGTCTCCTAGCAGAAGGTCAGTGGAGAAGTGTAATCAGTTTAGAACTCGATGTTGTAACTTACTTGAATGAAAGATTTTTCTTAAGGTGACATTAAGATGAAATATTTAAGATAAACTGGAAGATTTGACTGGAAATTCACAATGGCTCTCTGAAATAGTCTGCCCTGATTTACAGATCCTCAATTTTCAATTTATGAGCTGAGACCAGAGTATACCACTAGAGGATGAGAATAGAGTAGTCATATTAGAGGCAGCTCATATATCCTAAAGACAGACTTTGGAAGAATTAGAAAGTATAATAAAGTGCCTCTCCCTTTAAGACAGGGCCTGGCTCACTGCCAATTTCAAACCTAAAGCATTAGATATTTTTAATGCCCTTAAAACTGTCACTTTTTCCCTAGACTTTTTGTCATCTCTAAATGAAAAAACAGTACCAGAGAGATTTGCCCGTATTGTTTCCAGTCTCCTCAGGATATTTTTGAAAAGTAAATATTTATTGCTGACAATAACTTTTTGCTGAGGTTAACTAGCACTCCAAGTACAAACCGGGGCATCTGAAAGACAGAGAAACTCCTCAGCCACTTTTTAGTTGCTCATCTGTGCAGAAAAC
The DNA here is from genome assembly GCF_000001405.40 of Homo sapiens. Lineage (NCBI taxonomy): Eukaryota > Metazoa > Chordata > Mammalia > Primates > Hominidae > Homo > Homo sapiens. The sequence continues at coordinate 95,894,495 of NC_000015.10, read as the reverse complement.
TTGCAGACAAGATGACCCAAAATGCAAATTATTAAAATTTCTTCATCCTTTCCCAAAGAAGACACTAGAATTTTTTTTTTTTTTTGGCCAGGGAGACCAGCCAAAGGATATTTGGGGCTCAAATGAGCTTGAACTTAGGCTAGAGGCCACAGTAACATCAAACACAGAATTCGCAGCACCAGTGGTGTTTTCTCAACCTCTACATTCCTTGAGCTACATGAGGAGGATTTTGACAATGTGGTCACCAAAAAGACCCTTCCTCCCTGAATGTCTCATCTCCTTTGGCTTCTGTGGAGAAACTTCCAGAACACAATTACTTAGTAAATACTGTGTGCTTTCCTGTCGGATATTAAAAGAGATCTAATCACGTCTCCCAAACATTTTGCTGATAACTTGCATTGTGGGAAGTTTGGGGTTTCACTTGTGAGAAAGTTGGTTTATAATCAGGTAAGTTAGGAGAAGACAAAGTTAAACAAGTTTCTCCAGTGCAGATTCTCTCCAAGAGATTCATACACACCATAAACCTCAAATCCTAGTGAATTCATTTAGTGTTTGGGGAAATTTCAGCAAGACTAGTAATCAATGGATCATATTTTGTCAATGTTGGTTTAAAGAAAAATAAAACTGCTAAGGCTCCTAGCAGTTGCGGTGTTTCTATTAATTGATTAATTAATTAGATAAATAAAGAGTGGCACTACACAGATTTTGGAAGATTTCACAATGGTGTCTATGGTTTTGTTGTTTTTTTTTTTTTTTTAACAAATATGAACTACTTAGAGGGACACAATAGACTTTGAAGACTCCATCTCTATAGCTACCTATCTGTTTATTACCTATCCACCTATGCATAGATACATACACATATGCAGACATACATTCACATGTGGTATCACACACACAGGCATACACATGTATTAGCTGTGTCACTTAGGATTTGTGCTTGGCTTCAAGTAACAGAGACTTTAACAACTAAGTGATTTAAATGATTTGATATATTTTTTTCCCACCCAAAATGGTGCTTGCATGAAATCAAGAGGAACCCAACTCTGTCTTTTGCTCCAAATCTTTAGAGCAGGATAAGCTCATGGTTCAAAAGGAGTTACTGCAGTGGCAGCCATCATGTCTGCATTACAGGCAGAAGGACGGGAAAGCAAGAAATGAAAACAGGTGCACACCTGTTGGGTTAGATGCCACCACCAAGCCCTACTCTACAGTTTATGTTTTTTATTTTGTCAAGAACTTGGTACCATGGCTACCTCTTTGTGTAAGAAAGGCTGAGAAGTGTTGTCTCTTGAACTGGGAACATGAATACCAGAAACAAATTCATGGATCTTATAGTAAGGAAGAAGAGGGAAATAAATATTGGTTAGATAACTAGAAGTCATGCTATAGCACATTCTTTAGTTACTGTGGGTGCCACAGAAGGCTGCCTCAGAGAAAGGTATGGCTGAGCATTCAGGTAACAACTCAAGTTTATGTAGGATGCAACTGGACCCATTGATTTTTAGTTGAGATTGTCAAAGATCACAGAAATACATTTCCAGATTTTCAACACCCAAAGAGCTTGGAAGTCAACTGTTGGGAAAGCTATTGGGGTAGGGCGGAAGTGTACATCTTCCCAGTCACCTCTGATTCAGGGGAAGAAAGACAATAAGACTGTCATGGCTGAAAGCATTTTAGAATGTTTCTTTTTTTTTTTTTTTGAGATGGAGTCTCGCTCTGTTGCCCAGGCTGGAGTGCAGTGGCACAATCTCAGCTCACTACAACCTCCACTTCCCGGGTTCAAGTGATTCTCCTGCCTCAGTCTCTCAAACAGCTGGGACTACAGGCAGGTGCCACCACGCCCAGCTAATTTTTTGTATTTTTAGTAGAGACGGGGTTTCATCATGTTAGGCAGGATGGTCTCGATCTCCTGACCTCGTGATCCACCTACTTCAGCCTCCCAAAGAGCTGGGATTACAAGCGTGAGCCACCGCGCCTGGCCAGAATGTTTCTTAAAAGGCAGTTGAGTACTAAAAATGGCATCAAAAAGTTTCAAGGTGGAAGAGGCTTTTATTTTATTTTTATTGCCAAAACTCTAATGTTTGTCTTTTTGTAATCCGTAAAATTAATCAATATATACATTAGTGTTAATTAACATTAATTAATAAATTTTATTTACTAAATCACTCTTGGTTTTTAAAAGATTGTTGAAGAAATCCTCATCAGTCACTGCCTAAATGTCTTTTGTGTCATGCCTCGGAAACCTGTAGTGCTATATAGTGGTGATGACCTTGTACCTGTCGATATGCAATGCTTGGGGTTTGGAAATAGGAGTCAAAGATGACAAAATCTATATTAAAATCAGCAAATATTACTGTTGTTATGACCTCAAGCTATCCTGGCCTTTTCTTTTTCTTTTCTTCTTCTTCTTTTTTTTTTTTTTTGAGATAGAGTCTCGCTCTGTCGCCCAGACTGAAGTGCAGTGGTGCTATCCCAGTTCACTGCAACCTCCACCTCCCGGGTTCAAGCAATTCTCCTGCCTCAGCCTCCCAAGTAGCTGGGATTACAGGCATGCACCACCATGCCTGGCTAATTATTGTATTTTTTGGTAGAGACAGGGTTTCACCATGTTGGCCAGCCTAGTCTTGAACTCCTGACTTCAAGTGATCCATCCGCCTTGGCCTTCCAAAGTGCTGGGATTACAGGTGTGAGCCACCACACCCAGCCGGCTTTTTCTTTTCTTTCCCCTGGTTCTTTATCTTCCTTTTGCTCTCAAATTATGGATTTTCTTAAAAAGCAAAGTCCTTTGCCCTTCCTAGCTTTCTCAATGACCGTATCTGATCTTTCACATGTGACCTCTATATAGATATGTGTATAATCTAGAAAATAAAGCAGTTGGATGGTTACTTCCCAGGCCCACTTCCAAAATTAAAATCTCATATTTTTTATTATTATGACTTCCAAATTTAAATATCTGGGCCTGTTATTATTCCTGAGCTCTGATCAGAAATTTCCAAATTCCCAATTGATATGTCTGCTTGTAGGTTCTCCTCTCATGCACATCAGTTCTAACAATGAGCTTGACCCCAAGACTAATAAAAAGTCTTTCCTATTTTCTGTTAGTGGTGCTCATATCTCTCTTTCTACCCATTTAAATTAGTCTTTAAATACTGATGATTTTTCTTTCATTTGTTTTTTTCATAAGTGGGAAAATTGTACTTTGCAACCAGCCTAATAACTATTTGAATCCTGGAATGCCAGTAACTAGATGCATGGCCTTGGGAAAGATACACTATGTTGGTTGAAATAATAAAACATATTAAAAGGCAAAAATTCAAGAAAGTATACAATCTGGTATCCCATGAACGAAACAAAAAAAAATGTTATGGGAATAAGGAGGACAGCTTGGTCTCACCAATTGCTAGATGCATGACTTGGGAAAGATACACTGTGTTGGTTGAAATAACAAAACATATTAAAAGGCAAAAATTCAAGAAAGTGTACAATCTAGTATGCCATGAACAAGACAAAAAAAAATGTCATGGGAATATGGAGGGCAGCTTGGTCTCTCCTGGACTCAGGTGATCAGCTTTGCTATTTCAGTTTAGAAGTTTGTCAAGTTTCGAAGAATGGCATAGATAAGAAAGATGGTATGTTGGGCGAGGAGACTATTGTGAATGAAGTTATGGAGGTGGGATTCTACACAACATACAGCAGGTCCTCAAATAATGTCTGTTCCTTTAACAGTATTTTGTTACAATGTTGATGAGAAAAAAAATCAATACTTGCCTGGGGCCACCATCTCTCTGGAATCTGCATGTTTTCCCCAGGTCTGCGTGGGTTTTCTCCAGGTACTCTGGTTTCCTCTCACATCTCAAAGCTGTGCCCACTAGGTTGACTGGTGTGTCTACATGGGCCCAGTGTGAGTGACTGTGGGTGTGTGGGTGAGTGCGCCCTGTGATGGAATGACATCCTATCTAGGGTCAGTTTTTGCCTTGTACCCTAAGCTGTGGGGGATAGGCTCTGGCCATCCAAGACCCTGAACTAGAATAACTTGGTTGGAAAGTGAATTAGTGAGTAAATACATTCACCTGCAATAATCATAGAGATCCATGACAATAAGCAATGTGGTAAGAAAGTGCTAACGGGACTCATCATATTTGTGACTGTTCTGGAACTGCTTGATGCAGGGACATGCCCCTTTCAATTTGCACTTTACGAACATTTATTCCTTGTTTTAACCACCACCACTACAGCCATTGTCATTTACTGATTCACCAAAAATTGGGTAAATAATTATCATACTTGTTTTTATTACTCATTCTTAAATGTATGTGTAGCTCACATTCATTTCAATGTTTAATATTGGAAATGTTTTGAGTCTTTATTTAGAAGTTCTGTGATGTTTTTGTGACTAGAAATATACCATAGAAACTAAACTCTTTTTTCTATCGATTAGCCTGTGGTAAAATTGGTTTTGTTATGTTGTTTTGCTTAAAGTTGCAGTTTCCAAGAGCCTACTACTGACGTTAAGTGAGAACTTAGTGTATTCAGGGGACAACAAGGAGACTTGTATGGCTGAACAGGAAGAAAATATTTTGAAATGTGATTCGACATTTGAATTGTCTTAGATTATTAGCTTTGAACCTGAGGTCTAGGTATTTGCATCTTGAGATAAAGTGGCTTGAGGATTTTGAGTAACACAATAATGAAATAGTGTATTATTAAACATACATTATAGCTAAGTGAGAAAACTTTGTGAAAGAGAAGACAGAAACTGAAAACAAGAAGAAGAGAGAGAATGAACACAAAAGAAATTGAGGACAAGAGGGCAATGGGAAGTGAAGAGAAAATGGGAATAGGAAAACGATTTGGCAAGAACTCTAAAAATCTGAAGGAAGACTTGAATTGGGTCAAGCTAATTTGGACTGGGAATATGTAACTTAATGAATATGTATCTGTTTTATGCCCTAAGAAGTGTGATAACTCTGATTGGTTGTCCAATGTGTGGGCTGAAGTGATAGGATGGTAAATGTTCAATCAAACCTTGTTGAATAAATGAATGGCTCACTAAGGTCACAGTCAAATTCAATCAATCTGAACTCAGCAATGTTTCGAATATGCATTTTCATGCGCTCAAAAGGTAGTTAATATGACGCTTTTACAACAAAAAAGAACAAAAAAGTAAATTATTAGCCACACATAATAAATGTACTCACTGAGTAGTGGTCCACAAATGGAAAAGAGAAATATGATGGAAAGATTTTATTAGATTGTGCAAATCGGCAAAATCAGGACAGTTTGGAAGAATGCAACTTGACTCTTTTGTGAACTGTAGGGGGCTTTTCCTGCTGTAAGAACTACCAGAGAACCATCTGCTTGAGGAATCCTTTAAAAATTGCCATGGGTCGTTTAGCAGTTCATGGTTCCATCTTGCTCTGTTCTTGCAATCAGAAAAAGAACTGAGCTATATCCAGGTAAGCACCTTGCACAATGTGATTACTCACTTAATACTAAAAATTGTATTTCATAAAAATTGGAAGGGAATTTGAAGGTCAGCTAGCCCCACCTTCTGTCTGCCCACCATTACAGAGTGAGGAAAAATGGACATAGAAAAATTGTAAGACTCAGGGGCAGACTAGTGTAAATATTTATCCACTAGACTATGCTTTCTCTGAAAAGATTCATTGGCCATTTATGTTATGTTTGAATAATTCTGAACTTTGTCAAAAGTTAATTGTTTTCCCTAAAACATCTTCAATAAAGTGGCAGGCCACATGATTGTAAAACACCTTGAGTGCAGGAATCATGTTCAGAAAATGCTGCTTTCCATAAATACTTGTTGAATGAATGAATGGTCTTTTTACTCTGTAAATAAGAAGACTGAAACAAAACAATGCTAATAATTGTTGACAGAGTTGAAGACCTGAGATTCCTTATTCTTTAAAAATATTGGCACACATATTACAACTTCTTTCTTCTAAACAGCAAATCACTTTTACGATTGATTACTTAGTTTATTCGCTTAACCACTTGATTACTCAGGTGATTGAATTAGATTTAATTATGGTGTGTATACTACATAAGCTCCTGTTGAAGCCATACTCTGGTTATTAAACCAAAAACATTCCCTTGCCTTTGGAATTTAAAATTGTTTACCATTTTCCTTCTGGTACAATGTATTCCATTTTTAATAACTTGAGCATGAATCATATTTAGAGTTAGTATCTGTCTTTACTTTGCAATGTTTTAAGAATTTGAGAGGAATTCTGATTCTTGCCTTGACATGGGAAGTAGGTGAGCCTTTTCCTTTCCAGGCAGAGCAGGGATTAGACACGGCTATTTCTGTTTTTTCAGGGAAGATCCTGCCATGCTCCTTCCCGCTGAAGGAGCCTCTTCCTGAAGATTAGGAGATAATGCATCTGGAATAACATGAACTCATCCAGGTTTGTGGTTTATCTGAAAATCAAATCGTAATAATCTCATAGTCCATCTGGCTGCACATACATTTGGATACAGTTGAAATATCAACCATGACACAGGGCTAACAACTTTGAAAATGGGAGAGAAAAGGAAAGTTCCATTTTACAGTTGGGGCTAAACATTCCTTTGCCTCTGGTGGTGTGTTTTTCTTTCAGCAGCCTGGAGAGTGCTGTTGGCAGAAGCCTCTTTGGTGTGTTTGTTTCTCCCGTGGATATGTGTGCTCAGCAGGTCCTTATAGGTGTGAACAGAATGCGGATCTAGTAGAGGCCCTGGCCGAAGCGAAAATTTTAAGGGTGTGAAAACATGAATCTAGAGATTGAGGAGATTAGTTTTTTGACATTCTTTTCAGGAAGAGCATCTCTATCCTGGGTTATGAGCCTATTCATGGAAAAGCCGAAGAGCGTGGTAGAGCAAAATGTTTGGTGTTAGGTTAATGGATAGTTAACAGTGCAAGATAGAAGCAGGAAGTTTAGTACTAATTAAATGCCTGCATGTTGATGTAAAACTGACTATGGTTCAAGGTCAGGCCTTGTTACATGCGAGATGTGTGACTTTGATCAGGTTACTTGCCCTCTCACTTCTTATAACATGAGGGTGAGGACAGAGCATGTCTCATGGGATTCCTATAAGCATTGTATTGGATGATGCTGTGTGACATAAATGAACAACACAGAATCTACCAAAAGTAAGTACATAATAAATAACTATTGATCAAACTGAATTGATAGCCTGTTCTGTTGAGAACATATTTCTGAAGTGTTTGTAGAATTCTTTTTAAATATTAAGATTTTAAAAAGCCCTAAATGGGCCAAAACCCTCTAGACATTATTGATGGGTATGAAAATTGGTGTAGCACAACACTTCTGGAGGACAATTTGTTGATACAAATCAAAAGGCTTAACCAAGTGCATACACTTTATCTAAAAATTTAAATTTTGTTATTACCTTGAGGAAATAATCGGAAGTATAAACAAAGACTAAATGTAAAATATCTGTTACAATGTATTTTTCCCATGACATGGCAAGTGACAAGTATTATTTCCATAATAGTGAAAATCCAAAACCAAAGTTCAACAGGATATCATGGGATTTATATATATAATGAAATAGCTTTAAAGCTATTAGCAATCTTGGTTCAGAATCTTTCACAAGGAAGTGCTTTTAATATATTGTTAAAAGAAGAAAAACATTTACAGAACAGCATATATTCTATGAAAGCAACAGTTTCCAAATCTAGCAACATAAATACCAAAGTGGTAGAAGTCACTGCCTGGACAACTTTTAATATAGTTATATTGAAATGTAAAATTACAGACTTCTTAAAAGCCTGGTTGACTAATCCAAAAATGCAATTGTTAAAATGACAAATAAAATAATAACTATTGTTTAAAAGCTCTTGAAATTTTCTTTTCTTTCTTTCTTTCTTTTTTTTTTTTTTTGAGACGGGGTTTCGTTCTTGTTGCCCAGGCTGCTGGAGTGCAATGGCTCAATCTCGGCTCACTGCAACCTCTGGCTCCCAGGTTCAAACAATTCTCCTGCCTCAGCCTCCCGAGTAGCTGGGATTACATGCATGGGCCACCATGCCCGGCTAATTTTGTATTTTTAGTAGAAACAAGATTTCTCCATGTTGGTCAGGCTGGTCTTGAACTCCCGACCTCAGGTGACCCACCTGCCTCGGCCTCCCAAACTGCTGAGATTACAAGCGTGAGCCAGCACACCCAGCTGAAATTTCCTTTTTTGTATTGATCTTCACGGATTTAAATTTTAGCTGAACAAAATGCAAAGATGCATCAGTGAAAACCATAAGGGATAAAGTCTTAGCAAGTATTTTAAATATCTTTCTAGAAATATGATTAAAAACTATCCCATAGACTATCCTAGGACTTTTCTTCGTGCCTAAAAATAACTTCAGCTGCCAGACCATTCAATTGTTTTCAGAGTTTAGTGGACATCTGATAATTTTCTTAAGTTAATGGTATTTGTCATCTGTAGCAGGTGAATGATAGTCCCAAAATTCACTTTCTAAAATTTATATTTTTCACTAAAATTCATCAATAATTTTATGAGGAAATATGAAAATCACAATAGACTAATTCTTTGCCTATGAGTTAGAAGTCAGGTTTAGAAAAATTTATAAAAGATAGTGAATGATTACTTTTATGTGATTAGAAAAGAAACTATTTGGCTTCAGTACAGAATGGGAGAAACCAAAAAATGGAAAACTTTAACTTCCTCTTTCACCCCAACATCACATAAAACAAAAAACAAATCATTCTCAGCCATGAATTATAGAAAGTGACTATTTTTAAATGGCCTATCTAGCTATTTATTACATTTTAATTTCTTTTGGAAACTGGATAGCCATATAAAGGTTTTAAAAAATAAGGCTCTGAGGTTTTGGTACCCCAGAAAGATTCTCAATTGGTTGTTTACTATGGTTTTTGGCCAATTACCAAAGAATTATTTGGTGGGTGTGGAAAACAGCCTTTAATTAATTTTCAACTGCAATGTAGAATCCCGTGCAGCTAAAATCTAAACAAACATAAGCATCAATTGTTCTCTAGATCACAGAATTTATCACCTTCCACCAGTCATCACGAAAAGATAGAATACATTTGCATAATATCTGCAGGACACCAAAGGGGCTAATTTTTTTTTAGATACCACATGCAAAATATGACTTCATAAATGGACGGTGGCAACTTTTCCTAATGTCATGCCATGTCTAACCAGTGCTTAGCAACTAGATCACAGCCCAGCAAAATGGAGCCCACTTTGTATAGTTGTAGAGATTTTGTGACTCCACATTATTTACCTGTGTGACTTCTGTCAACTCCTCCAGTTATCGTTGTGTTAATTTTGTGCAGATTGGTACTTCTAATGCTTTATAAATGCCAGACTTCTATTCCTGTGTATTCTAGATCTAAACTGCTCTAGGCCTGCCTGGTCTGTTTTCTAGGGTACATAATGATGTTCTTGATGTTCCACTGAGACACATGTTTTAATCCTTAGGAAATGAGCTTGATTTGGGATGATTACATACAATTTCTCACCTTGTTGACCTTGTTGAAGTTGGAAGAGGTCTGAGACTATCAACAGAACTCGAACTCCTGACCTTGTGACATGCCTTCCAATTCTGTGTGCTGACATATCACAATAAAAATACCTTGAACGTCTACATGCAACACATGAGGTGTAGACCATGGAAATCCTGACTCCAAACAGGAATGCAAATCCTGTGTAAAATTGAAAAATTATTTATCAAATGTGCTTGCATAACCAGCAATCATAAGTGTTGAAGCAAACAAGGCTAGATATTATGTTACAGCTGCAAATTGGAAGCCACTCTGTTACGTGCAAACAAATAACATTCCTTGAACATCCCATAAACATCTCCTGACATACCATTTCTGCTAGCACAACACTGAGAGACCATATGTGTATAAACGGAGGGTGAAGTGTGTGTCAGAAGTTGGTTCCCTGGGACGATCTCATTTGGGGAGACAATGTGATCATCTCTAGTTCACAGAGCTTGGGCTCCATTCCGTAGTCATGCTGGCCTTTAAGAGCCTTGCGGTTCAGCATCTCTGCCATAAATGGGAGAGCTGGCATTCTTTAGGACCTGGGGGAGTTGTTGTGTTCCACTGGAATGTGTTGAATGGCTTGTAAATTAGAGTCCCTAATGAAAACTCGCTGGTGTCCAACTGCAGCAATCATCTGGTTAAAATCAGGCAGTAATTCCACTAATTTTACTGCCCTTCTCCCAGCCCTCAACGCCTCATTTAGGAAAAAATGTTTATGTTCCCCTCAAAACACCTGCGTTTTAACTTCAGTCCCCAGAGCAATTATAGTTTTTATTTTATTTTATTTTTTAAGTCTCTCTGTTGTGAATGAAGCATTCCTCCCCCACTTTTTTTTTTTTTTTGTAAAATGCAAGTAAATAAAATCAATCTTGAAATCTTCGACTGTGGACGTTCTAAGTTGTCATTTGTGTGTGTTTGCCCAGAGCCCAGTTCTGCAGCTGTTGCCCAGACCCCTTTGGTTATTTTTCAGAAAACAATAGCAAAAACCTTCCCAAAGAAGTTTACATTGTGGCTGAGTTCAGATTTGAACCACAACGGTGTGACTGCCACTTACTCAATTTCAAGCCTTCCAAACAGACTGTGGTTTTTATCAAAATTTAGTTCCACTAAGATTCTCCATACTTTTCTCAGTTTAACATCATTAGGAAAAAAAGGTGTTCTGATACTCAAGGAAAAGAAAGTTCTATGGCAAACGCTGGAAAGACAGTATGGAAGTCTGTGGAACTCTCTTTTGTCAGAATGGATTAATAGAGCATTCCCTGGTAGGGAGTTTTTCTGGTTTCAACATGTTTAAATTTTCTGAAAATCAGGTGAAAAGCTTCTCTCGAAGTTAGATAAAAATTCATAACTTTGTATGTTACATTTTATTTCTTGACACAACACAGAGGGAAAAGAATTTTGAGTAACATATACACAACTCTCTCTGTTTGTCTCCAAAGCGTCACCTTTCCCCCAAGCTTCCTCCACCCCATGTCTGGGAAACATCTGTGAGAGGGGTAGGCATTCTGGGTAATGACATGCAAATGAGCCCACCAGTTAACAGAATTTCCTTGTCCAATAATGGAATTGGACCAACATGCAGGTTTTAAATTGGAGCCAGGCTTGCCCAGGCCAGATGTGCAAACAAGAGCACGTGTTCCTGGCTTTAGAGATTGGAGCAGCAGTGCCCTGTGGGGGAGGGGCGGAAGATGAAACCATGTGACAGGGTAGCAAAGAAAGAACCAGAAATGGCTCCGTAGGCTCTCGTGGGTTGTCTGCCTATCAGCCATGTTTAGGTATTCGTAAATATCTGCTAAGTGGGGGATGCCCCCATGATGCCTCCCTGCCCCGTGTTCCCAAGGCCTGCCAGCTTGGCTGAGGGAGGGTGGCTGCCCTGGTCTGGGTATCAGAGGGCTCGCTCTGCCTAGAGTCCTGATGATGTGCCCATTTCCAGAGGCAATCTGAGGCACTTGGGTTATCACGGACCTACAGAGTTCCTCTTTTCCTCATTTACCCTCCTGAAACACAGAAGGGGGAGCAGACTGAACTCCTGTGTCTTAGGCCATCCATTGGGCATCTTTAGAAAAATCCGGTTGCCACAACTAATCATGAAGGTCCAGAATCCCAACTGCAGTCCCTTCCAAGTAAGAGGCAAGTCAGTCAGTACCTGGTGCTACCTACTTAGAAAACAAAACTGATGCCATTAGTTCTGTAACAGTAAAAGGGAATTAAAGTGGCTGTTGAAAGATTAAAATAACAGAGCAAGGAAACACCAAATGAGCTTAAACCAAAATTTGGCTTTTTCAAAATGGCTTGAAGGAGAATTTCAAAGCTTTTCTTGTTTGAAATGAAAAGATATCTTACCATTTTTTTAAAAAAATGAAAGCCAGCAAAGTATTACATTATAGATGTCACAATTAATGATCATCATCCAACCAAGGCTCACTGAGGATCAGAAAATGAGCAAACATTTGGATATACTTCTCAAGGATGATGGATATATTTAACTGACGGCTATTGAATTTATCAGGGTCAGTTAGCATAATGAAAACATATTTTATTAGGCTGTTAAAAGGATAAATTGTTTTCATATTTATTCATCTGTTCCCAAGGCTAATTTTGGGGTTTTTAAAACATGCTTTTCATGTTCTTAAAATGAACAGCTAAATAAATAAAGCATTAGTTTGAGACCAGAAGTAGCCACCATAGATATAACAGTACTTTTCAGTACAGGCCAAAGTAATGATTTTCTGACTTGATGTTCATCAGCCAGAGTCACCAGAATTCCCAAGCTAATAGAAAATAAATAAAAGTAAAAATATACTTTTATTATATAAAAGTAAGGGGAAAAAAAGAACCCCAGCTAAGGTCAGGTTGATGTTTTTTACATGAAACGCAAAACCAATGTAATTCTATTTATTATTTAAGCTGAGGACACTTTCCTCAACTCAATGCTGAGTACATTTTCATGGTCTGAAGAATATGAGGAATCTGGAAATGCTCCAGTTTATTTGCTTATTTAAATAAACAACAGCATTCTCAATTAAGATGGGAACCCTTACATACTGTCTGCCAAAGCATGTTTTGGGTTGTAGACACTTTCAGAGAGGAAACACTGTCAGAAGGGGCAATATCCACTTTGCCATTGAACAGTGGAGTCTACACACTCCTACACACTCTTAATTCTAAGCCCAGGATTAGCAAATAGTCCTCATGTAGTAGAGTTCAGAGGGCGCTTAGAAAAGATCGCTAAACTATGGTTCCCGGGATTGTCCTAGGCCTGTTGGTGTTTGTTATGTCTCTTCTTCCATTTAATAGTCCTGATTCCACACACATAAAATGAAGCCAAAATTCAATTTGATACTCACCCACCCTCCAGTCCGTCTGCCGCAAGTTCCCTCTTCGGATATTATAGCAAGAATTGTGCCTTGATTTTCTCTTCAGTTAGTTTAGTCTCAGCTTCAATCATTGGCTCTTCCCACTCCCTGCTCTTTAAATGCTGATCGTTTTGATGGTGCTGTTCCCAGTTATGTTCACTTTGTAGTCCCTCAGTAACTTCAATACATTCATGCCTGTGATTATCACCTGTCTCTTCAGCTCTGACATTGCTGTGTAAAACCAGTCTTGTATTTTCAGCTGTCTATAGGTATCCTGTTTGGAGAATCCGTAGGTATCTCAGACTCCTTGCAACTAGAAAATACACTTTTGTAAATGTCATTCGGCAACATCGCTTCTTTTTCTTGTCCTCCTTTGGTTAAGGAAGTCACTCTCCACTTTGACCCCTCATCCTTTACCCATAGTATCAGTGGAACACTAAGTACCATTGCCTATGCCTCAGAAAGATTTCCAAAATGAGCCCCCTCCACTCCACGCACACACTCTCACTGCCCTAAACTAGGTCCCATCATCTCTTGCTCTGATAGTTGCAACAGTGTTTCTCTCACTCATTCTCTCTTCCCCAGTTAATGCTCTATAGCATGACCAGGTGTTATTTTGTTTTCCCTAAAAAAACCAATGGATAATGTCTCTGGAGAAAAAATGTCCTTTGAGCCTTTTCTGCTGCTTACTGGGTGAGATCCAGATTCTTTACTGCATCGTTAGAACACAATCTTTCTTTTCAGTTCCTCTCCTGCCATCCCTAACCTGAGTCATCATTCACCACATTGATGTCTTCCTTGTCCCCATCCTCCCGGCAGCACTGGGTCTGCACATCTGTGTCTTGGCACATGTTCTTCCCTCCTTTTTGTCTTGAAGTAGTCTTAGAGTTCAGAATAATCAAAACCCTTCTTTGGTAAAAATGTCTTGAGGACAGAGGTGAAAGTTTGTGTAGTATAATGTCATTGTCAATTGTGCCATAACATTTTGTAGTAGCTACTTACTACAGATAGTAAGATAGTTGATTATTGCTGGAAGAAAATATTGGCAGAATTATCCTTCAGGCTTTATCATAGGGAAGTGAAAGAGAAGGAAGTTTCAATGTGAAGTAAGTTGGCTTCACGGTCTCAAATATAGAGTTCTCTGTATGCCAAGAAAAACACATGGGAAATGTACATAATTGGCCCAAGAAGACAACTCGATAGGAAACCCAAGTGATGGATACAAGAAGAGTTTGTCAATATGCAAGGACCTGGAAGTTGATCCCCGACACATCTAGGCTATTACAGAATCTGGCATCTCTCTCCACACTCCGGTAGCAGCAATCTAGGCCACAATTTACATTTTACATTTGTGTTAGCTCCTGGAATTGGGTAGGGGAAGTGTTTGAGGCGTAGATTAGAGAGAAACAGACCGAGCAGCAGCAGTAGAGGAACAGGCAGGCATGCAAAATGTGCAACAAAGGGCAGATAGAAGTATTTGCTTCAGCTTTAAACCAATGTGTGTGTAATTAACAGCTCCAATTCATGATTTAATTTCCCCAACATATTACTCTTTATTGCAAACCCTTCATGGAACATTGTGAATTGGCTGTGAATCAGAAAGATGGTTCAAGACGGGCCTGACATAGTTTCCTTCGGTTTCTTGGAATTAAACTTGGTGCTGGTGACAGACAGTATCCCAATAGCAAAGTTCAAATCCCCTCTGTTCCTCAGCAGCAGTATATTCAGGAAATTAGCTGAACCACCTAGTCCTGTCCTGTTACCGTGACACTGCACGGGAACCAGCAGGTTCACTTTGAGAATGGTGATTTCTTTCCTGTTCAACTGCTAGTCTCTCTACCAAGACCACCTACAATTGCCAATTAGCAGGAATTGAAAAGGGATTCATGCTAAATGAATATCTGGATTTGGCTTCATTTTCACATTTGTAGTTGTAACTTTCAGATGGTTACAGCTTCCAGTCCCCTCTAAGGAAATAAAATTTAAAACAGAAACAGAAACTAAATTCTTCATCTCTAAAGGGAAAACAAGAACTACACACACACACACACACACACACACACACACACACACAAACGCACACAGAGCAAACCCACCCTCATCTGAATTTTTAAAACACTCTATCAATTTGATGATACAGAGTGTGGTAGACGCTGAGAGTGAACATGTTTTTCAGAGACAGGAAAGAATAAAACTATCGGGATATTATGAAATTCATTGAATGAGTCTTAAATTTTTGTGGTAACATGCTGCAGGTTCAGATTCTATAATCATCTCTAAAGCACATATGAGCAAAGGAAGAAAACTTGATCATAAGGAAACATGAATTTTTTAAAATACGGCTCTACTCACACAAAAAAGAAATGAACAGCCCACAATTCTCTTAATAATTCAAACATAATTCTCTACTTTTCCTTAATAAGTTTTGTCTTAAATATTTTTTCTGTCTGAAATAGCCAAGTGATTTCTTTAAATGCCTACTTTGTGTACACGCAGGCAGAGTGTACACATTTGAGTATGTTGTATAATTAATTTTCAAGTGAACGAAGAATATGCCAACATTTAATGTACTGAGTTCATTACTAGCACAATGGAAACCTCACTTATAAATGTGGGTAAACTATTTTTTTCCTTCTTATTAAACATACATATATTGTGTAAATAGAAAACAATTTCCATTTTTAAAAGCTTCCTTTTTTTTTGTACATCTGCAGATACCAAAAAAGCTATACTCCATCATGAATTTGATCAGAGAGCTGAAATAAACTCAAATTATAACAAGCCACAGGTCATGAAAAATGTACTGTCATTTGGGTTTTTTTTTTAGTAAAGCAGAGAAAAAATAATTTTATGACTAAATATGATGTTATCTGTTCTTGTGTGTAAAAAATTTGACTGAACTGATCCAATTTACGATTAGTCAAAATGGGTAGATCTAGAGTCCCTTCTCCTTTACCCTTTAGTTGTTCAATGTGTGTATGACAATACAATTGGAGGAAGAAGAGAAAACATGGCAGTACTATTTTTAAATCCTAGGCCCAATTCCTGCCTCTTTGTGGCATGTACCTGATATGTTTTGGGAGAAGCTCATATGTGTGACATGCTTCTAGATGGAATCACCTTCTATCCAACGTTAAGTGGATACTCAACCAAATAGTGCCCTGTTGCCTTAATTTTAATCTGGAAAGTAAGTTAGCCCTAGAAATACTCAAAACCAGAACCTCAAAATGGCAAAGAGTTATCTAAAGTCCTAAATATCTATGGTTATACAATACAGTAATGCTTTTCAAGATTGTATCAAATTATAGTTTTGTTTTGCATAAAACTTATGTTGGTTGCTGCATTTTCCCAGCACTGATTATAATTTTACTGAGCTCTCAAAGGACACTCTATATAATATCTGGACCATTCCCCCACATCCTTACTATGACCCACCAATGGGTGGTCAGGTCTCTTGTGGGAAAACCAGCATTACAGCATATTCCAACCTTGCACCATTTTATTCCATGCAAATTACGCCATAATTAAATTGGCCAAAGGACAGTTATACAGATATATATATATATACACACACACACACACACACACACACACACATACACACAATCATATATATATAATTATACATACATATAAAATCCTCATTGCATTTATCAGTGTGTCTTGTCTTGCTCTTTTATGAAATCGCCTTCAGAGTTCAAAGAAGTATTACTAGCCATCTATATATTATCTTTGTATTACATCCAGTATACATCAAGAATAAAAACAATATCTAGATAGGCAATGAAAGGATTTGGTGGAGAATAAAATGATGATGAGTATATTGGGAATGCTTTTAGTTTTCATAACTTTAGTTTTTTTTTTTTTTTTTTGAGATGGAGTCTTGCTCTGTCACCCAGGTTGGAGTGCAGTGGCTCCATCTCGGCTCACTGCAAGCTCCGCCTCCCAGGTTCATGCCATTCTCCTGCCTCAGCCTCCGGAGTAGCGAGTAGCTGGGACTACAGGCGCCTGCCAACACACCTGGCTATTTTTTTTTTTTTTTGTATTTTTAGTAGAGATGGGGTTTCACCGTGTTAGCCAGGATGGTCTCGATCTCCTGACCTTGTGATCTGCCTGCCTCCGCCTCCCAAAGTGCTGGGATTACAGGCGTGAGCCACCACGCCCGGCCTAGTTTTCATAACTTTAGTTCTAACTTGTTTTTTCTCTTCTAGAACTGTATTATGGTATTTACCTTTGAGAAAAACCTCAACTTTGATCGGTCATATTAAATAGATGATTCTGCTTATATTTTAGGTGGGTGCCCCACGTGGATATGTGCTCCATATTTAACCTAACTTCTCAGCTTTACTGCATGCCAAGTTTCAAAAAAGCTTTCAGTTTTTAAGGATCCTGGAATAATCCTACATCTAAACCTACAGAGAGTCCTTTGGCTCAAAGCCCTAAAATATCTAATACCGTGCATCACTCTTACAAGGCCATTGATCTTTTAGAAACTGGAATACTTTGTTTTACCTCCCTTCTAACCCCAAGAATGGACGAACCAGGCAGAGCACACACTCACAATTTTATGGTGTCCCATTGTAGATGAAGCCCACGCAAAAAGGCCAAGAGAAGGGGAAATCTTCTTTTAATGCTGGGATAATTTGAAAGACAATGTGAATACTTTAGGCCTGAATTATCTGGTTGGGCTTTAGTGCCAATTAAGTTAACCCAATAAATTATTCTAGGGCTGATAATTTGCAGTGAACAAAGAGAAGCAGAGGGTGAAGATAAATACCTGAAGGATTCATTTACAAACTCAGTTAATAATGTTTTCTGTCCTAATTGCTCAGTTTGGCTATCTAAGTTGATCTATTTGCTGTGTAATTATATAATTGCTTAATTCTCCACTCCAGGTTGTTGAGAGGATTAAATGAAATAGTATATTTAAGGAATTAAGTAGTGCCGGTTCCACCTATTTATCTCTGGCCCATTCCCCCGCATTCTTAGTACAACCCACCAATGAATGGGTGGTCAGGTCTCTTGTGGGAAAAACTTGCATTACAGCATTTTCCAACCTTGCACCATTTTACTCCGTGCAAATTACACCATAATTAATTTGGCCAAAGGACAGTTACACAGATACAACTACAGGCCAGGATTACATCCTGAAAACCAAAGCTATAGAATGAACTCCCTGAGCATCCGTGAGTGAGAATGTCTAAAAGACTAGAACAAAGGGGGCTCACATTTTGTGGATGCATTATATGTGCTGTCTGATTTAGTCTTCACGAGAATTCTCTGAAGGTTAAATGAACAATTTTATAGAAGATGCTAAGATTCATTGAGGTTCAATAATGCTTCCCAAGTTGCGTAACTGTGAAGCGGTAGGAGTAAAACATTTGCCCACAGCCTTTATTCTTTCCAGTACACCGTGGGCCCTTCAGATGCAGTGCCATTCACCCAAGGGGCATAGCGTCTTATATTTCAACTTGAAAAAGATGCACATCATGGACAAAGATATATATTTGGCTAAATTTTATAGATTGGATAGCTTACTTTGGATTTAAATGATAGCAGCCAAAGATTCCATTGGTTTTTAAACTGGATTATTTTCTTTTCCTGTTTTGAAAAAATATAAACCAGTGAATTGAGAGCAATAGTTCTTATGGAAAGGTGTGTCAGCTTCAGATTACTCATTTGCTGTGCTTTATCCAGTGGGGTCCCACTTGTCCTCTTGGGGACACCCACGAAATCCTGTGTGACTGTAGTGACAGACAGTAGAAGACCTATAGAGAGGAGGGAAAAGGGAGTGAAAAAAAAAAAGGATTTGGTGTAGCTATTCCCCATATAAATATTAATGGAGAATTCTTTGGTCTTGAGCTGGAAAAATGGGTTTAATTTTTCTGTCATAATCCTCTTTGACTTGTGCCCTTGAGCAAGTCTCTCATCTCTCTTTATCTTGGTTTCATCAGCAGCAAAACAACACCAGCCAGGTCTACTAGGCTTCTTGTGAGATCAAATGGAAGGATCTATGTGAAAGGTCTTTGAAACATAAAAGCAAAGGGCACTGTGCAAACGTGAGGATTATTTGCAGTCAGTCTGTTCCATTTCTGTTGCCAGGCAAATCTTTGGATATTTGCCCCAACCACAACATCCTCATGACGGGCATGGTGCATGGTAGAAACCGGAAACAGGCCACTTTCACATTATTTTAAAATTTGTTATGAAATTTTGCCAAAACTTTATAAATACCAGCCAGGGCCATGGGGTGTTGTACCACATTCTTTCCACCTCATGAACCATTGTTTTTTGTTCTGAACTCGTAAGTTGAAATGCATTGAGTTGCAGTTGCTTAGCTGGGTCAGCTTGTGAAATGCCTGATATGTAATGCTTGATTCTAGCCAATTATCTTTAGTTCCTCTCTTTTATTAGTGTTAAATTTGAATTACAACGGGAAGGGTGGGAGTGGAGTGCGTACTATGCGCTAAACCTTTAAGGCAGTGAATTCATTTGTATTATTTTATTATGCCTCTTTATAGCCACCATTGGTTTCAGTCCTTTGTTGATTTTTAGAAGACTCCAAACTCATCTTTCCCTCTGTTTTGTTTTAAACCTGTTTCCTAAAAGCAAAAGATGAACTTTTCTGTTTCAAAGTGTGATAGAAAAAAAAAATAACAACTCACAACAATCTTAAACTTGTAGTTAACAAAATAAACTGCAGATAAAACCCCTGAAGGTCTTGGCAGCAAATGTTTCCCACTAAAATGGAACTCTGTGCACTCATAGTCTGAAACAAATTAGGAAGGAGGGGGAAAAATCAACAGCTCTGGGGTGAAACTGGGGTTGGTGCTGCCTCATCATTTTTAAACCAAAAATAAAACAAGCAAATTTTGTTTAACTGCAGGTCAAAATAAAAAAAAAATTAAAAAGTCCCTCATCTGTTCAGTGTAATTACTAACAGAGTGCAGTCTTACCAGCTGCAGGGTTCATGGATAAATGGAAAGAACCATAATTTTCTCTCCCTGGGGTTAAACCCCCAAACTTTAAGTCTGTTCCTCTACAGTATGCTTTTAATATACCATGAGAAGCCAAGTCAGAACATTTTTAGCGTATGTCTCTACTTTTTTTTAACCAGAATGAAATAATTATGTACACATAAGAGTTAAAGCTCTGCGGAAAAAAAAAAAATTCTTTCTCCAATGTCCTCAATTAGGACACTGTATCCCTTCCCTAATGATGACTGTATGGTCTCCAGGTTTTTGTCACCAAGAGATGGGCGGAATTGGCTGTACTTGAGATTTCTCAAATATTGCCAATTTCTTTTCAAATGTTCTTGTTTCATCACCACCAGAAAAAGTGTTTCCTTGTACATTTCACTTAATTTTAAGCCCGAGTGTATATTAAGAAAATTTGACCCATATGTTCCTGATTTATTTACACTTAACTCATTGAACTCTTCTTTTATTACTATTTTTAACATTTTTGGTGTCCAAAATACCCAGTGAATTTTTTTTTTTAAACCATCCTTAAGCCCTTATTTCATTTTATTTGCATAAAAATGTCTAATTTGAGCTGAAAGGAAATGGAATTTGAGCTTAAATTTCTCAATTTGGGTTTGAAATTGAATTCATCAGTTTCCTGTGGGGGTTTGCAACAGAAGCAGAAAAACTATGTTTTTTTCACCTCAAGGTAGGCTTTTCTTAATGGGTAATTTCACCTTGTTGATAGGATCTAATGGAGAAACATAGATTAACCACTGGGTGTAAGTATTCATTTCATAGCAATGTGAACGGTGGGCTGGAATTGTGGAATAGCTGAAGCTGTCAAAAACCCTTACAAGGATATCCAGGATCCAATTAACTTCCTCACTCTCTCTACATTTGACCCAGAAAGAAGGAGTATATATTCAGGAAGGGGACTAGCCTTCTAGAAGGTGGGTCAGAGGTGAGCCAAATATAAGTGACACTGAGAGACTCCGGAGAAATTCACAGAAGATTCACACCTGGGCATACTGTGTTCACCCCAACCCTGACCATGGAGCACGGGGAAACGTGCCTTTGGGGTTCTGACCAAGGTAACCCTCTTGACAGCAAGAAGAAAGGTATTTGTAACTCTCTGTATTTGGCATTGCCATTGCAACAAGTCCCAAAGGAAAAACACAACCATATTTTCCCTGTTCAATTTCTCTATTTGGGAAAGGTTTACAATCCAGACCTGAAATGTAGGTTGTAATTACATACAGCATAGATCTAGATTGCATCTTCATAGGCCAAGTAAAAGAATATTGAACAATAATCCCAATTTTGCCACATAGAGTAAGCAAAATCACTCAACAGCCTTGAGTTTTCCTTTGCCGCCTGTAAATTGCTTGTGATTATTTCTCCCCACAGCCTCATATTGTAACGCTGAGAACTAGACAAATTAAGGTTCAGATTATAGTTTTTTTCTTATCAAGAGCCTCGGTTTGGGAAATTCTTCCTCTGGAGGTAGGTAGATACATCTACTTTGACATGTTACCAAGATTAAATGAGTTAATCTATAGTTATTAATTCAATGTCTGGCACAAGTAAGGACTCAGTACACGTGACTACCATATTTATTCAATTCTAGTATTTTCTCACATTTTAACAATCTTGAAAGCAGACTGTGCCCTACCATAGAAGGTATCTTATAATCATGGCTTTCCAGGTGGCAGTTGTGGTCTAATTGCCTCAGCTTGCAGATGTGTAAACATCAAAATCTTCAGCCTCAAAACTAGCAGAATGATTGTTAATGACTTGGAAAAAAATGTCAGAAACTATAGTGAGCTCCCTTCTAATTATTAGAAACCAAATAGGTAGGGAGAGAGAGTAGGGTGAGATGACAAATCAAGCATGCTTAGCAACATTCCTGAAGTGGGAGTCAAGAGCAGGCTGCGTCTTCATTACTGCAGAGCTGGCCTGGGAGTCCAGCACTGGTGGTGCATAGTTATTTTCTTAAAAGAGTTCATCACCATCTCCCTTTATGGCATTGAGATAGGTATTCGGCAGGCCTGGTTTCACAATATACAGGTCACAAAGACTCTGCTGATAAAACAGGATGCAGTAAAGAAGTGGCCAAACCTGCCAAAACCAAGATGGTGATGACAGCCACCGCTGGTTGTTCTCTTTGCTCATTATGTGCTAATTATAATACATTAGGATATGAAAGGAAACTGGCACCAGTGTAATGACAGCTTACAAATGCCATGGCAACATCTGTAATGAGAGGTGAAGCCAGCTGGACTTCCTGGGTAGAGTGGGGACTTGGAGAACTTTTCTGTCTTACAAGAGGATTGTAAAACGCACCAGTCAGCGCTCTGTAAAATGGACCAATCAGCAGGACATGGGCGGGGACAAAGCCAGGGAATAAAAGAAGCTGGCCACTCCCCCCTCCCCACAGCCAGCAGCGCAACCTGCCCGGGTCTACTTCCACACCGTAGAAGTTTTGTTCTTTTGCTCTTCACAACAAATCTTAACTGCTGCTCACTCTTTGGGTCCACACCACCTTTAAGAGCTGTAACACTCACTGCAAGGGTCTGTGGCTTCATTCTTGAAGTCAGCGAGACCACGAACCCACTGGAAGGAGCCAACTCCGGACACAGTAAGTTACCCTATATGGTCTGAAAGGGAGAGGAACTCTCAGTTCCCAGAATTCCCAGCTCCGTTCCTGGAAAACTTACAAATAATTCACCCTTTGTTTAGCATACGATCAAGAAATAACCATAAAAATAGCCAGCAGCCCTTGGGGCTGTCTGCTATGGAGTGGCCACCCTTGTATTCCTTTAATCTATTAAACTTGTCTTCACTTTACTCTGTGGGCTCCTGCTTGAATTTCTTCCCGTGCAAAGCCAAGAACCCGTGTGGCTTCCTGGGCTGAACCCCAGTTTTGGCATTTGCCCTGTGACGGCATAGAGTGCAATACTGGAAGTGAAGACTCCGACACTGACATCAATGATTTGGAGTAAATAAGTGATTCAGTACAGTCATGCTCTGAATGTAAAAAAGTATTAGGAATTTCTTAAGTCATTTATTTTGCATATATAGGCAAGCACACACACACACATATACATACACAAGAATGATAGATGACAGAAATACTCGGGTCTTATAAGAGCCTTCTCAAGTATAACATAAGCATTCTAAGTGGTAAGAAAGTGTATTTCCATAGTTTCATTGGCAGTGGTTTTTCCTTTTTTCTTTTCTTGCCTAATAATACATACACTAAGGGTTTGATTTACGGTGGATGGGATCTTAGATTTAATAAAATGTGGAATTTGATTGGTGAGGATCAAGTGCTATATTGAATGAAGTAACTAGAATAACAGTGGGCACATTGTGGATATTTACTGAATATTTGCTAAACGTAGGGAACATAGTGTAATGGACACTGCACCATCTGACTTCTACCTGCCATTCCAAACCTATTTCCTGTCATGGTTTACAATCCTTTCCATGCTCCATCCCCACGCAGGGTCTTTGCACAGGGTTTCATCTATGTCTGTTCTGTATCTGCCTTGTTCTTCCCTCTTCTGTGTGGCCTCCCATAGTAGTTGTTCCTGTTGCTCAGTGATGTTCCTGGTTCTCTTCCTCTGCCCAACCATACAAAAGGATTTTACTGAAAGTCACCCATGGCTGTGCGATTTGCTTTGGCCAAAGAAATGCAAGGGGAGCCCATGTGTTCTACTGGAAGGTGAAAGTACAGAAGAGCCAATATTCTCTTCTCTCCTCTCTACCCCACTGCTGTAGCAAATTCAGAAGCACTGTGTTGAGGCAGTGTTTTTAAGATAGAAGGAAGTGTCATGGAATGCCAAGCTGCCAGGGTTCACATCATATAGATATTTGCAAAGATGTGGTCTAAAAAGCATTTGCAATCACCAAAACAGCATGTCTAAGGAATGAAGCAAAGTCAGAAAGAATTGAGGGCCAGAATAAGGAACATGATGTTTTATCTGTGGCTTAATAAATTCACCTTGCAACCTTTGCTTATTCTGTGGATGATGTATACTTCTAGGCTTTTCAGTTCAATTAAATTACAATTTTCCTGTACAAAGAAAAGCTGATGTAAAGCCCCCATTTGTAGCACCTCAGATAGCTGTAGCCTGTAAAATTGTTGACAGAAAGGCTTGGAAATGAAAATAAAAACATCATCAACAACAACAGAAACCTTCCTGAATTCTCCTCCTACTTGTTCAGCCCCTGTGCTTTTGCACTCGGATGAACCTTTGCCATGAATAGCCTTACTGTGTCCTTTTAACAATAATATCTTAAACTTTTATAGTGCCTTATAGCTAAGCATCTCTAGACATTTTACAATCACATTAAAACGAAAGCTGGTCCTTTTCTCAGAATTGCCACAGGGGCCACACTAAAAGCCAGCAGTTTGCTACTTTATTCTGAAAAGGAGGGGAGGCTAGTGGGCTGATAGAATAGAGGATGACCCCTGTCTCTCAGCATCCCTGGCTGGAACAGCCTTCGCTGCATGATGGTAGAAGGCAGGAGAGTGAATGAGAATTCACAGCCAAGGAAGACTTGTGATCCACAAATACGTGCAAAACACAGGGACGATGTAAAACCACAGCTCTCGATTCTCATAACCCACATCCCTCAGCCTAAGCTTTCACACACACACACACACCCCCCACACATACCCTGGGTGGAATTCTGAATTATTTGTAATTACAATCAAAGATTTACTTGATAGAAAATGAATTTTCTTATTTGAGCAATCTCAAATCTTGTGTTGGGAGATGTGTGAAAATATTTCTGCCTTGAAAATCTATTTTTACTTCAAGTATATGATTAAATTATCTCTATCTGTCTATCTATCATCTTTCTTTTGGCTCTTCAACACATTGTTAAAACGTTTAGGATTCATCAGGTCAAACCCAGTTTTCTTTTTTTTTTTCTCAATTACAAGGATTTAATGGATAAAGCTTAAGATTCAAAGCTGGAGCTACATTAGTAAAGTGAAGAAAGAATTAAGGCAATTATCTCAGTAATTAAGGGGATCAGCCAAACCTTTTTTGGCTGAGATGCCTAAATAAATGGAAGAAAACATGGATTGGAGGAGGTTGAATCACTTCCATTTTCGGAATAAAAGCCGCAAATGGCCATTTCACATTGGTAATCTAACTCCAGTCACAAATTGTGACTTTTTCCCCTTAAAGTAATACAAAGGCTTTCGGTCGTTAGTAATTCATTATTTAGGCAAGTCTTTCCGCGTAGCTGTAGAGAAAGGCAGGAGATGAGCTTGTTTAGCCTTCCAGAGTTCTCTAGAAGGTGGCACCCAGAATAATGGAGCTCACCTACCTGGGTGCTGCAGCCAATCCCTGCGCAGGGCGCCTTCGTAGCGCAGTCTGTGCATTGGAGCTGAGCGCCGTAACACCAAGGCTCTGGGAAAGCATCCAGTGGGATTTCTTAAACCCCTTTTACGACGCCTTTTCCGCCAGGGAAGTTTCTGCACAAACCCAGACTCAGGTGGGCTGATACTTCTCCCCCTAGGCTGCCACACCCGGAGAGGGCAGGCCCAGGGCACAAGTGTTTTCTTTGCCTCTCTGCTTTTACTGCCGAGCTCAAGTTGAGTGTAGCTGCCATTAAAAACGACAAATGTGTTCTAATTTTAGAGCATCATAGCAATAATTGTTTTTATTTCAGTGGTGAGGAAAAGTGAAGGAAAAACAGCTTGGGACTTAATAACCACCTTAGCCTGCAGCCTTCGACTTTATTCATGAGATTTTTTATCTTCCTTCTCTCTCGCCTGCATTCTTAGGATCTTCTTTAAGGCACAGCCTTAAATTACCTTTGCAAAGGTTGTATGTTTATTTACAAAGAGCTGGCTCTGAATGTGCCTTCCAAGGCGAGAGGGGTGGCTTCTGGTAATAAACATCTTCCGCTCTCTTAACCACAGAGGCCAACTGCAGAAGGTGATGTTTAGTACTTCAGACATAGTATAGTTTATGGCTTCATTAACCATCTGACCCGTATTGTGTGCAGATTTCATGAAAGTGTGATGCAGGTTTATTCCCTGAGGTATGCTGCTTGGTGGTATTTTATTCTCACAGGGAAGTTGTAGTAATTATCCCTCAAGGTAAGAGTTTTCGTTTTTATACAACAAATTAGAAATTCAGTCATATATACATAAGGTATTTACCTAACACACACCTATTCCCTAATTATATACATAGTGATGGGAATCTCAGCTCCACCCCGGCTCATACCATCATTTAAGTGAAATAAAAAACTGTCATGACAAGCTGACTCGTACGACATAAAGATTTATATTGGGGTCTCAAATATCTAGCGATTTTTAAAAATTGGATATATATTTTTAAATTCAAGATTTCCAGATAAGTAGTATATTAGGCTAAAAATAAAGGAAAACATAGACAGTGATCTGATTCATTTTATATTTAGAAATAGCCAAATGTGGAAACAAATACTCCTGGTGTGTGTGTGTGTATATATATTAGTCAATATATCACTGAAAAAAATTATATGGTAAATTTGTGTGTGGGAAAAAGGGAAAACGTGAAAAGTTGAAAGTTACGGTCTAGGTTTGTGAATTTATGCAGCATAATGATAATCATTGGCTTTTTCACTTGTGTTCAAGACCTTCCATAATTATTTGAGCCTTCTGCGGGGAGCACTGTTTCCCCAACTGCGTTCACACCTGATTACTTTTGTTCTTTCCAAAGTTCTCATATGTGGAAGGTTCTATATACTGGCCAGAACCATCCATCCAGGTTTTTCCCTCCATCTCCTGCCAGTCATTGTCACTCAGTAATATATTAATGTGTACTTCTTCCCATGTGTGTGCTTATACATCTTATTTCCCCAGTTATATTGACAAGCTTTGGGAGAGCTGGAACTGCATCTTTCTTTTATTCCCCTTTTGCATTTCATTATTGCCTACCTCTCCCATAGTAAGTTCTCAGTAAACATTGTTTGATCGACTGATATTAAATGAAATAATGATTACCAAGAACTTAGTGTAGCATTTGGCACTTAGTAAGTGTTCAGTAAATGTTAGCAGTTCAGTCAGTTTGTTAACAAAGAAGAGGGAAAAAGAAATATTTCAGTGTCTTTCTTGCTTAACACAGTTAAACGAGAACTTGATGTAAAGCCTTGTCATATCCAAGTAAGAGGATCACTTAATATTTCTCATGCATTTCCCTTTTCCTTTGTTATTAAACACTGAGCACTTCACCTAGTGGAAACCTTGATGATCCATCCAGTTATCTCTAGTGATCTCTGACAACAAAGCATACATTTTCCAGATGCCTGTCGACAAACGGTCATTTTTCCAATCTCCCGCCACTGAGCGTGGCGCTGGAGAATTTGGATGGGAGCTGCTGTTCCCTGACTCTTCCCAGCAGCCAGAGGCCCAGCATAGGATTCCTTCTGATCCTTTTATGACGCATACTCTCTCTTAGTGTGGTTCTGTTTAACTACACCTTCCTAATCATAGCAATTAAATAAACTAGAACCTTTTAACTTATGTTGGAATATATACAGTTCTTATTTGAGCAATGCCTAAAATAAAATGCCAAGCTGACACATTTTGTTTTTTCCTACAGGAGGGGATGTCTTTCCCCCCTTAACCCTCATATCATGTAGGAGAAATTTGCAATGAGGCATGGCCCTAACACACTGAGGATAATTGTGACCAATGGGAAAATTTCCAGAAACTTTGTAAGAGGCCAAGTCTGTAGAAGATAACGGGGAAGTCGATTGCCTCAGAAATTGGAGTGAGCTAACACAGATAAGTCATGTCTCATTTTTTCATTCTTTTAAAATTTTGATAATTTAAGTGAAACATGCCTACTTTTAAAATTTTTGTTGTGCCTTCCTCCTGCTTGGTCCACAGTCTTTATCTGAAAGATCTTTATTAGGTTAGATGAGAGTTATTAATAAATCCCCTACTGAAATTTTTGCTTCAGATAAATAGAAACTAATTTTAATGGATGGAAAAAATGAGAAACTCCATTTCAGTGAATTATAGGCTTTTAGATGGCATGGCAGAGCTGACCCTAGCAACCCAGCGGCAAATAGACTTTATGGTGGGAAGAAAGTTGTGCCACAAGGCTCCTTAATAGGATAGAAACTTCCCAAGGAGTGAGAGATTTCAGGAAGGAGAAAGCGGAGAACAATTGCTAGGAACTGAAGATGGGAAAGATATCACAGCAGATAAAGAGATTTCCTCTTGACATTACCTAGCAATTGACATTTGGTTGTGCAGGTTGTACACTGAGCAAATTTAGAAGGCATTGTTTAGATGTGAATTGTGTCTCCTAGAGGTCTGTACTACACAGTCTGTTGTATCTCTTCATCTCATTTCACTGATCTTAACATGGTAATCATGGGGATGCTGTGAGGACTATGAAAAGTGATTTTGCCACATGCAGTGCCTACCTGGCAGGCATCAGACATGAGAGTGTGTGCCTGGCAACAGTGAGGAGGCTCAGTAGCTTGGAGTTCGTCAGGTTTATGTGCACCAGGGACCCAAACCCTCTGGTAGTAAAAAAGGGGGAAAAGACAAGGAGAATTGCTGGGGTGACTATCTTTGTTTATGGTGATCATGGCTATTGTAAATAGCAATTCTTCCCCATGTCAGTGGCTTCATACAATATGATTTCTTTGTCAGTCACATAAGTTTGAAGTAGACTTTTCTCCAAGGTGGTGTCCTTCCAGAAGTCTGTCAGAGGCCCTGGTGCTTTCCAGCATGTGGCTCTCACTTCTTCAGCAGGTGCCAGGGCTGCTGCAGGAGAAAGGGCATGGAGGATTGTTCCTGAACAATCTGAACACCTGACCTCAAGTGATACACCCGTCTTAGCCTCCCAAAATGCTGGGATGACAAGCATGAGCCACCACGCCTGGCCCTCTTACTCTTTTTTAAAACCACACTGGGGATATAGAAACGTGTGACATCTTTCAACTGTCTTTACCACATTTGCAAAGTTTTTTCACCTTTTGTTTAGTTCTGTTTACTAACAGATACAAAGTCTGAAATTCTGTTGACCATGTCTGCCTAGGACTGACATCACGTTTCTTAAGTTCTATTAGTCTAATCACTGTCATATGGCCACAGCCAACTTCAAGGGAAGAAGAGAGAGGCAGACTGGCTGTCTGTCCAGGAGGAAGAGGAAATTAACCTCTTGCGTAATTTTGCCAACACCACCTGGATGTCTTCTTTTATGCTGGTACAACAATATAGCAGCATCATCCTTGATGTGAGCCTTCTGGATTCAGAAGCCAGACTGCATCCATACGGGATGTTTCCTTTCTCTCCAAAGACTAGAATAAAAGTAGTGACAGAGGTGGAAAGATCACACACATAAGGACACACGATTTAAACCTAAGTGGAAAATATACTTAAGAAATTAAATTATAGTATTGTATTTATTTTTGAATGTTTACTGTCTCATATAATTTATAATTTGTCCTACTTATTTAATGGGAAAACATCATCTGTTTCAAAGAGTTTGGACAAATATTGATTTATTAATCTAAAAGGAAGGATTCAATTGTATTGGCTTTCCTGATTCCTGATCCAACTGGAATCTATAGGAAACATCCATTTGATTCTCTCTCTCTCTCTGCTCCTATTCTTTTTTTAATTTTTATTTTATTTTTAGTTTTTGAGACAGACTCTTGTTCTGTTTCCAAGCTGGAGTGCAGTGGCATGATCTCAGCTCACTGCAACCTCTGCCTCCTGGGTTCAAGTGATTCTCATGCCTCAGCCTCCCAAGTAGCTAGGATTACAGGCACACGCCACTGCACCTGGCTAATTTTTGTGTTTTTAGTAGAGACAGGGTTTTGCTGTGTTGGCCAGGCTGGTCTCCAACACCTGACGTCAAGTGATGCATCCACCCTGGCCAAAGTGCTGGGATGACAAGCATGAGCCACCGCACCTGGCCCTCTTAGTCTATTTTGAAACCACACTAGAGATAGAGAAACATGTGACATCTTTCAACTGTCTTCACCACATTTGCAAATTTTTTTCATCTTTTGTTTAGCTTTGTTTACTAACAGCTCTAAAGTCTGAAATTCTTTTCTGTTTCACTGCACTCACCACATTAAGCTTAATACTCTGAAAATACACACAGCTTTATGGAAATGTATCTGACACCTCTGTGTTCTCCCCACACTTCATTTACCTCTTTCTTTTGAAACTCTAGCAAAGAAACCCTTGCTAGGAAGTAGGAACCTGGGATGTTTAGCCAGAGGGTCTTTTAATTTTCTTCCCTTCCTTTTTCTTTCCTTCCCTTCCTTTTCTTCCTTTCTTCCCCCTCTTGTGCATCCCCCTTTTTTTTCTCTCTCTTTTAGGGAAAAAGTAGACAGTGATTTTTTTTCCTTTTTTTTTTTTTTTTTTGGCCTGAGATAGAGTCTTGCTCTTGTCACCCAGGCTGGAGTGCAATGGTGCGATCTCCACTCACTGCAACCTCTGCCTCCTGGGTTCAAGTGATTCTCCTGCCCCAGCCTCCCGAGTAGCTGGGATTATCTGCACCCGCCACCACACCAGGCTAATTTTTTTGTATTTTTAGCAGAGATGGGGTTTTACCACGTTGGTCAGACTGGTCTCAAACTCCTGACCTCAGGTGATCCACCCACTGTGGCCTCCCAAAGTGCTGGGATTACAGGCATGAGCCACTGTGCCCTGCCAACAGTGATCTTTTAACTTGAGCACTGGGGAGCCTGGATTTCTTGTTCATGGGCTCTCACTGATGAATATTATTTGTGCTTTTATTTATGGTTTTCTTAAGCTTAAGACTGTGATTTACATATCAACTGTGTGGCCAACTGCATCTGTGCCACTACTTGCAGTTCTTGCAGTGGGCATTGTGCCTATGGTATTGCTGGGGTTTTCTGCACCATGATATGCCTTTGTCTCTGCTTGTCTTGCACAGCTTCTCTGCCATCGTCAACTTTGAATGTTTTATTTAAATTCCATGTTTTTCCATTATCCTCTGCAGGAGCTTTCTTAAAGAAATACAATCGGATAAAAGTTAAAGAACTTCTTATTACGCTCCCAGTTAAACAGCTTCCGCACACCTTGGAAAGCTTTGCACCTTATAGCACTCAGGTGTGTTATGCTTTTAATTAAATGTGGTGTTTGCTGTCATTTCTGTAAGTCCTCAAGCAGTAGACCCTTGGACCGACACAGAATCCCATTAAAGCCTTGCTTCCATGGGAAAATCAGATTATCCTCACCTCCTTTTGAACTACAATGCCTTCCCCAGGAATATAATTCATGGTAAATATAAGGTCATCTTGTACATTTGGTAATAGCTGCTCCTTCCTCTTCAGTGGTTAAGGTTAAAATGCTGGGCTTGGTTCTTGGGGAGTGACTGCCCACGCCTACTGTTGGAAGTTCCTCCATTAGTCAGGTTTGCCCTGGCCACTCTGAGAAGATAGTGCTGGAAAAACTGCAGTCTTTCTCATCTTACCTCCCCGACGTCTGATCCTAGACTGACCTCTCAGAAAAGTGTTTGACCAACACTGTTCCAGCAGGTTTCCATCTGCATAATAGCCTGGTGATGTCTGGTAAGCACAAGCTGAGCGCACACCTTCTGGGGACTGATGAGATCTAGAATAACCAAGAGAACGTAGACCTGCATTTTCACTGATTCCATTGAACAGGCATGGCCCCAACACTCCGCTTCTGTCTGATACTCATAAGGCACGCTCCATTCTGAAGTTACCTTAGACGGCCAAACCTTTTATAAAGTTGCTGTCTACTTCCTCTGGGGCATATACAGTTAAAGATATTGAACTTCTCTCACTATTGTGTGCTAAGATTCAAGGATCAAAAAAGCAGTAAGACAGTGTATTTGCCCTAAAGAAGCCCATATACCTAAGTGGTACTTATAAAGGGGAGACAGACATAAACACAAGGATTTGTAATACAGTGAGAAAATAAAGTGAGAAAGGGCATGTAAAGTGTAACTCAGAATGTTCTCTAAAAGTCTGAACACAATAGGTGTCTTCTGGATGGACAAAATGAACCCCAGTGTCACCATCCTGTATCTCTGGGGTTAGTCAAAGGAAAATTCAGCTTGTAGGGTGGAGAGAAACTTTCTCTACTGTTAAACTGTATTATGAAAATGTACCCAGTGGTGACAATGACTTAATTGTCTAACTTAGTCATGGCCCCATGGATTATCGTGAGGCTGCGGAGGGGCCACTGGCTGCTCCTGTTCT
Source organism: Homo sapiens (assembly GCF_000001405.40). Lineage (NCBI taxonomy): Eukaryota > Metazoa > Chordata > Mammalia > Primates > Hominidae > Homo > Homo sapiens. The sequence continues at coordinate 95,862,389 of NC_000015.10, read as the reverse complement.
AACCCCAAGTAGAAATTGGCAGAGCTGATGACCGTCTGGGGGTGCAAACCCAGGATGTACATATCTAGGCCATGGTTTAACCTGGGTAATCTCATTCTACATTCTTTTTAACCTAGATAGTGGTCCTGTAATACTTGTTACAGCCCTGGTTTATACAACTAAAAATAAGAAACTTTTTTTGTACTTTAGGGTCCATTTGACTCAACCATGTAAAATAAATTCTCACCTTATATTCACCCAATCTCCTAGGACTCTTTCTTTAGAGCCTGTCACCTATTGTAGCTGGCACTGTGTCTTACACATTTGGGGGCCTCACTTAATAACTGCCTAATGAATAGATAGATGAATGAATGGGTGAATACATTTATCGGTGCCAAATTTCCATGTTCTCATCTCTGTAAAAACCTATTGCGCGCCTGTTTCTCTTTTTAGTCTGTGGCTCTCTCACAACTTGTTAGCTAGTTATTTTCCATTCAAAGTCATGGGCAAGACATCTAGTCTTTAAAAACAGATTCAGCAAAATTTTTTTCTCCTCTTTGTCGAAATCTCAAAGAAAGAAGGAAGAGGAAGAGAAGAATCTAAATGTGGTGATTAAACTGTGGCTCTGTCCTTCGTTTGCCTTGAATATGCTTGTTTTCTTTCCTTCTCCTTCTGAGTAGACACATAAAGAATCACATTTGAGGGCTTTTTTTTTTTAAATATGGATGAGTAACATCTGTTTTAACCTGAACGATTCAATGTGTTTTTTAAGAATCATGTTTACAGAATTAATTTGGTTATAAATATGAGAACAAATTTAGGGTACAAATTTAACTCAATCTTTCCCTAAGGCAAGCTGATTCATAAAATCTGAAATATTGTTTTGGCCATGAAGTAATGTTTCCTCAAGCTTAATAAGTAAATGGAAGGAGAAAACCTAATAAAGCTCAAATCCCCAGCAGCTAAAAAGTTAACACCTTAGTGATGGAGAGCCAAAATAAGAATGGATGGAGTCGCGCCAGCACACAAGAGGTCCCAAACCTGCTAAACCTCTTTCTTAAAATTGGAACTCTTTTCTTTCAAGTTATTCAACCTTTCACCTAATAGGTCCCTTTTGCTGACCCTTGAACTATGGTTATTTGTATAGCATTGTGGTAATAGAGTTTGGAAATCTGAAAAACATTAAGTTAAATGCAAGGGTGTTGAGAAGGTGAAATTCTTTAAGTGAGCTGAAGAAATTCTAGCTGGAAGATTTAAACATGTTTCCCCATAGGAGTAAGGGATAAGAAAAATATTGTGCGTCTTTAGAAACATTATCAAAGTGTTTTAAGTAAATAAAAAGGAAGAATATTATTGACAACACAAATATGTGAAGAGTGAGGAAAAGTAACGTTCTCTTCAGCAGCTATTTTTAAAATTTTAAAAAAATAAAAACTTAGACCAATCAAAATTTTAATTGATATGAAATATATTGCCAATAACACCAATACTAAAAAAAAAGTTACTGTTTTTTCAAGTGACAATTCCCAATCTGTAACATGACTAAATGAGGAAGGCACAAGATTCCCAGAGAAGTTTTTTTTTCTTTGCGGGACTTAGTTTGATGGTGTTGTTTTATCATTTCTTCAAATGGGTTAAGGAGAAGAAAATGAGGACATGAAATTGTGACTTCTTTGAAATAATACTAAAAGTATGCAAGTGTCAGTTGTTTTGACTACCCCAAAATATCATGATCTAAAGTGAAAAAACTTGAGTCAAAGTGTCTTTTTATTTATAATATCATCATCATCATCATCATCATCATCATCATCATCATCTTCGTCATCATCATCATCTAGATTTTGGCCCTATCTTTCACATTTTTAGCTGTAGGTACCAGTGGTTTTGCTTCTGCCAGAATTTTGGTGCTGACTTTTCTGTATTATTTGTGATTGTTTAGAATTTAATATCTAGTTGACAAGAGAAGAGCTTCTAATTTTTTAGTTGGGAAATGGGGATTGGCAGATAACAAGGGTTAAAATCAACGAGTGTATTATAATCTTGAGTGACAGTAATAAAAGTGAATATTATAACACCTCTTGAAGGATCAGCTTTAGATATGGATTTCTGGAAAAATTTGAGAGATTGAAAAGTGTTTCTAAGCACGACAACCGTAACCACATCTCCCTCTCCGCTATCTTCATACCTACCTACCTTCTCACAGACTTGCTTTGTGCCTGCATTACGCAGTTCATTCATTTATTCATTCAACAAACATTTTTTGAGCATATATTTTATGACTGGTCCTGTGCAAAACCCCAGAAGGAAGATTGAAAGACAAAGACAAACCCCAGGAGGAAGATTGAAAGACAAAGCTCTCACATAATTTTGGATTAAGGCACTGAAGACTTTGGATAAATGCAAAATCTGATAGATAAAACACTGCTCACTCTAAGTAGTTTGGATCTGTATGGTTTTTTAGTAGCAATAACACTGAACCTGAAATGATGACACTTGGGTTTGAAGCCTACATTCTAGAGCTAGGTTGGTCACTGACTATCTGGTTAAGAACCTAGGATGGGCCAGTCCACTTCCCTCTCTCCCACACTCCAACCCAGTGATTGATTCTGGGCTCACCAAGTCTTACCTCTAAAAGGACGATTGGAAACACGAAGTCATTCTGGCTCTCCTTAACGCTGTCTTTCTCATAGTTGCATTCCCAGAATATCAAGTGTGAATCTCCAGTATAGTAAGGAGCGTACTAGGTGAGATATTTGCTAATGTATCATTTTCTCCCATGTTCTTCTCATCTTCCTGCCCCCAGCTTCTAATATAATGCCTGGAACATGGTATATGCCAATAAATATTTGAAGCAATGAGTGAAAGTAACAACTATAATAGAAAGGAACTCTAGAAACTGATAGAAACAATATGAATCCGGCAGTGATTATAATCTCACCTAAAGAATATGCATTATATACTTTGCATATTTTATTATATAACAGAAATATTCCGTGTTGGTGACATTTAATACGAGAGGCAGTTTTCTCCTGCCATATGGCAGTGTAAGCCTATCAGAGTACGTTTTACAGTTTGTTGGGGGACGTGTCAAATCAGAGAAGAACTAATGTATGCCCACCCAGTCACCACTGGCATATTCAGGAACAAATGTCTCCTTTCCAGGTTCCCACTGTACAGTTGATTCATTGACACATTATCAGTTGCCTTCATGACAACAAATAATCTAAAACTTGTTTGATCATTGTGTAAAACTCCCAGATCATTATGTCTACTGACATTAAACATCTAGGTCTCTTCAGGTATTGATTACATTACTGTTTCTACACGCGGAATTAGTTGAACCATTTTTACACATCCCTCCAGTGAGTTTATTTGGTTAAACAAGCAGGTATAAGTCATCTAAGAGATTAATTCATCCAGTGTGCTTTATATAATGTGTACCCAATAAATGTTTCTTGAATGTTTTTATTGAGTTAATGAATTTGGATAAACTCCTAAGTATGAGTGTCTGAATATTACAAATTCCGTGAGAAAGGGAGACTGGGTTGTCAACTGACTACAGAGAAACTCTTCAAAGAACAACCTCCATGCATCAGCATGGGGCAAACGGTTGTATGTTGAAGTGATGCGTGTGTTAATATAGCAACCCATGAATGTAGATATTAACCAAAAATATAGAATTAGAACCTCCTAACACTTTTTAGGTGTATGCATTACTTATGCAGATCTTTGCCTACTCTAAGAAGATACAGTCCTTGTCTTCATGTTTTCATTTATTTTATGAGCTTCTTTTTGGGTTGGATTTTGTAGGGCTGATCAAAGGAGAAATACTGTTTTGAACTCCACACAAACTTCATGAGTTAACACTTTTGAAAGAGAGGCATATCATATGCTCTGATAGTGTTAGTCAATACAAGCTGTAAAGGGAAACTTTTCAATAAATCATAGTGACTGACTGCAACATTTCTTAATGTATTTCTGTGATCCTTCTTAAGAAAAGTATATACATAGGCATGCAGTTATCAAATGCACACACTTTATTATTATTCAAAAAAATCTTTACTATCCACGTTATTTTCTTATACTTTTTGTTCAGATCAGGAAACAACATTGACTAGATTGATGTGTTTATTGTATTAGAATGATATTCAAGAAATGGAAATTTAAATGTTAACATGTTTATTGACAGTTGTACTTTAGTAAAAGGCATGCATGATTCTATTTATGGATTTATTGAGGGTAAATTAAGGGCAAGTATAGTTTTTCTTTCTTAGATGAAAAAAAGTTCAGCCTATGTTTTAAAGAACCAGCTGTCTACCCACTTTCCTCATGGGGTTTTAAAAATGTAGAACCAAAGAATTTCATTGATCCTATTTTGCATCCCCAAGGATTTGCTTCTCTCTGTCCTTTCCCAAGTGTTTGTCATTTCCCATGAAGCTATATCCAACTTTTAAGTACATAGAGTTCCTTTCTTGCTTAATCCCATCATGAGCCTAGAACTATTCTTAGCCAGAGTCAGGCTTTCTTGTAATGACTGATGTTATATTTTTCCCTGTAAATCAGTATCATTAGAGATTATGACCAAAATTATATCAAAGCATTCTACAGCTCACTGATCTTTAGAGGGCCAGTTCTTAGTTATAATTTTTTAAAGGAATCAATTCCAGTCCAAAACAGAATTATAACCTCCTCACCCCACCTCCTAGTTTTCTTATAGTATTTTTACCCTCATTTCAGTTTCATGGGTATGGAGTCTCAGAGATCCTCTTTCTTTTCTATATATCTCTTAGCCTCAGTGTTTACTTTGTCACTGATTCCTATCAATAAACCTTGGTCATTTGTTTTCGTTTGTCATATGCTTTTCCTTCCCACCGAGAAGGCTCAGGTTCAGATCCACCTGATGCTCTTCTGTTCACACTAATCTCTTAATTGAATTCTCAAGTCTTGCCCTTCTGTAGGCAGCTCTCCACACAGCTCCCTAAAATACAGCTTGGAAATTCTCATTTTTCCCAAGCACAATTCAAGAAACGCTTTGGATCCCACAACATAAATAACAAAAGCCACATTCTTAACTTTTGACCTCGTGACACAGTATGACTCCTGCATAAACCATCTGCACCTCCTTTTCCTGGTCCCTCACCCAGCACCAGTTCATTTTCCTTCTCTCATATGAATGGGGTTTGCTAAATGGTGGAGAATGGGAGATGCTTGTCCATAACCATCCCTCCTATGTGGAAGACTCCTTCAATAGAAAATTCAACTATAGGAAATATTAAGGGTTTTGGGGTCAGCAAGTCTAGATTTGAATCCCACGTCCTGTCCTCTTCGAGTCATACCAGTTTAAACACCTTAACTGGAAGATGGAGATAATCTAGCCTTTGACATATAAAATAGATGTCCATGTGAAAGTATGTGCTGGAAGAATGGGGACAATTATTAATGAGTATTATTTAGGTCATAATCAGGTTGAAAAGTTGTTTCCAGTTCTGTTCTTAACCCTGATGTGACAGTCTAAGCAGCTGTGTTCAATGGGCTGGGTCCAGTCACCTTAAGGCCAGTTCTTCAGAGAGGGTCAAAGCTTGTGTTTCGGCTTCCCTGAGGGCCCCCAGCTTAGCAAGAGTCTTGCTGGCAGGTGGAGTTGCCATGCCTGGCAATTGTTCTCACTGACAAATACCTTCTCATTAGTTTCTTCTAAATAGCATCTCACTTCAGATTTGCTCAAAAGAGCAGATCAAAGAAAGTGTGTGAACTTCGGCCTGGGTGTGAGATTGAAGAAGGAAGGGCAATGACAAAGTGAAACTCATTTTCCAAAGCGATTTTGTCAGGACTGAATACTTGTGAAAAAAGATCTTCTTCATTTTTTTTTATTTCCCTTCCATTCATTAAAGTCTGTGTTGCAACCTGACAAGAAACTAATGAAAAACTGAACAGGATAACTCTTTTTAATACTTCCTATGAATATAGGAAAATATCTTGAAATTAATCAAAGTAAGGTGAGTAATTTAATCAGAACACATAATAAATATGTAACTCTGGTTATGCTAAGAACCCATGGATAAATATATTAGTCTCCACTTACATCAAGTGAATAATAATATTAACAACAATAACAGTACTTGACACACCAGCACATTTGGTCCTCATGGCCACCCTACCCAAGAAATAGACCAGGAATCATGTTTTTAAAAACAAAGATGGCACTTTCCCCAAACATCAGTCTCTTCATTGTGGATTGAAAAAATAATTTTTGATTTACAGCAGCTACATACAAGAGTCCTGATTTTGAATAATTGCTTTCTTTTGAGTAAATCAATTTTAAAAAGCATATCAAATATGATGTTTTATAGACATATGTAACATTTTTATTATGGGGAAAATGTAAAGTAGTTCCTGTTCAAGGGAAAAGGTTTAGAAAATACACATTATGAAAATATGAGCTAAAAATGTTTGCTTACTACTCGTAGAACTCTTGTTCAATTATTGATGCATTTCCTTTTGTTGCATTTTCTGCTATATATTTGTGTATATATTTGAAATTATAGTTTTACATGACTCCTTTGATTCCATTTAATATCATAGCATGATGTATTATAATGTCTTTAATAATCTGTGAAAACAAGATTTTTGACAGCTTCTTGACATAGCATAATAATGTAATTAGCTAATCTTTTTGAAATGAAAATCTAGGTTTTTGACAAAAAAGTATTTTTACTATGATGAAGTTTTCCAGTTGTTTTCAACTTTAATTTACCTTTAATTAAAGAGGAAACTTTCTCAAAAGCACAACTATTATGTCAGAAGATATAAATGTTTCAACAACTTTTTACATATTTCCTCCAAGAACAGTTTTATTTAAACAAATTCATAATTCATAATCACTACAATATCTTCAGAAAGTGTCTTGAACAGATAGTGTATATACAGTTTTCATTCCAAAGTTACACGTATAGAAAAAGAAGCAAATAATTATTCAAATAAATGTATATGTTTGATCATCACTGCTGCCTGAGGACCCGGCACTCCTGTAAGTCATCCTGTATGTTATAATTATAACCCATACCAGAAGAGGAAAAACTAGACAACTTCCCTGGGGGATTAGTCGGCACATAGTTTGTACATTACCTCTAAAGAGGAAATTGAGTACCAGGTGAGGTCTGGGTGATATAATGCAGCTCAAGGGCCCTCATCTTTTATTCCCACGTCTTTCTTGGCCTCCCGGTGACCAAAGTGCCCCTCATCCTCCAAGCTCATCAGTTCCTTGGGACCTGCGTTGGATCCCCTTTTCTGTGCACTTTATCCTACTCATTACAGTGCATTCCACTTAGGAACTATTGGAGATCCATAATTTTGTCTGGTTCTATTTTTTAATACCAAGCTCAAACTGCCTGTCTGCATTAAAATGAGTGTTCAGGAAACTGTGTTAAATGAATGAATGTACTTTCTAAGTTATTAGTGAATGGAAAAATTTTAAATGACCAAACTGCATTGATGAAAATTTCTCAACTCTAGTAGAGCCCCTGATTATACTGTGTTTATCCTGAAAAGCCTTAATAGGCACAAAAAGGACTCAATATATTGCAATCATGCTTCCTTAGGTATCCATAGCATTTCTCCTTTTTCTCTATTTTTTTAAAAAATGAATGTTTTATTAATAAAGGTGGCGTTTTTAACTGCTAATGTCCTGCTTTTTCTGTTTTAATGAGAAAATGGAATATGTTGAAAAGGAAAGGTTTTAGGCACTTTTTCTGGTTAACAATAGAAAAGTATAGCTTGCTTTTTTATTTGTGTGTGAAGGATATTATTTAGGAAATCAGCTTAGTGTCCAGGAAGCCTTCTCATGAACACTATCTGGTAGGGTCACCATGGTTAAGTATTTGGTCGTCAGTTAAATTATTTTTTAATTAAAATTTTTCTTTTAAGTTAGTTATGCATTTACTTCTTTATTAAGTGGAAAAAAATAAAGTGAGTGCTTCATGAGACTGGCCAAGGGAAAAACACACAATAGTTTATCCTTTGCTTGGAGAGAGTGAGCGTAATATTAATTGAGAATAGTTTTAGATCTATAGAAAAATTCAAAAGATAGTGCAGAGAGCTCCCATGTATCCTGCCTCTATTTTCCCCTGTTATTCATGTTTTACATTAGTGTGATACACTTGTCACAATTAATAAGCCAATATTGATACATTATTATTAAGAAAAAGTATACATTATCAGATTTTATCCAATGTCCTTCTTATACCATATTACATTTAATTGTCATGTCTCTAGGCTTTTCATGGCTGGGACATTTTCTTAGATTTTCCTCTTTTCAATGACCTCGAAGATTTGAGAAGTACTTGTCAGATACTTTGTAGAATTCTCCTCAACTGAGATTTGCCTGATGTTATTCTTACTATTCCACTGGAATTATAGTTTTTAGAAGGAATACTACAGAGATGAAGTGCCATTCTCATCATGTCATATCAAAGATATCTGCTATCAACATGACTTGTCAGGTTTTTCCTCTGTATAATTGTTATTTTTCTCCTCTTTCTATTTTTCTCACTCTTTGGAAGACAATATTGTGCATAGCACAATAGTTCACACACTAAAGGTGTGAAGAGTTAGAATCCATCTCTTTGAGTGTGGATTCTTACGTACATTATTTGGAATTTTTTGCATAGGAAATTTGTATCTATCTAATTCCCACATCATTTGTTGAAAAAATTTTCCTTTCTCCATTGAATTTCCTTTGCAGCATTGTCAAAAGTCAGTTGACCATATTTGTATGGGTCTCTTTCTGGGCTGTCTATTCTGTTTTCATTGCTCTATGCATCTGTTCTTTCACCAATACCATGCTTGCTTGAATACTGCAGCAGCATTTATTAAGTTTTGAAATCTGATAGTGTGAGTCATCCAACTTTGTTTTTCTTTTTCAGAATTATGTTGGTTGTTGCAGGTCTTTTGCCTTTTCACAGAAAGTTTAGATGCAGGTTCTCAATATTTCTGTAATAGTCTGATGGAATTTTGATTGTTGATTGAGATTGTGTAGAATCCCTAAATCAAATTGGGAAGAATTTATATTATTGAATTAAATCTTCCAATCCATGAATATGTATTATCTATCCACATACTTAGATGTTCTTTGATTTCTTTCATCGTGTTTTGCTCTTCTCTATATATGGGCCTTGTATCATATTTTGTTAGTCTTGATTGCTTTTTTGTATTTGTGCTATTGTAAATTATATTTTTTATAAATTTCAAATTCCAATTGTTCAATGTTGATATGTAGAAAAGAAATTTAGTCTTATATATTGATCTTAGATCTTACGATCTTGCTATTCTTGCTTATTAGCTCCAAGAGATAGTGTTTTATGGATTTTTTTTTTTAGATTTGTTGGATTTTTCCACATAGATGATCCTGTCATCTGCAAATAAGACAGTTTTACTTGTTTATTTATTTATTTTTAATATTACTAAGTTTTTTTTTTTTGAGACAGAGTCTCGTTCTGTCACCCAGCGTGTGTTCATAGCTCATTGCAGTCTTGAACTCTTGAGCTCAAGGTATTATTCTGCCTCAGCCTCCTGAGATGCTAGGATAAGAGGTACATGCCACCATGCCCAGCTAAGTTTTCCTTTGTAAAATTTTGGTAGAGATAAAATTTTGCTATGCTGTCAAGGCTGGTCTCAAACTCCTGGTCTCAAGTGATCTTCTGCTTTGGACTCCGAAAGTGTTGGGATTACAAGCGTGAGCCACTACACCCAATTCCTTTCCTATTTTTATACTGTTCTTTTTTTCCCCCTTTTTCTTATTGCTGTAGCTAGGACTTCCAGTATAATATTGAACAGGAGGGGTGAGAGAGGACATACTTGCCATGCTCCTGATCTCAAAGGGGAAAATGTCTAGTCTTTTACCACTATGTATGATGTTAGTTCTGAATTTTTGTAGATTTAAAAAATCAAATTAGTTTTGCTAATCCTGTTTACTGTGAGTTTTTATCATGAATTTTGTTGGATTTTGTCAAATGCTTCCTCTGCATAAATTTATATGATCATATGATTTTCCTTCCTTAGCCTATTTATGTCATGAATTGATTTTCAAATGTTGAAAATCATTCAATACAGCCTTGCATTCCTAAAATACATCCCATTTGGTTGCAATGTATAATTATTTTATACATTGTTGAATTTAATTTGCTTATATATTCTTGATTTGTGCCCATTTCCATGAGAGATATTGGTCTGTCATTTTCCTATGCTGTACTGTCTTTCTCTGGTTTTGGGATTAGGATGATGGTAATTACCTAGTTAGGGTAATGCTGACATTAAAGAATAAAGTCGGGAGGTATTCCTTCTGCTTCTATTTTCTAGAAAGGATTGCGGATAATTGGTATTGTTTCCTTTTGAATATTATATAGAATTTGCCAGTAAAACCATTTGGGCCTGGTGCTTTTTCTTTGAGGCTATTAATTATTGATTGAATTTATTTAATAAATGTAGAGATATTCACACACTCCATTTATTTCTTTTAGTAGGAGATTTCACAGTTTGTGCCTTTCAGTGAATCAGTCTTGTCATCTAGGGTAGGAAATTTGTGAGCATAGATGTTCTCATTCTGTTCCTTTGTTAATCTTTTAATGCCCATATAATATGTAGTAATAATACCTCTTTCATTTCTGATATTGGTAATTAGTGTCATTTCTCTTTAGTTCTTGGTTAGCTTGGCTAGAGGTTTCTCTATTTATCAAACTTTTCAAAGAACCAACCAGTTCTTTATTCAGTTAATTTTCTTTTTCTTTTTCTGTTTTCATTTTCACTGATTTTTGTTACAAGTTTTATTTCTTTTCTTCTACTTGCTTAAATTGTTCTTCTTTCTCTAGTTTCCTAAAATGGAAGCTGAGGTTATTAACTTTTAGTATTTCTCCTTTTCTAATACATTCCTAATACATTGAATACTATAAATTTGCCTCATGCATTGCTTTTACTATACACAAACTTTGGTAAGTTGTATTTTTATTTTCATATAGTTTAAATAATGTTTTAGTTTCTCATGACTTCTTTTGACATATGGGTTTCTAAAAATCTATGGATTTGGTTTTGTGGTTTAATTCTCAAATACTGATTTCTATTGTTATTAATTCTACTTTAATTACATTGTGGCCTGAGAACATAGTTTGTATGATTTCTGTTCTTTTAAATTTGTTAATATGGGTCATCAGTTTTTTAAGCCAAAATTCATGTAGTATCAGTATTATACTCAGTTTCAGCTTCTAAGGTTTGAGTAACTCTAACCATACTTATAAAATGGCATATTAAACATAATGCCCAGTTATTGAATTAATAAAAATTGTAATAGCCAAGCAGATTGTCATTGCTGGCATTTGCCGCAGGAGGGCATTATAGAAAGTCAGTGTGGCTTGCTTAATGTGGAGATTGAGCCTAAAGACATGGCAGGGTACGCTCTGTGAATTGAGTCTCTAATATCAAGAAGCAAGGAAGCCATGATTGTATCTTTAGTCTTCTAACTCATCAGTGGGGAATGTTATGGGTTAGAGGATCAAAAATTCTGTGTAAGGACTTGAACTGATTTTGGAAGTTATAAATAATAATTTGGCCCTCAAGCTGTGAGCCTGGGATGTTCCTCACCCTAAAAAAAAATAAATGATTCTGGTACATTAGTAGGAGTCAGTGAGGATACCTTCCTCATAATAGATCAAGAGACATCTGATCCTGTATTTTTGTTTCACCTTTCTTCAGTTCTAGTTGATTATTACATTTTAATCATGTCTTCCTTGCCTCTGCCTTGTGCTCTTTCATGTGACTGGCAACTCAAACTTGCTGACTTTCCCTGAACACCTTTTGTGCCTCCACGCTTTTGTTTTATCTGTTCTACTGGGATATTATACACATCCTTGTGGGTTCAATTCTTACATCTTACTTAAGACATAAGTCAAATAATCCTCCAAGCTCCCACAAAAGTTGGTTAGCACCTATGTCATGACACATTCTATTTAATATCTTGTATATTTATCTGCATACTGCCTAATCTACTCTAGTAGAATGAAAACTCAGGTATATAGGTATTTAAAAGTCTTATTAGGTAAATAAGTAAATTAGGGCACTGTGTGATTATGATTTACTTAATAATAAGTGAACAGCTATGCGACGTAGTTAAATATACAGTTTAAAGTGTGATAGTCCTGTGTCTTCCTGATGGGATCAGTAATAACAGGATCAGAGTTGTGTCCAAGTTAGTTGATACTAAAGAAATAGTGGGTACAGATAAGACAAAATAAAATGAACCTGAGGGAGAAGGAGGAAAAGTTTTGACATGTGCTGATGGAGAGTTGAAGCTCAGGTTAGGACACCTGAATGAGAGGCCATTTGCCTAAGAGGAAAAAAAAAATCCTAACAGTAACATAGTAACGTTTTTAGCCAAGTGCAGTGGGGAGTACCGCTAATGACATTAACCTGTAAAAAGTTTGTGTTAAAGTGGTACATTTGGGAAAACTAGGGACACTATCCTTCAGGGAATGCATTTTTAGTAAACTGACCTAAAGCCATTGTCCTTTCAGTGATCTAATAGTGAAACCATTTTGATGGCAACAAATGGCTTATTAGGCTGGAGAAACTTTATTTCCTGAGACTTTTCTTCTCCAGAGGTGATATGAAGAAGAATGCCAAGTTGGCTTCAATCGGCTCTTTAAGATAAAAAAGATGGAGACATGATCAGATCTTTATTTTAATACACTGAAATAAGGAAGTCTCTTAGAGTTAGAATAGAAATCCTAAGGATGTGAGCTAATTGTGGAAATCTTAAATGGTAATTAAGTCCTCACATTGTGGCTCTGGAAAGTTCAGCCAAATATAAGGGGATGACTTATATACAGCCTGTACCCAGCAAAATAATACATCTTCCTACAGTCATGGTTATGCAATTGATCTCTGTGCAGTTATTTAGAGGAGTGGATTTCAAACTTAGCTGATCACAAATCACCTGCTTAAAAATAGGCAAAGAGGTTGAATGGGTATTTCTCAAAAGAAGACATACTCATGATCAACAAATACAAGAAAAAGTGCTCAACATCACTACTCATCAGATTATCTAAGTGCACATTAAAAGCAGGGTGAGACGCCACCTCATTCCAGTTCAAATAGCTATTATAAAAAAGATGAAAGATAACAAGTGTTGGAGAGAATGTGGAGAAAAGGGAACACTTATATACTGTTGGTGGGAATGTAAGTTACTATAGTCATTACAGAAAACGGTTTGGAGGTTCTGAAAAAATTAAAAGTAGAACTACTGTATGATCCAATAATCTTACTTCTGGGTAAATATCTAAAGGATATGAAATCAGTATGTTGAAGAGATATCAGCACCCCATGTTTATTGCAGCAGTATTTACAACAGCCAAGATCATGGAATCAACGTAAGTATCTATCAGTGAATGAACGGTTGAAGAAAATGTGACATATAACCACAGTGAAATGTTACCCAGTCATGAGAAAAAATAAAATCCTGTCATTGTCAACAACATGGATGGAACTGGAGGACATTGTGTTAAGGGAAATAAGCCAGGCAAAGAAAGACAAATACTGCATGATCTCACTTCTAGGTGGAATCTAAAAAAGTGTAACTTCGAAGCAGAGAATAGAATGGTGATTACCAGGGGCTGGGATGGGGGTGGTAGGAGATTGGAGATATATTTGGTCAGAAAGACACAAAATTTCAGTTAGATAGGAGGAATAATTTCAAGAGATATATTGTAGAGCATGTTGACTGTAGTTAATAATGTACCATATTGCGTTTTTTGAAAAACAGTAAATTTTAAGTGTTCTCACCACAAAAAATAAGCAAGTAAGATAACACATATGTTAATTACCTAGGTTTAGCCATTCCACAGGTATACATATTTCAAAACCTCTTTTTGCACACCATTAATGTGTGCTTTAGTATAATTAATAAATTAATTTCAAAAAGAATCACCTGGATAATGTATAAAGTACATAAATTCTCTAGAAAAATCCACAGATATAATTATTTAATAAAAATGGGATCTGGCCCAGAAATATGCATGTTTTAGAAATGAGCAAGTGTTTCTGATGATCAGCCAAGTTTGAGAAGTCCTGAGTTAGATGCCATCGAAGAAGCAAGGGAACATAACCTTCAGTGTTTGGGTGTTTGTACATAAAATCTTAAGAACCTAGATGAAAGCAATGGAAAGTCATAATAGAAATTAGGAAGAGGTATCATCTCTGGGCTGCCTTGTCCAGTAATAGAGATTCTGAGCATAAATAATTTCTTTATTCTCTCAGCTTATATTTTTTAATACTATTATCTAGAAAACAGTATCTCCAGTATTTAGTCAATGCCCTGATCACTTCCTCGCCGCCAACAACAACAACAAAACGAAACAGATAAGGAGCAAAAAGGGAAGGAAAGAAAAAGCAAGGAAGCGAGAGCATTTCTATTCATTAACATATTTTCTAAGCAAATGGAAATATTCCTATTTTTAATTTTGTATCTTACTAAAGTCAATTTAATGCAAGAAATGTGGCGTTAGCAAAGCCTAATATAAGGCCATTTTTAAAAAGTTTTGATAAGACGATATGAATCAAATTTTTTTCCAAACCCGCACTATGTTGGAGAGCATAGCTTGTTCCTTAGTTCTTCTTTGAATTTCTTAAAATGGTGAAAGAGAAGCCGGGCGCAGTGGCTCACACCTGTAATGCAAGCACTTTGGGAGGCCGAGGCAGGTGGATCACCTGAGGTCAGGAGTTAGAGACCAGCCTCACCAACATCGAGAAACCCTGTCTCTACTAAAAATACAAAATTAGCTGGGTGTGGTGGCACATGCCTGTAATTCCAGCTACTAGGCAGGCTGAGGTAGGAGAATCATTTGAACCCGGGAGGTGGAGGTTGTGGTGAACCAAGATCGCGCCATTGCACTCCAGCCTGGGCAATAAGAGCAAAACAAACAAACAAACAAAAAAAAAAAAAGAAAGAGAGAGAGAGAGACAGAAAGAAAAAGAAAAAGAGAAAGAAAAGAAAGAAAAAGAAAGAGAAAGAAAGAAAAGAAAGAAAGAAGGAAGGAAGGAAAGAAAGAAAGAGAAAGAAGGAAGGAAGGAAAGAAAGAAAGAGAGGAGACAGAAAGAAAAAGAGAGAGAAAGAGAAAGAAAGAAAAGAAAGAAAAAGAAAGAAAGAGAAAAAGAAAAACAAGGGAGGAAGGAAAGAAAGAAAAAAGAAAGAAGGAAGGAAAGAAAGAAAGAAAGAAAAAGAGAGAGAGAAAGAAAGAAGGAAGGAAGGAAAGAAAGAAAAAAAGAAAAAGAAAGAGAAAGAAAAAGAAAGAAAAGGTGAAAGAGAATCACAACAATTAATTCTTGGACGACCTGTAAATTGGTGGATTCCAAACTGCAAAATCAGGTCCTGGTCCAAGCAGTGTGGCTCCCTTGGGGCTCCTCGTGGGAACTGTCTTAGGGCTTCTTTCACGCTGGGGCCTGAACAGTCAGCTGAATCAGCCTCCTGCATTTTGTGCCCCACAGTGACATTCTCAAACCCTACCTTTCCTGTAGGCTACTGAAGACTCTCTAAATGACTGCAGGTAAAATACCCACCACTCACAGATTAAAAGTCAAAACCAGAACATTATATATAGAAAAAATAGAGCAATAAAGAATCTCAAGCCTTCTAGGTAATTTAGGCAGCTGTCATAGCTTCCAACCCCTCCGTCCCCATTCTACCATGATGGGTTTGTCTTAAAGGAGACATATATACATAATTTATTATTAAAAATTAAATCACCAATATTTTTCTAAATTACAAGCAAGAAAATTCTGAATAGTTCATCAAAATCCTCTTGACCAAACTCATTGCAGTGGGGGAAAAGCACACACTTTTTTTCTTGTTTTGTGAAATGTGACCCTGAAAACTGAAACCTAAGGGAGGATTCGTACGTGTGTGTTGAAGAGTGTTTATATTTCTCTCTCTCTCTCCTGAACAGTGTCCCATTACACAACCCCGAAGCCTGGTGTTGTGTTCTTGTTCCTATTTATTCTATCCTAGTGAGGGAGACCTTTCTGTCCCTCCTCTCTTCCCTTCTCCCTGTGGTTCCCAGAGAGGAACGTGAGTTTTCAAAGTGTCAGAACAGCATCAGTGCTGATGTATAGGCCACAGTTGTTTCTCTCAAAAGGCCTTCAGAGCCCTCCCTTCTCCTCTGTTCCCTTCAAGTTGGGAATGATTCATCAGCTGGCCTTTAGCAAGAAAAGAGGCCAGCCTAGGGTCTCGGGCCTTTGACCTCTGTGAAGAGAAAGGTCACACTGAGAGCAACTGTGCAAGCTCCAAAGCTGGAGACACAGGCATAGAAACCCGAGGCGGAGGCGCCGGGCGAAACGGAGGGGGATGGTGGGAAAGAGTGGGAGTTTAGAAAAGTTAAGAGTATATTTCTAAGAGACTCAGTGGATCAGCTGACAACCGGGGTCAAGGGTCATATTTATGCTTGATTCCCTGAGCATGTTACAGTAACATCTGCTTGTTAAGAGTCTTTAGGGAGCCGGCCTGGGGACCAAGTGCTTCTGACCTCCTTCCACAAAAGGGGACAGGCTAAGAGATTAGGGGTTCCTATTAACGTCTGTGTTTGACTTAACGACTCTCCCCGCCCTCTCCTGGGTGTGATTTGTCAGCTTCACCCCATTTCATTTTATAATCTTGCTAAATATTTAAATGAGCCCCATGGTTGTCAGTGGAGCAGCATCTGAAACTGCAGAAAAGAAAATTAGATTTCTATGGGGAAAAATCTTAGTGAGAAGTATAGAATGAGAAAGATTAAGAGAGGAAGAACAAACCCAGGAACTGCTTTGTGTGGTAGAATGGAGTCATTTCACAAAAACTTGTCAACTTTTCACATCGCCAACAGAATAAAAAGTCAGTTGTAACTGTGTAACAAACTTCCTAACAAGAGAGACAATTTGATCATTCAGTCGTCAGGAGATTATAACTTGATGTGGTGTTTTGCCTCAGTCATTGATGTCCTAAACTCAACACGAGGACAGAACTCACCATCCACGGGAGGTTGAGCGGTGAACATTGATTTCACTCTTTTATTGACCTTTTTTTGTTTGAGTCACTTTTATGCTCTTTATGATCCTTTAAAAGTCTTAGGTTTTATTTTCTCCTGTCACCAAAGACAGGAGAAAATAAACAGATTTATAAATAAAGATAAGTACATTTTAAATGTGTAAAATGCCCTATTTCCAATGTCTCTGGCCAAATTAATAATTAATGAAATCATAAAGTAGTTACTGGAAAATGGGGGTGAAACAACAAAAAATGCACTAAGCTGCTAAATTCTTTTTATTTTTTTAAAAATTATTTTGTGAGTACATAGTTGGTGTGTATATGTATGGGGTACATGAGATATTTTAATGTAGGAATGCAGTAAATAATAACCACATCATGAAAAATGGGGTATCATCCCCTCAAGCACTTACCCTTTGTGTTACAAGCAATCCAATTATACTCTTTAACTTATAACATATACAATTATTATTGACTGTAGTTACCCTGTTGTGCTATCAAATACTAGGTTTTATTCATCTTTTCTATTGTTTTCTTACCCATTAACAATCCTCACTTGCCCCCAAATCCCCAAACCCCCACTACTTTTTTTTATTTCCCAGAAGAACATTTGTGTGTCTACTGGCATCTAAAACACACATTTTGCATTGGTTACAATTACTCAGGTTATGTGTTTCCATTTCCCATAAATTTTGCATGGAAGTTTCTGGAAGGACTCAGCTGGGTTTTATAAAATCCCTTGGTGCCACTGCCAGCTTTTATTTCAGAAGCATACATACTTGATGCCTTAACCACTAGCATGACTTTTTGTTTTAACCTAAGGCCTCCCATAGAGGAATAAAACCTGTGAGTGGGGGAAGAAGCTTAGAAAATAGAGGATATTATTTTTAGCTAGAAAAAAAGTAAAAATAATCGAGTGATATCACGTAACACCCGCTCTTCTGGGTTCCATGCATAACAAAGTTCATGCAGTCTAACTTTCCATGTAACTGCATGAAAACAATCTGTTTGCTATTTATATGCAATTGCCTTGGGGAAACCAGCCCCATGGAGGAGAATAGATTATTCCAAGGTGAATTGGATGTAAGCATATGGAGTCTCTTCAAAGGCAAGGTCTTGGATGTGTGTGTGTGTGTGTTCATGTGTGTGCACACGTGCACACTTGAGGTCAGGGTAGTTGGTGGTGGGGTGGGTGATGGGAGCTGTTCAAAACCACTTTCTGATTACAAATAATAAAAAAAAATTCAATCGGAAGTGCGTTCTGCCAAACTTCACAATAAACCTCCTAGCAGGACATTGAGATTTTCTTAATCAGGGTCAGACCCACAAGCATAAGGCCAACGAGTTCAGTGGGAAAAACGACTCTTCTTCCCAGTTTTTTTTTCTTTCTTTTTTTCTTTCATTTGGAAAGGACCTCCTCATATACATGCAGAGCAATTTTCCAGTACATTAACCCAGGAGGGATCCTCTCTCCGTCAGCTTAAGAGATAGGAAAGTTGAGAAACAGGGTGAAGGGAAGATGGATGGGCCTGGGATATGAGAGAGGACAGTTTTTCCACTGTCCTGCCCTGTACACCTAGGACAAAGACTTCATTGACTGCAGTGCTTGACATCAGCCTCATAAACTAGTCAGCACAAAAGGTCTGACACTTGAAAGTACCAGTCCCTGCCTTCTTTCTATTGCAGCTGTGCACGGGGGTTGGGCCCAACAGTGGTGTCCCTTTGTCAGCCCATAGGACAAGAGGTGAAGATAAATAGTGTTGACTTTAATGTAGTCACACAATTTTGCTATTTCCCAAAAGACAACATTTCCTCCCAGGCCTCACATCACGGCCCCAGGAGAAAGAACTATCTTCCCTTTAGTTGGGGAGTAAGGGTGGACTGGGCTGGGATCCTGATGAGGGTGTGGAGTGGACATGTGGCTTGAGGGAAAAGGGTAGATGAAGGACAAGTGCAGAGTCATGGGATCTGCTCCTTATCCTCTCTGGGGAGATGGTTTGGTTTTCATGCATTCCAGCTTGGTCACAGTGGTTTCTTTCGTTTTCTCGAGTTCTTTGGAAATGGCCCCAGAGGGAGAAAATGCACACAGGAAGGAAGACTGAAAACATGAAGAATTGTATGATTTAAAAGAGTTTTAAAAACCACTGTGGTATCTTTCTGTTTATCACAAAGCCAGAAAGTAAAATGCTTCCCTGAGAGCTTTTTGGTAATATGACTTTAAAACAAGCACTGGAGTAGATGCCAGAATTCAAGAATCCTTTGTGCTGAAGGGAGGAATTGATCAGGTGTGTGGTCCGCTGCATGAGATTGTTGTTATAATTATTCATTATTTGGCTGGGCATCAGCATAGGTAACAAGTTTTTGTATTATTTCCTCCAGTGTCAGGGAAGGAAAAATTTGAAATACTGAACACAGAACTCACCATTGGGGCTTGATGGGTTATGACCAAGTTAGATCGGCTGCACAGAGGCTCACCCTGCCTGAACGCCACCTTAACTCCCTTAACTACTCTGACTGCAGAACGCCACTCTGATTCTGCCTTTTCTCTCTCTAGAGAGACTATCTGGAAGATAACATGTGAGCCATCCCCAGTCATAAGCATCTGTCTGCAGTCGGAGCTCTTCATGGTCAAAGTGGACGCCAAGAGCTTAGAGCATTCAGGCTCTAAAGAGCAATCTAAAAGTATCTTAGGTGCAGAACAAGGGAAATGTGGAGGCTCAAATACTTATAGACCCCTCATGGTCAGGCTGAAGCAAAGTCAGAACTGAGACATAAACGCCAGAGGGGAGTTCTATTTAACCACCAACAGCCGAACTCAGATCAATCACACGTTAGCTGGGTTTAACAACTGGCGGAATTTTCTTTTTCATTCCCCTGTCAAGCTGACAAGGTTGGAGCTTCCTTCTACTGATGGGCACCTCATTGTGTCATTTGAGCATATCCTTTAGAAGTTACTGATCCTGGTCGGGCACGGTGGCTCATGCCTGTAAGCCTAGCACTTTGGGAGGCCAAGGTGGGTGGATCACCTGAGTTCAGGAGTTCAAGACCAGCCTGGCCAACATAGGGAAACCCTGTCTCTACTAAAAACACAAAAATTAGCCGGGCTTGTTGGCGTGCGCCTGTAATCCCAGCTTCTCAGGAGGCTGAGGCAGGAGAACTGCTTGAACCCTGGAGGCACAAGTTGTAGTGAGCTGAGATTGTGCCACTGCACTCCAGCCTGGGCAACAGAGTGAGACTCTGTCTCAAAAAAATACACCATGGAATACCATGCAGCCATAAAAAATGATGAGTTCATGTCCTTTGTAGGGACATGGATGAAATTGGAAATCATCATTCTCAGTAAACTATCGCAAAAACAAAAAACCAAACACCACATATTCTCACTCATAGGTGGGAATTGAACAATGAGATCACATGGACACAGGAAGGGGAATATCACACTGTGGGGACTGTGGTGGGGTAGGGGGAGGAGGGAGGGATAGCACTGGGAGATATACCTAATGCTAGATGACGAGTTAGTGGGTGCAGCGCACCAGCATGGCACATGTATACATATGTAACTAACCTGCACAATGTGCACATGTACCCTAAAACTTAAAGTATAATAAAAAAATAAATAAAAAAATAAAGTTACTGATCCGAGGTATTTTTAAAACTCCATTGTATACAACTCTGCTACAATCTCATTCTAGAGATCATTTCTTGAGGCTAAGATTTAAAGACGTTTCCTTTGATGAGAAAATGGTTGAGATTGGATTTTTTTTCTATGAATCTTTTCACAGAAAAATGAATAGTTGCAATTTGGGAAAACAAATTTCTTGAAAGTAGAGAAAGTACTGACCGGCTTCCCATTCATATCAGTTTAACCTTCTTTTTAGGAGAATACTATACATAACTGATGCATCTCTTCATGAACTTGGAGTATATATTTTGAACTTACCGTGGCTTGCTTTTAAATGGTTATCTGGCAATAATTTTGACCTACTGGTACATGCTTCATGATTTGAAGAAGGCGGGTTTTAACAATTGTCTATTACTTTTGGAATTCATTATGAGTAGGATATACTTATGTTTATTTATCCTTAAGTAGAACCTGATTGTTCCAAAAACCTACTAGTTATCTCCGAATGCCACCCCCGTCTCCATATCTCAGGTCTGTTTTCTGGGGAGACGGCAGCGTGGACCGAATTATGCCCATCTACCTCTGCCTAGTCAACTGCCCCCTTCCTATTCTCAAGGCCTGAGTTCCATCCTCTTCTGGGCTCTCAAACATAGAGTGTCACTTGGCAACTCAGACATGAAAGTGCTGAGCTTCTTTGTAGCAGAGGAAAAAACAGCTGAATATGATCAGACAGAAACTCCAGTTTGAAGGTGTAGGAAAGAGAAGAGGTTAGGGGTGCTTCAAAAGAATATGCATGTGATGCTGCGGCATGAGCTACTGGAAAATTTGCTATGCTTTTCTGTGTCTTTGGATGCTTCTTTTAGCCCACTCTTCCCAGAGGGCCCATGCTTCCACAGGTTTTCAGTGCCAACCAATGTCTAAAATAGAGGGGGAACTCTCTGAGTAGCTCTCCTCACAAACACAAAGTGATTGAAATTGTTTCTCCTCTTTCTCTTCCCCACCCCATTCACTCCCTGTGCTCTGACTCAACACGTAGGAAGAACTCTCCACCACAGGTTATCCTGCAGAACCTAGAGGTGAGAAGGTCCCTCAGTGTTTTCCTTTTGAGCTCTTCTGCCTGAAAAGAAACAAGGCAGTTGGGAAAATTCATGATTTGGGTTCTGGGGAGACCTCAGTTCTAGTTCATGCTCTTTTAATTGAACTTGGGTAACCATTTAGCACCCCCTCCTCAGTTTTTTTATCTGTGAAATGGGCAAACTAGACTTAAATCTGAGTGATTATTTCTTTCTGTTTTACTCCCTAAGTTCTAACAGTGACCTGAATCGTAAGTACTCATGGAAAACAAATGAGAACGTGGTTAAGAAAACAAACAGATGTTAAAGAGTATAATCTCACTGAAGGTATTAGAAAGGCCAGTGAATTTGATGTGTGTACATGACCAAGCACTTCCTCCACTCTATCTTTAGGCCTGTGTCGTGGAATTGGAATTAATATGTCTTTGGAGTTTTTGTAGTTCTACTTGAGGACACATAGTTTTGTAACAGCACCATTAAAAACTGACTTTCCAGGCAGAGATTTCAGCATGCAGATGCCCCCGTGGGATTCAGCAATTGGCCTGGCGTCCATAGTCTGAATCAGAGTTTAAAAATTCTTTAAAATAAACAGTGGTGTTCTGGCTTGTTGAAGGTCTTACTTTCTGGGGGGAAAAAAAACCACCTCTATTTTTGCTTGCATGGTATAAAGCCTTTATTTTAGGTAAAATGCGTATTTCAGTCCATCTGTATTTATGCCGATGCGGGCTGTGGACACCACTGTGACTCTGGTCTTTGTACTGGGAGCTGAATTGAGTGGCGAGGGCCTTTCTTTGTTTCTCACTGACTTTGTCTCTGAGAGCTAGACTATTGCTGCAGATAAAATGAAAAGATATTGTTTTTAGATCCAAAGATGGAAGAACTCCCTCTGTGCAGAGAAACCAAGTAGAACCAAGGGTGTAGATGCATCATCAGAAAAAGAGTGGCTGGATTGGTTTTGTTCCTCTCTTCACTGATGCTGGCACCAAGAGACTTCTGCTAAGAGCTTATGATTATCTATGCACCTTGATGCCAACTTTATGCAGACAAAGTTCAGTTGAATTAGGGAGCTAGTTGTTGTTTCTCGTTCTCTAGTTGTTTTTTCCTCACTGATCCAACCTCACATGATAATAACTTAGTAAACACGTCTACTTTGACATCCTGCAAACCTCAAACTTAACATATCTGAAACTCAGTTCCTGTCACTGATTAGAAACAAAAGCAAGGGTGGAGAGGGGCTCTGCTTTCTGTTTCATTTCCAATATGTATTATTCTCATTGTCTTTGTTGTCTAAACTCAGAAATTGAGCCTTGCTTCTGAATTTTTTCTTCTCTCTCTTGCTTCCTATGTGTTAACAATGATTCAATCCCATTGACTCTTTCTTCCATCTATGACCTGATTCTATCCTTTCTATTTTTGTTGCCCCATTTAATAAAAGTTCTCAGATTTTTGTGCCTATACTACTGCAATAACCTTCTGAGTTCCCTTTTTTATCATTTACCCAATATCATTCCTGCTGCAACTGTCTCTCTTCTTCTTATGCTTCCATGGTTTATGCCTCATCTTGCTTTTTCACCCAGACTGAGATACTTTCTATTCCCTCATTCATTTCACCTGACATTCTTCAGCAATCCCACTTTGATCCTTCTATGAGCCCAGTAAACACTTTTCCTCCAGATCCTAATTGTACCATGAAGATTTACCATATGCTTCACTATTTTCCTTTGAGAAAACAGATACAATATTCAATGTAGTCTTCTAGGAGCTCTTAGAATTATGAACAAAATTACATGAAGATGATAAATCTGGTCAGAAAGTTAGGTATAGACATAGGTAGTCATAATAATAATAATAATATTGACACTGGTTATCATTGATTGAGTAGCTCTCATGTGCCAGAAAATATCCTAAGCATTTTATTGTCATTGACCCATTTAATTCTACGATAACTCAGTGGGGGTTGGTCCTCAGTATCCCATTTCACAGATGTGAAAACAGATTCAGGCAGGTTCAGTACAAGGAGCACATATTTTAAAGGAGCTCCAGAGAATTATGAAAGCCCAGCAGAAGGATGACTGCCATCCAGTTGGGAGAAGGGTTGTAAAAGAGGTGATAAAAGTAAAGGAAAGTGATTTGGTATTTTCCACTTAGTTAATGAGAAATGCTACATTTTTTAGTCTTACATTTTTATAGTTCTGTGAGTTCAGGTTTTGCTTGTAACTGGATGGTAAGCTCCTTGAGGATGGGTATTAATTCTTTTTTCTGCTCCACAGCATCTAATCCAGTGCTTTTCATATAGTAAGTGCATGTTGATTGAAAATGAACTCTCTTTTGTAATTCTGAGCACAAAGGTGCTGCATTCCAGTTTTTGCTGTTATTGTTACAGTTCTAGGTATATACTCTGAATTAGCTGCTACTTTGATTGTTGGGAGTTAGGTTGCTTAGCAATACACGATGTATATGTCAATATAATTATAATAATATTATTTTCAGATTTTTAATTTATTAAGAAACACTTTTGGACCTGTTTTTCCCTACTTATCCTATACAAAAGTATTTGCTAAGCAGAGTTTGATTTACAATGGAAAGGATTAGAGCTGGTATAGGTGAGCTGGTGTAAGCTGTGAATGACTTTCACAGAAGTATTACTATTCTCTAGATTTTCTCATCCTGGTAGTGCATCCTTTTTCATGCGTCAAGTGACTTTCTCACAGGGTTGTTGAGAGGATTAAATGAAATAATAAAAAAAAAGTAAAGCAATTAGAACAGAGTCCAGCACATAGTAATGTTATATTGGTGTTAAATATCACCATCGCCATATTCACTATCATCATCATTGTCCTCCTCATCATCATCATCGTCATCACTCATGTCCACACATCTTTAAATGCCATTGGATATCAGTGACCAAAATGATGACCTTAGTTTCAGTACTAATATCAATACTGCCCTTGGTTGTGTGGTCTTAGGAGGATTTATAATAATAGATTTACCTAATCTTCCCAGAGCAAAGACAGATGTATTTTATTAATATACAACTAGTGTCATCACTTCTCATATATCATATACGACATTCTTCTTGGGGGAGGATGCAGGGTCCTCTTCTTGGAAAAAGTATCTATGACTCCATGGACACACATCCACTCACTTCCTATGTGGCCTTCACTCAGTATCCTTGATCAAAAGTGGATTCCATTCACATTCCATTCAATAAATACAGCTATTTTAAAGGTCACTTGAAAGTTACTAACAAGTAATAGCTCTGAAATGTGTGAAATAAAATTGAATTTATGATTGATTAGCAACTTTTTTCACAAATAATTTTATCTTCAAATTAAATGTAATTAACTGTTACAAAAGAGAAGTTATTTGTGATTTAAATGAAAAACAAATTTAGGATAAAACATACTTTGCTAGTGATCCATTTGTTCTTTCCAAGGGTAAATAACACATATTTGTATGAAGAGAACTATTATAATTTTAATAATACCTGTTGAGATATTCCTGTCCTAAAAGCTGCATGTTCAAAAATATTGATTTGGTAGTTTTCTTCCTGAATTTTCCTGAAGTAAACCTAATGTAGCGTTTTGGGTGCAGTGGCAATCACTAAGCACGTGGTTCTTTCAGTTCAACTTTCCTGTAATGCATATTCTTTTTAGTAAAATTTATTGCCTATAATACAATAAAATTTAAAAATAAAAGAGATTTAAAAGAAAGTCTTCATAAAAGTAAAATAAAAATCATTGGAAGAGAGGCAACATGAGTCTTCCTAGTTCACCCTTTACTTTTTAATTGAAAATCAGACAAAGGTGGAAGAAATACAAACTCAAAATAAGGTTAAAAATGATTAAATACATGTTATTTTTAATTCATTATCCTTACTACTCTCCTATTGCTGCTGGCTGAGGTTTGGGATCCCTGGAGTAGAGAAGTGTTCCTCTTTCTTAAAGTACTTCCTTAAACAAGAGTGCCGTTGAAACCTAAAGCAGTGTTCAGGTGATTTTGATGAGAATTACTGACTGTGTATTGTTTTTTCTTAGATATGGTGGTAATCTTTATAAGTAATAGTTATTACCAAGCTATTTTAAGAATTATTGATATAATAAATTCATTGTTTTTTTCTGATTTTAATCAATGTGTGATCAAAAGAAATCATAAATAAGGTCTGCATCAACTAGAACTAAGTCTCATAAAAGCACAAACTCAAGAGTAGGTTTGAAAATGAATTTGTGTACCTTAACACTCAAATTTGTTTCTGTTTGGGGTTTTAAAATATACAGTTTTCTGAGTATTCGAAAAATTACAAGACTCAATATAGAAATTTCAGAATTTGAAAGACCATATAAAGATTACTTTATTATAATCCTTCAAGGGGAAACTTGGTTAGAATTATTTCTATTTTAATTCTTCATAAATGGTGTATACAGGGAACATGCAAATATTTAACAATCAGTCTGCATAGGCATTGATCAATAGGAAGCATTGCTACATGTAAATAGTCAATCTGGATGAGTTATTCTTTGCTGAATATCATCTCTGCTGTGTGTAAACATATATATGTTAATAATGCATGCATTTACAAGTTTATATATTTGCTATAATGCATACATATATAATATACAGTCTTATAAATTTATACACTTTGAATGTAATAATTACAATTTTGATATTTAGACTATTCCTACTATTGTTTAGTTCTGATTAATCTGTGAAAAGAGAATAGTTACTAGGCAAATTAGAAATGCAAATTGGATTGATGGGGAGTATGAATTTTTAAACTACTCAACGAATACCTTCAAATCACCTGTTTATTAGCAATGACTATGCAAGTATAAATCATTCTTATCAAGAAGAAGTGAAGCTCAGAGAAAAACTTTTGCAGGACAATATTTTCTTATCACTGACAGGGTTACAGCATAGAATTTTAAATAACCTGCATGGCTTTTAAAGCTATTTGTTTGCATTCTTCACCAGTTAATTCTTTTCTTTCAGCGCCATGCCCAAGCAGTAAGTCCAAAGAAGTAAATATTTTACCTTATTGACATTTTATTTTACAATCTAACTTCCTTGTTAGAAAGGCAACTGAGCATACGTAGAATGAATTTAACAAACTTTTTCTTTAAGAGGTAAAATTATGTGTATATAATTTTATGTGTATATATGTGTATATATGTGTATATAATATGTGTATATAATCTCAATAGAAACATTGAGATTGTATCAGTACCAAATAACAGTGGAAGTTTTACAGATTTCCTTGAGGAGTTAAGTTCACCTTGCAGCTTGCACGTTAAGATATTCTCTTCCAAATGAGTACTCCTTAAATTATAAATCCACGAAGGAATCAAAATATTATCAAGACATCAGAAGGAAAGTAAAGAGTTCCACCTTTTTGCTTGTTCTTTTCAAGGAGTTTGTCTTGAGAATTCAGAAGGGTTCTTATAAGAAATACATGGGCTCATGCCAAGTGTTGGACTTTTTGATATTGGAGTGACCAGTGTACTCACCTTATTCTGAAGGAGGATCTCTTTGTTATAACATATCCACCTACATGATTTGGTTATTAGAAAAGAACACTTAACAGAGCAGTTCTTGAAATGCTGAAGCCTAATAAAAAATCAACTGAAGATTAGGTTTCAACACAAACTTAACACTTCATCACAGGTGGTAGCAGATCACAGAGTGCATTACGGAATAGCTTTGCCTCTCATTTGATGTGAAGGTGCTATGAGAGCACACGCTTTTACATTTATTTACACCCCAAAATGTCCTGTAACAGGAAATTCACTCCATCAGAGAAGAGCGATTTCTATACTCATTTGTGTTTGAAACATGAAAACAACATAACAGCTGCATGCTGCATTGAATAAAGAAGATACACATGCATTTAAATCACTTATATCTTACTTTTTTATGATGCATTTGTGAATTATGTTCTTTTTGCATCTGTAATTAGAGGGCAGAACAGATGGCGAAGGCTTCGTTTAAAGTGATATGTCCATTAAAATAACCTGTGCTGCCAAATGATTGTTCACTGTAACAGGGTATTCATTCACTATGGCAGGCACTTTGCTGTACTGAAATATGTTGCAAAGGCCCCTGGACTATACATGACGCTTATTATTTTTAAGGCTTTCCAATAAAAGGGTTCACTGTAGCACAGCTAGCTTTGTACCTCATTTATCTTCTGAGCATATGTTTTACTATATTGTTCTAATTAAAAAGTGACCTTGTATATAATGATCAGAACTCAGTGCTGAAAATGATTCATATAGGAGCTGGGGATATGAGAAGACAGTCCAAGCCATATTAAACTTGGCAGTGAGAGGGGAATGGGGGTGGTGGATTGTGGGGGAGAAAACCTTTTCCCAAGGTCAGAAGTGCAAAGAGTTCAGGAAAATCAGTTTATCTCTAGGACTAACAACCTCTTATTGCACATTATTCAGGGAGACTTTTGAAAAAAAAAACAAGAATAAAAACTAAAGGATAAAGGTCATCATAAAGTTTGTTGCGAAACTCATATAAAATTAAGCTATTTTGCATTCAGCCAAAGCATATTGACCTCTATGTTGTTCAAAGCTACTAAAGATGCACTTTGTTTTGCTTCGCTTTGTCAAGATATGTTAGAATTTTTTTTGGCATACCAGATTCTGTCTGCTATCATCATAAATATTATTGAACTTTCATTTTTATCACCTTGTAAGGACAAAGAGCTTTCAAACATCATTTTTTAGAATGCTGAGAACTCGGCAAAATAGTTATAATTTCTACACAATGAAGGAGAAAACGGCTTTAGAAAGATCATGAGAGTGGCTCTAGTTATCCAGTTGGTAAAGGCACTTAAAAATTATAAAAATAAACAATAGAAGACAACACAGATGACTTATTGGTGTAATTTCTGGGAAAAAGACTTTCTAAATCAAAACTGATGAAAAAAATCTAAATCACATGTTATAAATTTCACTAACAAAATTAAAATGCAAACATCTAAGTAGAAGAAAATATGTATAACTGACATGAAAGGAAAATTATTATCCTTAATATGTGAAGAACACATACAAATCAGCAAGAAAAGTTCTGAGAATCCCAGCTGGAGGGCAAGGGTAAAACCAGTTAGTTTAGAGGAGGAAATACAAAGCAATAATTAAGATAATAAATGTGTTCAACTTTATTTGTAATCAAACTATTTTAAAATAAGCAACAGAAAGTAATGTTTTCAACTAAAACTCTTAGGAGCCATTTTCAAAATGTTCAGTCACCTCTGGTGAAGACTCAGTAATATGGCAGTGTGGTTAAGAAAACTCGTTTTGGAAACTCGTGTCTAAAAAGCATTTGATTAATTTGTATCAAAAACATTAAAAATTGCATGCATTTTATCCCTCCATTCTACTTTTATAAGCAAGCACTACTAAGGAATCAAGCAGCAATGTGGATGCAGCTTTGTGAATTAGGATGTTAACAATAGTGTTATTTATTGATATTAAGAAAACTTGGAAACCACCTAAATACCAACACTTGAGTGATGGTTTGGCAAATTTTAATATTTGCATATAATGCCCAAATATTTCAACATTAAAAATAATGTTCTTAAAATTTGGGTTCTGTTTGCCTGCAAGGAAGAAATTCTATATAAAGTTGACTTGCATATAATTTTGCATTCCAAAATTCATTATGAAAATTTATTTCTGGCAAACTGAATTCTGTCGCTCAAGCATTCTCTTAAATTTTGGTTCCTCAATGGGAGATTCTCATACTTTGGCAGGTTTTCTGCACCAGCCTTTTTGTGAGTAGTTAATGATCTGTAAACAACCGTTTAAAGGCACCAGGGGAGTTCAGCACTTAGAAGAATTCTGTAGGGAACTCTTTTGTGAAAAGAAAAATCTTTGGGTAATACAAATATTCGTCCCTAAACAATTTTTATTTGTTTTAAATTTTACTTTAAAATCCTTTAGGTGGAGCTACCAATCATCATAAGAGTATTTTTATTTCTGAAAAAAAAAAAATCACTCCCATTTTACCAAAATAAATGTTTCCCCATCTT
Source organism: Homo sapiens (assembly GCF_000001405.40). Lineage (NCBI taxonomy): Eukaryota > Metazoa > Chordata > Mammalia > Primates > Hominidae > Homo > Homo sapiens. The sequence goes on along the minus strand of NC_000015.10, from coordinate 95,832,624 downwards.
CTTTAGGAAATTTTAATTTGGCACTGTAATGAGAGGGTGCACTGCGGAAGTGGAGAAATTTCTCAATGACAATGGCTTGGTCTTCAGATTATTTGCGTTGCTATTTATGGAATTCTATAAATATTCTTACAATCTTTTATTTATTTAACTTAATTAAATTTATTTATTTATTTATTTTGAGACAGAGTCTTATTCTGTTGCCCAGGCTGGAGTGCACAGGCACGATCTCAGCTCACCACAACTTCCGCCTCCCAGGTTCAAGCAATTGGTATGCCTCAGCCTCCCCAGTAGCTGGGACTACAAGTGTGTGCCACCACATCTGGCTAATTATTGAATTTTTAGTAGAGACGGGGTTTCGCCGTGTCGGCCAGGCTGGTTTCCAACTCCTGGCCTCAAGTGTTCCTCCTGCCTTGGCCTCCAAAAGTGCTGGGCTTAGAGGCATGAGCCACCACGTCCGGCCATATTCTTCCAGTATTTTAATGAGCATTGGTGATGTTGTGTGGAGCTTAGAAGTGAAGCAGCAAGCACAGTTAAATCGAGTAGGCTTTCCTGGGTCCTGCATGCTTGGAAAGAACTTAGAAATACCCATGAGGTCTATGCTGCTATGGAGGCACTGCAGAAAATCACAGTTCCCCCTCATGCGAGGTGCTATAAGAGTAGGGAACTGGATTTCCATGCGTAGACTTCCTGCTTAACTCTCAGGCAATCTCCCAGAGTCCCAAAATGTCCCAGTGTGGACTAAGATGATAAATAACACCAATTGTATAAGAAAATCACAAAGATTAACAAGACAGTAATATTGAAATGATTTTCAATCTTGTACAGGGAAATTGAGCACTTATGTGTTTTCACTGCTTTCTTGTCAGTTTCATCCCAGATTGTAAAATTCTATGGAACAGGTGCGAGGATGCCGGGCGCAGTGGCTCACGCCTGTAATCCTAGTACTTTGTGCTTTGGAGGCTGAGGCAGGCAGATCGCTGGAGCTCAGGATTTCGAGACCAGCCTGGGCAACATGGTGAAACCCTGTCTCTACTAAAAATACAAAAATTAGCCAGAGTGATAGCACACACTGGTAATCCAAGCTACTTGGGAGGCTGAGGTGGGAAGATCGCTTGAGCTTAGGAGGTGGGAGGTTGCAGTGAGCCAAGATGGTGGCCACTGCACTCCAGCCTGGGCAACAGAGTGAGACCCTGGCTCCAAAAACAAAAACAAAAACAAAAACACAGGTGCCAGACCACATTCACCTTTTCTTTTCCAGGACTTCTACTCTAGATACTGCCTGAGAGTCCACACTTCTGTATTTTATAAGTAGGTATTTTCTTCTCTTTCACTGGGCTGTGCATAAAGTACCTGCGTATAGTTTCTGAGTAAAGTGTTATTATATTTTAAGCTCTTTGGAGGATGGCCATATATTCCGAGGATCAATAGTTCTGCCAGTGTTTATGCTATTTTTATTTATCAGCATCTTCTCCATCATCATTAACTACTTCACACAAGGCCTGGACTAAATTTAAAGATGCTGTACCTATCCAGTAGGATCTAAGAATCTAGTCCCTTCATGAAACAATATGACTAATCAGTAACAGAGATTAAGTATTCAGCATTCCAGATTCTTTTTCACAGATGTAAAAATATTCCAGAAATATTTTTTATTGATTTAAAATGGAATGAGGCATAAAAACAGTACAGAACTAATACAGAATAAAAAATAGCTGAATATACATTGAAATGTGGTTGCCAAATATGCCTAGAGAAAATGGGTCTTTTGTGTTTTTCTATTACGAAAACTCAATTTTAAAATATCAATATTTTACGCTTTCATTTTTGATCTCTGACCAAGCTATTTGTCAATGTTGGAATGGTGTTCTGCAACCACTCCTTCTATGCCTTTACATTGTGAAATGGGTCTTGGCTGGTCATTCTTTTTCATCGAGTGCATCTATCTTTCTAGGTTAAGACTTTCTGTCTTTACCTCCCAAAAGGTTACATCTATAATAATTGTGTTATTCTACCTGCCATTGACCGTTTCTCAATTGTTCTAACTCAAGTATTTGTGGTTTTTCAGAAGGAATATGCTTCCCATTTCTTCCCATACATAGACGTTTGCTTAATGAATGCCTGCGGTTTGCTTCCTCTGCCCCAGAAAATTAAGAGGCCATAGATCAGGAGAGAAAATGCTAATTCAAAGGCTGAGCTTGGCATGGTTTGAAACTTTTGTCAGCCTGGTGAGACGGTTTGGAAATCTATGGTTTTTTCAGGAGATTTCTTCTGCCTGTGCAGGTTTTAATTCATTAAGGTCAATTCAAGAAGCTTTGCAGCTTTGCATGTCTGGCCACCCAGGTAAGCCAACCGTGTGTATGTGTGTGTGTGTGTGTGTGTGTGTGTGTGTGTGTGCGCCGTGAGACCTTGAGCACTGTTAATTCCAGTTGTGAGTGAAGGTGATGACTGACATGTTTTCACAGAGGACAGTTTTCAGGTCTTGAAGAGATCTGTTGGGATAAACACTTTCAAGATAATAGCACTGGGGCAGGACAAAAGCAGCATCATTGTGAAAATGCCTTCAACCTGAAACATTCTGATGGAACTATGCATGAACAATGGACACAAACTGCCTAATGTGGTATGTAAAGATAGCAATAACCCTTAATGGCAACTGTAAAATGAAGCATTATGTTAGCCAGCAGAAAGGAAAATGCAAATTGATTTTCTTTTTGTTTAGATGTAAGTGCTTATCAAGGTTAGTAGGTATTCAAGGTCTGTGACACCAGAATAATTTGTTTTATTATAATACATGTAAAAGAAGAGCGCTTGGGGCTTTCTGAGTGACTCAGATGACCAGATAAAATTCTACAGACTAGGCTTTAACAATCTCCTCTCAACATATCTCATGCTCTATCTGATGGGGAGAAGGAGATTCAGAACTGAAACCCTTCCAACAATGAGACGGGAGAATTAATCATTACAATGGGTGATAGCTGTTTATATTTTGTTCCTTGGTGAGAATATTGAGTTGAAACTTGCATTTTGACTTGAACTGTTTCACAGCTCCTTTTAGTAAAAGCCTTTCCAAGCTCTTTATCTCAGGCACTGCCAGGACACTGGCAAGATGTTCACTGTTGATTCTCCCCAATCACAGGGGCTCATTAGACAGCAGAGATTAGGGCGCATGTGAATCAGTTTGGTTAGAATATAAACCATACACAGCTCAACCACCACATCTCAATCTCTACTAATCTAAAGTCTATAGGACCCTTTATTCTGGCCCTGTCACCACCCCGAAGTAACAGCTTAATCTATGGATGCTGTCACATAGTGACACCTATTGTTGGAAGAAGCAGTTTTTGGCAATGGTCTAATGCATCTCTACCCAGATGGCGGCTCAGGAAGAGGGAGGCTAGGAGGGCAGAGGGAGTTCTTAATGATGAGCAAAGCTTTTCATTTGGAATACTGAGCCACAGTGAGAGCTCCTGAATGTCTTCTCCGAATAAAACTCAGCTCAAATGACAGACTCATTTATGAAGATGTTGGCAATGTTAAACAGGCCGCTCAGCATTTTCTTTCAGGTGTTAGGTGGATGCAAAATGCTAGTGGCCATTCTTAGGCATGCTAATGAACCAGATAAAGCCAGCTCTACACAAATGGACGTAAACACAGAAATGTTTTTACATAGAAACACACCTCTATTATTCTTAAAATTTGGTATTAGGATCTTCTTTCTTGTAGGTTACTGGGTCTTAAAATTTTCTTTTTTTTTTTTTTTTTTTGAGACGGAGTCTCACTCTGTTGACCAGGCTGGAGTGCAGTGGCGTGATCTCTGCTCACTGCAAGCTCTGCCTCCCGGGTTCACACCATTCTCCTGCCTTAGCCTCCCGAGTAGCTGGGACTACAGGCATCCGCCACCACGCCCAGATAATTTTTTTTTTTTTGGATTTTTAGTAGAGACGGGGTTTCACCATGTTAGCCAGGATGGTCTCAATCTCCTGACCTCGTGATCCAGCTGCCTCGGCCTCTCAAAGTGCTGGGATTACAGGTGTCAGCCACCACACCTGGCCACAATTTTCATAAAAAATGATGTCTTTCATTTTGTGAGTGGTTGAGCGATGGAAATAGCTAGTTAGTTGCTACTCAGGGGTATTGTACAGGTGTGATACCAAAAACATGCAAGATGTAGTCATTTTCTTCAGGGAACTTAAAATCAAATTTTGGGCTGGATGTTTTCTGGCCTCTCATGCTATTGCTCTGAAAATAAATGGGAGATTTTTCTTGGGAATGCATCATTATTTGTCAAGGGAAAGTCACTGAAAAGATTTTTGTTAATTAACAGTAATAAACTGTAAAAATAAAACAAACTGTATTAGTGATATCTTTGGTTTGCAATCAACAGAAAATAACTTGAGCTAGTTTAAGCCAAAAAAAAAAAGAATATTCATTGGAAAGATACTGAAAGTGTCATGGAAGGATTGAACCAATTGAACTCAAAGAGCAGTTAATTTTCAGCCTTCCCTCTGGAGACACACCATTAGTTGACTCAGCTCCCAGTACTTCTCTGTTAATGTAAGGAAGTTCATTTAAAAGGGAACCCGACTGGCCAACTTGGACGAGGGGTTGGTCAGATAATGTCACATCCTGTGTCCAGGGATGCAGGATTGTAACACTCACACTTGACTACTGAGGGGCCTTTCCTTGGATGAGGGAAAGTTCTCAATGAAGGAAAAAGTGAGAGTTAGACACCCCAAAATATGGTAGTTACAATGGTGGGATAATAAAGGTTCTCATTTTCTCCAAACCATTTAAGAGAAGCAAATGCTGGCTGAATAAGTTTCTGAATGGTGTAGAATTTACTTTTGTAGAAACTAATGATTTGGAACATTGGGGCAGTTTGAACCCTGACTGCGTACTGTTGTCTCTTTCAATCTGCTGTTTCTTGCTTTGTTGGTCAGGCTCCCAGTGATTCTGTACGTAGCCCAAATGGGTCAGCATTAGTCTCACAACCAAGTGATAATGTAGGCTCAGAAGAGGAGGCGATCTTGACTGTAGGATAAACTCCAAATACCATAGCATGGCACTTGAGGCCTTTCAGAGTCTGGCTTTCTTCCTTTCATAATCTGATTTTCCTTCTCAGGCTACACTGTTCCCCGGACATGTAGTGAAGACAAGTTTCCAGTTGCACATAGAACTTCTTGTATTTCCCATAATACACTGCGTATTTTCTATGCTGATGCCCCTTTGCTTATGCCATTTCTCTCAACCTGGAAAGCAATCCTTCTCTTCTACCTGGGAAACTTCTACTGGCCCTTGAAAATGCATACCAGGGCTCAAATATCACCTCTTCCAGGACGACCCCTTTGTCCTGAGCATCTATCAAAGTGCTTGGCTCTGCAGTGGTCTCACTCCAATCCCCAGAACATGTGCTCCCAAAGATGAAGAATATGTTTCTTCTTCACCTTTGCATTCTTCTCAACATCTAGCCCAATGCTGGCACAAGAAATGCTTTTTGAAAGAATGAAGAAGGTGGTGGAAATGTGACTATGAACTGGTGACCTCCAGAACATCTCCTCCTGCTGCTTCACAGAGCCTTGCAGCTGTCACCTGGACCTTCCTTCTGCAGCCTATAGGTGGCAATGAGAGGTTTCTCTCGGATGCTTTTCTTTTCTTCAGGTCTGATGGTAATGACAGATCATTCAGAAGCATGCTGTGTTTGGAATGAAACCAACACAGCAACAGTGTTATATACACTTCTGTCCCTATCAATTTTGACAGGATTTTTAGATGGGGATTTTATGACGAAAGGCTTCATATCCCATCACACCTTCCCTGAGCCATCCACTCCTGGGGGAATGTTTGTCCACAGTTGCAAAAAAGCCAAGCAAACCTGCAACATATTGTTGTTTCCTGGTGTAGGCAGCATCCCATTGTTCCTGTTATTGGCTACACAGACCCACATGCTATTTGGGTGTGTGATGTATGCACAATGTATGTATCCTGTGTATTTACATATTCATTTGTGCAAATTATACAAGCATATGCATGTATACAGCCATCGTTTCCGGACACAGGGTGATAAATCACACACACCCACACACACACACGCACGCACGCACATAAAAAGAAAGGAAAGAAAAAAATGATGAGTGTTTTCACTGCTTTATAGATAAGCATCATTTGTATATCAAACGTATGGGCAGAGGCACAGCATTTTAAGTGAGATAGGCCTTTCTAAATTTTTTACATCTTTCCTCTTTTTCACTGTGTCCATTTTGCTAAATCTGCTTACCAAAAATCAAGGCCAGTGTGCTAATTTGCCTAATTTGGAATTGGAGAGAAATGTGGATTGATTTTCAACTTCTCTCAGAATACCGGGGAAGGGCCATCTGTTAGAATTAACTGGGTGTGTAAATCCCTTTTGATGCATCTTCTCTGACAACAGGGTGGAAGAGTAACTGGTCGACCACAGCGTTCTCTCTACTCACAGTGAGAAATACACTGTCCCTCTGAGAAGTCCATCAGTTAATATTAACAAGGAGAAAGAGAAGGAATAACTTGGCAGGAAGCTCTGAATCTCCCCCTGACTCGATTCAGGAGATCATCAAGGAAGGAGTCTAGCTGTAAAGTATACCTCCCTTCCTCTGATGAGAGTGACGACCGGGGTGCCTGGAATCAGAGGGCAGCCTGCTCTCCTTTGGCAAACAAACACCCACTCTGGTAAGTGCCTTTTAATGTGCATCAAGTCTTTGTCTCGGAAAAGGATGCACAGTTGGCAAGTACAGAGCTGTAAGGGGATAGCTTTGACATGCTGATAAAGCTTCTCAGTTTACTTTGGACTTGACTTTATCATTTACTGAAGGATATTATTAGTGTGGAGATGATAGCCATTCTCTGACTTCTCCAGCGAAAGCCAGTGAAATGTATATGAACAAAAGGTCTGTTATGGAGACTCCTACCCTGTTTGTTCAGTGACTTTAGGATCCTAATCATACAACCTAACACAGATAAGGCCTGGAGCAGAGGAAAAGAGCCCACCCAGTTTGGGGCCCCCAGGAAGACTGGTGAAAGTCAGTCATGTTAAAAATGGAAGCTCATCCAACTCTGAGCATGTTTGTAGTTTTCCCTTATTGCAAATTTGATATTATAAAAATAGATTTGCTCTTTGGAGCCAGATGGCATGCAGTACTTCTGAAGTTAAATCCAGCCTTATGATGACAATGGCCATTGCCAACAAGGAACCACTTGGACTGTGATGCCAAACTCTTCAGCTCTTGGTGAGTCCTTTTCATCAGGCAAGCACTTCTGAAGCTGTCTGAGTGCAAATATACTTACACGCCCCTTCACAACAATGGGAATCTCACTGGAGACATTTTCTTGATGATTGCTTTTGGTGGAATCTCTTTTCTATTTGTTGTGTTTTTGCGTATGGTTTTCATCTGCCTCATTCTTGTCTGAAAAAAATAATTAAGAACACATAAATAATAACTTTGGCATTGATCCCCAATTAGCTGCTTGCTTTACAACATGATTTTACTGCTCATTTTCTGATGGTTTCGTTGATTGACTGATTGATTGATGCATCCATTCATTCTGTAACGTCTACCATGGCATCCAAGCACGATTGTAGGATCTGGTGTGAAAAGATGAACACACGGCTTATCGAGACAGGGCATTAAAAAGCCGTGACATCTTCGGAAACCCTTTACAGTTTTCTCAGCTCTAGCTTCTATGTGTTACATAGAAGATAATAATAGTAATTGTACCTCAAATATCATTTATAAAAGTGATTTATAAACTGTAAAACACCATGCAAGTGCTTTTGATTCTCAGAGACTAGAACTATCATTGGAATATTGTACACTTTAAGTGAATAAGAACATTTTAAGCATCTATTGCATGCTCAGAACTGTGTGAGTAGTTTTGTAGGTAAAAAGACAAATCTTACAGGGATTCTGTATTCAAGAAATCTATGAGAAGAAAATAATTTAGTCTTAGAGAATACAAAAATTTAGTCATGGAGTTAAAAAAACATTCCTACATAAGTAGTCTATTTGCCAGACAAGGCCGTCAACATTGTGATTCTCTGTGATTCTCAGCTCTGATGCTGTAATAACTCATTTTTAAAGATAACACCAATTATTTTAAGATATGCTACAAGCCTCTTTAAATACAAGAAACTACTCACTTTTATTTCACAAGCAATATTCTGCTTGGTAAACAATTTCCTAATTTTATGGCAGTTAGGAAACTTGATGGTCACTGAATACTGGCTACTTTTCTCTGTATTTTCCAGAAACAAAAGTGGTTTTCAGTAACAATTGGAAAATATTCATTCGTGATTGTTAAGAACAAATATTCAATTGTTTAAGCAAAATTCCCAAATGCAGCCTTGCCCCTAAAAAGTATTTAAATTTGGGCTATTTTATTAGTTATGTGATTTAAGATGGTAAGTTAACGTTTTGAACTTCAGCTTCCTTGTGTGTAGAATGGGATAACAATGCCCCATTTTCAAGATGTAACATAAAAATTTGTGCAGATCAACTGTATTAATTAGATGCAGGTTTTGTTTCTGTAACAGAGAGACCTTGAAATGGAGTGGCTTGATCAACAGAAGTTTCTTCTGTCCTCATGTGGCAGCCTGGTGGGTGGTTCATGGACACTCAATGGTATGGGGACCCAGCAAGTTTCCCTCATGGGTTATAATAACCTGCTTCTAACATGGAGACCAGCAAGACAGGTAGACCAGGCAGATAAGGGACACACTTAGCGACCAGAGGGGCTGGTCAAGAGCATCAGGGGCCTGGTCCACTCTGTTGCTACCACATGGATAATCAGAGAAGTGACTGCCTGCAGTTTTGGACATCATCTCATGGCCTTATGGGACTCACTGATGCCTCTCATGTCTCATCTCTTCTCAGGGCACCAATTGCATTTTTCTTACAGTAAGGATCATCATTTGCATAATTATTTGTTAGTATTTTTGCTTTTTATGAGGGTGTACTTTGCACCAAAAGGGACCTTACAATCTTGTGAGACTCGGGTTTAAAGTTGTAGGAACATTACATGATGTGCGTGTGTGTGTGTGTGTGTGTGTGTGTGTGTGTGTGTGTACCAGCATTGATGTGAGAGCCTGTGTGGGAAGGGATGCATTCAGTCAGGTAGAAGGGGGCAGCTGTAGGGGAGGCCTCCTAAACAGCCACTGGGGATCACAGCCTGGGGGAGGGTTCTCGAAGGGTGTCTTTATCCTGGTGGGATTGTATAACCTGGCAGTTGCCGCTGCTCTCTCAGAGCAGGCATCCGTCAATTCAGGGTCTATGGGGTTGCAGCGGAGGGCTCCCATTTCCCCCAGAGGCCACGGGTCTTCCCGGCTCTGAGTAGGTGTTCCAGATGGTGTGCAGGTAAGTGTCAGATGGGAAAGCAGCATGCATCCTTGACACCTCCCCTTCCCCAGAAGCCAGTTCCCTGAGTCTCTCCACGTTGCCAGCAGAGGCTCAGGTGCCTGGCTCTCCGCCCTGCTCCTGGAGTTCTCTTTGACATTGCAGCTTGTGCACCCTGCCCTGTGGAGTGTGAGAAATCACAGACAGCAGAGGCCATGGGCCGTGCCACCAAACAGGGATTCTGGCCCTGGCTCTCATTTACATCTCTCCCCTCTTCTTCTTCCCTTGTAGCTGGAAAATTGCAAAGTGTCACACTGTGATATCTCAGCCAGGTGTTGGACCCTAAGACAGTAGGAGGACAGGTAGTCACCTAATGTCCCTGCACAGTCAGGGGAAGATGAACTCAGGGGAGTTTGCTTTTACTGATACTGAGTTTGAAGTGACGCAGAAGTGGGAATGTCCAGGTAATTTAACCTGTAATAATAGAACCTGGGACATGGTCAGGTCTAGGGACGTAGACAGAGCCTCTCTGAAGTTCCAGGAGTTCTGTACCATTTCCAATTATTTTGAGCTAATTGGCATATCAGAAAATAAGGAATTGGAAAACAGGCTTATGGATTTTGTGGCATACTTAACATTTTTACATTTATCACGATAACCCCTTTAGAATATACAAACAATTCACCTGTGTTTTTAATCAAGATAATAATAAAGTTTCTAAAATATATTTATGTATGAAGGATGAAATAGTTTGGCTCTATAAAGGGGTATAGGTTAGATGATCATTCATCTCACTCTGCCTGGGACAGTCTTGGTTTACACCTGTTGTCCCAGCATAATTATTAATAGCTCTCAAAAGTGTGTTCTAGTTTGGATGATAAATGGTTGGGTCAACCTAGAAATATGTTTAAATTTGTATGCTGAAGGCCTATTCCCATACTCTCCAAGTGGCTCCATAACGCTATGTAAAGCTCATTTAGGGAAACAGCAAAAGTCTCAATGGTAGGAACAGTGGGAGTGGGTCCTAGGAACCAATATGGGAGTCACCCCCATAGACTGACACTGACTCAAATCCCCCAGGGCATTTCCTCAGTTCAGTACATGGATGGGGGATGCTCTCCAAAGCTTGACTTCCTCAAGTTGTTAATGATTTGAAAACCTTGTGATCCATGGTGTCCTGTGTGACAGTTGACATTACCAATGACAGACTTGATCTTCTGGGCCCTGTGGAACCAGGTTTCCATCCAGATGCTGCTATTTCTTGTGATCTCACGCAACTTAGGATGTCTCTCTGAACCTTTCTTTTATCACTTGCATATTGTGGAAGGATAATACTTCCTGCTCCAGTGGTCTGGCTGTATTAAATGAGATTTGTGTAATGTGCCTGCGGCATATTATGCACAAGGCACCAAACAGTCCATTTCTTCTTTAAAATATGTGTAAAATACTTAGGGTTTTAGTACATCTTTAAGTTCCAGTTGAGATTTGTAAGACAGAGACAAGACACTTGGGGCAATTTCACAGTTTTGTGAGTGAAGTCCCTCTAACCTTAGGGGCCCAGTTAAACCAGAAGCTGAATTTACCAGCAGACAGTAATGCACAGGTTCCATCTCTGCTCCTTATGAACAAGGCATAATTCTGAAATTCCCCACCACTGGAAAGAAATTTAATATTTAAAGGTAATTTGACCTGTACATGCGTGTATCATGAATATTTAATGAAACCTATAGCAAATGTATTTATATAGCATTAATCTGAGGATATTTATTTCTTATTCATATTCTAGGATATTATTTCTTGGGCAAATGTGAAGTTACCCTCTGTAAAAAATGCTCAGCTCTAAAGGTGCACTGAAAAATTGGAGACTGGAGCTATTCCGTTTTCTGCTTTAACTTGTCAACACTGCCTTTGCTCCCTAAAAAGGAGAACAATTCTAAAAGGTTAAGATGTATCCCAGAGACATTATGGCCATAGGGTTAGACCATCACATCTTCACAAGGACCCCTTTTGATCCTTTTCTGTTTATATAATGTCCAAAAATATAAAGAACAGTTGCACTTTTTCACTTTCCTTTCATATCAGTGATTTCACTCCTTTGTGATATTTCAAATGGTCAGTGCTTTAAATTAAAAGGTATGCATGATTCAATGTAATTAATAATGTGTAATTTAGAGAATTTTTTAAAATTTATTTTTCGAATAGGTTTGGACAGATACCTAGAATGCAGGTGTTTTTCTTTGATGTAGCTTCAATGTTGGGATTTTTTTTAAGGTGAAAACAAACATCAACAAGAAAAACAACAAATGAAAAGCACTGTGTCCAGATGCAATTTCGCACTATTTTGTTATGTTTTCACCACATCAGATGTGGTAGATTTGGAAAGAAAAAAATGTGACTTCTCGTCTGATCGTTAAAAATTTTTATTCTTAGAGTCAAGATCTCGCTCTGTCACCCAGGCTGGAGTGCAGTGGTGGGATCATAGCTCACTGCCACCTTGAATTCCTGAACTCAAGCGATCCTCCCACTTTAGCCTCCTGAGTAGCTGGGACTACAGGTGCACACCAACACTATGCCTGGATAATTAAAAAAAAAATTGTAGACACGGAAGTCTTGCTGTGTTGCTCAGGCTGGTGTTGAACTTCTGATCTCAAGTGATCCTCCTGTCCTGGAATTCCAAAATGTGAGTATTACAAGCGCGAGCCACAGTGCCTGGCCTTGATCACATTTTATAACTAAAAAATTCCTCAACATATCATATTTTTCTGTGAAAGGAAAAAGATCATAGGGAAATGAGTATTGACTCCTTTCTTATCTTGGCTGGTAGCTGTGAGCTCTAAGACTTGTCTGTCTCTCTGGTCAAAGGTACTATGAAGACTGAGTGTCTGAGAAAGTGTGCTTCCTGGACAAGTAAGTCATGACTGGAACCTTTTTCCATGTTTTGAATCTTTTCCATTTTATAATTATCTTGTTCTTCTTTACAATGTTACTCCAGTGAGGAAGACAAAACCAGTATTTATAATCAGCATATTCTTTTAAAAGATCATTAGCAAGATTTCATGTTTTGCTGTCTCATGGAAAAAAAATAAAATGTAAGATGAAAGCTTGTGCTGCTGAACTGTTTAGGAGCATAGAATTCCAAGGGAATTTTTTCAAAGACTATGTGTTTAAGAATTAGAGCCCAAAGGAATTGATGTGTTCACACTAAAATAAATGGTGGTTGTTCATGTGGAAGGTTAGTTCACATGTGATTTGATTACGGTAGTCACCAAGCTCCACCCTGACTTTCCCTGACCTTAATTGTCCAATGGATCTTAACATCCAGTTTGGAGATGCATTGCCATCTCTCTCTCTCTTTTTTTTTTTAATCTGAGACAGAATCTTGCTCTGTTGCCCAGGCTGGAGTGCAGTGGTGCATTCTTGGCCCACTGCAACCTCTCCCTCCTGGGTGCAAGCGATTCTTTGCCTCAGCCTCCCAAATAGCTGGAACTACAGGCATTCACCACCATGATCAGCTACTATTTGTATTTTTTGTAGAGACGGGGTTTCTCCGTGTTGGCCAGGCTGGTCTCGAATTCCTGACCTCAAGTGATCCACCCGCCTAGACTTCCCAAAATGCTGGGATTATAGGTGTGCGCCACCATGCCCGGCCACCATCTCATGTTTATACCTTCTTAGAGGCCTCCTTTGTGGCTCTAGAGCCCTTTCTTTTTCTCCGATGGGGATAGGCAGTGTCTTATAGCCAGTTGTTTTATCGGTTAGTATGACCCTAGGCTTTGAGATTTTGTGGAAAATGAGTTCCCCAAGCCAGAAAACAATTGTCAGTTCATGTGGCTGATTTCAGATGAATTTTCTGTTCTCAGCACTCAGCGGGCCTAGCATGGTACTGATCTAGTACACATAGACACATATAATGGAAACAAAAATTTCACAAAATAGTCCTTCTTACTATATGTGATTACATGATGACATTTGCTGTTCTATACTCTTCTATTTTATTTTATTTATTTTTTGGAGACGGAGTCTCACTCTGTTGCCCAGGCTGTAGTGCAATGGCGCGATCTTGCCTCACCAGAAACTCTGCCTCCCAGGTTCAAGCAATTCTCCTGCCTCAGCCTCCTGAAGTAGCTGGGACTACAGGCGTACACCACCAAGCCTGGCTAATTTTTTGTATTCTGGTAGAGATGGAGTTTCACTGTGTTGTCCAGGCTGGTCTTGAACTCCTGAGATCAGGCAATCTGCCTGCCTCGGCCTCCCAAACTGCTAGGATTATAGGCACGAGCCATTGTGCTTGGCATACTCTTCCATTTTATTAAAAAAAAAATTGCTTCTCACAACCTACTAATTTGGTTTCTCAGCCCACTAATGAGTCATGACTCCCAGTGTGAGAAGCATTGGCTCAGCACCCTAGCGAGGCACACTGCATTGAGTATTTGATCAGCGTGTATCTTGAATAACATAGTTTTTGTAATTTATTTTTATTTTTTTACAAAGGCCACGCATAGATTTTTCCCACTGCTGCTTCTTTAGTGATCTTTCCTCTGTAGTCCGGCTCCAGTCTTTCGGTTTTAGTCACAACAGAAATTTGCAGCACACTCAGAGAACCCTGGAGTAGGAACTATAAGTGGTGAGGAGACACGGTGATTTTGAAGCGTGGATAAGACTAACAGGTAACCTACAGGACACCCGGTTACATTTGAACTTCACATAATCAACGAATACCTTTTTAGTATAAGTTTATCCCATATATTGCATGGATATACTTACGCTAAAAAATTATCTGTTGCTTATCTGGAACTAAAATTTAACTGGGAATCCTATATTTTTATTTGCTAAATATAGAAACTCTAAACCCAAAGAACTGTGTTTTCCACTTACAGTCAGCTAATTGAGCTGAATTTCATTTTTCTCATTTATAAAATATGAGAGTTTACTTGAGAATCACTAAGGTCCTAGTTAGGTGTAATTTTTTATGGGTTTAATTTTTTATTTTTATTTTTCATGGATACATAAGAGTTGTACATATTTATGGGGTACATGTGATATTTTGAGACAAACATGTAATATGTATCCATCATCTTAAATATTTGTCATTTCTCTGTTGAGATCACTCCAAATCTTCTAGCTATTTTGAAATATACAATTATTGTTAATTATAGTTGTCCAATTGTGCTACCAAACACTAGATCTTGTTTCTTGTAACTGTATTTGTGTACCCATTAACCAGCTCCTCTTTACCCACCGCCTGCTACCCTTCCCAGCCCATTAACCACTGAATATTCTACTCACTGTCTCCATGGGATCCCATTTTTTAGCTCCCCCATATGAATGAGAACATGCAAGATTTGTCTTTTTGTGCCTGGCTTATTTAACTTAGCACAATGTACTCCATTTCTTTCCACGTTATTGCAAATGACAGGATTTTATTATTTCTTATGGCAGAGTACCATTCCGTTGTATGTATCTACTGCATTTTCTTTCTCCATTCATCTTCTGATGGACAACTTAGGTTGATTGGCTTGGCTATTGTGAGTGGTGCTACAGTAGACATAGGAGTACAGATATTTCTTCAACATACTTACTTCATTTCCTTGAGATATATACCTAGAAGTGGGATTTCTGGATCATATGATTGTTTTATTTTTAATTTTTTAAGGAACCTCAATACCATTGTCTATAGTGGCCATGCTACTTTATGTTCTCACCTGCAGCGTATGCAGTGTATGAGGGTTTCCATTTCTCTGCATCCTCACCACCATTTGTTATTTTCTGTCTTTTTTTTCTTTTTTTTTTTTTGAAATGGAGTTTCACTCTTGTTGCCCAGGCTGGAGTGCAATGGCGCGATCTTGGCTCACTGCAACCTCCGCTTCCTGGGTTCAAGCAATTCTCCTGCCTCAGCCTCTCAAGTAGCTGGGATTACAGGCATGCACCACCACACCCGGCTAATTTTGTATTTTTAGTAGAGAAGGAGTTTCACCATGTTGATCAGGCTGGTCTCAAACTCCTGACCTCAGGTGATCTGCCCATCTCAGCCTCCCAAAGTGCTGGGATTACAGGTGTGAGCCACCACACCTCACCTATTTTCTGTCTTTTTGATAATAGCCGTTTTACATGGGGTGAGATAATATCTCATTGTGGTTTAAGATATAGAACTTTGGAATATATAGTACTAAAGAATACTAGGTGTTGAATGAATAATATTGAAGAAAATTTTGTTTTTTATGTTTATGCTGTGATTAAATTATGTGAGTGTGTATTTAATTGGTGAAGAATTAAGTGATAAATTCCTAAGAGAAAGAAAGAACAATGCATTGGGTGATTTTGCTCAGTCTTACTCTCAAAATCATATGTACTGGATTAAACACATGACGTAACTCACAAATTTGCTATTTCCTTACTAACTCCTAATTCTTGTAGGTTTCTCATCATGAGAGAATCTTGCTTGTATGGTAGTCATGGACTGTGGTCTCTGCGATCTTCCTCCAAAAAAGGAGTTGTCATTTCACTTCAAGGAGGGCAGTTAGCTGACAGCTTGTAATACGGCACCTTCAGGATCAACTGCAGCTTTTGAGCTGAGTTCATGCTCCTTTCACACAGGACTATGCAGTGCCTGAGCGTGGCAGAGGCACTAGGGCCTGGTGTTTTCTGCCCAAGGCTGGGCCCTCTAATGGGCACTTTTTGCACTGGAGCTCCCTGTTGGCTTGGCTATAGCTTGTCAGATCTACATTGCAGTAGGAGGGTCTCCTTGCCAAATTCTGCTTTTCCCTTTTTTTTTGAGGTGGAGACTCACTCTGTCCCCCAGGCTGGAGTGCAGTGGCACCTGCAATCCCAGCACTTTGGGAGTCCAAGGCAGGTAAATCACCTGAGGTCAGGAGTTTGAGACTAGCCTGGCCAACATGGTGAAACCCAGTCTCTACTAAAAATACAAAAATTAGCCGGGCATGGTGGTGCGTGCCTGTAATCCCAGTTACTCAGGAGGCTGAGGCAGGAGAATCGCTTGCTCTTTTTTTTCCTTTTGTCTTTCACAGGCATTAGCCCCCCTCCAGTGAGCCTCCCTCATGCACCCTGCAGATTCTGGGCTCCCTCCAATTCCTCAAAGCCTCAAGAGGTGGATCCCTCCTTTCTACGGAGAGCCAGCTTTCCCACTGCATGGGGAGGCACTGCAGAGTTCTCAATCTTGCAACAATCACAGAGCCCACCTCTGGAGGTGCCCCACCTTTTCTCCTGGCTACGAAGCCAAAACTAAAGTTAAGTCACAGCTTACTTGAGATGTGCTAAGCCTGTTGAAGATGATATGCCAAGGAGCCTGTAAGAAAACCATTTGTGCTGGAGGAAACCATGGCAGTTCCCATGGACTGGATTTTGAGGGTGCCTGATTAAGGTGTCCAGACATAAGATGGGGATGCTCTCAATATATGGGATTTAACACCAGGGAAGAACAAAAACTTCTTGAGAGAATGGCTCCTAGAAGTCTGGAAAACAAGCTGGCCCCCATGCTGGGTGAAGATCCAAAGTTCAATGGCTATGGCAGATGGTAGAAGAAAGGACTAAAAGGCTCAGCACAGAGGCTATGCTGGAGAGGGTGTAAGATTTGAGGCCAGGGGACCCACCAGAAGATTATGTTCCTCAGCAAGGCCCAGACGACTCAGCATTCCCAGGGCTGCTGCACATGTGCTGATGAGACAGGCACCTGCATCTTTAACTTTTGTGAAAGTTCTGTTCTGCAGTGGGGATGATGGTGTCTCAAAGCAATAGACATCAGGCAGTAACACGTAACCACCAGCATCCAGGAGCAATTTGTAATGATTGAGAAGATCACAGTGACGAGGAAGATGGACAGACCCACGGAGAATTGTGGAGATCATTTATACAATGAAATAGGAACAGTTTTCTAAGGGATGAAATAGGTAGGCAGTGAATAATGGTACTGCCTAATACATGTAATCAAAATAACAAATTCCACACAACTAGGATTATTTCTGTGATCTACAGTCTGTCCATTCTGAGTGGGACCTGGAGCAGGAAGAGGGTCTGCCCCAGGTGCAGGCTGCGTTCAGGCATCCCTGCCATGTGCACCATGTGTCGGCGGTGGAAAGTGATGCAGAGATGAGGTCATGACAGTGGGGGATTCTCAGTGCAGAGCCCTGGGGTTCTGCAACAAAGAGAAGCCATTTGCAATGAAGAACTGTGCATCATCATCCCACTGTACCCTGGGAGGGAAGGAGTGTTTGAGAATAAGTGACCATGCATCCAGGCCTTCTATTATGAGCTGGATTCTGCCAGAGTCATCAGTTCATCAAGCCAGACAAGCATCATAATAATCTATCACAAAATGGAAATGGAACAGCTGAGATTGAGCCCAAGCAGAACCAGAGGGCATGAGTACGCGGCATGATAGCCTTGTGTCCCTCGCTCAATTCACACTGATGGCCCTATGGGGGTCCCATAAAACAAACTGAGGGAAGGAAAATAAATTACCAAAGTTGATCAACAGGTAGATTATCTCAGTATAGCAGTCCAAGCTAAAATGGACAGCTGGCTGCATTGTAGCCATAGTCAAGGGTAGCCTTGAAAGATAGTGGTGACATAAGACCTTCCCAATGAGACGGCTTTACGTGATGCACTTGATCATGCACTTTATGTAGCAGGGAGAATGGCCTGAGCAAAGACTATGTAAATATTCATGGGCAGTGACTACAAATAACACTGGACTGGCTGGGCAGGGGCTGAATGGCCTGGCCTAGCTAGGCAGGGTCTGTTATAGAAAAAGACTGGAAGATCACAAAGAGGCAAGAAGAAAAGTGAAGATATCCCTTACAGCCACACTCCGGAATAATCTATAAGAAGGGAAAAGGTGAAATTGACTCAAGAAATGCTGATGGATGCAGGACCTAAGGTGGTGGGGGCTGGGAAGATCAGTCACAAAATCTCAGATAATAGAACCCAAAAGACATCACTATTTGAAGGAGACCAAGAAATAGCAAGAACACTCACACCGGAAAAAAATCAATCACTGTAATATGTCTATTGCAATAAAATTGAACTACCTTACAAATGTTTTGAGAATTAAGGGTAAATTCTAAAATACTTCTACGTGTTAGAAAGAATAAATGGAAACCAGGAACAGAAAACCAAACACTGCATATTCTCACTCATAAGTGGGAGTTGAACAATGAAAACACATGGACACAGGGAGGGGAACATCACACACCAGTGCCTGTCAGAGGCGGTGGGGAGAGGGGAGGGAGAGCATTAGGACAAATACCTAGTGCATGCGGGGCTTAAAACCTAGATGATGGGTTGATAGGCACAACAAACCACCAAGACACATGTATACCTATGTAATAAACCTGCACATTCAGAACAGGTATCCCAGAACTTAAAGTAAAATGAAATAATAAATAAATAAAATAAAATATAAATAAATAAATGGAAATTAAAAGCCTAACATTAATTACTATTAATTTAAGGTTTGGATATCTCAACCATATCTTCATTTACCATGCTATTATTTTATTGTAGTTAAGTACATTTTTGAGGGTTTTCAGAGATTTATTCCAGTTTTATTTTCACATCAATCATAGATTCCTTAATTGCCAAATTTTCCACTGTGGGAGGTTTCTGGAATCTAATACCTATTGTCAAGGAAAAGCTATGGTATCTTGAATTTTCTTTTAGGGGTTGATGTCACATGCAGGGAATATATGATCTCACTATGAAAGGCCCCTCTTACACTGAAAAATTTCCTTTTCAGCTCACCTTAATAGTATCTCTTCAGGCAATGTAATCTCGATTTTTCTCTAGCTTTACTCACAGGTTTGTTTTCTGCTATTATAACCATAATTATTGTCATTATTAAAACATTTATAGGCTCTTATGTCTCACTCAGACTGTGAAATGCAAGTACTCACAATAGCGTGGCTGGGGTTGGTCACTAATCATTGAAATGAAAAGCGACTCTTGTAGATTTTACACACCTTCCTGTTCTAGGGCTTTCTTCATTTATGAAAATAACTTTTTGTTATTACAAAAGTTGTTTGTTGACATCTTCAGAAACGTGCAGTTAAAATTTTTTTAATTCCAAAATTACGTTTAATCCCACCCCTAAGAGATGGTTGACTACAAACATCACTTCTACCTCCACATACTACTTCCTCCCAGCTGAAGAAGAAATAGACCAAATCGTTTTACAAATAGTTCATCTCAGTATGTGAGTACATGCTGAAAATGGAGAGGAAAATGATAGAGCAGATGGAGAAACAATAATGGGAAATAATAGAGGAAAATTTTCCTGATATTAAGAAAAATGTGAGTCTTCAGATTAAAAAATTTACTGAGTGCCTGGGTAAAATGATATCAGAGGAAAGATAATTAAATCTAATGTAATTCGAATGAAAATTCAGAATTTAAAAATGAAAAATGTTAGTAATATTAGCATGGAAAAAGAAGGTAACAGAGAAAGGGGGAAGAGGTAAATTTGGCATAAATGTTTTCTCTTCATAAATCCTTCTCTTTTGGGGATGAAAAATTGTGATCCAAGACTTCTAAACAAAGGGAAGCCATGACTCATTCATGCATGAGGGTTAAACAATGTTCTCGGACACACAGGTCTCAGAAAATAAATCATTCTGAAACTTTGGTCAAAAAAAGTACTTAAGGACATATTCCAACCAAATAATTGAATAAAAATAACAGTCATAAGAACTGAGAGAATATGATGGAAAAGTAGAAACAAATGAAACTCATAAACCTTAGAGTTTGTTTCATACTTACAGGCAAAATATAGTTAAAGGATACAATGATCATGCTAAAAATAATCATTCCAAGGGGAGATTACTAAAGTAAAAATAATTTATCAATAATCATCTACACTGCAAATCTGAAATTACTGAGAAGTACAAAGGAAGGAGGAAAATAAAAGCAAGATGATCGAGTGAACATACTTTGGGTTATAAATATTGTTTTATGATTGATATTAATAGGGGAATCTGCAGGATGTGTAACTTTCTAATCACTGGAGAGCACAAGAAATAGCAAAATGTGGAAAGTGCTCATTTTTTATAAAGACTCATTTTTTTCACTAACAAATTTTAGTGATTTTTTTCCCACATGTGTAAATATTCTTTCTGATGATACCACAGAACAGAACATTTATTTATATAACTACCCCCTAGGGTTTTTTCTTTTTTCTTTTTTTTTCTTTTCTTTTTTTTTTTTTTTTTTTTTTCTGAGACAGAGTCTAGCTCTGTTGCCCATGCTGGAGTGCAGTGGTGCAATCTTGACTCACTGCAACCTCCAACTTCCGGGTTCAAGTGATTCTCCTGCCTCGGCCTCCCGAGTTGCAGGGATTACAGGTGTGCACCACCACACCTAGCTAATTTTTGTATTTTTAGTAGAGACAGGGTTTCACTATATTGGTCAGGCTGCTCTTGAACTCCTGACCTCGTGAACCACCCGCCTCAGCCTCCCAAAGTGCTGGGATTACAGGCATGAGCCACTGCGCCCGGCCTATATAAATACCCCAGAGTTTTTTAAACCGACATCCTATATTTAATGTATTAGATACTGTTGCCCAGTTGTATTTCAGAGAGTTTGTATTGTTTTCCAGCCCCACCAACAATGAATGACAGTGTCTGTCTCCTCACATCCTAGCCAACGTGCTGCTAAAATAAAAATATATCATTGCTGTCTCATTTTAGCCCAGTCACTAAATTTTTCATTCACACAGGAGATTTTTCCCGCCATGAAATAAAATGTTTAATTTTGCTTAAAAATGAGTTAGTGATATATTTATGTGTCAAGCATATTTTTTTTCCACAAAATAATTTAAAACCTGTCTTTCAGAATAGAACTAACTGCTAAATCCTTTCGGTTTCAGCAAATATTTTGTTTGGGGCCAAAATTATAGTCAAGTACCTTCAAAATATTTGGTAATAATGATCATCATTCCATTTGATAAGGCAAGAGCCCTTTGGTGCAAACACTTAAAAAATTAATTGAGATTATGATTAGGTTTGGGTAATCATTTTGCAAGTAGTATTTCTGATTTTAATGTATAGTGTTCAAATATTCATTTTCATGTGTATCTTGCCATAGGGAGGAACCTAATTATAAACTACTATATTTTTAAGAGATTTTTTTTTTTTGGTAACACTTTTGTCACCATTCCACCCCCACCTTCCCCTTTTTTATAAAAGTGGAAAATTACATAAAGTATAATATGACATATCAAGAAATGTCAAGAAAAACATACGGATCTCAAGTAAAAGCAGAATCTGACTATCCAGCATGGCTGGTGGAAGAAAATATAATTTAAGAATTTTTATTATCACAAGAGAATCTTTATTATCACAAGAGAATGCCAAATCATGGATAATTTTTGATTGTGTATAAGTTTATACCTATGAAATATAAAATATACTTTTATTAAACATCACAGATAAAACCGTACTTTGGTGGGCAGTTTGGTAATATTGATGCAAACAAGCCAATGAACAAAAAATACATACACATTGCTCTGGCAATTCTAAGATGTTCCTTACATTTTTGAATATAATAATAATGTCAAAAAAATCATGTGAACTGTCATTGTTGCATATTGGCTAAGTAAGTTTAAGTGTATTCTTCTGAAGTGACATTATGTATCCATTAAGAAGAATAAGGGAGAACCAACTGTTAATATCGATTAGCAGTTATATCACATCGATTCCATGTAAGTTACACAAATGTTCCGTAAACATATAAAAGGTAAACTGAAAATTAATGAAAAAAATCTTTGTGACTCAGGGACATTGAATAACTTTTAAACAAAACATTCAAATCACAGACCATAAGAAAAACTGTATTTGATGACACTAAAAGATTTCAGATTAGTAATAACATGCATAAAGTGAAGGAACAGATGACAACATAAGAGAAGATATTTGTAATGTTGAAAATTGACCAAAAATTACATTGAATATATAAGAAGCTCCTGCAAATCAACATAAAAAGATACCCCAAGATAAAAATAGACTAAAATGTGGATAGGCAATTTGTCTAAGTGGAAATCTAAAACTGTGCAATTTAGAGAAATTCAGATTACAGCAACAATGACATAACCTTTTACTTATTAAAAAGTCAAAATGTAGAAAGCTGGGTGATACCTACTAGGAATGGCGACGTGGGGATACGGAGACCCTGGTGACCTGCTGGTGGGAAAACAAGCTGATACAGCCATTTTGGAAAGCAATCTGATAGTATTTAGACAAATTAAATACGTGCATACTAGAAAAACCAGTGGTTTCGCTCTTAGGCATATTTACTAAAGAAAATTCTCATTGGGATTTACATAAGGACATGTGTAAGTGTGTTTCTCTCAGTGTTATTTGTGGTGTGAGAAGTTCGAGGCAGTATCTGGATGCCTCTTCTTGTGATAGTGAATAGGTAAAAATGGTGAGGTACACCACGGAGTACCATGTAAAAACAGAAGAGAAAACATGCAGAAATAGGCATGTAAAACAAGTGTGGAGGGGACAAAGTAAGATGTTGAATGGGATGTATAACAAATACTATCTATGTAAATTAAGAATGCATGTAAATTAAATGTTGAATACATCGTTGGCATACAGCGATACCAAATTTGCTATAAACATCCAAACAAAACGAATGATTGTTTGTGGTTAGAGAGTAGGGGTGTGAGAACTAGGGTGGAATGGAGATAAATGGGATTAAACACATAATTAAAGAAGATCAATGATAGTTCTGTGCCAGACACTGAGGAAGATGCTTAAAGTCCCATCACCTCACAAAAAATAAATCAGTAAAAAATGAAAGATGTCTTAATCATTTGACATGAACAATTTTAAAAGAGTTTGTTTCATGAAAATTACAAGTTGCAGAAAAGAATGTGGCATGTTACTGTGCTATATGTATATATAGTTGAGTATGTATACACATGGATATATGTACAGTACATATCTATCACATGAATATGAATACATTCATATAAATATATAAACATATGCAATGCATGTATTATACGGACATGCATATATACGTATATATATATAAAATTAGAATTATGTAATTTTTTAACCATCATCACATATTGCATTTTCTCTTTTTTTTTGAGACAGAGTCTCGCTCTGTTGCCCAGGCTGGAGTGCAGTGGTACAACCTCTACCTCCCAGGTTCAAGCAATTCTCCCACTTCAGCCTCCTGAGTAGCTGGGATTACAGGCACATGCCACTACGCCCCACTAATTTTTTGTATTTTTAGTAGAGATGGGGTCTCACCATGTTGGCCGGTCTGGTCTCGAACTCCTGACCTCAAGTGATCCACCTGCCTTGGCCTCCCAAAGTGCTGGGATTACAGGCATGAGCCACCGCGTCCAGTCCACACATTGCCTTTTTTTTTTTTAAATGAACAAATCGCAAATATGGGAGTTTTAAAAATATTTCAAAAGCTTTGTTTTTGTCTACAAAGTCAGACGAGATTGGGTGTCTTCAGACTGGTATGGCCATAGACGAAAGCATTGTTTTCTATAACAGTCATTTCAATAATACTTTAGTTGACTTTAAAATCATACTTATAATGTTGTTTAGAAGTAATTGGAATGACAGTTTGGTGAGTGAATTGAGGTGGAATTTTGCCAAATACATTTTATACACTTTTTCTTAGTTTTTGCAATTAAAGTTATCATTTCACACTAAAAGCAGCATAGTTCTCTAGATCATTTTTCTTTCTTAAAGGGTTTTCTTTTCTTTAAGCATAACTTAAACTCATAAAAATCCTCAAATCATAAGTGATTATATTGGCAAATTTTCACAAAAATCACCCTTGTAACCATCACCCAGATCAAGATATTCCCAGTGTCAAGAGTACTTACTGTTCCCACTCTAAACTTCTAAAACCATAGAAAATGTCTAAAACCAAACTTCTGAAACAGTAGATTAGTTTTTCCCTTAACTGATATTATTGGAGTCATACAGTAGGTATTCTCTCATGTCTGCTTTTTTTTGTGTAGCATTACATTCACAAGATTCATCCACTAAACAAGATGTGCAGAAGCTTTTTGCGTTCCCATTGCTGTATAGTGTTCCGCTGTAGGAATATTTCGTAATTTACTTACCCTTCCTATTGGTGGGCTTTTGGATGGTTTTCATTCTAGGACTTTTATGAATAATGTTTCCATGACATTCTTAAACATGCCTTTTGGTGCATATCTGTATGCATTTCTCATTTTTATTCCTCATATTGGTTATCATGTCTTTTATTCTTGATCAATCTTGTCAGGATTTCATTAATTTTGATGCTGTTTTCAAATATGCAACAACCGGGTGGTTTAATTCTTTCATGTTTGTTTTGTTATTTCACTTGTTACTACTCATTATTCCCTGCCTTCTACTGTCCTTGGCTCAATATTCTACTATATTTCTAACTTCTTGTGATGGATTTGAAGATTTTTTTTAAAAAAATTTCAGGCTTTCTTCTTTTCTAAAACCTATAGGTAAGGCCAAATTTTTTCTTCTCAGTGTAATGTAAGCTTCCTCACACAAGTTTGGGAATCTCATATGTTCACTGCCATTTAGTTAAATAGATTTTAAAATTATACTGTTGGCCGAGCACAGTGGCTCACACCTTTGATCCCAGCACTTTGGGAAGCCGAGGCGGGTGGATCACCTGAGGTCAGGAGTTCAAAACCAGCCTGTCCAACATGGTGAAACCTCGTCTCTACTAAAAATAAAAAAAAATTAGCTGGGCATGGTGGCAGGTGCCTGTAATCCAGTTACTCGAGAGGTTGAGGCAGGATAATTGCTTGAACCTGGTAGGCAGATGTTGCAGTCAGCCAAGATCTTGCCATTGTACTCCAGCCTTAACAACAAGAACAAAACTCCATCTCAAAAAAAAAAAAAAAAATTATGCTGTGTGTGTTTAAATCCACATGTAGTTGAAAAGTGTTTCGCTTCATTTACAAATTAATGGGCATTATTTAAGGTGAGTCTTTACAAAACTGACTTCTAGTTTAATTCCACCACAGTTAGAGATGTACCCTGAATGATTTCAAAGCTTTGATAATTTTTGAGATTTTCTTTCTAGTCGACCATATGGGCAATTTTGGTAAAAGTTTAGCATACACTGGAAAAGAATGTGAAAAGAATTCAATCATTACATACAATGTTCTCCATCTGTATCAATTAGGACAATTTGGCTAATCATGTTCAAATTTTCCATATCTTTACTGACTTTGTCTTGTTGTTCTATTAGAACTAGAAGAGATGCTTTAACATTTATTTCTCCTCTTTGTGCTGTCATTTCAGGCACCCTAAGTAGAGGCCACACCATTATATGCATACACATTTTTAATTGTTATTTCTTTTTAATAGGTTTATTATCTTAACATCATGAAACATCCTTATATATAGTTATGTTTAGATCTTAAAATCTAACATTATTTACACTAGTTTTCTTTTATTTTCTTATGTTTTCTTATATTTAACGTGTGTTTCTGGTAAACAACATATAGAATTTTTTCCTAAGGCTTGACAAACATCTTTTATTTGGAACGTTTATTATTAGTATTACTGTTATGTTTTGCTGTATATTTATGTCTTATTACTTATCTGCTCAGTTTTTCTCTCCGTTTTCTGTTTTTGCCTTCTTTTATATTATTTTTAATATTCCATGTTCCCTCTGTTAGCATATTTCTCATATATTATTTTATTATTTTGTTCATGATTACTTAGACATAGCTACATTCATTCTTAATAAAAAATAGTACTTTTAACAACTTTTGGACCACTCAAAGAACTTAGAATACTTCAACTTAATGTACACATTTTATGTGCATTATAGATGTTGTTGTGTCATAGATGACATATATTTAAATAAGGCCTATGTTTAGAATCTACCAAGACATTATTGTAGTCCATAATCATTTTTGTTTAATCACAAAGCACTATTTTTCTCTGCATTTCAATGCTTCCATCAAGACTCATTTTTCTTCTATCTGAAGAACTTTATACTTTATTTTTTTGTGGATGGATTCTCATTCTGTCACACAGGCTAGAGTGCAGTCATGCGATCTCAACTCACTGCAACATTTGTCCCCTAGGTTCAAGTGATTTTCCTGCCTCAGCCTCCCTAGTAGCTGGGATTACAGGTGTCCGACACCACACCTGGCTAATTTTTGTATTTTTAGTAGAGTCAGGGTTTCACCACATTGGCCAGGCTGATCTCGAACTCCTGACCTCAGGTGATCCACCTACCTCACCCTCCTAAAGTGCAGAGATTACAGGCACTGTGCCTGGCCTATACTTCTTTTAGTGCAGACATGCCGGCAATGAATTTTTTCTTTTTGCTTGAGATGTCTGTTTTGTTTTCATTCATGAAGTATGTGTTCACTGAAGTACATAGTATACAATTCTGTATGGGCGCTAGAAATATTATTGTAGCACTTCAAAGATCTGAGTCTATTATTTTATGCATATTGTTGTTCTATTGAGAAGTCTGTTGCTTCTTTGAAGATGTCTGTCCTTTCTCTGACTTCTCTTAAGATGATTTATTTGCTCTTGATCGTCAGAAGTTTTGACGTGATGTACACATGTATCATTTCTTTGTATTTATCATGTCTGGGGTTGATTTATTTAATCACATTTGACAAATCCTTAGTATCTCTTCAATGATGGTTTCTGTTCCATTCTCTCTTCCTTCTCTTCTCACTTCTAATTGAAGTGCCTCTGGCACTTCAATTGCATATGTGTTAAACATATTTACTGTGCTCTATATCTTTCTCATACTATTTTTGTTTTATTTTGTATTTTTCATTCTTTTCCTTTTTTGTGCTCCAGTCTGGATATTTTCTTTTAACCAATCCTCTGGTTCACTAATCTTTTCTTTGGCTGTACCATCATTTGAGTTCTTAATTCTAGTTATATTATTCTTCACTTATAGGATTTTTCCTGATTATTTCTTCATCTAAATTTCATTTAACATTTCAATCTAATATCTTGATACTGATCTTGAATGTATTAACTGTTAAAAAATAGTTGTGTTAAAATTCATGACTGGTAACTCCAATATCAGAATTTTCTAAGGCCTGTTTTTATTGTATGTATATTCTATTGGATTTTGGTGAGTTCTTTCCTAGTGTACCTAATTCATTTTTTAAAATTCAATGCTTGACGTCATGTATAAAAAAAATGGAGACAGTTTAAAGCTTTGAAAAGTATTATCTTCTTTCTGTGAGGTGTTATCTTTTTTATTTTGCATTACAAGCAGTTTAGAAAAGGGAATAATACTTTCATTTAATTCATGCATCAGTTGTGTTTAAAGCTAGGCTGAGGTCTTTGAAAGAAGTTTTAGTTGCTGTCTAATGCTAGGATTTATGTTTTTCAAGATCCCAGTTGAGAACCCTGGGTGTTTATCAGGGGCCCTTTACCTTATGGTCTCCAATATTGTCACCCCAGCTACAAAAGACTGGAAGCTTGGCCCAGCTTCTCAGTTGTCACTTTCTTTTCTGCTTATCAACTGTTTTTGGGAAATCAGAAGTTGCCTCTAGGAGAAAAGTGATGTCAAATGAGAGCTTGATTTCTCTCTGCTTCCCTTATCTCTGGAATCTTAGCCTCTTTAGTTTTGCTGCTTAAATAGCTGTTGGGTGCTTTTGTGTGTGTGTGTGTGTGTGTGTGTGATAGAGATAGAGAGAGAGAGAGAGAGAGAGAGAGAGATCCACTCTGAAGTAATTTGGTTTTTGCACATGAAATCTTTAGTCATATATGCATTGCTTCTCAGACCATGGCTGGATGAAGAAAAAATCTTTGACTAAGTATATGGGCATATTTTTGCCTAGTTTTCCAATTATTTCACTTAAAAATCTAAATCTAAATTTCATTTCACAGAGAACTGTTAAAATATATGTATTCCAATTTTTGAGAGTTGCCTATAGTTTTAATTAAGCCTCAGAAACACTTTAAAATGATTTCTTTCAAGAGTATAATTCTCAAAGTAAGAAATATTAGTAAGAAAGATTTTTTAAAATTAAAAAAATTGATTTTTAGAAATAACCATCTAATTTATACTGTACCTAATGAATAATTAATATATTCTGTTAAGCTGAAAAATCAGTAGATATTACCAATATAATTTTGCAGTACATTGATAACATTACCATTTGCAGCTATATTAAAATAGTATTTGTCATTGAAATATCAACTTTTTTTTCAGATTTTAAAGAGATTTTCCCAAACTATGAGGACATTATTGGTACTTAGGTTTGTTACGTAAAGGTTTGCTTAACTATGGTAAGCTATTGAAATGTCTATGGAGTCCCACCCTAAATTTATTATCCCTTCTTTTGGCTGTAAGATTTTAAATTTTTGAGTTTATAAGAAAACAATATTAAATCTGAACTTGATTAAATTAGTCTAATACTTTTTTTGTAAAAGTAATTTACAAGTAAATACAAAGTAAAAAGAAAAATTCAAAAGCTAATTTGACTTTGTTAAAAATGCATTTGCTATTTTCCTACAATTCAGTTTTGTCATTGGTGATGGTGTTTTTTGGCAGTGTCACTAAACTTGAATAGCAAGAAAAGTGAATGAACAGATAATTCTGACTTAAAAATAAAGTGTTTTAGCTATTGGCAGATGTCAAGACAACCTGAGACTTAATGAATACTAAGCTGCATACCTGCCATCCTTATCTGTCTCCAGCACAGTTGACAAAACAAGGTAGTCTTGATGTCAAAACAGATTGGGAAGGAAGAAAGACAGACAGAAACTTGGGCAGAATTAGGAAGTCTTGCTTTTTCACTTCCAGTTTTCTTTAAAAAATTCTAATTTATTTCCTAAACAAACTCTTATTTGCACCCAAAATAAAGCATTTACTAACTCACAGAAAATTAATCAGAAACCATTCTGTAGCGCTAGTTTCAACAATTTAGTAGATAAAATCCTATTGACCTACTTTTTATTTCCTGTTAAAACCATGGGTCTTTGTAGTCTGTGTTTGAAAGCCCATTCTGCATATGGAAATGGTGATCCTCACTTTACTTACTAAAGCTCTCTTCCTTTCACTCCCTGTTCTTTCATGTTTGTTTCTTGTTTTTTTTTTTTTTTTTCCCTTGGGACTCATTACATGTTGGGATCACCGGGGTTCCATCTTTGGCTTATTCTTCTACTCTATCTCATAGGTGAAAATGGTTTTCATGATAACCTGTACAGGCTACTTATACACAGTCTAGATCCTTTTTTGAGTACTAGACTCACAAATTAAATTATACAATAATCATTTTCTTTCTGTTTCAATGAATAGCTTAGACTCATCTACTGATGCTAGAAAACTGAGAGTCATAATTGTTCTTGAATCTAAACCCTTCTCTCAGTGCCTACCTCTTAAGTACATTTTCTGCTTCTATTCTTTGCTTCTTTACTTTCTTCATAAAGAAACTGAAATGAAATGATGCAAACACAAATTTATGTCTCTACCTATCTTAAGGTACTTCACCTGCTCATCACCCACAGGATAAAGTACAAATCCCTTCACAAAATGTCCAAGACCTTTCCATGATCCAATCCACCACCACCTCTCCAACCATCTCTCTCGATTCTGGGCTGTTTTTATTTTTTCAACAAATGTTTACTGAAGGCTTCTTATGAGCTATTGTGAGCAATGGCTAGCATGATCCCCTCTTTGGGGAGCTTAGGTTCTGTTGGCAGAGAGATGTATTAAATAGATAAAAACACAACTGTAAACCAAGATAAATAAAATGCAAAGGTACGTCATGAAGAAATCTAACTCAGTCTAGGGAGTTAGAGAAGGCATCTGATCTGATATCCAAAGGAGGGATAGGCATTATTAAGGAGGAGAAGAAATGGAAATGGGAGGCAGAGTGAGCATTTAAGGCTTGGGAACAGTATTTGCAAGGCCTCTGTTATGGGAATGCGTTATGTTTAAAGAACCGAAAGGAGGCTGGTGTGGCTGGAATATAGAGGAAGATGGAATATGAAGACATAAAGAGGTAAATAAGGACCAGGCCTTTACCTGGACCTCATAGGCTCTGTTAAATATGTGGTGCTTTACTCACATCACATACAGGATGTCCAACTACAAGAATGTTATAAGGCAGATATTTTCACAGTAGTTTCTATGATACTACTATGGCGTAATACATATTACACATTAGGTAGAAATATAAGACGCTTTCATTCTTCTCATTTCTTGCACAAGACATCAAGTGCAGAAAAATTATCAGGGTGAACTGTTTGATAAGGCAAAGAATGAGGTGATGCCTTAAGATAAATGTCTCTATGACTGACACAAAAGTCGAGTTTGGACAATTGAATCCAATGAAATCTTTTAGAGCCATAAAAATAATATGATATATTTGAATTTTGAAAAAAAAAAGCCCTCTGGTAACAGTGTGGAGTAAAAACTGGAAAAGGAAATACTGTGCACACTGTTGATGGAAATAAAACATTGTAAAGCCACTCTTGAAGAGTTGGCAATGCCTTAAATTTACCTTATGACCAGAAATTTCACTCCTAGGTATCTAAGCAAAAGAAATAAAAACATATGTCTACACAAAACTTGTATGTCAATGTCTATCATATTATTATTCATAATAACCAAAAGTAGAAAGAACCCAAATGTCCGTCAACAGGTGAATGGATAAAATATGATATATCCATACAATCGTATGCTATTCTGCCAGAAAAAAGAATAAAGTACTTATATGTACAACAACATGGATGAACCTCAAAAACACTATGCTAAGGAAGCCAGACACACAATACTGCTTATTATATGAGTTCATATATATGAAGCATCCAGAAAGGCAAATCTGTGGAGACAGAGAATCTATTAGTGTTTGCCACAGGATGGAGGTTGGAGGAGGGAATGGGAAGTTACTGCTAATGGACACAAAAAATCTTTTTGGACTGATGGAAATGTTCTAAAATTGGATTGTGATAATGGCTGCACACACTTTAAATTTACTTTAAAAAACCAGTGACTTGTATACTCAAAATAAATGAGTTTTATAATATGTAAAATATCCTTCAGTGAAAGCATTGAATGAATAAACAAATAAGGAAACAAATAGAGAAGTAAAATGTGGATGTGCAAAAAGCAGTCAGGAGGCCACTGTGATAGCCTAGGTAAAATGTGAAGTTTGAGTCCAGGGTGGTGGCCTGGATGTAGAGAAGGAAATAAGTTTGAGAAATATTTAGGAATTAAAGTCAACAGGAACTGGAAACAGACTGGACATGGGAACTTCGGTTTGCCCGCTCTCCTCTAGAAATGCTAAACTGCTGTGAGTATTTGAACGCTCCATGCTCCTTCTCATCTTTCTGTCTGTGTGTATTACTGTGTTCCCTGGGAGTGGCTTTCACACCGTCATCAACCTGATGCACACCTGATTCCATTAGAGACTCAAATCTAGTATCATCTCCCCTTTAGAACCTTCCCTGACCCACCCTACCACTATTGGGTTCCCACAGCACCTCCTGTGCTTTTCTATATTTGCATTTTATTGTACACCGTTGTTTACATGACTATCACTTCACCTTCATTGCTGCTGTCAAACACCTGATACTTAGGTCTTCACTTCCATCATAGCATCCCAGCTAGACATGGCCAACTGATCACAGCACTCTCCTGCTGAGCACTGAGCATACCGTAGATACCACGGTACTCAGGATGCCTCTCAAAACAGTGCCACAGACAGCCTCTTGTAACGAATTGGCTTTGATACATCCATAAAGTCTGCTTCTGACTGTGATGTTCTTGATGCCATGTATATCTTACGTGTCCTCTGCACCATGTACAGAAAATGGATACAATAAATGGATAAAAACCTTTTCAGGAAGATGCTTCCAAATATTTCTGTACTTGATATGCAATGCAAGTTATTCCTACCTACTATATATTTTGTATGGCAATGGCTTCTGATTTTTACCCTCAGATAGCAAAAAAATTGCCGAATATCATACTTTTTTCCATATTTTCTTCTAAATCCTGTGTTTTGTTAAGTGTAGGCACAGTCTATAGTCTTCCATCATAAACTACCAGACTACAGTGATGGGCCTTGGGCTTTATACAGTAGTTTTTATATTTTAGACATTATGTCTTTGAGGGCTAAAGCTTCCTAAGTCGGGCATCAAGATAATGATTTAGTGATTTATTCCTTTGAACCAGCTACTTTGGTGACTCATTTTTCTCCCTAACCCATGCTATTATACACTAATCCATGCATAACTTCCCTTTAATACAGATGACACAGACTGTTTACTTAGGATGGTTTTGCAATATGCACACTAACAAAGACTTTGTGAGCAGGAAGAATACCAGTTATTCAACCAAGTTTAAGAAAACAGCTGAGTGGTAGAGCAGCTTAGCAGGGTGTTAAACATCCATTAATAATGGCATGGTGACAAACTTGAAGGTTTTGATTGTAGTTCACATAAGCACTCCAAATTCAAGGCTCAGCCCACTGTATTTCTGGGTTTCTGTTAGCGAAAACTTGACCTGAACATACAGGATGTCCAACTACAAGAATGTTATAAGGCAGATATTTTCACAGTAGCTTCTATGATACTACTATGGCGTAATACATATTACACATTAGGTAGAAATATAAGACACTTTCATTCTTCTCATTTCTTGCACAAGACATCAAGTGCAGAAAAATTATCAGGGTGAACTGTTTGATAAGGCAAAGAATGAGGTGATGCCTTAAGATAAATGTCTCTATGACTGACACAAAAGTCGAGTTTGGACAATTGAATGGTGTAAGCGTCACTCAGAAAATTGACTCATCCGCAGCAACACTGGGCAAATGAGGTTGCAGGTAGATGCACTAGAATAGAGTAACTTTTTTTTTTGAGACGGAGTTTTGGAGTTTTGCTCTTGTTGCCCAGGCTGGAGTGCAATGGCGTGATGTCAGCTCACAGTAACCTCTGCCTCCCGGGTTCAAGCGATTCGCCTGCTTCATCCTCCCGAGTAGCTGGGATTACAGGCATGCACCACCATGCCTAGCTACTTTGGTATTTTTAGTAGAGACGGGGTTGATCGGGCTGGTCTCAAACTCCCGACTTCAGGTGATCTGCCCGCCTCGGCCTCCCAAAATGCTGGGATTACAGGCATGAGCCACTGCTCCTGGCAGAGTAACCCTTATTTTATCTTCCTTTTTCTGGTATCTTTCTAAATCCTTCCCAGCCCTTCTCCACTTTGCATAGCTAATCATGCTGCATGAAAGCTGTCTGTCCTTCCTCTAAAACACATTTGCACCCCTTAGCTTAATCCAAGGCAAAAGTCCTTCAGGAAGCCTTCATGTCTGGCCTGGGAGATGGGTTTCTACAAGTCCTGAGACTTCCCTTCTGCACTTCTTTCCTTCTCCTGTTCTAGCATGTATGTATCTTAAATTATTAAAATTACTTGCTTACTTGTCAAATTTCCCCAATAAGACTGTAAGCTCAAAACGCTGGTATTATGCCTACCCTTCCTCCTTTGAGACACCTCGCTAACACACTACCTGCATTTAAGTAGCTGTTTCATAAATATTAATTGAATAAATAAGTTGCATTATATAAAATTGTACCTTAAATATTTGATTTAGCATGTTCATCTGCAATGATTAAGGAGGCAGTTAAGGCAGCAGTTAATTTTTAATAATTCACCAGTAGATAGGTGAACAGGTTTAGACAGTTTTAAAATATCTTAGTTGAGTAGGGGGTAGGGGTCGGTTAATGCACGCCCAAGACACATAAGGTTTTCAAAGGACTTTGAATAAATAAGTAATTTATTTTATAATTATTGCTTATATTGTTGCTCTCCAAATCTCCACCATCGTAGGCCGAAAGACCTTGAAGAGAATTCAAATTAAGAAGAATTAAAATTATGAACCAAGAAAGGCAGAAGAAGTGAAGTATGTAAAAATGTACTTGTTCAGTCTTGCTACTATTTCCTGGAGTCAATCTTGGTTTAAAACATAATAAGCAGACCCTGGCTTGTCATACCTACTTTCTCCCAGGGATTTGAGACTATAATAAAAGCATTTTAACTCAGTGGTAACTGGATTAGAGTAATGCAAGAACCTGCCACCTTGGGACCTCCTGCTTGTGTCTCGGCCTGAATAAATGTGCATGGAAATTGTTTTAAACTGAAGGCTGTGCAAGACCACAAGTTATAGTAATGTTGACAGTCTCAGCTTGGAACCTGGCAAAATAGCAAAAAAAAAAAAAAAAAAAAAAAAAAAAAAAAGGAGAACACGGATTGAAAACAGCTCATTTGCTGGCATCAAAGCAATGCTCAAAGGTTTAGATGTAAAACCTTTGCAGGTCAATGGTGACAATATTTGCAAAGTGCCGCCAGCATCTCCACTGCAAATTGAAGCAACTTAATACAAATCCTTGCTGCAAATCTAAAGCAACTTGATTTCTTTTCCAGCCTCTAGTACTCATAAGAAGCCATAAGGAGTAGTTTCTCAGACTTAAAGTGTGCGAAATGATACTAAATCTTCCATTTCCTGGAGGCCGGATAGGAAATGAAAAGGTATAAAGGTATAGTTGTCACATTCTGTCACAGCTGAATATCATGGAAATAATCCCATCAGTTTGTTCCCTTCAAAAGTAGCCGGTGTTTCATTGTGAGTTCTGCCTTCATTATTTCACAGGTTTATTGTACTCTGTCACAGAGGCAAAACATCTGTTAGCAAAGACAAGGAAGGAGAAGGAGATCCTCTATCTTCCTTATGAACATTCAAAGAAGTTCTGGTGAATTTACTGCTGGTGAAAAGTGGCGGCTTGTCAGTTTCCAAAACCCCAGCTTTGGGGAGGCACCAAACTGTTCCTGACTAAGAGCAAACAAATTGTGCATTTTCTACACAGTATAACTGCATCTTAGTGTCAAATTCGGCAAAGTGGATACAGAAGGGATGATTCAGAAAGGACGTAAAATTAGTATTTTTGTTCCCCGTAAGTCAGTACAATCATAGAAGTCCAGATCTGCTTGTTATAAAGCCAAGTCGTTTCCTGAAAGAGATTCACCTGGAGTCCATCTTTTCATAGAATGTTATTTGTGTCCATAGAACCAGGCAAAATAGCTCAAATTATAAAACTATTTCAGCAAGAACTTAAAAATATCATGTGGTTCTGTTTCCATCTTTCAAGCAAAATAGATAGTACGGTCTCCATTTTACAGATCAGGTAAGTGGGGTTCAGAGATCAGATGAGTTTTACATATGGCACATGGTGCGGTGATTCTATTCTGTTCTATTTTATTTATTGTAGAAACAGGGTTTTGCTCTGTGCCTAGGCTGGAATGCAGTGGCACTATTATGGCTTATTGCAGACTCCCCCTTCTGGGCTCAAGCTATCCTCCCGCCTCAGTCTCCAGAGTAACTGGGATTACAGGCACATGCCACCATGCCCAACTAATTTTCTTTTCTTTTCTTTTCTTTTCTTTTCTTTTCTTTTCTTTTCTTTTCTTTTCTTTTCTTTTCTTTTCTTTTCTTTTCTTTTCTTTTCTTTCTTCTTTCTTTCTTTCTCTTTCTTTCTTTCTTTCTTTCTTCTCTTTCTTTCTTTCTTTCTTTCTTTCTTTCTTTCTTCTTTCTTTCTTTCTCTCTCTCTTTTTCTTTCTTTTTTTTTTTTTTTTTTTTTTTTAGAAACCAGGTCTCGCTATGTTGCCCGGGCTGGTCTTGAACTCCTGGGCTCAAATCATCCTCCTACTTCAGCCTCCCAGAGTGCTAGGATTACAGACATGAACTACATTGCCTGGTGCTGTGATTCCAAATTGTAGATCAGGATGATATCTTACTCATAGCTCCAAGAACCAGTACCCAGGAGAACATCTGGCACATAGATGCTTCACTTTGCTTGTACTTGTTGGCTCTTACTGGATCAATAACCAGCATGAAAACCCCCTTCCCACAACCCTTTGAAAAGGGAGTGTCGTTGTCTACAACTACTTAAGAGTATTCATTTATGTGTTTATGAGTTTTTATCTTTCTCCTTGCAGGAAGACTATGAGACTATCAGAATCTACACTTTATCCCCACTTTAGAGAGTCTGGATTTTTGACTACTTTTGTCACATATTGGATTAACTTGATTTAAAATTTTCTTTAATTTTCAAATTGGGATCAAAATAAGTAAAATAATTAATGTCAAGTTAAGAAGGCACACTGTGCTTTTCTTTAATTTTGAAACAGAAGTCATAGCTTACTTTTGACTGAAAGGAAAAAAAGAACAGAAAGCAACCCTAGATGTATATTATTTCTATACTCTTTTTATTTCTGTTTGGCCATTTTGATGTGTGTGTGTGTGTGTGTGTGTGTGTGTGTGTGTGTGTCTACATTGTTTTTTGTTCCATTTTTTAATGACTTGTACACCGTATCTGTCTTCTGTTCCGTATAGAAATCGGAGGCTATGACAGTAGTACCATGTAAACCTTTAAGTGGGATGCAAGGCAGTAATTCCCAAAGCTTCCCAAATATGCCAAGAACAGGCACCTATTTCAACATCATATAATGGATGCAGGCAACTGGTATATTTAGTATCAAAGGAACAGCTTTTCCTTTTCTTTCTGTTTTTTTTTTTTCCTTTTCCCTCAGTAGAAGCCAAAATTTTATTATAAAACCATAGATAAGTATATCAACTGCTAGGAGGCTGGCACAGCAGAATACAAGGAAATAAGAGATAAGGGAATTTGGTCAAATAAAAAAAGTACTGTGGAATTTAAACCAAATGACAGGAGATAAGGCTTTCTCTGAGTTTCTATTAAAATGCAATAAATAAGAGATCCAAAAAAATTCTTTCGAGGACTAGCACTTTTCTTCCTATATTACTCATCATAAATGTATGGTATCATCATCAATGCAGGGATTCAATTCAGAGTTGCAAAAATACACTTTGCTGAAGTCATGTTAAGGATGTGGCAGCTTCAGATGGAAGTCCTGTGAGTCTTTCAGTAAAGTTCATCATTTGAATAAATAGACTTTATTTACACACTTAAGGATAATTCTCTAAGGATCCCAAGATACTGTGAGTAATGGATCTTACTGATATTTCATGTGCTGCTGTTGAATTTAAATTGACCTAAATCGATAAAGTGAACTCCCAGCCCCACCCAATGAATTTGCATAGATTTATGTAGATCATCTCAGTGCCTTTGGCTCTTCTGACCCCAGAGGAGGGATAGAGATTGAGATCTGGACAAAAAAGGGACTCTAGTGGTTCCCTGGGATGACAGCACCCCTGGGACCTGCAACTTGAGTGTGATCTGTGGCCTCAGGTGAAGTGGACCATGGTGTCTGCTCTATCTCTAGAGGGCAATAGCCCTGAGTCATAAAATGTATCCCTGCATAATATGGCATGTCTGTCAGCCTCTGCATCCCTCAAGCTCAGTTTATATCTATCTTGGGATGGTTCACAGAAGGAAAAGATTACTCCATTTGGATAGTAGGTTTTCAAGCCATTTTATTTTACTCTATCTTTTGTTCTTATGTGATATGCGAAAATATACCTTTCATCTAGTTGAATTTATGTTTTAAGGCATTTATAGATAATTTCAGAGCATCATATTATGTATTTCAGTAGACTGAAAAAAAAATGAGCCTCATATAATTCTTTATTCTAGGGTTTCTGCCAGCTTGGGGGATGGAGGTACAATATTATCAACTTTCAGGAATGATTTCTATTGAATGTGGCAACAGATAAGCATTGTAAATTCCATGCCATAAATAGTCTACTAATAGCTCTGGATATCAAGTCAGGAGTGAATATAGCTATCAATAAGCAAATCCAGAGTCCTTCAGGAATAGGTTATGTGAATACTTGTGACATATATAATGTCATAATTCAAAAATCAGTTCAAGTTTTGAATATTTTGTATTATTATATCTTAGGTTTTCTGGGACTAGGAAGATGTTGGTGTACAAAAGACATTGAGGAATCCAGGCTTATGTGGAACATGAAGGATGAAGACCAGATCTCCCCAAATTAACTATTAAGATGCTTGGAGGGTCATTACATCTAGAAATTCTAACTCTAATCACTTTAAAAAAGTTAGTCACTTTTTAAACTATATAGTTTTCTTTCTGAAAACAGTTTAAGATTTGGTATAAACAGAACATTTCTACTCACTTATAAACAGGGTTCTCATAAATCTCTGTGGCTTCTGTACTATGGTCCAGAATAAGAAATGAATGTGAGGTTGGATAAAGACTGAACACCTTGCTTTCCCTGTTTCTTACTATTTAAGTGAAAAATCTTCCTCAGAATTATCTCAGAATAGTCACATGGAATTCCTTCTTATCCCATGCAAAAATATTGGATTGATGAGTAACTTCAACTAAATCAATTAAATTAGTATGTGTAAGGTATTTAGGATAGCATCCAGCACATGGTGCTGTGTAAGTGCCGATTATCATACTTAATGTTAATTTATTATTTTTATTTCTCAATTCAGATTTCTAGATTAAAATACAATTATTAGGGTCATGTAATTTGTCAAGGCCTCTTAGCAAAATGAAATTTACAAAACCTTAAATTGTTGGCAGGATATGGACAGAAGTCCTTACTTTCTTTACATAAAATTTGACCACTGATGTTCAATTTTAAAACTAATTTGTACGTTTTATGTATTCATAACTGTATATGGTATGAGAAATATTTTTCTAAAGAAAATCTTGTCACTATAAGAATTAATTTAAAATAATTTTATATAGTATACAGATTAACGAAGCTATGTTACAACTTGATGACATCTTGAGTTTCACTTGAAGCTATAAACCTCATTTGTGAATGAGTTTACATGGGTACATATGGGTGTAATTATCTGGCTAGCTTCTACGTTTGGGAATCTAGAATGCCCTGTGGGCAAACTTGAGATTTTCCTTCATGTTTCACAAATTCTGAGCATTGCTCACATATGGATAAGATTCTCTATGCAAAAAAAAAAAAGAGAATATTATTTTTATCTTAAAACTTTAGTTATTTAAAGGTAAGTTGTCTAGAGGCCTTTTCATATATATGTTTCACATACATATGCTTTACATATATATTTTATACATATGAAAATATCATGTATTGATCCATTTAATCTTAGTCATTATTTAAAGATCATTTTTAGAACTAGTTTTAGTTGTGCTAGATACAACAAAAAATAGCTTTTGTAGTTCAAAATGGAAGTATTTTGTCAAATATTTTTGGGCTTTATCATGCTGTTAACTAATTGCTCAGGATATATAGTAGTGTCTCTAAATATAATGACATGATTATTTGTTTAATTAGATAAAAGTAGCATGAATGAAAATTGACTGCTTTGATTTTCAGATTTATCTACAACAACATTCATGGTAAAATAGTTCAAAATATACCATGTACTAAAATAATAATTGGGGAATATATGGGTAGGAATGCAATTGATTTTAAATCTAGTTAATTAGTGAACAAAAATAATTTTTTCTTCTCAATAGCAACACCTTTGTTTTCATGTACAAGTCATACCGATAGTCTTGGTCATAATATTATTAAATGTAATAGATGATTTTTGGGTAATTGGCCATTTATGATAGCTTTAAAAATTTAAATAGTTATATAAGACAAATCAATTAATAAAACTTTTTCTTTGATTTATGTTATTCAATTATTTTAATGACATAAGGGAAGGGTCATCATATATCAAGCACTTGATCTGTTATAAAATTGCTAAAAAATACTTTATAGAATAGTTATGTCTTGAATTAGACCTATTTTTTTAACCTTAATAGTTTCCATATTTAAGTAATTCTGCATTTATTTAACAAATGAATTCAGTGTTTTAATTATCGAGGAATGTAGGTATATTATATTGTTTCATAAGAACTCTGCCTAGTAAAAACTTACAATAGGCTATTTCCACTGCTGCCGTTTCAGCAGCTAAAGGCACACATATACACACACAAATGCTCCTGTTCATCAGGCCTTTACACTGTCAGTGAACGTGTGTGTGTCTTTCTGTATGTCACACCCTCTAAATTCAGGTGGCCTCAAGCTGTGCCATATAATTCTAGCCTCAATTAAACTTTCCAAGGTCAGCAGTACTGCACCAGGTCAGACATAAATAAGGCAGAGGATAGTCCTAGGGTACGGGAAAGCCGTATTTATTCTTTATTCACATTCAAGGCTATCAAATGAAACCTAGCAGAGAGAAAAGACAGAGGAAGAAAGGAGGACTCTCAAAAGGTACTTTTCACCTAAGTGCAACCTTTGTTAAAAAAATAAAATCAGTATATGTATAATTCAAGACCAAGTGCACTCTAGCTTGGGTGACAGAGCAAGACTCCATCTAAAAAAAAAAAAAAAAAAGACCCAGTGAATTAGCAGGGTGTGAGTCTTATCTTTTTTTTGTTCCCCTAAGAATACAACTTTAACCAGAGCTCAGTGGAGAATATGTTGGTATGATTCCCAATCACTAGCACAGAAATTAAAAGACCCAATTTCTAATTTTCTTTGTGTCACTAACCAACAGGCTAAACTTAGATACATATATCTTCACTCTCAATTTACTCTTCATAAAATCAGTAGTATGAAATAAAGAAATCTATTGAGTTTTCAAGTTCTGAATTCTACTTGAATCTGAATTTCGCTTAAATAGTATTAGTAAAAAAACAAAACAAATAAACTAAGTTAAAGGTAAGAAATACACTGATAGTATATATCTGATCATATATAATGTACAGGGATAATAAGTTTTTAGAATATATAAAGAACACTTACCACAATAAAAGACAAACTTATTAAAATGTGCAAATGAAATTAACAGATATTCACTGAATAGGGAATCAGGTTAACTGATAAACACTTGAAAAGATGTTCAATCTATTTAATAATTTGGGAAATGCAAACTAAATCTTGTTAGAACATTTTACATCTGCTAGTTTGGCAAAGTTAATAAGTCTTTGCCAAAGACTTATTAACTGTGGATGTGTTAAGAGTGAGATTCCCACATTGTGCACAAAGGTCTTCCAGAGCACCACAGAACAATTACAAAGGCGCCACAGAATTATTTTAAATGGAAGAAGCCACAACAGTATCTATTGAGCAGTGTGTGTGATCCACCAGCTTGAGGGAGCTCATAATTTCAGCTTTAGATTGTACTCTCTTCCCTTTGATGATGTTAGATCTTTGCAAAGCTTTTCAGAGCTGTAGCTGTAATAAAAAGAAAGAACTGTGTGACCAACACACAATTATGGACATTGTTAGGGAAAATCTAGTTTATTGTTCTCCACTAGTATCTAAGCACAGTACGCAGTTGGGTGAAGTAGAATTTGATACTTAATTTAAACATGGGGCAATGGAACCATTAGTAGCCTAAGCCAGCATATGACATCTGTTATTTCTTATAAGCTAAATAATAAATACTAAATAAGCAAATAAGTTAGAAAGGAGAGAGAAAAGAGAGAAAGCAAAAATGTGCCGAATAGAGTAATATACTTTTGGGTAGATGGCACAGATTTCCATTGGAAGTAAGAATGACAGATTTAGAGAGAAAGAAGCGAACATGCTTATTCTAAAAAATTGCTCATTGTCTGTCTACATTTCAAATTTAACTGGGCATCATTGATTTTATTTGGTAGCTCAACATAAAAACGATCAATAGGTTATACAGAATGCAGACAATAACACTTAAAGTTAGGGAATTGGTATCAGCATGGCAGGACTTTTGAAGAATTTCTGTAGGTGAAGGGCAAATAATACCAGAATGAAGCACTTAGGAGAGTCAAAGAGCTGAATCACAATTCCTCTCCCATGAGAAAAGAGGATACCTCTGAAGAAAATGCTTCAATCCCTGTGAGAAAGCAAGGAAACAAACATGAGTTCTTGACTCAGACAGGTGAGTATGGTAGGTGCGGCAGATTGCAATGACCAGCTGAAAGCTGAGTGTGCGGGAAAGGTGAGAACGAAAGAAAATTCCTCCATTTATAAACAGAAAATGCAAGTGGTAGAAGGATGCTGCCATGATGAACTCAGCAGACAATTAGTTTTGGGGAGAAGAAGATAAACTTGAGATATAGCTTAGCTGCCCCAGAGATGGATCGAAATAAAATTATTACAATGGGAATTTTGAGATATGAAAAGATCTGCATGAATGAACATCTATGCCAGAAAAAATCTGAAAATATGAAGTGTAAGTCATGTGAAAGCAATGATTTCTTAATTAGAATTTAGGTAAAATGCCAGATCATGTGAATAAAAACTGCCAACTGGTGAGAGGAATGGGAAAAAGATGTAAAAGGCATACTGAATTTCTCAGCATGAACTCCATGGCTCTTGACTCTTGACATGCATAATTAGAGAAAAATAGATTCAAGTAGATTGGGGATCATCATAACAGTAATCAATATAAATAAAGTGATACTATTCTGAAAAAACCAGTTGCAGGGACGTAGAAAAGTAAAGAGAGAGAAAATAGAAGAAGCAGAAAATTTCACAAACTATAGTAAAAAACAAATACAATCTGATAAATATGACTGCTTTCAACTTTTCTACTAAATGGAAAATATTTTAATTTTGAGTCAAAGAAGCATATTACACTAACTATAAGGAATCATGCTAAGATATAAAGAAAATAAAAATAAAGACTAACAGTGTATCACAAAAACCAATATAACACATGCCAACAAACGCAAGTGGAATGGAAAAGTGAAATTCAGGATGCAATGTTAAATAGGTAATTTTATATTACTAAAAAAACACAGAGCCAAATAACAATCTGTGGAAGTCTAGAAAAAAAATCAGATAAATATGTAATAAAACCACAACTGTGGTAAAAGAATTTATCAAATGAATGTCGATTCTTTAATAGTGTATTAAGACTTACTCTCCAAGATCAGAGAATACATGTTTTTTCAGGTACCTTAGAAAATTTACTAAAATGTATCGTACTGATGACAAAATACCTCAAAATTCTAAAACAGATAAATTTCCTGATCATTATTTTGGAAAAGACTCTTCAGGAATTATAATTTTAAAAACAAAAACTGAAAATATATTAAATTGTATATGGAAAAGGGGCTCTAAACACAGACACTGGGGAAATTAAAAAAACCCACATTTTAATTTTTATCAATCAATATTATTAAATTTGAAAACCTTAACATAACAGAGTTTTATAAGAAAGAACAGAGACCATCCTGGAAAACATAGACCCTATCTCTTAAAAAAATTGAACAAAAAGTACCAAATACCA
This sequence comes from Homo sapiens, assembly GCF_000001405.40. Classification (NCBI taxonomy): domain Eukaryota; kingdom Metazoa; phylum Chordata; class Mammalia; order Primates; family Hominidae; genus Homo; species Homo sapiens. The sequence goes on along the minus strand of NC_000015.10, from coordinate 95,789,057 downwards.
AAATTGCAATTGTAAACATCAATATGTCAATAACCTTAGAGTAATGTAACAAGGACTCAAAAAACTGCACTTGGTCAAAATAGCTTGAATGCCAAACTCAATTTATCAATGAAAATATGATATTAAAGAGGGTATAGCAATAGAGAAAAAGATGGAAAAATTCTCAACATATTTCCGCATGTATATAATTCCAATAATGCCGAGTTCAGCAGGCATATACATGCTTATGTGCATGCATGTGTACCCACACACACACACTCACACACAGGATGTTAACCCTTTCAATGTCATGTTTAAAAAGTTAATAGCATTTTTCGAAGTGCACATATGAAGATTAATAAACTTTCATAAATTTCAGAAGCAAAATTTCAAAATACAATCCTAGCTTATTGTATTTGTCAGTATGAACATAACAATAATATAATATGTATGAGCAGAATTTAATTAAAACTGACAAGAAGGACTACCTGGTAGAAACCTATTAATATTATTTATGTAACTGGTGACTAAAATAAGAAAAAAATATATACCTGAGTGCATTGATAAAAGCCAAAAATAAAAACATTACATTTTTATCACTTATGGTACACGGTTTATAAAACTCTTGGCAAGGCCGTGCGTGGTGGCTCATGCCTGTAATCCCAGCACTTTGGGAGGCTGAGGTGGGTGGATCACCTGAGATCAGGAGTTCGAGAACAGCCTGGCCAACATGGTGAAACTCTGTCTCTACTAAAAATAAAAAAATTAGCCAGGCGTGGTGGTGGGCACCTGTAATCTCAGCTACTTGAGAGGCTGAGGCAGGAGATTTGCTTGAACCCGGGAGGCAGAGGTTGCAATGAGCCGAGATCACACCACTGCACTCCAGCCTGGATGACAGAGCGAGACTCCATCTCAAAACAACAACAACAAACAAACAAACAAAAAACTAGGCAAATTTGACGCAGAGAGGGAATTTTAAAAGCATCATTAAGATGATCGGTAGCAGGCCACAAGCATGTAGGCACTTAAGGGGAATGCACTAAAGAGAGCAGAGTGAGGCACAACTGTTTGGTTTGGATCCCATGGAGTTGTAAAAGGCAGTGTACAACCACAGGGGGCTTATAACGGATGGTAATACGTGAAGCTCAAAACCAGCAATCTTATACTTGGCTGATGTCACCTATTTCTGTTGCCAGGTGGTCCCCTGTCATTTTTGAACTTCTATTTTCTGCTCTGGAGTGATTCCAATTAAAGTTTGGGGCAAGATAAAGAGACTTACTATTAGCACTTTAAAAATAAAATATTAGAGATCTAGTATACAACATAAGGACTATAGTTAATAATATTTTATTATATTCATAATTTTTGTGAAGTAGGAAGATTTTAGCTGCTCTTGCCACACACATACAAAATGGGTAACTATGTGAGATGATGGATATGTTAATTTACTTCACTACAGTAACCGTTTTACTATCTATACATATGCCATGGCATCATGTTGTATATCTTAAATATTCGCAATACAATTTATTTAGAAAAAAAATCTCTAGACAATATTATATAACAAGAAAAAGAGATAACAATTCTAACAAAATGTTAGCAATAAGAAGACAAACATCACTATTTGCAGGTCATTTTTGGCCATGTAAAGAAAATAAAATAAATGCCATCCTATAAAGTGTATGGATATATAAAATATAAGCAAACCTGTACTTTCCTTATATATTGAAAAATAAGCAGTCATAAATCCCTCCCAAAAAAGAGCCTATTTACAAAAGTAACACAAAGTAAAAAAATTCAAGAAATAAGCTTACCAAACATGCAAAAAACCTAGGCATACAATGTCAGAAAATTTTTCTCAGGAAAATGAAATTTTTAAAAATTGTAAATAAATGAATAGATAGCAAGGTTCCTGGGTTGGAAGAATCAATATTGATAATTGATAACATGTCAATGATTTTTTTGTTTGTTCATTCATTCATTTCTTCCAGATTACTTATTGAATACCTACTGTAGACCACAGTACAAACTAGGAGTCAGAGACAGTGGCAAATATTCTAACTGGAGCTTTTTTTTTTTTTCCTGATAGAATCCTACTCTGTCGCCCAGGCTGGAGTGCAGTGGCACATTCTGAGTTCATTGCAACCTCTGCCCCACAGGTTCAAGTGATTCTCCTGCCTCAGCCTCCAGAGTAGCTGGGATTACAGGCATGCACCACCATGCCTGACTAATTTTTGTATTTTTAGTAGAGACTGTCTTTCATCATGTTGGCCAGGCTGGTCTTGAATTCCTAAGCTCAAGTGATCCGCCCTCCAAAAGTGGCCTCCCAAAGTGCTGGGATTACAGGTGTGAGCCAACATGCCTGGTCCTGGAGTTCTGGAAGTAGGCAAAATACTTCTGAAACATAAAAAGAAGCATAGAGGAGGAGAAGTCTGCTCTGCCAATAAAATAATAGCCATCAGTAAATGTGTGTGACACAGTACAAGACGAGAAAGATGCTTAAGAGGATAAGATGAGAAAGCCCTACAATAAAAAATGACAAAACTTAATGTCAAATAATGCCAGGTGTCGGCAAAGAATTTGTTGGAAGGAACAATTCATGTTTTGTTTGTGGAATGGAAATTGGCTAAATTGATATAGAAAGTCTTTGGGTAACACCTATCAAAGTTGAAGAAGAATGTACTTCATTGCCTCACATTGTTGCTTCTTGCTGCCTACACTTCAGAAATGTTCACACTTATTCTCAAAAAGGCCAAAAGATGTTCAACATTATTTGGTAGGAAAATTTATACCATAACATAATTTTCACAGTTAAAATGTGCTAAATGAATTGAATGTGTTGACATGTATTGATATATACAAATCTTTAAAAAATTGGCCAAAAGAAAGGATATATACAATATGACAATATGTGTATAACTTTAAAAAAATCTAAAATAATGGTGTATGTAATTAATGAATCCAACCATGTGTACAAAACCTCAGGAAACAGACACAGACTGATTGCACAGACTTCACCATGATAGTTATCTTTAAAAAAGGACAGAGGAGGATTCACCAGGGCTGACAGGTTTTACATATTGTTGTAATATTTTCTTTTCAATTAATACTTAATAGTTATTAATATTGGCATTAATATTTAGGTATCCATTATTAAGTTGGTTACATATATCAAGTGTTTGAAATCTTAGATGTGAAGTAAGTTAAAAAAGTGAAAGTTTCCCAACCACTAAATATAACATTGGCAAATTTGAAAACAATGAAAACAATGTGAAGTTCTTAACATTAAATTTTATGGAAAAAGCAGAATGACTTGCTGATGCTAACAATCACTCCATGAAAAATCATCTAATGAGATGGGTAAATGTTTATGATAGACTATGTGAAGATAGCCACTGTGGGGAAAAGAAAGAGAGATCAGACTGTTACTGTGTCTACGTAGAAAGAAGTAGACATAAGAGACTCCATTTGTTCTGTACTAAGAGAAATTCTTCTGACTTGAGATGCTGTTAATCTGTAACCCTTGCCCCAACCCTGTGCTTGCAGAGGCATGTGCTGTGTTGACTCAAGGTTTAATGGATTTAGGGCTGTGCAGGATGTGCTTTGTTAAAAAAGTGCTTGAAGGCAGCATGCTTGTTAAAAGTCATCAGCATTCTCTAATCTCAAGTACCCAGGGACACAATACACTATGGAAGACCGCAGGGGCCTCTGCCTAGGAAAGCCAGGTATTGTCCAAGGTTTCTCCCCATGTGATAGCCTGAGATATGGCCTCATGGGAAGGGAAAGACCTGACTGTCCCCCAGCCCAATACCCATAAAGGGTCTGAGGAGGATTAGTAAAAGAGGAAGGCCTCTTTGCAGTTGAGATAAGAGGAAGGCATCTGTCTCCTGCTCGTCCCTGGGAATAGAATGTCTCGGTGTAAAACCCGATTGTATGTTCTATTTACTGAGATAGGAGAAAACCGCCTTAGGGCTGGAGGTGAGATGTGCTGGCGGTAATACTGCTCTTTAATGCACTGAGATGTTTGTGTATGTGCACATCAAAACACATCACCTTTCCTTAAACTTATTTATGACACAGAGATCTTTGCTCACATGTTTTCCTGCTGACTCTCTCCCCACTATTACCCTATTGTCCTGCCACGTCCCCCTCTCCGAGATAGCAGAGATAATGATCAATAAATACTGAGGGAACTCAGAGATCAGTGCCGGCATGGGTCCTCCATATGCTGAGTGCTGGTACCCTGGGCCCACTGTTCTTTCTATATACTTTGTCTCTGTCTCTTATTTCTTTTCTCAGTCTCTTGTCCCACCTGACAAGAAACACCCACAGGTGTGGAAGGGCTGGCCCCCTTCATCTGGCGCCCAACGTGGGGCTTGAACCCACGACCCTGGGATTAAGAGTCCCATGCTCTACTGACTGACTGTGCAGTGCTGTCTAATGCTAGTTTTATGATCCAAACACATACACATAAAGTATAGATGAAGAATATACAAGAAAATTAAAAGTGTTTATCAGAGTCAGAATGATATATTTTTCTTCTGATATGTTATTTTTCCAACTTATCAAAATGTGTACGTATATTTAAAATCCATATTTTTGAAGGTAGATAGATGAAATCGTAAAGGTTCAACATTATAAAGCTTGCTAATCACCTACTATGCCCCAGGCACATCACCGTACAAATCAGACCACTTCATACTCGAGTCCAGTGTATGAGCCAGTTGCTAATGAGATACAGTTAAAGAATAAGGAAGAGGATCTTGTATCTGGAAATAACTTAATCATTTAGGGTAGAATGATTTGCTCAGTACCCTTGGGTCTTTCTTCAGCATGCATTTCTTTAGACTGTTGATACTCACAATCAAGGACACAGTTGTGACCAGAAGCAAAGGAGCTAACTCAGGCAGAGGAGGGAACTTGGCTAAAGAGTGCTAGGCCATCTGTTACAAAGCTATTGCTGTTGTTGTTGTTTTTTGTTTTGTTTGATAGATTTTTATGTTAGGGCTTCAGTTTGGCATCTGTAGCCTGAGAATAACAATATCTATTTCACATGTTTCTTTTTAATTTTACACCAGAAATCATTAACAAAATCTTTTAGCTCCTGATAGGCACTCAGTAAATGGTAATTTAATCTCACCCTGCTGACATGCCTTTAATGAAGAATTTTAAAATACAGCTTCCACAGTTCATTCTTCATTAACTGATGCATTTTTATTTTTTTCTTATTCACAGCCAAATCAGAAGTATTTAAAAGAATTTCCATCAAGTTATGTTTCTCTTCCCCTCGTTTCTCAAAGTTTAGCAACACGCCTTGTAGGCCTGTCCTGAACCATTAAAATCCACTTCTGAGTCCTGTGATGTGACTTTTCCTCTCCTAAATTTTTAATCTTTAATACTGGAAGGTTAGCATGACATAAATAATACATCACTGGTCCCTGTTTCCTATTAAAGTCACTTTTTGTGCAATCATCTCAAAGACCATAGAGATATTAATGAAGGAATAGAAACCCAATAGTTTCTCAAGTCCAAGTTAGATTAGTTACAACATTTACTGGTTTGTCAATTACCTTATAAAGAAAAGAAGACGTGTTCTGCACTTTGTTTTGTGACATGGTTCCGGTCAGCTTGACCTTGCCAGCTGATCTTTTATCTAGAACTTGGATTATATCTGTGAGGGAACTTAACAGAAGAGACGTGGCCAGCCCCTTTCCCCAGGGCAGACCTGGAACTTTGCAAAACAAAAGTACCCACGTTCTCTTCTGTGAATTCACATGCAGCATGAAGACTGACACACAGTTCACAACAATCCTTGTATTAAGGATACAGAAGCACAGAGAGGCACCCAGGAAAGGGAGTGACTTCCAATAATGGTTAAGACATTGTCAATAACACTCAGGGATTTTCCACTGATAAATTCTTTCATATACCTAGTGTAATTTGATTATTATAATAACTCCTTAAGTTTAGGGATAAGATGGTTAAAATGTATTATGGATGTTCCATTGCCAGATATTCTTCTGAACATGTCACATGCACTAACCCATTTAAAACCGTTTGTGTTATAATTTTTGCTTTCCAGGTGAAGAGACTAATGTCTGGAGAGGAGATGGTGGTGTGACAGAGGCCACATAGCCACAGAGTGGGTGAGCTGGAACTCAAACCTAGGATAGTGAGATAGGCACAGTGTTTGTATTTTAAGAGTTGGCACTGAAATTCTTCACAGGGAGAGAATGGTAGTAAGGATGTTTTGCTAAACGCTTGACACAGTAGGCTTGCATTCAGACCAGAGGAACATTTGGGCTTCTTGATACCATGGGGCAGGTGGGGTAGCTGATGATGTGCAAGGGAGAAGAGACATTGAATGAGTAACCAAGAAACACTGCTCAATGAGTGAAGGGCATCCTCATGCTAAATCACTGTAGCCTATTAAACTTAAAATTTTGGTGTTTTGTTTGTTTGTGTTTGTAGTGGACATCAAATAGCAAATTTTATGTTGCCATAAAAATGGCAGGACTAGAGAACATTGCTTAGGAAGGTTATGGGGACTCAGAAAAAGGGATTACCGTAAAGCCATGATGATGTGAAATGAGTTATACTGTGACTTTAAATGGACAAGCGAAGAAACTGAATCACAAAAAAATTTTCCCAGTACCTCCAAACCAGTCAGTGTTCCAGCCAGGATTTTAACCCATGTTGTTTGAGTCTAGGGTCTACATGGTAGACAGCTATAAAATCCACAACCATGGGATTCCTATTGCTTTTAATATTTCAAAGAAGTTTAGTGCATAAATGGAACAATTTTGGACACAAAAATGAGTAGAATTCCCCAGCCTTTGCAGAAAAGATTGTTTTTCCTGTGACAAAGGGAAATGTGAGTAATGTTAGGGACCTTAAAATTGGGATCAAGAAATGACTCCAGGAGAATAATTTTCATAAAACTGCAATGAAAAAATTATAGCATCCTGAAACATTACCGAGTTGATACATATATTTTTTCTTACTGTCCGGTCTTCAAACGATTTTATTAGTGAAATCTACAAGACTGAAGAAAGAAGAGAGATGGAGGGGCAGGTGGAATAATGTGGGGAGAATTCTGTGCTTCCTGCGATCTTGGCATGTGAAGGCATCCAACTTCCAGGGAAAAAGAGTAGGATTTGGAGACTAAATCTGTTTTGAAGGATGAGTTCAGTATTCATTGCGATAAGACTTCTTTATAGGGATATTTGGTGTCTGCAACATTGATGCATCCGTCAGAGGCTATAATTACTGAGAATAGACATGATACTCTGGAAAATAAACATAGTGTCCTGAATGGAACTACTCACAGCTGGCATATGACAAAGACACATACTTGTTTACTAGAAGTGGGAAACTCCTGAGTATTTCATAGCCTTCAAAAGTTTCCTTGATGAGTGTTTCTCATTGGTGTGTCCCAGAGGTATGCCATCATAGCATCTTTATGCCCACCCTAATCACAATGTAAACCCATTTATCCAAGTTCTATTACAAAATATATATAAAAAACCTGAAACATTCATTCTTATGATAATTCCACACATTCCTCATGAACCTTCTAAAACTACCCCTCAGTTTTTGGTTTTCTTTTCTAAAGAACAAACAATCTCATGTCCTTTTATCTTTCCCCAGAGGTCCCATTTTCCCATGCTTTAATCATTTTTGTTGTTCCCATCTGTACCTACTTTAATTTTTTCTATCCCTTTTAAAATATGTATCTGTAAGTTAGATATTGGAATATATTGGAATAGATCTAAAATAGCTATTGATATGTTATGGGAATTCCTATCTGTATTTGGATAAGGCAGTATAAGAAAAATGATGGTAAAAACAAGGGGAAAAAGTGGACAAACTGCTACCATGTAAGAATATTTTCAGATTCAGAGGTAGTTCTAAGTAGTGTAACCTGCCCTAAAGATGAATAAGAAAAGGCAGAACAATATAAGAAAATTACTATTATTGAAGACAAGTAAAAAATGAAGAACACAAAAATTTTATCGGTGAAATGATTACTGCTGCAAATGTATGCCTGCATATAAATGGGCAAGCACAGAAAAAGAAATATTCAGGGGACACTCTTTCTTAGACTAGTATTAAGTTCCTGCATTTATTTTCAATTTTAATTTCCCCAATTTTGTAGCACTACATGTGCTATAACTAAAACTTACAGTTTTAAAAGAACTATCCGAGGAGTAAGCAAGGGAAATCTAGGACACCTAATAATGTAATAATTAAGAATAGTTAAAAAACAAAATTAAAAAGTCCTCAAAGTACGTATAGATCTTTACTATTCTAATACATTTAGTAAATCCTACAGAGGTCGACTTTTGTTGTTCATGCTTGCAATGCATAGACATTTAAAAAATAGGCTGGGCTTGGTGGCTTACGCCTGTAATCCCAGCACTTTGGGAGGCTGAGGTGGGCAGATCACCTGAAGTCAGGAGCTTAAGACCAGCCTGGCCAACATGGTAAAACCTTACCTCTACTAAAAATACAAAAAATTAGCCAGGCGTCATGGCACATGCCTGTAATCCCAGCTACTTGGGAGGCTGAGGCAGAAGAATCACTTCAACCTGGGAGGCAGAGGTTGCAGTGAGCCAGTGAGCCAGTGAGCTGAGATCGTGCCACTGCACTCCAGCCTGGGCGACAGAGTGAGACTCTTTCTCAAACAAACAAAAAAGAAAGAAAGAAAGAAAGAGAAAGAAAAGAAAGAAAGAAAAAGAAAGAAAAGAAAGAAAGAAAGAAAAAATAATACCACCTTAAGCACTCTGGAATTTCTTACCCTATCTTCCGAATTAAATCATAATTAAAAATCAAATGAAAAACATCTGATAAAGAAAAGGTAGGCTCAATATAACAGTATTGTGGGTTGAGAAGTGCTCTAACACATCATCTTGTCTAATACCCTAATTTCACAGATGAAAAACTAAGGCCCAAAGAGTAGAACTGAATTTTCATGGGTAACATATCAGTAGAGAAATACAGGTTACCGATAAGTTCTGATACAAAGCATATCCAGTTATGTTATACTTTTTTAAATACCGCATGCGACTCAAGAGGAAAATAATCCCATTAAGTGAGAGTGTTAGGTCTTTCTTTGTAACTTCTCTCTTGATAGAGACCATGTTTCCAATCAACTAATATTTCTCACAAGTGCAGCCAATGCAGGGAATGAAAGGTGTTTGATCTTGTTTTGGCTCACAAGGGGAAAAAAGAGAATATCATAAATACATAAAAATTATGATTATTAAAATTCCATAACATTTTGATGTAATTAAGGCAGAATTTCATTGCAGTTTATCAGGTGTTTTTTAATGTTCCTCTTAACATATATATATATAGATAGATACACACACACACACATATATATTTACACCCCCACACCTATATACCTGTGTATATTTTCTCATCAAGTTAATTTTGATCAACTAGATTCTCATCTACTATTTTGTTCATGGCTTAAAATTATGTCTTGAAACATCCTTGAAACATTGGTGCCATTTCTCATATCTTGGATCTGTAGAAAAGTTTTCCTCCTTAACTCTTGGTATCATTCCCACACTCAAGTATCATCATTTTGACCTTACTTGAGTTAATAAGACCCAACCACTCTTTCTATCAACAATAGAAGATAAGGAAATGTGGGGGTAAGAAGAAGGGCAAGAAAATGAGGGACTTAAAAAAACCTCAGTGCAGATGCTAAGCAACCAAGGGCATCTTCTTTATCTACCGGTGAGCAGAGGCTAGCTTTGCTGCAGTAACAATCTCAGAATATCTGTAATTTCACACAGCAAGAGTGATTTTCACGCATAATGGACTAGGAGTCCAGGCAGATTTTCAGGGCGGTGTTCTCCACCTGCTGGCACAGTGATCCAGGATGCTTTGCTTTAGGACACCACAGTATCATCACTTGCTTCCACGATTACTGCAGCAGGAAAAGAGTAAGCGCCATTAAGAATCAGAAAGTAGACTGGGTGCGGTGGCTCACGCCTGTAATCCCAGCACTTTGAGAGGCTGAGGTGGGCGATCATCTGAAGTCAGGAGTTCGAGATCACCCTGGCCAACACGGCGAAACCCCGTCTCTATTAAAAAGACACAAATTAGCTGGGTGTGATGGTGCGTGCCTGTAATCCCAGCTACTCTGGAGGCTGAGGCAGGAGAATTGCTTGAACCCATAAGGACTGCACTACTGCACTCCAGCCTGGGCAACAGAGTGAGACTCCAACACACACACACAAAATAAATAAATAAAAATCAGAAAGTAAGTGCCATAGTTCCTGCTACAGTTTAAATGTGTCCCTTCTGACTCCTGGATATTTGGTAACCAAAAGAGATGTTTATGAAAATACGTTTTTGCATGAGGAGTTATATTTACACAGATGTATGTGTGTGTATCAGAACAGAATATGCACTTTGGGGAAATTAAATAAATATCATTTGAAAAAGTAAAAAAAAAAAAAAAGTGTCCCTTCCAAAATTCAAATGTTGCCAGTGTGATACTATTAAGAGGCAAGGCCTTTCAGAGGTGATTAAACTGTGGGAGGGCTCCTCCCCTGTGATTGGGCTTAGGTGCCTTTATAAAGGGGATTGTTAAGGCAGTAGGTCCCTGTGGTCCTTCCGCCTTCCTCCAAGTGAGGATACAGCTAGAAGGTCCTCACCAGATGCTGCAGGCTTGATCTTGGACTTGTTAGCATCCAGATTGTCAGAAATAAATTTTTGTTCTTTATAAGTTACCTAGTCTTAGGTGTTCTGTTACAGCAACACAAATGGAAAAGATACCTCCTAAAGCCAGGCACATTACTTTCATTTTTATTTCATTGTCCAGGAGTGATCTCAGAACCTTGCCTCACTTCTACTGATCAGGGATCTGCAATCCTCTTGTGAGTCTGCACTGAAGGAGAATTGAGTATTGATAAACAATAGTGGATTTAATCATATATAAATGTAAACACTCATGCAATTTAAAAATAATAGCCTTGACTCTGGAATCACTTGAGGATTGAGTTTGTATAATTGTAAAATCTAAAGTCCATTGATTCTATTAGTGCTACTGCAGTTTACCTACGGGTCTGAGAGAAAGATTTTTTTCAGATTGTGAAATCTTGCTAGTTTACAGTTAGTTGGATTAGAAAAAGCTAAGGACAGGTGAGGAATCTATCAAAAGTTTCTGAACATTTCTTTAACAAAACAATGTCCATAGTAATAAATATTCATTTACCAATTATTTTGGGGACATATGTTTACTTATAATCTGAAAAATGTTATTTATCTCCTCCCAAAAGATGTCCATGAACAATTGTACTCAGAATATAAAAATACTAATCTCAAATATAATTATATGTTTTACTCTGATTTTTCACGCAAAAATTGATGGCCACATTTTTGGAAAAAATAGTTATGCAAAGTTTTAAAATCTTACTTAAGGTAAAAGTTAAGTTAGTTGAGCAAATTACTGGTGTCGGGCGACAAATAGTATATTGTAATTGTGGCCTGATTTGAACACGATAACATGACTGACATCTTTCATATTCCCTCAACGTTGATTGCAACAGTGGCAAAAATGCTGTTCACACTGGAGTAATAGCAGCAAAGACAGGTAGAGCTCCTACAGCCGGCTTTGTCTTAGGAGGGTAGGCTTGCTTCAAGGGACATGGGAATTCCCAAGATTCTTTGAATTAAATAGCAGTTTCTTTTATTTCCAGTTAGTGAATTCATTTTTGGTCAAGTATGTATCTTTATATCCACCGGATGATTATCATCAATTCGTGTTTCATTGTTATCTGAATAGATGTAAATTTCAAGTGGACGCTGCATATTTCTGCTGGCAGAGCAATTGAAAAGAGCTCGGTACTGTGCCTGGCACATAGTAGGATTTCAATAAAAATTTGATGCATAAATGAAAGGCATCAACACTCATTTGCACCTAGCAGAAATTGGTGTCCCATGCAAAATAACATTGGCATGGTTGTTTTCTTCCACTTATAGAGTGGCAAGTTGCTAACAAACCTTTGGAAGACATGTTTTCCAAATAAGTATTTAACCATATTGAAGTTATTTATGTCCTTTTAAGTTTTCAAAAGGGGCTCAAAAATAAGAATGCTCCTTTGAAGTCATCTGAGTACTCACAACAGATGGAAACCTGCAGCTTGCTATGGAGAGATAGCAGCTATTTCATTTCATTGAGTTCTAATGGGAAATATCTTAGCTGCCAAACTATCCATGTTTGGTTCAAAATGTTGGAAGAAATGCCCTCAACTCAGGGATGGTGAGCCCTGCTTTAAAAATCTGCTACTTTAATGTCTGTGTGTTCCAAACCACACAAAGTTCAGCCATATACCATGCATATGGCTTCCCAGTTCCATGTGGTAAAATTAAAAACAATTTTGTAGAATATTCAGAAAACTGCTTTTGTATTGAAAAAAATCTAAGAGAACTTTATGTCCTTTCTTTATCTGGTTCTCATTTTTCATTCTCTCTCACACACACATCTATATACAAATTCAAACCATTTAATATCTTTTCAGAAAGATATCAACTTTAAAATCGCATTATTAAAAATAAAACCTAATACCCAAAACCCACAATTTTTTTTCTCTCTCTAAAAGAAAATAAAACTAAGGCTACATAAGCTCTGTCAAACTCCTTTTTATATCTAAGAGCCTAATATAAAACCCATATAAACCAATAATCTTGTAATATAAATGTATATGATATATAAGTATAGAAAATGTAATATAGTTCTTTAATTTTTTATTGTTGTACTTTAAGTTCTAGGGTACATGTGCACAACGTGCAGGTTTGCTACATATGTATACATGTGCCATGTTGGTGTGCTGCACCCATTAACTCGTCATTTACTTTAGGTATATCTCCTAATGCTATCCCTCCCCCCTCCCCCCACCCCACGACAGGCCCTGGGGTGTGATGTTCCCCTCCCTGTGTCCAGGTGTTCTCATTGTTCAGTTCCCACCTATGAGTGAGAACATTCGGGTTGGTTTTCTGTCCTTGCGATAGTTTGCTGAGAATGATGGTTTCCAGCTTCATCCATGTCTCTGCAAAGGACACGAACTCATCCTTCTTTATGGCTGCATAGTATTCCATGGTGTATATGTGCCACATTTTCTTAATCCAGTCTATCATTGATGGACATCTGGGTTGGTTCCAAGTCTTTGCTATTGTGAATAGTGCCACAATAAACATATGTGTGCACGTGTCTTTATAGCAGCATGATTTATAATCCTGTGGGTATATGCCTGGTAATGGGATGGCTGGGTCAAATGGTATTTCTAGTTCTAGATCCTTAAGGAATCACCACACTGTCTTCCACAATGGTTGAACTAGTTTACAGTCCCACCAACAGTGTAAAAGTGTTCCTATTTCTCCACATCCTGTCCAGCACCTGTTATTTCCTGACTTTTTAATGATCACCATTCTAACTGGTGTGAGATGGTATCTCATTGTGGTTTTGATTTGCATTTCTCTGATGGCCAGTGATGATGAGCATTTTTTCATGTGTCTTTTTTTTTTTTTTTTTTTTTTTTTGAGATGGAGTCTCGCTCTGTCGCCCAGGCTGGAGTGCAGTGGCGCAATCTCGGCTCACTGCAAGCTCCGCCTCCCGGGTTCACGCCATTCTCCTGCCTCAGCCTCCCGAGTAGCTGGGATTACAGGCGCCCGCTACCACGCCCGGCTAATTTTTTGTATTTTTAGTAGAGACGGGGTTTCACCGTGTTAGCCAGGATGGTCTTGATCTCCTGACCTCGTGATCCGCCCACCTCGGCCTCCCAAAGTGCTGGGATTACAGGCGTGAGCCACCGCGCCCGGCCTTCATGTGTCTTTTGGCTGCATAAATGTCTTCTTTTGAGAAGTGTCTGTTCATAACCTTCGCCCACGTTTTGATGGGTTGTTTAATTTTTCTTGTAATTTTGTTTAAGTTCTTTGTAGATTCTGGATATTAGCCCTTTGTCAGATGGGTAGATTGCAAAATTTTTCTCCCATTCTGTACATTGCTTGTTCACTCTGATGGTAGTTTCTTTTGCTGTGCAGAAGCTCTTTAGTTTAATTAGATCCCATTTGTCAATTTTGGCTTTTGTTGCCATTGCTTTTGGTGTTTTAGTCATGAAGTCCTTGCCCATGCCTATGTCCTGAATGGTATTGCCTAGGTTTTCTTCTAGGGTTTTTATGGTTTTAGGTCTAACATTTAAGTCTTTAATCCATCTTGAATTAATTTTTTATAAGGTGTAAGGAAGGGATCGTTTCAGCTTTCTACACATGGCTAGCCAGTTTTCCCAGCACCATTTATTAAATAGGGAATCCTTTCCCCATTTCTTGTTTTTGTCAGGTTAGTGAAAGATCAGATGGTTGTAGATGTGCGGTATTATTTCTGAGGGCTCTGTTCTGTTCCATTGGTCTATATGTCTGTTTTGGTACCAGTACTATGCTGTGTTGGTTACCGTAGCCTTGTAGGATTTGTTTCCTTTAAATCCAGTAGAATCAGCAATAAATTAGTAGAATACTCTGGAACAGGATAATGGTAGTTCGTAGCTTGGTGTCAGAAAGTAACTTTCGACACCACTAACAGTTTGTTGGAAGTTAACAATCTTCTACCAATGTGATTTAAAAAGAAAAATAATATTAAGATCCTCAAAATATTACAAAAGATGTTTATTTGTCCTTGTTCACTTTGCTGTGAAGTTCTTCAGGTGAAAAACCCTGACTGAAAATATGATCTCTCCAAATGTGGTTTGTCAAAGTTTGAATTTGGTGGTTCCATTACAGACACCTATTTTTGGTTCTGCCAATGTGCAAAATAGGGCAGCCTTCTTTCCAGCCCACATTACCACTTTCCTACCTAGAGTGTGGCATGCTCAGTGGTCTGGTCATAAATCTAAACGCATCAGAAATATTGACTGCATTGAGGGTGTTGTTGTTGTTGTTGTTGTTGCTGTTGTTGTTGGTTTTTGAGACAGGATCTTGCTCTGTCTCCCAGGCTGGAGTGCAGTAGCACAATCCTGGCTTACTGCAACCTCCGCCTTCCAGGTTCAAACAATTCTCCTGCCTCAGCCTCAGGAGTAGCTGGGATTACAGGTGCCTGCCAATACCACCTGGCTAATTTTTGTGTTATTATTTTTTTTTAGTAGAAATGGGTTTCACCATGTTGGCCAGGCTGGTCTTGAACTCCTGACCTCAAATGATCTACCCGCCTCTGCCTCCCAGGCTGGTCTTGAACTCCTGACCT
Organism: Homo sapiens; assembly: GCF_000001405.40. Lineage (NCBI taxonomy): Eukaryota > Metazoa > Chordata > Mammalia > Primates > Hominidae > Homo > Homo sapiens. The sequence continues at coordinate 95,773,825 of NC_000015.10, read as the reverse complement.
CAAATGATCAACCCGCCTCTGCCTCCCGAGGCATGCGCTCGGCCTGCATTGAGATTTGAATGGGAGAAAGAGATTCTTCTTAACACTCACTCAGCTATAAAAGAAAAAAATCAACCTTGTGACTTGAAAAATGAAGTTTTTATTTATGTATGTATTTCAGTTATTTTTAAATTGCAATGAAATCAATTTCCTGCTTTGGCTTCAAAGACATTTTGGAAGGAGGATTTTTAGTCCCAAGGTTTAAATACAATTTTAAATCCTGAAAGTCCCTTTGTTCTGTAGTATCAGAGTCTAATGGTAACTTTGACCATGATATGAACACTTTTGGAAAATAATATGAGAATAATGTTGGTGGCTCTTTTACGTGTGATTACTGATATTTTTAGGGTCTCTTGGTAACAGATCATCCCTTATAAATGCTTACTTTTAGTTTGAATGGACTTTACTGATAGTGTTTGAAAAAACATTTTTTAAACTAGAAAAAAAATGCATTTTGGAGCAAATGAGAGCTTATGCCTTGGTATCTCTTCTTCTCCCAGGTATGATGGTTTATTGTACAGCGACAGAATACGAAAATGAGTTTATTAAGTTTACTTAGAAATGATTCAAAGATATCTGTGTGAGCTCCTTCAGCTATGTCAACATTTTCTTGAAAGATACCTGAGATTATTTGATGTTTACTTTTTTAAGTATAGTATTTGTAAGTTAAAGTGCACAGGAACATTTTATTACATTTTAAATGTAATTCCTGATCCCCAGATGCTGTCCATATAAATCTGAACAAACCCAAGACATCGCTATCTATATTAGATCAACAAATCCTCTCAGTCCCTGGGCTAGTGTTAAGAATAAGCAGCAAAAAGTGAAATTCCTTGGTAATAAAACTTCTGTTTCTTGACAAGTGTGATGTAAGGACGTTTTTTGCTATGCTGCCTACACCTTTCAAAGTAGGTTACATTGTATAGTACGATTATGTCTTCCTGTAACCTCTATTTCAAAAGTGCATGGTGTGTAAATAATACATTTTTCTAACAACTGTTTTAATGGTCACTGTTTTTAAGGTCATCTTCATGTGAAATTCAAAACTGCAAAATGCTGAAAATCCAATTTTGCTTTAAAGGAAGGGATGTTTTCTTTTTCTTTTTTTCTTCCCCCTTTTGGGTTTTTATTCCTATTTCTTAAAATGGTAATCTCAATGGGAATTGGCATACTCATACATCAAACTTCATTTATGCCAACATCAAGTTAAATAATTTCTCCAAGCTTTAAGTACACCATGAAATTGGGCATACCTATGTGGGCTATTGCTATTGACTTCTCAAATTATTACATTACACTTTTCTTCTTGAAACCAGACAAATATGATATTTTCAGGGATAGAAGACACAAATTTATCTCTTTCTATTGCCCCCAAAAGACATTATAAGCTGCTGTGTCTTCTGGTTCGTGCAGGAAACACCCAATTACTGCCAGCTAGAACATCCACGAAATGATTTCTATTAAAATAGATTGAACCCCCCAATAACTACAGGTCTGTGTATATGTTCCTATATAACATTCATTATTTCTTCTTCTGATGACATTGTAGAAATTTGGAAAATTACATAAAATTACAGTGGGAGGAAAAAAATCATTTGTAAGTCTGCCCAGATAATCATGATTTATATTTTGCGGTGTAATAATCCCTTGCCAACCCCAGCTTGGCCAACTGAAGTATTGAGATAACACTGTTTTGCATCATTATGCCAAAAATTAAAATTCCACAACCTATTTACATATACAGGATTCAGTTCAATATCCTTAAACAAGTGCAGAATGACAAGATTTCTTTAAATTACACTCCTTTGATATAAAAGTGAAAGAACAGATATGCAAAATTTTGCCTTTGTACAAAGACCAGGGGAGGGGCATTTATGTTGCTGAAATCTGTTAAAACAAAATGAAAACACAAAACACTAACAGGGGTTGAAACATCCAACCAGGAGTAACCTGTAAATGACATAAAATTAGTGGAACATATTGCCTTTACCATATAATGGGCGCTAAAAATAATATTTCCCTGGAAGATTGAAGAAAGTAAATTAGCACTATTGTTAACTTCCAAAGTAGATATTTGTTAATGCTGTAGTATCTTTCGTTTCACAACAGATTACTTTCTATGCTCCAAGTGTAGTACATTTTACTATTTTCCAGTAAAATCCTTATTTTCTATGAACATCTGATATAATTATAGTTTTGTCGTTCATTAGAGTACCAGGAATTTAACTAGCATATTGATAAGGATTAAATATAAATACCTTTTTACATTGATATATTTATACTTAAAAAAAAACAAAATGAAATCATTGTATTTTATAACTTGCCTTTTCTTTAACAATTACTATAGGATTTTTCTTTTATGCTGTTCTGTTTTCTTTTAATAATTATGAATGGCTCCCTAGAATCTCATCAATGAAACCATAGCTTATTAAGGCATCCACTCTATAGATCATTAGACTGCATTTAACTCTATTTTTCTTCTTAATTAATAAAACCACAATTAATAACTTTGAGTTTAAATCTTGGGCATATTTTTAATTTTTGTTTTTAATATATATTTCTCTAAGTCCAATCAAAAGGTCTACAGATAGGACCACTTTAAGGTCTGTGACACCTTTCTCCATTTTGCTCCACAGAAATATTATTCTGTTTTACTTGTCCCTTAGTTTATCCATGAATGGACTTTCATGATACTGGATGTTATCATGAAAACATTTTGCCAATATTAATAATGAAATAATGTATCTATTGTTATTAATTTCCATTTTTTATTACCAGGCATTTAAAACACTCTTTTATGTTTCTTTTCTATGTTCTTTTCATTTGTGAATGGCCCTTTTTCATGCTTTCACACATTTTTCAATAAAGGCATTCTTTTCTGTGATCTTTTCGGATGTAATTTTTTTGTTTCATTTCACCTTGAAGTTAATTTCAAAGTTTTAATTAGAACAGAGAAGTTCACATTTCAATTCAGCCAAATCCAACCGTCTTTTCTTCAGAGTTCCGTCTTTATCTTTTTGTAAACCAAACATTTTTTGTCATATCAGGACCTGCTTACAGATATCACATTCACAGTGATATTTTTGTCAGCACTTATCTCTAAATGTGTTATGAACTTCTTTAGATTTTCCTTCTCTAAAGGAAACACTGAGGGAGCCAGCTCCCCTTTTGGCTAGTGATGTTTGTGTTTAGTTTCTTCTTCCTTCCAGGTAAATTATTTCCTAAGAAGCCTCTAACTTCTTATGCAAATATGTCTTTGCTAGGCACAGACAAAGAGTTTGCCCAACACAACCTGGCACATTTGAATGTCTTTTCTGCCCAGCTTAGACCCCTGTGGCATTTAGGTATTTGCCACCCAGAGGTGAGGGGCTCTCCCATATGCCAGAGGGATTCCTACATGCCTAGAGGGTGAGCAATTATCCTGGTATCTGAAATATCACTGACTAACTTTCATTGTTCTGTGTGGTGGGGAAATGGAGCATTTCTTTCCAAGTTTTTGTATGAGAAGGTAAAGGAAAAAACAGCAGCCCACACTGTCCTTTTTCATTCCAAATGCAGAAGTTTTCCACAGGAAGAGTTTTAGTATTTTTTAGTAGAAATTAAATCTCAAGCAATTGAAACATTTACAATTCAACACTATAATGTACTCAAAAATAAATTATTTTAGCCAAAAGAAAATGATAGCAGATGGAACTCAGGATCCACTGAAGGAAGGAATGAAGAATAGCAGAAAGGGTAAGTATCTTGGTAAACATAAAAGAATTATTTTTGTAGAGCCTTCATTTTTTATATACATATATATTTTAAAAACTAATGACTGCTTAAAGCAAAAAATGATAATAATATATTGTGGGGTCTATAGCCACAAAATATAAGAAAGTAGAAAAAGAGTGGGAGAGGATGAATTGAATTATATAGCTGTAAGATTCTTACATTGTTTTAAAAATAATATAAAATTATTTGAATGTAGACCATGATTACTTAAAAGAAAATTTATGTCATCACTAAGGTGATCAACAAAAATTGCACAAAAATGTAGCTAAATGTTACCACACATAGAATACAAAAATATACACAACTTACCCAACAGAAGGCAGGAAAGAAATGGAATAAACATAAATTTCAAGATGGAAGAGCTCAACTGAATCATTGATAATTACATTAGAAATTGACTAGACAACTTATTAAGAGGTATAATTTTTAAAAATTGATTTAAACTAATAGAAGACCCAACTGTATTTTTATAAGATGTACTTAAAATATAAGCAAACAAGTATTTTGAATGTAAAACTGTGAAAAATGGCACACCATAATGTGGCTATAATATTACACAAAGTAGACTTTGATTAAAAAATTACCAAAAGTTAAAAAAAATTGTAATGTTGAAGGCATCGTCAAGTTCACAGAGAACAATAAAGGTACTAAATGTGTGTCTATCTTTAAACTTCTATATACATGAAGGGGAATTTGGCAAAAATAAAGGCAGAAATAAACAAATGCAAAGCATAGTTTGAGATTTTTATCAACCCTAAATATTTGATAAAACAGGCAGACAAAAAAATAACAGTAAAAATATGGATGATTTGAGAAACAGTATCAACCAACATGATCTAGATGGCCCCTAGTGAATGCTACCACTAATCAATACACGTGGAACATTCATTAAAATAGACTGTAGACTGGGCATTGAAACATATCTTAACAAATACTGAAAGTTTGAAATCATTCCATTTATACCATCTAAACACAATGGCATTTAATTAGAAATTAATAGTGATAAGACATATTTAAACATCCCTAAGTATTTGGAATTGTATTAACACACCTCTACATAAACAATAAATCCACAAATAAGTCACAAATAAAAATTAGAAAATACTTTTGGTTGAAAAGCAATGAAAGCACACTATCAAAACTTGTTAGATGCAGTGAGAGTATAAGCGTAATACTTGGATGAAGATTTATCGTTTTAAACGCTTATATTACAAATTAAGGAAGATATAAAATCAATATTTTAAATTCCTCCATTAAAAAACTGGAAAGGAAAAGCAAATTAAACCCAAAGTAAGGAAAGCAAAAGAAATCATCAAAATAACAGCAGAAATAAATGATACAGAAAATAGGCAAACAATATAAAAATCAAGTCAAAAAATAATTTTTGAAAAGATTAATAATATTGATTAATCCACAGCAAAAATGAACGAAGAGAAAAAGAGACACTCAGAAAAAGACAGAGAAAGAGATTGAAAGAGAACCAATAGTAATAAAACTGTGGTCCTCGCTGAGATTTTATATACATTTAATATAAATATTAAATTAATATAAATATTAAATGTATATAAATATATTAATATATAATCTTTATATATTTAAAGATTAATAGTGGAATGTTATGGGCCAGGTACAGTGGCTCGCGCCTGTAATCCCAGCTCTTTGGGAAGCTGAGGAGGGCAGATCACTTGAGGTCAGGAGTTTGAGACCAGCCTGGCCAACGTGGTGAAACCCGTCTCTACTAAAAATACAAAAATTAGCACGGCGTGGTGGCGGGAGCCTGTAATCCCAGATACTCGGGAGGCTGAGGCAGGAGAATTGCTTGAACCTGGGAGGCAGAGGTTGCAGTGAGCCGGGATGGCACCACTGCACTCCAGCTTGGGAGACAGAGCGAGACTCTATCTCAAAAAATAAGACGAAGAATAATGGAATGTCATGAACACCATTATGCCAATAGCAGAGAAAAGTTAGATGAAATGAATACATTGCTTGAAAAAATACTATCAAAATTAACAAGTGGAAATAAAAAATCTGAATAACTAATTTATTAAAGAAATCATAGTCAAAGAACGGAACAAAAATAATTAAAATGAAATAAACCTTCAGACCTTGACTGCAACACTGATGAAGTTTACCATATATGTAGTGAAAAATAAAACCATAGCTGGGTGCGATGGCTCATGCTTGTAATCCCAGCACTTTGGGATGCTGAGGTGGGTGGATTGCCTGAGGTGAGGAGTTCGAGACCAGCCTGGCTATCGTAGTGAAGCCCTGTCTCCACTAAAAATACGAAAAATTAGCTGGGTGTGGTGGCAGACACCTTTAATTTCAGCTACCAGGAAGGCTAAAGCAGGAGAATCACTTGAATCCGGGAGGCAGAGGTTGCAGTGAGCCAAGATCACGCCATTGCACTCCAGCCTGGGCAACAAGAGCAAAAATACTCTGTCTCAAAAAAAAAAAAAAAAAAAAAAAGAAGAGAAAAAGAAAATTGCAGGGTCATTCTTTCTCAAGAACATAGGCTTAACAAAGCCTCAACAAAATGTTAGCAAATTAAACCGTGACATATATAAAAAACATAATATATGGTGTCCAAGTGGGATTTATCCCAGAAATATAAAGTTAGTTGTTTAGCACTGAAAAATCAATCAGTGCAATTCAACGCATTAACAGATTAAAGGACAGATAAATATACACTGATATGAAAAGATTCACAAATGCATTTGCAAAAATTGAATACCTGTTCAAGAGAAACTCTTGAAAAATTTGTCATAGAAAAAAGACTTATTCATGTAGAAGTTATCTACAGAATTCCTACAGTTAACATCACACTTTTGGGTGAAATATTCAAATAGCAGAAATAAGGCAAATATATTCTCTGTTACTGTTTCTGTTTGAAATTTTTCTGGAGGTTCTAGTCAATACAATAGGGCAAGAAAAAGGAATAAAAGACATAAATATTGGGAGAAAAGAAGTGAAACTTTGTTATTTACAGTGTACATTATGACATACATAGAAACTTTTATGAAATCTACAAAAAGTCTAGAAAAAAGGTAATTTCAGCAATATCAGAGAAGAGAAGACCAATATATCATTTTTTTTTTTTTTGAGATGGAGTCTTGCTGTGTCTCCCAGGCAGGAGAGCAATGGAACAATCTCAGCTCACGGCAAACTCCACCTTCTGGGTTCAAGAGATTCTCCTGCCTCAGCCTCCCAAGTATGTAGGATTACAGGTGCTTGCCACTGCGCCCAGCTAATTTTTGTATTTTTTAGTAAGATAGGGTTTCGTCATGTTGGCCTGACTAGTCTCGAACTCCTGACCTCAGGTGATCCACCTGCCTCGGCCTCCCAAAGTGCTGGGATTATAGGAGTGAGCCACCATACCTGGCCTAATATACAATTTTAGTTGTATTTCTATTTTCCAGCAAAACACATTTGGAAAATATAAAATATTAAGAGCAGTATCATTTTCTTTAGCCCCCAAAGCAATGAGATATTTGGGGCTAAATTTAACAAAACATCTGTAAAATCTATATGCTGAAACTATACATCATGTGTAAGAGAAATTAAAGAAGAACTCAATATGAATGGGGATGTATCATGTTAATGAACTGGAAAGTCCAATATTGTTAAGATGTCAATCATCCTCAAATTAATCTATAGGTTAAACACAATCCCATTCCAAACCCTAGAAGGTGGGCTGTAGAAATTAATAAGCTGATTCCACAATGCATATGTACATTCAAAGAATCTATGTAACCAAAACCATTTTGTAAAAGATAATGCTGGAGCTCTTATACTACCTGATTTAAAGATTCATAAAGTTACAGCAATCAAGGCATTGCAGTTTTGTCTTAAGGATGAACATGTAGATAAATGAAACTGAATGAAGTACTATAAGTAGATCCACGTATAGAGAGAAAATTGATTTTTGACCAATTTCAGTGAAGGAAGGGAATTTTTTAAAAACAGATATTCCTAGAGCAACTGGATATCCATTTGGAGAAACACCTATTTTACTTTATTAATATCAGATAAAATTGACTTTAAAGTAAAATAATTATCAGAGGTAAAAAGTCACTGAAAGAAGAAATAAGAATTCATCAGGTAGAGACACCAATTCTATATTGGTATGCACCTAATGTATGCCAATATATAGAAAGCAATAATATAAATGAATGTATATAATATTGTATACCAAGCTAACTTTATATATAGAATTACAGAGAGAAATGATTTGGTCTGAATCATAGAGGGAGAAACCAAATGGCTTATTAGGCACATGACTTTGATCTGTGCCGTCTACAGTTTGTGTTGATGGAGCAAATCAGGTTTTTCAGATTTCAGGTACCTGGGAGGTGCTAGAAGCCACAGTATCCCCTAACTGCCCTGTGTAAGATCCAGTAAATGAAGGTCTAATTAGGGATATGTTCAGGCAACATTAAGAATTTGCTCCTAACTATATGTAACACATATAACTATTATGTGTATATATGCATATGCATATATAAGTAAATGTAAATATAGATACATAAGTTCTACAGTGTACATGTGCACTATTGATGTGTTTTGGCTCTGTCCCCACCCAAATCTGATCTTGAATTGTAGTTCCCATAATCCCCACATGTCGTGGGAGGGACCTAGTGGGAGGTAATTGAGTCATGGAGGCGGTTACCTCCATGCTGTTCTCATGATAGTGAGTGGGTTCTCACAAGATTTGGTGGTTTTATAAGGGGCCTTTCCCCTTTGCTCAGCACTTCTTCCTGCTGCCTTGTGAAGAAGGTGCCTTGCTTCTTCTTTGCCTTCTGCCATAATTCTAAGTTTCCCAAGACTTCCCAAGCCATGCTGAACTCTGAGTCAATTAAACCTCTTTTCTTTATGAATTACCCAGTTTTGGGTGTTTCTTCATAGCAGTGTGAGAATGGGCTAATACAACTATGTATAATAGTTGGTATATACATCTACATCTATTTTACATATATGCTGTGTCTGTATATGTTTGTGTGTGGGCAAGGTGAGTCATTAGTTGTTGGCTTTGACAGAAGGCATAGGAGAGATATTTGTTAGATGCTGATTTTGTTTTATTTTATTCTCGTAATGGACTTTGGAAGTTGGTAATATTGTCCAATTTTACAGATCAGAAAATGGAATCATAGGATTAGTCATATAAAATATATCATTTTTTCTTTATCTTAAGGGCTACTTTTATTATGCACTTTTATAGAACATAAAAATGGGCAGCAAATGGTGATCTGGATTTTTAATTCAGGTTTAAACACAAAGTGTAGTTCCTTGACCGCAATATGTTTCTACCCTTCATTTGATGGTGCAAAAATGGATCAAGGAGCCAGACATGAACCCTGGCGGAAAAGCACATTCTTGAGGACTGGTCTCAGCATTCACACTGTAACTCAAAAGTTGGAAGCCAATAATTTTGAGTCATAAAATCAGCATGACATTGAGTGTATGTAGGATGGTCAATTTTTTAAGAGTACATTTTGGTATTGAAAGTAATGGCAAAGCTGCAATTACTTTTGCATCAACCTAATAAAAGATAAAACAAATTTCCAAGTCTCTCAGTGACACAGGAGCCAGAAGAAGGTATTGAAAATTTACACCAAGTGAAGGATGGCCAATGGAAGTTAAGATATGCAGTGCCCATTATTACTAATTTAACATATATAAAATGTCATTGATATTTTCTTTATGTCATGTGCTGCTTTTATGATTCTCTTTTACAGGACATAAAAATATTTTAAGGGCTTTCAGTTTTAGGTTCATCTGCAACTTCTGTCTTTTAAACCTTTTTTTCTCCAGGAGATATTAATTTCTTCATCAGAACCGATAGTCCCGCTGTCATTGAAATGAGCTGTGTGGTGAATATTAGGAGCATCCGTGCTCAGCCACACCCTCGGAAACTGCTGCAAATGCTGCCATTGACAGGAGGCAGTGACACTACTGGATTGCTGTCACCTGAGCCTTAGGTTCTTTGGTCTCTAGTCTCCACTGAGTCACACTGGATACAGCACAGGGCAAGAATAGCCTCCTTCAATGCAATCACAGAACCAAAATATACCGGAATCTTTGGGGAAGAATGGAACAGAAGATACTTTAAGAGATTAATTTTCAGTTTGTCCCTTTCCCTATAACATGAAGCCAGATTTGTCCCCTCCCATTGAAATAGCTGTTGATGATCTTGGGCTCTACATTAAATTGTAGAACTCAGGCAACCAGGAAGGCGCTAAACAGTAGATGAGCCTCTCTATTGAGAAGGTGTGGTCCAGGGAAAAACCATGCCATTTACTCAGATTTAAGAGCATGGAGGTGCAATCTTATCAGCATTATTACGTGACTAATATAATTCCCGGAAGCCAAGACCGTGCAGCCTCTAAATATTCCATTATCTTGTTGGCCTCCCTATACCACTATTACTATGATTATATGTGTGCAGTTTGTGATTTGGGTTTGAGCCAATAATATCAATAAATATAGATGATTCACATGCACTTTATTTTAATCTGACTTACATTGGAAAGGTGAGAAAATCACTCTTGGAAATCCAGAGCTTGGAAGATTTCCAGTAAAAATTTCCAACAAAAAGATTTGAATATGGCTCAGGTTTGTTTAAAAGGAGCAACTGATGAAAACATTTCTTTATTGCTCAGAAAACATTAAAAGATTTGCTTACAGCTTTGCTATGGGTGATAAAAGCAAATTAGTAAAAATTCCACTAGGAACAAATATTACGTTATGAGCTGCCTTTGTTATTGTCTTATTATAAATTAATAAAGCCACATTCCAAATTATACTGGGATCTTGAGTTTGGTGTAAAAAGGAGGAGAAGGTGCAGGAGTTAGAAATCCTGATTTTAAAATAAAAAAGGGATTGTTATGCAAGCAGCATGGGATATTTGTTGTGTGTGGTAGTGAAGATGAAAATTTAATGGAAGAATAAACAATAGTGGTGCAGGGCGGAACATCAGGGATGGAGCTCCAGTTACTTAGGGGTAGGGACCATAATGGAATTACTAAGTTTGCAATTCTGTTGTGCCTTTGGACCTGTAGGAGCCAGTGAAGCATTTGCTATATTAATTATAGGGGCTGGGATTTTGTTTTAGCAGGACTCAAAACATCGTGGTCAGATGGGAGCTATTCATGTTCTCATTTTGGAAAGAGATATGTGTATGTGTGTTTGCATGTGTGTGTGTGTGTGTGTGTGTATTTAACATGCTAGTATTAATAGAGAGGAGATGGGGTATGGAAGAGTTTTAATTTTGGGGTGATATAGAGGTCAAAGATATCTGTGTAATACATAGAGCAGAAGGCATGGCCTACATTTAATTATACACCAGCAGAAATATTTTGTAGCTACTTCCCTCCAGTATGATCACGGAATCATTGATGACGTAAGATTAAGAAATAGCCTTATTGTTAAAAAAAGCTAATAAAAAAGAAGGATCATCTATTGTAAAGATGAGAGACAGAGACAAAATAACTCATCTGTAATGCAGATTTATTAATAGTCATTCACTGATTTTCAGTAAAATACTCTTCATGTAACCTTGACTTTATTAAGGAGTCCTTAAGGTGCATTTGGAAGACAGATAATGAGTTTGGGGAATAGCCTTATCTACATCAAGCTAATCTTTAACAGCTTGGAAAAGAACTAGCATAAAGTTCTTCAATTTGAGTGACAGAATCATGTTAAGATGAAACCATTTAAAATGTCCTTTTAATATGAAGACTTTATGGTACACGGCAATATTTTTATAAGAATGCTTCATGGAGCAGTGGGAACATAAAATAAATAAGAAATATAGAAAACCATGGAGCTTTCATACTATTCTTGAGGGTCAAATGAATTGCTAGTTAAGAGAATAAAGAATTCTACTGTCCAAGGCCTCTGAGTGGCACTTTGTATCTGGGTTAATAAAAGCAAGTCAGACGTCCCCAGGGGGAAAAAAGTGTTTCATTCACGTTAGCTGTCTCCTTTAAAGGGAGGGACAATCTGAAGGGAGGGATTTTGAGTGGCATGTCATTGTCGAGACTGCACATGCCACATTGTCAGGACTTCTATGGAGAGAAATCCGCAGGAACCTTTCTGACCCTTCGCAAGTGCAGGACTCTGTGTGTCTGTGTGGGTGAGCGTAAGCAGGCTGAGAGCCGAAAGAAAGAGGGATGAAAAGAAAACTAATTGAGAAGTATCTTTCTAATGAGACAGCTCATATTTATCCATGTGCAGATTCCCAAGTTCAGATTTTTCTCCTTTAGTGAAAATGTGAGCGCCCTTCTTTAGCATAAGACTAGACATGCCATGAGAAGCTTTTTACCCCCAGCTTCTATGCAAGAGTTACATCACATGGCAAGCTGAAATAGGCTACAGTTTTCAAAGCTTGAAACATGTTCATTAGTGAAGCCCTTCTTATTCCTGTTGCTTCTGATAAACTTATTTTAAGTCTTTTACTTATTTATTATAGTTTGTTGATTCGTTTTGTTTTGCTTTTCTCCCTCTTGTCTCAGCGGATTGAGTCTATTTCTTACTTCTTTCTTTAGTCCTTACAAATTTAGGATTTCACCAAAAATACCTTCAGCTCAGAAGTCATCGCACAGAGGTTCAAACCAGGAAGTTTCAGCTGATTTTTGAAAATTCACTTTCCTCGGCAATAAGGCACTCCCAAACTTTGCCTGAGAGATTTAAAGGCTTTCATGCTATTTCAATAGTTATCCAATTTTCTTTCTAACTCTGGTATAAAATCATTTCTTCGTCTTTAGAAGACCCAAAAGGATCATTTGTAGATATCAGCGAAGGCTAAAATGTGTCATTACAGACTGACTTGCAGTTGGCAAGATGTGAATGCAATTGTGAGAGAAGCAAGAAGCAACTCTCCTTACACTCCTGAGAAATTTCAGTCTTGGGGGGAGAAAAGCAAGAAGCAACTCTCCTTACACTCTTGAGAAATTTCAGTCTTGGGGGGAGAAAAGCAAGAAGCAACTCTCCTTACACTCTTGAGAAATTTCAGTCTTGGGGGGAGAAAAGCAAGAAGCAACTCTCCTTACACTCTTGAGAAATTTCAGTCTTGGGGGTAAGAAAGCTGGGATTTAGTGATTTCATTGAACTTTCTTTTTTTTTTTCCTTTAAGAAGCAAGTGATAATTCATCTGCAAACACACCTTTCTTTGCTCTGTTGTCAATAGAAAAGTTGTTTTGCTAATGGTTATCTGTCTACAAGTCCTTGACCTGCTTGTAAACACATTTCTGCAGGAAAACCCTGGGCCATGGCCTCGGGACTTTGCGTCAACAACAAGAGATAAAGTGACCACAACTTAACCTGTTCTGGCCTGGAGTGCCCTCTGCTGCCCCTCGACCAAGCGCGTCCCTAATCTCTCTGCTGAAGGAACAGATTGCTTGGAGGGCCAGCCATGACATGGCTTGACCTGTACTGCTGCATGGTTCCCATGTGCTATTTTCAAAAATTTGATCTATTCCTGCCAGGGAACCATTTTAAACCATCTTTCCATTCACTAAGGGGAAAAAAAGTTCTGTTGGCTAATCAAAGTTGGTCAGATCTGTGTCTTCATGGTTCTAAAAGAATTGGTACAAAAGTGAAAAAAAGAGGGTCAAATGAATTGATTTAATTATATGGATGCCATTTAATTATAATTATTATTCCCATAATTATATGGATGGGAATAAACAGTATTCCCATCCCCCTAAAATTTTGAAGTGACATTGAAGAGAACTTTTAAAAACATAAAATGTTAGAAATCATTATGCATGTGTGGAATTAGTTGATTTTATGTTTAGTTTCAGTTAAAATAATTTTATACCTGTTTCTGTTCCCCAGTATATCGGCCTCCTGTGGTCATCCTCACTAAAACCGTGTCACTTCTTAGATTCCCTCAGTTCTCTCTTTTATGTTATTATTTGTTTGTTTTTCTTTCTTTTTTCTTTCACTCCTCACCCCCCTTTAAAGTTAATTTTGCAAAATAAATTATAGCTTAAATATTTCTGAAATGTGTGATTTCTAGTGGAACTCTCTATTGGTCCTGTCCACTAGCTGACAGGATCAGCCCTATTTTTGATCAGCTCTTCTCTAGTCCTACTATATTTTCTAGCTGTATTTTCTAGAGTTTTCCTAGCATGGTCCTGCCTTTTCTTCCAGGCTACACTTTTCATCTGTGATTTTCCTGACTTCTCTCAGTATTGCCTAAGTATTGATGCTTACCCTACTTTGCCTACGATTTAGTTTGTTCAAAATCAAGTGTACATCAAGTTAACATGTATCCAGGAGTGATGTTTTAGAAGTAATAAAAGGAATGTAATGGGCTGGGCGTGATGGCTCATGCCTGTAATCCCAGCACTTTGGGAGGCCGAGGCAGGCAGTCACTTGAGGTCAGGAGTTTGGGACCAGCCTGGCCAACATGGTGAAACCCTGTCTCTACTAAAAATACAAAAATTAGCCGGGCATGGTGGCACATGCCTGTAATCCCAGCTGCTTAGGAGGCTGAGGCAGGAGAATCACTTGAACCCAGGAGGTGGAGGCTGCAGTGAGCTGAGATTGCACCACTGCACTCCAGCCTGGGCGATAGAGCGAGACTTTGTGTCAAAATAAATAAATAAATAAATAAATAAATAAAAATTAAAATTAAAAAAACAGAAAAGAAAAGAAAGCTAATGGACATGTTCCGCCTTTGAGAAGCATGTTAGTTTTGATAGATCTGAAGTGTCAATGTAACTCGTGAATGGAGTGCTTCATAAAGTATTTGCACATCCAAATTGATTAAGAGTGGTATGGATTGCATATGATTTTCTTTTTGTTGTTTTAACAATTAAATTAATACACCCAAGTATAATTTAACTGTAGATTATCTGCTATGCCTTTATCTGTTCCATGCTTCAAGCATAGATTCTCAAAGTTGTAGCACGAGCAAAATTTTTTGGTACATTTTCAATGACTGAGGTAATTGTTTCCTAAACTATCAAATGTCCAGAATAGCAACACGATCTTAAATAAGAATTTGGCTTCCTATTGGATATAGGTTTTACTTTTTACACATCTCTCAAGTGATTTAGCACTTACTTGGGATGTAAGCAAATCATAAATGATGATCAAAAAGTGCTGTTTTGCATTAGTGAACATGAATTACTAGAATGCTTTAAATGTCAGTTTTTAACATTTGCAATATGCACATTTGATACTATAATCTATGTCTCTGTTTTGTGAGGGGAATACAGTTGGCAAAGACTTTTAAAAATAAAATATAGGTGAAAATTGCGCAGAAAATTATACCAAACATAGGTATGCAGCTCTATGGCTATCAAAAAATGAACAACTAAAAAGTTACCACCCATGTCCAGAAATAGAACATGGTCAACATCCCAGAAGCTGTCCCTTCTGAATTTCTATTCCTGTTGCTCTTTCCCAAAGTAGTTATTATCTGTATGCTTATATAATCATAGTTTTGTTTGTCTTTAAAGCTTTACCATCTAAGCAAGTATCCTAAACACTGTGGTTTAATTATTTTTTTCACTTTTTATAAATGGAAATAAATAGCATTTTTTTTTACCTGGCTTCTTTCAATCAGAATTATCTTTGTCTGACTTATTCCTTGTGTATGTGTAACTCCAATTAGTTTATTTTGGGTTGATGAGTAATATTTCAACCTATTAATAAACCACAATGATTTTTATCTATTTTACTATTGATACATATTTCAGTAGTTTCCAGATGTTGTTTCTGCATCTGATGAAATATGCCTACAGTTTTTCTCTTTTATATGATTAATGTTGTGAACACAATGATATATTTTTTTTAATTTTACTTTAAGTTCTGGGATACAAGTGCTTAATGTGCAGGTTTGTTACATAGGTATACGTGTGCCAAGGTGGTGTGTTTGTTGTCATCTAGGTTTTAAGCCCCGCATGCATTAGATATTTGTCCTAATGCTCTCCCTCCCCTTTCTCCCTACCCACCAACAGGCCCCCGTAGGTGATGTTCCCCTCTCTGTGTCCATGTGTTCTCATTGTTCAACTACCAAATATGAGGGAGGACATGCAGGGTTTGATTTTCTGTTCCTGGAACACAATGATTTCTTTTAAATATTAAAGCTACTTTGAATAACTAAATTGAGCCCAAATTAGTTACTGTGGACCATCATGTTCCTATTTTACTACAGTTTTCTAAAATTTTTACATTTAGGTACTGTAATTTTATGTTCTTTTAATCAAATTTTGGTACAAGACCTATGCTGTCCTCAAGAAAATGAGTTGGAGAATAAGTTCCTCTTTCACTCTTCTGTGTAACAGCATAAGTAGAACTGGCATAATTTCTTCCCTAAAATCAACCGTAAAGCTATCTGGGTCTTCACATTTATTCTGCCCTCCCCTCTCCTACCCACCCCTTCTTCTCTTTCCTTCATCTTTCCTTTTCTTTTTTGTGAGATGATTTATTTACGGATTAAGTTTTTTTACTTCTTCTTGTGTCCATTTAGTTATTTAAAAAATTATTTGCGTAATTTAAATTTTAGAGATTATTAGAATAAATGTTCATACTATTTCCTGTGTTCTTTTAAAAGTGTAAAACATCTGTAGTAATGTCTCTCTTTTCCTTTCTGACACTGATCATTTTTACACACTCTCACTTCTCTCTTTCATTTTCATTAGTCTTACTCTAAGTCTTTCAATTTTTTTTTTTTAGTGTGTCCAGATAACATACTTTGGCTTTGTTGGTCTTCTCCATTTTACATTAGTTTTACCTAACCTGATAATTTTTGTACATTATTCTCATCCTTTTTCTTTCTTTGGGCTTAATTTGCCAGGTTTATTTTCCCTAAATTTTTGAGATGATTGAATTCTAGCTTCTTTTTTTCCTAACATATGTATTCTGGGTTATAGCTATCACACTAGGTAGTAGCTTTCATTGCACGTTCAGTATACGATATTTAAAATTTTTCTTTCAATTGAAAATATTTTCTAAAATCTATGGTATTTCTTCTCTGACCTGTGGGTTAGTTATAAATAATTATTTTAAATTTTCCAAAGTATGTTTTCTAGTTCCTTTTTTCTTATTGATTTCTAGAAAAATTGTATTGCAGTCAAATTATATTCTTTGCTTGATTTTAATTATTTGAAATTTGTTTTTATCATCCCTATGGTTTTCAGAAATGTTTCATATGTACTCAAAAATATGTCTTCTGAAGGTATTGGATGCACAGAATTGGCTCTACAAAATTCCATGAGGTCAGTTTTGTGGATGTTGTTATTAAAATTTTTTACATCCATAATAATTTTTTAGTTCGCTTATTATTTTTTGATTTTGGTTGATTTTAGTTACTGACATTTGTATTTTAAAATCTTCCACTAGAATTGTGGATTTGTCTTTTATTCTTCAAATTTTGTTCACATCTTTTCTATATATTTTAGGCTTTGTTATTAGATTTGTTCTAGTTTGAATTCTTGATAAATTGAACCTATTATTATTATTATGCTGCTTGAATTTTCTTGCCTTAAAGTGCAATGCCTTCTATTAATATAGGTAAACGAGTATTTTTTCCGCTTTATGGTTAGTATTTTCATGTTATATCTTTCTCCATTCTTATTTTCAACTTATTAATATTTGATAGAATATGGATATGTTACTTACAGCATTTAGTTGAGATTTTTTAATACTGACAGAAACAGTTTTTAAATTTGGAGCACTTTGTGCATTTATATTTTATATAACTGCTGGTAGAATTTTACTTAAACATATCGCTTTGCTAAGTGTGTTCTATTTTTTCCTGATGCTCTTTCTTTTTCTCTCTGTATATATTTCATCTTATAAAGTATTTTTGTATTCTAATTTCTCCCCTACCATGTTGAAAGTGATTTTTCCTTTCACTATTTTATTAGTGGTTAGCCTAGAGATCAGAGAATGTGTTTTTTAG
The DNA here is from genome assembly GCF_000001405.40 of Homo sapiens. Taxonomy (NCBI): domain Eukaryota; kingdom Metazoa; phylum Chordata; class Mammalia; order Primates; family Hominidae; genus Homo; species Homo sapiens. Next base: position 95,756,094 of record NC_000015.10, on the reverse strand, counting down.
ATTAGCAAAGATGTACTAGTTGGTACTCTGACTCTCTTTTTAGTCAAAGCAAGATAGTTAAGCCTATAATCTCAGTGCTTTGGGAGGCCAAGGCAGGAGGATCAAGACTATCCTGGGCAACATAGTGAGAACCCCATCTCTACTATTTTGTTTTAATTAGCTGGACATAGTAGTGCATGCTTGTAGTACTATCTACATGGGAGGCTAAGGTGGGAGGACCACTTGAGTCCAGAAGTTTGAGCCATGATTCTGTGCTGCACTCCAGCCTGGGTTACAGAGTGAGCCTCGGAATGTGAAAAAAAAAAAAAAAATCATGTTAGTATGATTTCTTGAAATTTATTTTAATTCTAAATATAAAAATACAATAAGACATTATTATCATTTTTCTTACAGTTGATATTAATATTTATCTATCTGTGCTTTTCATTGTTTTCTGGATCTCTGATCTTTGATTCTACATTAGTTTTCTTCTGTCCAAACACACCTTTTAGCACCCCCTTTGGTGCAAGCATGCTGATAATAAACCCTCTTCATATTTTTCTAAAAATTGCTATACTTCTCTTTTATTTTGAAAGGACAGTTTTTAGTGGATATAAAATTCTAAGTTGGAAGTTACTTCTTTTCAACCTTTCAAAAATATATTCCTTTGTCCTCGGCCTCCTATGTTTCTATTGAGAAGTTAGATGTATATCTTATTGTTGTTTCTTAAAAGGAAATCTGTCTTTTCTTTCTTATATAGTTAGTTTTTAAAAAGATTTTTCTGTGTATCTATTGTTTTCACCAATGAATAGATTTTTATATTTTACCCAACTTTTCTAGTTGTCTTCAGCAAGAAATTTGGAGCAAATTAACTAGTGCACTGTAACCCGAAGTCTAGACACTAATATTTATCCAACACTAATATCTACTGATTATGAGATAACTCTACTGCCTTTAGTATTTCCCTTTCAAAAGAAGGAACTTTCTTTACCAATTAGAAATTTACACTATTTAAACCTTCTGATTCTGACAGCCTTTAATTAATTGCTTTGATAATTTTATATTTCTTTACTCAAACACGAATCATGTTCAGTTTTGGGGCTGTTACACAAAAGAGTCTTGTGTCACCCTAAGCATCTGAACCGGCCTTTGGGAAAGTCAGTACCTTTTTCTAAAAAAGTATCAATAATATAATCGTTCTCATTTTTAGAAATGGGTGTATTTGGGGCTATTTCTTTTCTGAAATTCATATGGAAAATGTGGACTTGGAATTAATTGCAGGAAAATGTTTATGCCCAAGAGAGAAAAGATTTGTTTTAAATAATTCTCTCTTACAAATGGTTTTCAAATATTCTAAGGAATGACATTTAGTATTCTTCATGATTTGGCTCCTGCTCACTATTTTAGAGAGTGGCATAACTGGTGGTGAGCACATCTCAGAATAACCTATTTAACCCCAAAACAAATTTGCAATATTGTGTAGTGGATATATATTTTGTACTGAAATACTGTATACTTAATAAATGTATGCTGCAACTTTCAAAATTATTTACATCTATATTTTGGGAATTGTTTGGTTATAAGGAAGAAAGACCATTTAAACCAATATATACAAAGTAAAAGGGATTATTTTTTAGATCTCATAACATCTAGGGTTAGATGTAAAACCATATTTCATTTCCATGGAACTGGGGATTGGAAAGCCAGAAACCAAAATAAACATACTGTTTCTGTGAGCCTCAGAAGTTTCGCCATTGTTTCCTTCCCAACTGCTTCATTTTTCTCATCCTTTTTTGTAGAATAGTTTCTCAGCTTAGACAAGCAAATGGGTAATCAGTACCACCATGCATCTGTTTTACTGTTTTACATACATCACTTCCCAATCCAATTCATTAACAGAAACTTACCAGCAGCTCTGTGTCCTATTTCCATACTTCTAAGAGGAAAATTTTATTGGTCTAGATTCAGCCAGTTGGTCATCTGCACCCCAGTGAGCTATGGCCAGAATGCAAAGATGATAGTCTACACATGGCCCTGGACCTTGGCATAGAGAGGAGCTCTGAGAGTATAAGGTGTGAGACCTAAAGTTGCACCTCATTTTCTGTTTCAAAATTGCTAATTCTAAAAGAAGTAAAAAAAAAAAAAAAAAGAAAAGAAAAGAAAAAAGAAAAAGAAATAGCATTTGTAAAGGAATCAACTTTATCTTGAATTTGTTCTGAAGATTATGTTTGCATCCTTTAATTCCAAGATTCTTCTTTCTCTTTGTCCTCCTGAGGCAGTCATTCATTCATATTCGACTCACTTTCACTTCTTGAAATAATTCATATCTTCCTGAACCCTCTGATCCAAGCTGCCAACATCCTCTTCTTGTCAGTTTATCTCATCTACGCCATATTCATTTCAGGGCCATTTCAACTGTTTCTATTCTGTGATTATGGATTCTCTTAGGGAAAGGGCTTTTGGCTTCCCCACCCTCCCCTTTACTCCCTCCTCTGGGTAGTTCCTTCATGTGCTAAGGATAGCCAAAAATGGGTTCTCTCATGTAATGAATAAGCTACCTTGGGAGAAGGATTAAGAGATTAGAGAAGGCACAGCCACTTGATCATCCTGGTGACTCCATTTGAAATAAGGAGTTGTCCTTCATTATTCTTCAGTTATCAGGCTAAAGAAAATTCTAAGGCATCTAAAAAGTATAGTGGGACCACCTAAGGCACTAATTTGGCAGGATTGGGTGGTTTCAGCAGGGATTTTAAAGTTTTAGTGGAGGTGATTGTTGGGGGATATGGTCATTCTGTGGAGATGTCACCGGGCTTCCCTGAGGTCCACTGCGAGGGAAAAAAGGAACATAACCAATTTATCAGTTTGAGATACGGCTTCCCCATGCACTTCTCCCAGGATTATTCCCTACTGGTAAATTTGCTAAAACAGCAGCATGATGAGTTAACACTTATTAAATCTTGGCAGTTTTCTCACAATGTCCAGTGTTGACTACCTTCCTGTTTATTTCACAGAGGCAGAATTATGGTTTTAAGTGGAACTTATTCCCTAAATTATGAATAGGTGTTCTTAAGTGGGTATTTACAACTCAAGCTTTACCATGTATACATGAAATCTGCACATAGGGATATTCGGAGCATCTGTTTTGTATATATTAAAGCAATCTGTGCCTTTATTTTGGCTTATAAATCAATTCATAAATTAATTTACATTTAGGCAGCAAATGAATAACAAGAAATATTAAATTCAGTTATAATATGCATACATTAAATTAGGAAATCTTTTTGGGATCCTGTTTACTTAATTTTTATTATTGTGTGTCATTCTTGATAAGATTTTATATGGTATTTGCTATTGGTTTCCACTTTTTTTGGTATTGTTTTCTGTCATTGCCCTAATTCCCCAAAATATTTTTTAATATCTTCTGTAATTGATTTCTGAGTCAATGTCTTATTTCCACATCTATGATTCAGAGACTGTCATGATTTGAGTGGTGATTTTAAAACAACCTAGCTTTGATATTTGTTACCAGATTCTGTATTCGGTATCCAATATTGTCTATTTAGTTTATCTTAATGCTGAATTTATGGGTCATTTGAAAGAATTTGTAAAGCGTGACATACATTTTTCCATGTTGACTAAACCTGTAATTTCGGAGCTGACTGCAATATCTTATCTTACTTTGACTTTTATTAAATTAGACCTACCTCTGGACTTCTAAATAGTATCATTCTTCCCATTTTCAAAGTTCAAAACCTTAGATTTGGGAAGCTTCTGGCCCAGCTGAATGTCATAATACTCAATGAAACAGTGTTTTTGTTTTTGTTGTATAAAAAGACGGTGAGGCCTCTCAGCCCACTTGAAATCTCTTAAGAATTTGATATTATCGACTGCCATAATTCTCTTGAAACTCTTTTATTCTTGCAACTACCTTTTGTCTAGGTTTCCTTGATGTTTCAGTTTTGATTCAGTTTGCAACATCCTAAATTCTGTAATATTTTGAAATCTTGTTTACTCAGGCCTTCCTTCCTTAACAGCCTTTTCTATTTAATGTGCCATGGGTATTGCCATTATATTCATCATGTCTATTGCCTTTTTTTTTCACTTTATTCATCTGGCCATTTGCAATATTATTAAATAACTTGTCTTCTTGGCTTTCATGTATCTCCAATTCCACCTAAATTTCTCTAATACAGAAGATGACTGCCCTTTCCTAGTTTCATGCTTTCAAATCCTACAAAAACGCCATGTGTTTCCTCATGGTCTGCAAAATAAATTCCAAAATTGTAAGTTTGAAAATCAAACTACCTATGTCACCTAATGTTTTCCAAACTTTCCACACCCAGCCATTCATAAATAATATTCATGTGCTTTCAAAATTTTCTGTTATGGTGTGCAGGTGCTCTATTCCTGGACTTCAAAGCTTTACTCTGTTAAAAAATCCTATCTATGTAATTAATGTGGTGAAATGGAATTTTTCATGTTATGTGTATTTTTCCACAGTCAAACAAAACTCTTCATTCTTAGAGGCCCAGATCAAATACAATCTCACAGAAGCCCTCCTAGTCCCCTCTACTTAGAATTAACCACCTTTCATTTCATCTGGCATTCCCTAGCAATTAGCACCATAAACTATGATTTACTTAATTAGACATTTTATTGTTTAAAACAATAGCAGACCCTGAATATGGAACTGCCTATATGAAATAAAAGCCAGAATGTGATCCTTATAAGTAATATTTAATTTTACAAACATGGACATTGCAGTATCGAAGTAAGAAAATTTTAGTAAAAACTCTAGCCAAACTCTTGTAAGGCGGGTTGCCTTAAAGTTGCATGGACAGAGACATGTACTACAATGACCAAGACCTGGAATGCTTGTTTGACACTTTTAGGAAGATATGGCTTTTACTTGTGTGCCATTGATTAAAGATTTTTTTCTTCTCTTTAAAGATTAACCACTTTCTAGCCACCATAATTGATAGAAGAGGCTTTTTTTCTTTATCAACTATAATCTGTCTCCTCTCTAGTGGAGGAGACAGAAAATTGTTTGGTGAGTAACGTTTCTCCCCGCTTAATCATTAATAATACTCAATGAGAACAGTCACCTGTAATGTCACAATTAGGTGGCTTTTTCTAAAAAATGAAATTAAAAATTTCTTATTTTTAAAATTGCTACATTGCAATAACACATATATATGGAATACAGTTTGATGTTTCGGTACATATCTATGTTATGTAATAATCCACTCGGGGTATGCTGTAGTTTGGAAAGGGTTTGTTTGTTCCTACTAAGTCTCATGTTAAAATTTGATCCCCAATGTTGGAGGTAGGGCCTGGTGGAAGGTGTTTGAGTCATAGGGACTGATTCCTCATGAATGGCTTGGTGCCATTCTTAAAGGAGTGAGTTCTCACTCTTGTTCCCTTGAGAACTAGTTGTTGAAAAGAGCCTGGCACCTTCTCTCTCTCCCTCTCTTTCTCTCTCTCTCTCTCTCTCTCTCTCCATTTGGCAGCCTCCCCTTCACCTTCTGCCGTGAGTGGAAGCTTCCTGAGCCCTCATCAAAAGTAGATATTGGTGCCATCCTTCTTGTGCAGAACCATGAGCCCAATAAACCTCTTTGTAAATTACCCAGCCTCAGCTATTCCTTTATAGCAACAAAAATGGACTAAGACAAGGTAATTAGTGAATCCATCACCCCATGCATTTACCATTCCCTTGCAGTGAGAACATTCAAAAGCCTCTTATAACCTATTTTCTATTATACTATATTTTATTGTCAACCATAGTCACCCTACTGTGCAATAGAATACCAGAATTATACCAGAATTTATTATTTCTAGCTGAATATAGCTTTCTCTCTGTTGACCAGCCTCTCCTCATCCTCTATTCCCTATCCCCTCCCCAGTCTCTTGTAACTACTGTTTCATTCTGTTTCTATGATAGTAATAAAATGTAGAATTGTTGATAAATGCAGGTGGCATTTAATATAAATCCTTTATAGATTTCAAAGTGACATCTTTGTAAAAGAGCTATGTTCATTCCACAGAATCTACTGTGTGAAGACGGTATCTTTGCCTTGTTCTTAAGGGCAAGTTATTTTATTTGGCTCAAATATTCAAAGCTCTAACAAGATCTAAGCCCTTTTAAAAGATGACTTACTTACATTAGACATTATTGGACCACCAGAATGTGATAAATGTGAAGACTCTGATCAGCATAGTAGTAGTGGTGTGATGGTTAATTTTATTTGTCAACTTGACTGGGACATGGGGTACCTGGACACTTGGTTAAACATTATTTTAGGATATATCTATGAGAGTGTTTGAATGAGTAGACTGAATAAAGCAGACTGGCCTCTCCTATGTGGGTGAGCCTCATCCAATCCTTCGAAGGCCTGAATAGGATAAAATGCTGAGTGAGAAAAGAATTCTTTCTCCGTGTCTTTAGTTGGAACATCAGTCCTCCCAACTTTGGCCTCAGACTTGGACTGGAACTTGTACCACCAGCCCTCCTGAGTTTGCAGCCTATTGGTTGCCACTCTTGAACTTCTTAGCTTCCATAATTATGTGAATCCATTTATTTATTTATTTATTTTTTTGAGAGCAAGTGTCTCCCAGGCTGGAGTGCAGTGGCGTGATCTCGGCTCATTGCAAGCTCCGCCTCCCGGGTTCCCGCCATTCTCCTGCCTCAGCCTCCAGAGTAGCTGCGACTACAGACGCCCGCCACCGCCCGCGGCTAGTTTTTTTTTTGTATTTTTTAGTAGAGACTGGGTTTCACCCTGTTAGCCAGGATGGTCTCCATCTCCTGACCTCGTGATCCATCCACCTCTGCCTCCCAAAGTGCTGGGATTACAGGCGTGAGCCACTGCTCCCGGCCGAATCCATTTCTTGTAGCAAATCTCTGGAGAACCCAGACTAATACAGTTGAAAAGGTTTATATATATATATATATATACACACACACACACACATATATATATACACACATATATATGTATATATATATATACACACATATATATGTATATATATATATACACACACATATATATGTATATATATATATACACACACATATATATGTATATATATATACACACATATATATGTGTATATATATACACATATATATGTGTATATATATATATATATATATAAAACCAGTGTTATTAATAGCTCTCTAAAATGTGTAGGAAAAGAGTACACGTTTCAAGTTGATATCCAAATAAATCTCTCTATAAATACATACAACTTTTGCTTTCATTTTGCAAGAAAAAAATATTGCTATGGAAGGAATTAGACATAGAAGCTTACAGTTTTCAGACAGAAGAGCATGATCTCATTTACTGATTAAATAATGCCTTTTAACATGTCTACATCTATGTATATATTTACATGAATTCCTGTTTAAGCTACAGATAAGCCATAGGCATATGAGTGCAGTTATGTTTGTAAATTAAACTGAGAAGAGCAAACATATCATTAGCTCTTCAACTATGTGATTATATGGTTTTAACATGACTCATGGTGAAACATGACAGCTTGTATGAACACTAGATAGTCACAGGCAGTAATGTGTAAAAGACACTTTTCTGTAATTGGTCCCAGGGCAAAGGGCTGATCGCTTGTATAAAAGCTTCCAGATATGCATTTGGTCTGGCTTCTAATTAGTGAAACAAAAAAGAGCTGAACTTTGGAAACTGTGATGAGTCCGTGATCTTTTTTCCTTTAAGGAAATAATCACTTTGCCCTTGAACTCCAAAAGGCCTTGAAATCAACTGATTCTCCTCTTAAGCGCCTTAACAAGCAAGGGGATTAGAGGCAAGCAGTGCAGAATGGTTCATATAAGATATAAATGATAATGGACAATAGAAATTCACCTGTGAATAAAGTACAGGCACCCTGGACAAGTTCCTTTCACTGAGTTTATATTTTTTACAAGATATTGTGATTCTCCTGTTGCAAAGCTATGCATAATGCAGATATATGGTAAGACCGCTGGAGAGAATGAACTTGAATGCAGAGATCTACTCAAAAGCTGCTCTTTATAAAATGCTGCAAGTGGTAATAGTGGTAAATAAATTAAGTCAAGTATACAATGAAAATAAAATGATTAAAATGACTGCATATATATTTCTTAATTTAACATAATAATTTAGACTAACTCCATCACTTCATTTTTATAAAGAAACAAAATTGTGAATGAAAAAAAAACTCACAACCATAGTCTTCCAATTTTAATTCCAGAATCTTGTGCATGTCTTCGTATTTATTCTTAAATATATCGGAAAGTAAACAAATGCTACATCAAAGTGATCTGTTTGTACTTGATCCTTTTTGGCCACAGTCCTGCTGATCTGTGTGTATAATTTTTTTGCCTACGGTTGATCCTATTCTCTCCCCTTAAATAAAGAGTTTCACTTACTGCCGTTCACCTTGAAGGGAGGCACATTCTGCACACAGTCTGAAGATGCAGGATGAATTACCTCTCCCTCTGCCACCCACACCCAAGAAGAGAATAAAGTGTAATGGACCAAGGAGGAGGGTGGGGAGAGGGAAGGATGGGGAAATGAAATACAGCAGGTTTGGGAAAAGGATATCGCTTTCGTGATTAATATTAAAGTTCTGAGCTCACAGACATCAAATTTTATTCTCTCTTCCTAAGATTTGGATGAACCATACTATTCCTGGCTTGGAGCAAGAGTCTCATGCTAAATGATACTAAATATCAGGAATGAAAATGTTCTTAAATTTTTTGCTTTTTAAAAACCTTTGAAGTTCAACTGAGTGTTGGAAGATACCGTGCAGGTTTCAGAACTTGCCAATATCATATATGTATTCCTTTGACCTCGTCAGCCTCCCTGTTCTGTTTACCCAATCTCATACATGTATTCTCTTCCATATTTCTTTGGGTTTAATTAATATTTATATGGGTCGATATGCTTATCACTTCAAAGTAAATCTGAAGCCTAGTTGATTATTAAGTCTTTAACTCTATGGAAGCTTCTAGTTACAGAAGTTCATTTGCAGTTATGTATACAGCCAGCATATATCGAACATGTCTTACATTCCAAGCACTGTGCTCAGGGCTGAGGGTGAAAAAAGAAGCAAGGCACAGTCATTTGTCTCAAGAGTCTCACTGATTAAGGTTACAGACCTGGTGCCCAGCACATATAAAGCCTGGCATGGCAGATGAGAAGTGGAGGCTCAGGGGAAGTTGATGGAGAGCATTTGTACTTACGATGACAATGGAAAGGGCTGAGGCAAATTCGATGGTGGTTGCCTTGTTTAAAGGGGCAGTCAAAACCCAGATTCAGCCCTTCCTTGCTATATAGAAATGTTAATTAATTGTGTCAGTTAGGAAAGCTTGCAAATCTATATTTTATGAGAGATTGTAAAATAATTTAATGTAGGTTCAATTTTTTTTTTAAATTTCAGATAGAGTCTCACTCTGTCCCCAAGCTGGAATGCCATGATGCGATCTAGGCTTACTTCAACCTCTGCTTCCTGGGTTCAAGCGATTCTCCTGCCTCAGCCTCCCGAGTAGCTGGGATTAGAGCTGTGCACCACCACACCTGGCTAATGTTTTGTATTTTTAGTAGAGACAGAGATTCTCCATGTTGACCAGGCTGGTTTTGAACTCCTGACCTCAAGTGATTCGCCTGCCTCAGCTTCCCAAAGTGCTGGGATTACAGACGTGAGCCACCACACCCGGCCTAGGTTCAATATTGAAAGTGTGTTTTCACAAAACATGTTTTGTCCCCTTTGTTATGTAATCTGTTCATCAATTCAATTTAATCTCATCATATGATTGCTGGCTATAATTAGGGGCCTTTTCAAATCAATGTAGAATATAGTTATGCCACAACAATAATGACTTTTCTAAATATGATGTTTTATGTTTGAGTAGAGAGGTAGCATGGTTTGGATGTTTGTCCCTTCCAAACCTCATGTTGAAATGGAATTCCCAGTGTTACCGACAGGACATGGTGGGAGGTGTTTAGGTCATTGGGATGGATCCCTTATGAATGGCTTTGCGTCATCCCCTTGGTGATGAGTGAGTTCTCGCTCTGAGTTCACCTGAGATCTGGTTGTTTATTTTATTTTATTTTTTTAATACCTCGAGGGGGTGCACTGTTCCTGGAGGTACTGCAATACCAGGTCGATGCATGGAGTGGATGGAGCAAGCTTCTATTCCATCTCTCTGCTCCAAAAATCCATTTAATATATTGTCCTTGGATAGAAGATGTATCATATATTAAACTGATAAAAACAGATACTACACTTGATCTTAGCTAAAAGGCCAAGAAGTGATAGATCTCGTTGTTTAAAAGTTTGTGGCACCTCCCCTCTCTCTCTCTCACTACTTTTCTTGCCATGTGACTGACTGTCTGCTCCCACTTAGCCTCCGTCATGAGTAAAAGCTCCCTGAGGCCTCTACAGAAGCTGAGCAGATGCCAGCACCATGCTTGTACAGCCTGCAGAACGATGAGCCAATTACCTCTTTCCTTTATAAATTACCCAGCCTCAGGTATTCCTTTATAATAGCTCAAATGGACTAACACAGGAAATTTTCAGTTTATTGGTCAGTATAGGCTATGGTAAGGTACAGTAACTGTTGACTCCGTAAAATCAATGGCTATGACAACAAAACATGTATTTCTTACTTCTATTACATAGTCATTATTTTTAGGCTGCAATTGTACTCCAAGTTGTCTTCTCCTTGGGCCCAAGGATGATAGATCTATCTCTAGCACATTGGTGTCAATCACGGGCAATAGAAAAGCGGCACAATCTCTTAAAGCATTGGCTTGGAATGAAACCTGGCACTGGAACACATTGGCCAAAGAAAGACATTTGGCCATGGAGTGGTGGGGAAATACAATCCACACCCATTGAGATGAGAGGGAGCAGTCATTCATGAACAGTAACGTTACTGAAAAACTATTTTCCATTAGCTTAGTGTCATTTGGCGGTAGCTACTACTTTAGTTTGCTGAAGGTAAAACCCTCAAAGCCCTCACTATTGACTTCCTTTGGTTTAGGAAACAACCAGGTATGGCCATTTGGTGAAAATAAAAGTGAACATCCACTCATTTTTCTAGAAGAAAACCGTGAGAGCCTCTAAAATTTAAATGCAGTTCTTATTAAGATGAAGATTCTAAAAGTACTATTTAGTAATGTGAATTGGAGAAATCTTTAACCCTTGTAAAAGGTGGAAGCAGAGTCCAAAAGAACAATGTAATGTTCTTTACATGGAGTTATTTAAAAACTCAATAGCCTAGATTAGGGATCAGCAAACTAAGTAAGCCCTTGGTTGGACCAAATTCAGCCTGCAGCCTGTTTTTGTTAATACGGTTTACTGGGACACAGCCATGCCCTTTTGGTTACAGATTATCTGTAGCTCATTTCCCACTATGATGGCATAGTGAATTGTTGCCACAGAGACTGTAAAGACCACAGGGCCTGAAATATTTAATATCTATCCGGTCTCTACAAAAAAGTTTGTTGATTCCCACTTAGGTTAAATGTTATTATGATTATCTGAGCTACTAATTTATTTATTCTTTAACAAAATATATTATTATATGTCGAATTCTGTGCAAGATGCTGGGTGTACTAATGAACAAAATACAGTCTTACCCTTATGCAAGTTATAGCCTAGTGGGAAAGATAGATATTAAATTATCCATTAAATAAATCTAAATTTTACACTGAATAATGTGAGACAAAGAATAAGGACTCAAAAATACATATAAAGAAAGGAGCTAATTTAGATGGGAAGGTCAACCACATCTTCCCTAAGGATATGACTATAGAGCTGAGATCGAAAATCTGAGTCAACCAAGTGATGAGAGGAGCATGTGCAAAGGTCCCGGGGAAAGATGGAAGCATGCTACATATAAAGAAATGGAAGACTTTTGGTAGTACTAGTGAGAGAGTATGGACTAAAATACCAGTGAAGATGAAGAAAAATGAGTGACTTTTAAGGGAGGTAGAATGTAGGAGGTAGAATCAACAGGTCTTGGTAATAGATAAGAGACAGACATTAGTGAGAAAAGGGAATTAAGAAGGACAATCAAGTTCCTGACTCACCCAGCTAGATGAATCGCTGATGAAATAGAATCATGAAGAGAGCCAAGTTTGGAAAATGACTTTGTAAAGAGCTGAAGGACATTCAAGGACATGGCGGACATCCTGGTGAAGATGAGTTTTGGGTCTAAACCTCAAAGGGATGTTTGAGCCGAAGTATGACTTGAGCAATCAGGATACAAGATGTTATGTACAAAGAGAAGAGATAAGGGTTTTGGGGCTGAGTTTTGAGGTCCCTCAACATGTCATAGCTGAGTTGAAGAGGATGAGAGGGCCCAGAGCACACCAAAAGAGCACACTGTTTTACCAGTGGAACAAATCAGTGGAAGAGAGTGCTTGAAGGAGGAAGTAGCTCACAGATGTGCTATTAGAGTATTAAACAAGAGACCCATGACAATGATTGGAGTCAACCTCTCCAGATCCATTGCTCTGACAAACTAGTGGGAGAATGGCAACAAGGGGTCACAAGTGGATTTTTGGCAACACCATGAGTCAGTTGCAGCACAGAGTGGGTTCTTTTGGGAGACAAACTATGCTTCTTGCCAATGCCAAAGTCACCAGTATCTTTTGTTTTAAAAAAATAAGTAAATATTCCTGGAATGAGTCTTTGATGATATCTGGAGATGAATTGGTTTCCTGATACTTATGGGAAGAAGCTCAGAATTGTAACAATGTATTGAATTGACGTTACTATTTTATTTTGTTCTCCTAACATATTATACCTCCCAGTGACCTCTTCACATACGAAAAATGAACAAACAAAAATGTACAGCAAAGTTTTCTAAATGCACAAGCACCAAAGGTCCAGTGGAGTGTGCACAGAAAAGTGAGATAATGCTTAAACTAAATTAATTCATATAATCAAGGAAGTCAAAACCAAAGGTGATCAGAAAAATATTCTCTCTACAAAATTCATAGGGACCTTGTGGAAGATGGTGAACATTGGCCCTGTGCCAACTGGCTTTTGTTTCCTGTTAAGCTGTTTCATGACACATTCTTCCCAATTTTCTCCACTTGACCTTCTTTCATTGCTCAAATGCACCATGCCCCAGCCTGTCTCAGTGCCTTAGCACAGAATGCCCCTTCTGCATCCTGACCTCCGGAACCTGTGAATATGTTACCATACATGCTAAAAGGAATGTTGCAGTTGTGATTCAGTTAGGGATTTTGAGGGGAGGAGATTATCCCGGATACTCCAGGTGGGCCCAATGTAATCACAAGGATTCTTATGAGAAAGAGGCAGGAGGGTCAGAATGAGAGACAGAAGATGTAAGGATGGAAGCAGAGGTCAGAAAGGAGAGCAGATGCTACACTGCTGGCTTTGAAGATGGAGGAAGGAGCCATGAGCCAAGGAACCCCCCTAGCCTCAGACACTGGGAAAGGCAAGGGAATGAATTGTCCTTAGAGTCTGAAGAAACGAGTCCTGTCCATACCTTGATTTTAGCCCAATGTGACTCATTTCCAACTCTGATCTGCAGGGATGTAAGACATATGTATTGTTTTAAGTCACTAAGTTTGTAGTGATTTATTATGGCAGCAACTATTAATAAACAGTTATTAATAACTAATAATTAATATCTAAAGAACAATTAATAATTAATAATACTTAAATAACCTCTCTGTTCCTGTGCAATTTCTTCCAGAAATTCTTTTTAGGACATTACATATTAGACCAGATCCCCCCTCCCATCTTAAATAGTCCCCATGACTTTCCCTTCGGAGCTCATGGAACCATTTGACACCGTATTTGTGGGATCATTTGACTGCTGTCTGCTCCCACATTTCCTATTAAGCAGGCAAGGCCATGGCTCCTCCAAGGCAAAGAATAAATGAAGGGATGAATGAATGAGTGAGTATCGTAGAGGTATTGGTGGTGATTATTTTTGGTACTAAAAAACATTAGAGTTAAGAAAGGAAGTAGAAGGAAGTGGTTTGTATTTTATGTTATCCAGTTTCATTTTCATTCTAATCCTTTGCTCAAGCAGTGTTTCTCCTCTAGTTCACCTGGGAGAGAACTAAAAAGCATGACAATGTTGACATCCTTCTCTCACCCTTGTCAGAGGGTGTGCAGGCTCAAAAGTAGCGGGCTTAGAGTGCTCGCCTTTATCCATACATGCATTGAACTGGATTGCTAGGGGTGAGATGCAGTACAGAAATAACGAAACTTTAAATGTCATTCTTCAGACTCAAAGTATTAAAATTCATCTTGTTCTGCAAAATACAACAAACTTAATTATTTTGTTGAATGCTGAAATAGATGAACACATCACCTTATTATTCTATCTAGTGTTTAACAGAGATCTCAGTTGCAAGCATCAAACCAAAGCGAGTGGGTTTAAATAGGGAACACATTTTTTTGAGCCACCAGAAAAATGGGAAGAATGGAGAGGCAGACATAGAAAATAGAGGCAAATAGAAGGTGGGCACCAGTCAGGACCAGGCTTGTAAGCACACCACTCTTGCCCTGATGAGCACAGACACTGCAGCACATTGCCCACCATCACCAAACCCTCCTGGCTCTGTCTCCTGTCACCTCCACATCATTTCTGGCACCTCAGCTCCCTCTACATCTAGGTAATTAGATGTTGCTACTGCTGCATCTGCTGCTGCCAAAATGAATGGTCCTCTGCTCCACCTGTGAGCATCATTAGCCCCCGATTCATGTCCTGGGAAGCTACTGGCTGGCCCTAGGGCACATGCTTGTGCCCCTACTACAGGGGAAGCTGGGAAAATGAGCATCCAGTCTCTCTCACTACTATAGAGAAAAGGGGATGCTGTCTCCTAACAATGTTTCATTTTGGAAGAAAGGCCATACAAGAATAATTTAAAATTTTTTTTTAAATAAAAAGCTAACATTCACACAAGCAGCAACCTTCTTTACATAGTCTGAAGAAGGTAAATTTAGAAACTTAGAGTTTAAGTGATCCTGTTGTAAAATATAACTCCCTTGGTGTGAATTCTTTTTCTGTGACCTTGGGCAATTTACTTAACCTTCATCCACAGGTGAAGTGCTGAGCCCGGGCCTGGCTCTCAAGACATATTACCTATTATTTTATAATCTAAGCTGTGTCCATCATTTTTGTCAAAGTCAGCATGATGTAGGAATATCTCGTGTTTTTGGAGAGTCTGTTGGCCTTGCAGAGAATTGGGTACTGTTAGTATATTCAAACAGGGCTCCTATTTTCAATTCCACCTGGATTCTTTTTTTTGTAGGCAACACATGAAAGAAATGTATCGAGTTTCCCAATCAGTGTAAGTTTATTATTGGTTACCCAAGTGTTTAATAAACCCATCCTCATCCTGAGCATAGCTTTAAATACTTCATTGACTGTAACAAAGCTACTCTTTTCTTCCTGGTCAAAGTAGCCATATAAACCACAATTAAGTACTAATTACGGGCTCTACTGGTCAGATAGGAAAAAGCAGAGTCCATTGTGCAACCTCCAGAACAAGCCCTTGGAGGAGACTTTCGCTATTGGAAAATATTAAATAAACAAAATAAAACATGGAATAAAAGAAGTGAAAAGTTAAGTTTTCTTTCTCTTCCCCCTTCCCCGCCCAATTTCTGTGATGTGCCATTGACCTCATACGTTAACTTTTTTGTTTTGTAAAAAAGAATGATAAAGAAATAATAAAAAACACTTTTTTAAAGGATGACCCATAACTTACACAGTGTGTAAAATTATGAGTCTCTACTTTATCTGTAATGATAGGATAGAATGATGTTTTGAGTTCTTGCTACTTGAGAAAACGCAACATTAAATTAGTCCAATGCATGAAACGTGAGTTTTAACATCGCTCTTCGGTTGGCAGATATCATTGCAAAATATGACATGCATTTTTATTAGAAGTTTTCATTGAAGGGAAGTATCTGATTTGAGAAGCAGAAATGTGTAGCTTCTTTTGAGCACGCACATACGCTCATGCACAGACACACATAACATAGGGTCACCTGCAGGGCCTTGCAGGCAGCTTGCAAACATCTCTGTGATCTCACCCTGCTACTTGTCAGGGAGTCTCTTGGCTGTGGCCATGTACATACTTTACAGGAGCTTAGCATTGAAAGGACATATTTAACAGTTTATAACTGTCTGTGTGACAGCAAGTTCTAATTTAAAACTCCTGTGTAATACTTGTTAGGAAGTTTTAATATCAAAAGGCCAGCCAAGGTCTTCCATGAAAAATCTCCCGACAGTGAAAGAAACTAATCCTTTTTAGTGATGTTTGGCTTCTCCTCTGCAGTAGGTGATCTTGATTTCATATTTTATATCCACGGTTTGTTAATAAAATATGCTCCTTTGAAGATCAACCAGAAAAAGGGGGAAAATAGCAATACTCTGTAATAAATATTTAAAGTGAAATTCACCACGAAGGCCAAATCTACCACTAAACTTTTAGAATGCTTTAAGAAAGTTATACTTTGCTTTCTTGAGGGACTTCTGTGGATCGTATTCTTCGATTGGATGAATGAGCAGTGGGTGGCATTGGAACACTTTGTAGCTATGCATTCCTTATAAAAACATTAGCACAATTTCCATGCTCCTCATTCTTCTCCCTAAGTAGCATGAGTACATGGATACTACTGTCTCTGCCTCACACTTTCACCTGTAAGGAATCCAGAGCTGGTTAAAATTACTTTGGGATGTGGTCACAGGTAAGGACAAGTAGCTGCACACGATGCTCAAATCCTGCTTTGGCAAAAAGCCACTTGTCTAGTTGTCTCGGAGCAGTACTGGCTTGCATACCGCAAGAACTAAGACATGTGATAGTCTCCTTCCGTAGTTGCCTTCTGGGAAAATTTTGTCTCTTTCTTTACACAAAACAAGTAAACATAAAACTATGCATACTGAAACACAAGCATATGTATACGTGTGAATCCCTGTGAATATGTGTGAATATAACTGGGGCTCTGGATTTGCATGCACAAACAATATTCCAGTGACTTTGTCGTTGTTGTCATCAAGTACTATTATTAATACTTGCTTACCTGCACTGGTGAAAATATAATGATTAAATGACTTACAAGATATTCTGAAAACTGTTTTTCAGAATGTTTCTTATTTCTACAGTCATCTCAAGTTACTCAATATTTGGTTGAATACTAATCTTTTCTAAAATAATTATTTGGACAAAAAAATAGGACTATTAATAGGATCGTAGCTACAGAGTATTTTAGATTATGGGATGAGAAGCAACCACTTCCAAAGAAGATGATGTATTAATTGTTCCTTTTCTCACTTATATGACATGCTATTTTTAATAGTAATACATGATTCTCTGATTTCTTGATTTACCTATTTTTGTCTCAGTTCATTGTATGCATATTTTATAAGCTGTCTCAAATACCCTTTGGAAATAATTGTATCTACATGGGAGAAGGATTGCTGGGAGGAGGGGCAGTAAATAAATAATATCTGATTTGCACAGGGCATTTAAATTTTTTAGACAATGCATTTAACATCACGTTAGTTCAATGGATGTCACGCATTGATATGATTATCATTTTCTTTCTCAATATAATGAAAAATGGGAATAATCTTTAATACTAATGAGTTTGTGTTTAAAAGCATTATTGATTTCTTTAGCTAAGACATTACATTTCTTTATAATTCATGCTTTACTATGATTTATTAACAAATATAACAGAAAATGGGTTTTCCAGACACCTATTAATAGGTGGCTGTCAGTCCAGAAGCACACAGCTTTCTGAAATTTGTGTTAGAAGAACCCATGATGATGTTTTTGACCTAGTGATGGGTAATATGCATAAAAGAAATTACACAAAGAATCTTTTGGCTATTTTCTTCACCAGTGACAATTTCATAAATGACAATGATTTATTGTGTTAAAAATTCATTATGAGGTCCCATGGCTGTGTGTTTGCACAGTGGTTCACTAAACACCAGTTGCAGGGTTGGGCAGAACCTTCTCTTCTCTTTGCATGCTTTTCTACCTTCTCTACTTCCTCACCTTCTCTGACTATACAACCCCTTTTGTATGACTCCTCCCTGTCTAACTAAAGGGTTGCAGAATGAGAGATGTGTTTGTTCACACAGAGACATCACTAATAATGGGATTCCCTTATGTTGTGGCACCTGAGGGCAATCAGTCCTTTCATCTCATCTCAGCTGGGCAACATACAGATGGAATAGTTTCTAACTCAAGATAATTGTCTTCAGTGTTGGTAATTGCAGGTCATGGAGTATAAAGATGAAACTGCCAGCGAGGTGGCTCACGCCTGTAATACCAGCACTTTGGGAGGCCGAGGCAGGTGGATCACGAGGTCAGGAGTTTGACACCAGCCTGGCCAACATAGTGAAACCCCGTCTCTACTAAAAATACAAAAATTAGCTGGGTGTGGTAGCATGTGCCTGTAGTCCCAGCTACTCGAGAGGCTGAGGCAGGAGAATTGTTTGAACCCAGGAGGCGGAGGTTGCAGTGAGCCAAGACAGTGCCATTGCCTCCAGCCTGGGTGACAGAGCAAGACTCCGTCTAAGAAACCAACCAACCAACCAAACAAACAAAGAAACAAAAAAGCAAGCATCTTTACCCAGTATCTCAAGATCTCCACAGCCTGGAGTTATCATATATTTCCAACTTTATCTTCTACCATTGCCAACGTAATACTTTTTCTCTCCCACTCTGTTCACTAAGTATCTTTTGTTGCTCAACATGTGGGCTAATGTTAATACTCAACTGCCCTTTGCTCACCCACTGCCCTGAGGTTTGCAGGGGCTCGAAGGTATCCCTGGCAACTCCACTGTGGTCATTGTCTTTCCACTGAATTTCCCTGGAACTCACTCCATGCATCATTTGACATTAACAATTACTTTGTGATCTGCCCTTCTACTTTTCCATGTTACCCTCCACCAATCCTTTTGGGCTGAGAGTCCTCCAAGGGAAGACGTGAGATCCCATACCCTCTGTAATGACCAAAGCCCCTTGCTTATTGTAAAGGCTAACTATCCTTAAGTAGCTGAATAATTGAAGAGTCATTAGATGAGGAGCAAGGAGGAATTAACACTTTTGAGCACTTATTATTTTCCAGGCACACCGCCAAGCATTTCACATTTGCCCTTTATTACTTTCTCAGAATAGTCCTGGGGGTGGGTCATCTTCCTCACAATTTATGTATGTGAACACCAAGACTCTAAGTTCGGTGCCTTGCCTAGAGTCAGCCCACTGGTGAGGAGCAGGCTGCACAGTCCATGCTCACCATTGAGTCACACTGCATTGACTAAACAATGCTTACAGCAGAAATGTGTACACCGTTGTTCCCTAACAGCCAGTTCTACATGGAGTGGCCAGAGTAATTTTGGTAAAATATAAAGGAGATAACAGCAGTCTCAGGTTCTAAACCTGGCAATGGCTTTATGTTGCACTTGGGATAAAATCCACATTGTTAAGCCCAGTCTACATTGCCTGGCTCTCTCTGGTTCCTGATTATCTCTTGATATGGTTTGAATTTGTGTCCCCACCCAAATCTCATGTCAAATTTGAGGAGGGGTCTGGAGGGAGGTGATTGGATCATGGGGGTGGATTTCCCCTTGCCGTTCTTGTGGTAGTGAGTGAGTTCTCATGAGATCTGATGGTTTAAAAGTGTGTGGCACTTCCCCCTTCACTCTCTGTCTCCTGCTGCCATGTGAAGAAGGTGTTCGCTTCCCCTTTACCATCAGCCATGATTGTAAGTTTCCTGAGGCCTGCTTCCTGTTAGGTCTGTGAAACTGTGAGTCAATTAAGCCTCTTTTCTTCATAAATTACCCAGTCTCAGGTAGTTCTTTATAGCAGTGTGAGAATGGACTAATACATCTCTATCACCTATATCCTACCTGACAGATCTCTCTTCCTCATATGTTGGCTCTCTCAAGCCCCAACCACAGTATTCTTTGTATTAGTCTTCTCCTGTCTCAGGTTAGTTTGTCCTCTCTTTCTGAAATATTATTCCTCCAGTTCATTGCCTGGATTTCTCCTTTACCTCATTAAGATCTCAGATACATTACCTCTTCCAAGACGACTTCCTTGACCATTCCTATCTATAGTAGACCTTTCCCCTCTTTTACTGTCTATCCCTGTATCCTGCCTTGGTTTTCTTCTTAGAATTTAATCAGGACCAGACACCACTTCGTGCAGGTATTTGATAGTTTGTATGGTTCCATCACTGTCCTGCAAGTTCTGAAGTTCAGGGACTTCTCACATCTTATTTATTTCTGTATCCCCAGCACCTAGAACAGTGTCTGGCACTTTGTAGGTTCTCAATAACTCATTAAATAAATATCCAATAACCTACCATTCCATTAGGGCCATCTGAGCGATTGGGAGCTGGCTTCAGTCTTGATGATTAATTGGATTGTTCATTTTCATATACAATAAAGGGTGTCATGTAGGTTTCATAGAACCATATCATTTGAACATCTAATCAGGACATATGGTCCAAGGAAGTGTAGTTTTATTTAATGGGAGAGAAGTTTTGAGATAGATTGTCTATGAGAAAGCTTAAGGTCTAAAGTGGCTGTTTCATTGCTCAGCATTTTTGCAAGGGGAATAGATGTCACAGTGTCATTCTCCTTGATTCAATTACATCAGGATATAAGGTAAGAAGCCACATTTTAAAAAGGAAACTAACATGTAATGAGCGATGAACAGTCACTGCTCCATGTACCTTACATATATTTCCTCATTTAGTTTCCATAAGATAGATATTCTTCTCCCCAACCAACAGATAAGTCAAGTGCCTTGTGGTTGAAGCACTTGGCCACAGTAATACCTGCTCCGATTGGTAGAGCTAACATTGGTACATATGACTGTCTAGTCCTGAAGCCAGAGCACAAAAAATGGGAACTCATCCAAACCCACACATCTCTTTATCAGATATCCCCACTCCATTCACTTTCCCCAAAGTCACACCCCAATTCCAGCACCTCCCCTTCCCCTCCAATACACAAAAGTACACACACACAACAAAGCAACCTCAAATCTATGGAGGACAGCCAAGGATTTGAGGCTGAGGTTTCCTGTGCCAAGCACTCTCCCACTAAGCTGGGAATATAACACCTTCTTTTGACTTCAGTAAAGCTTCAACACAAATCTTAAACCTCATACACTCCTTTTAATCTGATTGTTACCATCCTGTGCAGTGGCAAAGTAAAGAAAGGACGTGCTTTTAAAATGGGGACACTAAGAAGATATAAGTAGGATACACAAAACACACACTTAGAGCAATTCTCAATGGGGTTAATGCATGATCTCTCCTGACCACACTTCCTCCTTCCTGTCTCCCTCTTCCTGTGCAGTAATAAGTAAATAAATGAACCAACAAGCCGCACTCTCCTATGTTTTCTTTTGAGAGAATAATATAACCTAAAAGTTTAATTGTTTCATTTTGCCCCCGCTGAGGAAAGCAAGTGCACCTACTTATGAGTCACACAGAGAGGCGATTCCTTTATATATATGATTTCATTTGTCTTTACCATGGGCCTTTAAATGCAGGCATTAATGATAAAGAGAATGCAGCTCAGAGGGAGTTCACTTAAGATGAAACAGCCAGTAAATAACTCAACTGGGATTCAAATTCAAATACGATGATTTCAACATCCACATTTTTCCACTTTCTTCTAATATGCAATAAATAAGTAAGCACATGTAGGTTGGGGCATAGAAAGTTGACTTTTTAAATTTGTTTAATTTTAATAAAACTCAGGCTACAGTTAAAAAAAAAAAAAGGAGGCAGAGAGTGGTAAAGATGGCTGCCTTGGGCACACATGGTGTCACCAGGACACGTGTTGAGATGACATCTCAACAGCTTGTTGGAAGGCAGATATTTCTGTATTTTACCTGCTGCCTGACCCACTCATGCAGGCCGGCAGTAGTTGACACAATCAAGCAATGAACTGCCTGACAGGAAGTAGCTTCTGTGCACTTCTATGCTCTCTGACTGGGAGAGGGGACTTCCTGGTGAGTAAAGCTAACAGCAGATGAATTAGTGCTTTTTACCAGCAGGAGTTGTGGACCCCTTCGTTTCTGAGGTGAAACCACCAAATACCAACTCAATCATGTCAGTGCTGTGACACCTCTTTGTCACAGGTTGACATGGGGTTTCTGAGGGGAAAGCTGGAAAAAAGCGGATATGAAATAAATGTTTATCAAAGCACATAGGGGAATAAAAGACTCAATTCTTTCTTTTCTCAAAATTACCTGAGGTGACAGACCACCAGGGAGCTGAACAGTGCAGAAAGTTGGGAACTTGGTTAATTCTATCGCGTGGCTGACTGAAACCTACACGCCGCCCTCCAAAGAACCACGCAGCCATCAACAGTCTAGTTTTCCTTCCAAGTGGCTGACATGGAAAATCAGACACAATGTGCTTCCCTGAATGCCCCAGATTCAGACAGACAACTTGAAAACATAACTTACAGATTCATTTCTGTCTCAATTTTAAATGAGGGCTATTTGAGACATTAAAAAAATTTTTTTCCCTTCCCATTTTTTTTATGAGATGAATGAGCTCAGTCGTGAGCTTAATTCTTATTTCTGGTATAGAGATTCTAGTATAACTGTCTTGTAGAGTTAACTTCAGAGTCGACTCTTTTCCTTCCTCAACTTCACGCAGTATGCTTCACCGTGCTACTGATTTAAAACATAATTTGATGCCATCCTTTGCCATAACTGTTGAATCTGAGTGATTTCTTGAAGTCTGCACCCTTCTTAATACCAAATGTGCAGATGCTAAAATGACAACTCTCAGGTCAGATATTAAAATGTACAACTTCTCCTACTCTTGTAATGCTTGGTTGATAGGCAGTTATTGTCCTGAAAACCAGTCATTGGAGTTGAAAGATAAATATTATTTCATATCTTATTGAATAAAATATATTATATCACAGGTGATGGAGACAGATTGACTCAATAAATTCTAATAGTGTATGCTGAGAAATAGTTGCAATAAAAATGCTGATGACTTCACACAGGGAGAATATTGAATGTCATTAGCATGCTATTTCCTCTGTTCTGATCTCCCTGTCATGTTCTTCACACTGTTATCATCTCTATCAGTGGATTTTTCTTTGGTTTATTGGCATGAGAAAAATGGCATATTTTAGTGTTTTAAATTATCCAGTACTTTACTGATTGCAGAAACGATGCAGTGGTGTAAGATATGGGAAATTAATATAGGATTTTACATTTAGCAAGAGCATCAGCCTTACTTGAAAGGGCTGGAAAAATGTGAGATACCACTGAGCTCTACAGTCTGTTCTCATCATGAAATTTTCTCCAAATTCTCATTTTTTCTCATTTTTATTAACTGGCTCAGTTTAGGATAAATGGAGAATTTTTCAAAGAGATTAGCTTAAAGAATTTATGAAAGAGCTTAAAAAGTTAGTTTTAAGAAGTTATTTTAACAGAGGTTAGTGACATAGATCTTATTTCATGAGATGCAAGAAGATATAGGTAATGGAACTTCTAAGGTTTGTCTTAATTTCTATTGTTTTGTATATTACTTGGGATAGGTAATAAACACATGTAATCCTGACAGAATTTAACACTTAAGTCAAAACGCCTAAATTAATCTATAAGATGAGTATTATGTTCAGAGAGTGGTAACCAGCAGTTGATGGTGAGTCCCTTGTATGGTGATGCCTTACAGAGTACTAACCAAGATCATCAATTCCAATTATTCCTACTCTTCTCTCCAGAAACCTGTGGAAATGCCCTCAGGTGACATAGCTTCTTGAATTAACCACAAATACCCAAACTGAAAATATTGCAAACTGAAGTTTTTTTTTTCCTATAAAAACCTATTCTTAATTTTCTTCCTGTCATCCTTATCTCAGTGAGTGACACCATATTTAATTTGTGACCCAAACCAGACTTTCACATCATCTTTGTCCTCTGCTTCACCCCCACCCTCCACAAGCAAGCAATTACCAAAGGTAAAGGTATTCCTTCCACGTTTTGTTTAGAATCTATCCAGTTCTCCAAATCCTGTTACCATCTTAGTTCAGGTTGTTACCATCTCTTTTTTAGATTGTTGCAATAAAATTTAATTCTTCTTCCATCTTCCAGGCCACCCACCTCCCACCCTAATATCTCGTAATTCACCACATTGTGGCAAATCTGATACTACCTCATTCTGGTGGAAATTCCTTCAATGGTTCCCCTCCATCTTCACCACCTTGTCCCAGGGGTCCATCAAATGTCTCCAAACACTTCTTGCCTTTACAACAGTAGTGAGGTCTTTTTTTGTTGTTATTGTTGTTATAGACGGAGTCTTGCTCACTCCAGTCTCTCGGAGTCTTGCTCTCACACAGGCTGGAGTGCAGTGGTGCGACCTTGGCTCACTGCAACCTCCACCTCCCGTGTTCTAGCAATTATCCCGCATCAGCCTCCCTAGCAGCTGGGACTATAGGTGCATGCTGCTACACCCGGGTAATTTCTTTTGTATTTTAGTGGAGACAGGGTTTATCTTTTAATGTCTACTTTAAATCAATAACTACAATATCAAAATATTGCCTCTTTAAAAATGGAATGTTTTGAGAACCTACAAGAGCAACATGAAATTCAAATATTTCTGGAGTTTGTGGATATCTGATAATGCTTCTTATGGGCTGTCAATCACACCTCCATGTCTTACTTCAGTGGTTATAGTGTGCAAGCAAATTATTTTTATTCTTAGACTTATTTCCTTTATGTCTATAAATTATTAATGAGATAAAATACTATTGATTAAAGAAAGGAAGACTAAAACAGTGATGTAAACATATAAGTTAATCAGCAGTGTGAAAATATAATTGTGCAATGAGCTTCAATAGATTGTTCCAGCTGTATTTATTCCATCATAGTTTGTATGAACTAGAGTGAGATGTAGATAGTGATTCAAAACCCAAGGTTACAAAAGAAAAGTATAGCAAAAAATACTCCATTTATTATGTTTTGTCTTTTAATTTATTGATAATATAATAATCTATCTGCTCCCAGAATATTTTGTTTGTAGAAATGTGTCTTCCAGTAACATCCAGTAGCTCATAATTTAGAAGCAAATTATAATGTTTATAAAACAAATGAACTAGTTGTGTGTTTGTGTGTGCACATGTGTGTGAAAAAGACAGAGAGACAAAGACAGAGATTTCAAATTCCAAAACTGCCAGTCAGATCGTGAAAGTAGATTTTTATCTACTCTTTATGTTGTAAGAAATAGTTCACTTTCAATCTACATTTTATTATACATCCAGTACAAAAAGCCATATGGGGAAATTATTTGCTAACAATTTTTTTACATAATTAATTTTCAAGTAAATAACAAGAGTGGCATTTGCTCTTACATGTAATTACTGTTAATAATAATTATAATGGGATGCTAACGAGGGATTTTTTTGTCTCCTTTTGGGCCAGGGCCCCAGTTGTTGAGAAAAATATAATGTTCTCAGAACCCTACCAGCCTAAGTGGAAGAGCTGAACTACCACATCAGGATGTGATAAAACTCATTCTGCCAGCATCGTTCATGACGGATCTCCAGACTGTAAGAGAACAGGTTGACGAGGCAAAAAAGTAACATATCTTTAGGGAGTGGAGAGAAGTATTTTTCTTACCTTTGATGCAGTGAGTGAAAAATCTTCAAGTATATTGTTTCTTAGGATTTGATGATGTCTCACCACCACTTGGAGACATCTGAAAGCAAAGACAAGGATATTCTATGACTTCTGCAGAACATTGTGATAGTGCAGGTTTCTCAAAAACCAAGTGTAGGCCCTTTGGGAGAAGTTTTCTGGAATTTTCTGAAAAAAAATAAAAATAAAAAAAAATAAAAGCCCCCCAAAGAAGGCCACCTAGGAAGCTGAGAGCACCCAGAGAAAGGATGGCCATTTTACTTATGGTTTATAAGACGGTTTACATTACTAAAGAGAATTAGAAGCCCTAAAGACCTGTCTGATATTTCACCTAGCAGTGGCATTGGTTAGTCTTCACAGCAAGTGGTTAGAGAGAATAAAGTTATTTCCTGGTTGGACCCCATTGGCTCCAGCTTGGTCAATTAGAAAATGACAGCTAAGAAGAATTGAGTACTTATTCAGAGCCAAATAGTATGTCACATGTCAGGTTCCCCAGGAGGCTTGACTGAGTCAGAGATTGTGGCTGGGAATTTTCTGGGGTGTGCTTTCAGGATCTATACTTTCCTTGGATGGAAGGAATCAGAATTTGATAGAAGGAGAAATCAGACTGTGATGCATTCATAACCTAGGTCTGAGCTGGGCTGGAATGGTCCCATTGAGTTGTCCCCTAGTGGAGTAAAGGACTAGGCTTTTTACATAGACCAGGTGTTTCATGTGGGTTACTCAAGGGAGGACACATGAGCTTGGGTGAGGTGACACGCTTCCATCTGGGAAACTCACGAGGAGGAGAGGGGCTCTCAACTCCAGCTGTGAGTCACTAGTACTCCCAGTGGCTAGGAAAGTATGGGGGTCTCAGTCCTGGGGGCTGTGGAGGGCATCTCACAGCATCCATCACAATCCACCCCTTGCTGTACTTAAATCCAGTGGCTTCATGTAAGTTTGGGGCTCAGCATCTTCAGAATTCTGGTGACTTCTTTTCGTGAGGAAACATAAGAAGAGGTTGTTGATAGGACATACTGCAGTCCTCACCATGACTGCTGGTCATGAGGCTTTAACAATACTTATCATGCCCTTTTCCTACTAGCCATTCTAGATCTCCCTCATCCTAAGCTGGCCCATTTGCAGGTCTAGGTACCTTTCCTGGGCCGGGGTGGGTGGGGTGGGGTGGTGGTGGGGAGGGTAGAGTGACCAAGATTCTCATTTCTGAAGGGTTGCATGCCCGTAGTCACTATGCACTTCTCAGGCTATGGTGGCTGCACTTGCTCATTTACCATGAATTAGGAAGAAGTATAGCAAGAGGCACCCAGATGGTTACTGAACTTGTTCTTCTCTGTTTTACCTCCTCCTGATGGTAGTGCTAATTACTTTTGCCAGGAGGGCAGAGATATCTTTTCTTACTTGCTGTCCCTTTGGCATCTTTTCCAACCACTGATGCATCTAATATCATTTATCTGCCAGGTCACACGGCAGTAGCAGGGCTGCTCACACCACAGCCTGAGTCTGCTGCAAAGCTCTTTTCTTCCCTTGAAATCTCACAAAGCTTACAGCCTTTTTGTCACCTAGTGGGTGATATAAGACTTTCCCTATCTGTATACAAGTCCCTATCTGTGTACAAGTCCCTATCTGTATACAAGTCCCAGGAACCTGACCATGACTTTCATGCTCTGTGGTTACTGAACTTCTGTTATGGATACTGTTAGAGATTGTGTGTATTCGTCCGTATTCACACTGCCAGAAAGAACTACGTGAGACTGGGTAATTTATAAACAGGTTTAATTGGCTCACAGTTCTGCATGCCTGGAAGAGGCCTCAGGGAACTTGCAATCATGGCAGAAGGTCAAGGGGAAGCAAGGCACATCTTACGTGGTTGCAGGTGGGGGTAGGGAGCTGCTACCAACTTTTAAACCACCAGATATCATGAGAGCTCACTCACTGTCATGAGAACTGCATGGGGGAAACCAGCCCCATGATCTAATCACCTCCCATCTGGTCCCACCTCAGACACGTGGGGATTACAATGTGACATGAGATTTGGGTGGGGACGTGTAGCCAAACCATGTCAGATACGCTTCTCCAGAGTAAGAAATCAGTAATAACCTGAAGTTTCAGAATTTCTCTTCTCAGTGGTTAACACCAAGAATATGTACATGAATGAAGCTGATCAGAAGAAATTGCCTATATTTTATCTCATTTTTACATAAAAAGTGTTAATTTCATATGGTTCAACATAATGGCTACCTAATAATTCTACTTATAATACTATTACTGACAGAAACACCAGCATTATTAATCAGATAACACTTAGCAAAAAGCAGGCACTGAAATAAGTACTTTGCTACTTAAAGTTCTATGATCTTCACCACATTTACCAATTATATTATTAGGTATAATTATTTCCTTTTTATACAGGGGCTGAAAATAGGTCATAGAGATGTAAATAAGCTTGCTAAAGGCCACAAAACTAGTATGTGTGGAAGCTAGGATTTGAACTCCGTGAAACCAGTTCCTGAGTCCTGAGTCTGCACCTTTCGTCACTATGCTGTATTTTTCCAGGATCTAACACTCCAGATTTCACCTATGTATTTCTCCCTTTACTCTTAGAAAAGGACAGTGAAACAAGATAGGCTTCTTGAAGTCTTTTATTCATCTTCCCCTGATCTCTTATTCAGAGCATCCATGAAGTAAGAGGTCACTTTTGGGGTTAGCTTCAGGGATTCTCTGACTGGTAGGGTTTGGATCTGTGTCCGCATCCAAATCTCATGTAGAATTGTAGTGTCCAGTGTTGGAGGAGGGCCCTGGTGGGAGGTGATTGGATCACGAAGGTGGATTTCTCCCTTGCTGTTCTCATGATAGCAAGTTTTCATGAGATTTGTTTGATTAAAAGTGTGTAGCAACTCCCCCTTCCCTCTCTTCCTCCTGCTCCAGCCATGTGAGACATACTTGCTTCCCTTTCACTTTCCACCATAAATGTAAGTTTTCTGAGGCCTCCCCAGCCATGCTTCCTGTACAGCCTGTGGAACCATGAGCTAGTGAAACCTCTTTTCATTATACATTACCCAGTTTCAGGTATTTCTTTATAGCAGCGTGAGAACGTACTAATACGCTGACTCTCTGGATGGTTCCTATGCCAATGAAACAAAAGATCAAAATTCTCACTTAACGATTATTATTCCTTGATGAGTGTTGTTTTAATCCCCTCCTATTCACTCTATTAATGAGGGAGAGATTTCTACCCTAAGGTGATGGGAATGGCCAAACACACAACCTGACACTGGAAGATGAGATCATCATCCGTTTATTAGTCACATAAACCCACTCCCAGGGGAAAAGGACACTGCATGTCATGTGGAGACACACAGCAGTTGCGCCCAGGACCAGAGTGAAGTGGCAGGTCTGTCGGAGGTGACCTATGGCAGCAAAAGGGTGCAGTGACCCCTGGTTCCCACAGAGGGATGTGATGGGATTATTTGAATAATTCCACAGGCTGGCAAGAGGGATGTGATAGGATTATTTGAATAATTCCACAGGCTGGCAAGGAACTGAAACTTATTACTATGAGATACATAGGATCTGTATCTGGTCTACTTGATAAGGAGGGTTGTTTGGCTAGGGAATCATATCTGTGGGAGCAGAGACAGGTGAAGAACTTAACAGTTAGGCCATTCAAGGCCCTCCCAGCTTCTTCAGATGTCAAGACAGCACATCACATGAGGCTTAATTTGAGCCTTTATTTCACAGTTTCCTTGTGTGATGTCTTTACTGGGACCTTACAAAACAGCCTTTGATACATTTGGACAAAATTAAGTGGAGAAAATTTTTCCTCTAGCCAAAAGGGCTATGAAACTGATCAATCATAAATAATGGATAGAAGCTTTGCTTTAATTCCTTATAGTCATAAATTCTTACTTTGCCACTAGGTTTTTATGGGAGCAGAGTTGGAATACCTAAATCATCTGATATTCCAAAATCTTTTATTGAGCTGCTCACTGTTGTAGGCTAACATAGCCAGAACAGCAACAACTTCCAACATCTCATTTGAAGACCCTCCGGCAGGAATTTGAATCTAGAATTTACTGATTCCTAGGCATTTGATAATAAGCAAATGTTTCCATTTTGTCAGTCTCACTTGCTTCACTTTCAAAGTAGAACTAATAATATCTATCTCAAGTGATTTTATGAACTTTGAATGCTATTATATAACAGATATAAAAGTGCTGGCACTTCAAAAGACTCAATAAACATGAACCCTTTTTCTGCCCTTTTCACTTAGTAAACCCTCCTTTGCCTCTCTCTATATATTATTGACAATTTTTAGTTGCTACCTTAGTTTTTGTGATGTGTAGATAAAGCTTTAATAACTAGTTCCTTTTATCAGGCCATTGTGAATGTAAATTTGAATCAATCAAAAGGCATTATTTTAGTACTTTGTACACAACTACAAGTACATAGTCATTCTGTATCATGTCATCCATAAAATCCCCAAAGTCTCAAAGTTGAGAAAAAACAAAACATCTGAGTGGAACAAAAAATGGCAATGCCTTCACTAATCTCGGGATTTCATTTGTAATACTTAAATTCTAAACAATGACTGACGGTACTGGGGAGAAGTGAAATGTCAATAACTCCTGTAGTTCATCAAAAGTCTTGTTGCTATGTAAAGCAGAGGGAGAATGAAACTTATCATAATAGCCTAAGTTTAGACTCAAAGATGAGCAACCGTTTTATGCTAATGAGTCTATAAACTGCTCATAAACGTCTCCACTATCCCATGGATACCCCAAACTTAACATGTCCAAATTGAAAATCTTATTTCCCACCCATCTCCTAAATTTTATGTCATATTCTCACTATTTTAATGAAGAACATTGCCAAATAAATGGCGAACTAAATCAAAAACAGGCCTTCACCAGTGACTCCTCCTCTCTGCCACCTATCACATCCCATCATTCCTATCGTTCTGTCAATTCTTACTCATAATCTACTTTTGTTTTCTATTCCAGTAACACTCCCTTAGTTCAGGTCACCTTTAGCTGTAATTTAGAGTAAATAATTCAACAACTCTGTTGTCATATCACTTCCCACATAGCAACCAACTAACTTCTCTTATTTGAAACCTTCTATGTGGTCGTGGTAGGGGAAGGGGATCAAAGGTGCTCCTGCCCCAGCACAATGATGTAGCCCACTTTAGCCCATTCCTTCCAGTAATTAATTACAACTAAAGTCTCTGGACAAAATGCAGAAACAACTAACTGAGGACTTTGAAAAGTAAACAAAAGCAGGTACAGTGGAGCCAAAATTTGGAGAAGCAACTACACAGAGCTAAGTTACCTAGCATTTTTTTTTTTCTCTTTCAGTCATGCAATACCTCTCTCATGCCCAGTCATGGGCAGCATGGGAGCAGGGGTGGAACCTTCAGCTAAAATCTGAGAGAAACCCCATCTTTCTGGCCAAAGGAACCAGAGAAAGGCATCCCTGTAGGTCATAGATTATTGAGGGGGATGCTGAAAGGGAGAGAGGAGGATCATCTAATTCTGTGAATAAGCACATACAAGTCTTAGCTTAAGTCTTGAGTTACACATGTAGGACAGACAAATACTAGTTTAGCTAAGGCTTAGAGAACTGAAAAGAGATTTGAATGGCACACATAAGTCTTTCAGCCCAGTCCCTGGGGTGTATGTATGTGGAATAAATACAAACTAAAGTGATAAAGGATTGGAGAACTGAATTGAATCACCTGCACAAAAGTCTGACTAACCTCTGAGCTGTTCACACATGAGGCAAACTTAAATAGTATAGCAAAGATTTGGAGGACTAACCTGATTGAACCATGTCCTACGGAGGAGAAGGCACAACTTACAATCTAATCCTAAGTGGAGCACTTGGTAAAAATAAAACATCAACATTCTCTGGAGAATCTTAACAGGATGGTACCCTGGGCATGTCATTCATGATGTCTGGGGTACAATCCAAAATTAATCAATACATAAATGAAACAAGCAGCAACAACAACAAAAAATGATAAAATTGCAATGGCTAAAAAAGTATGCCAAGCCTGAGATTATCTCAATGCTGGAGGTTTTAGACAAATACTTTAACAAGGCTTTCATAATTATGTATGTTAATACACACTTGAAATGATTGATAAAAAGGGGAATATCAACAGAGAAATAGAAATTGTACAATGAACTAAATGTGAACTTAAAACTGAAAAATGTAAGTAATTAAAAATTATAAAGTGGGCTCAATAACAGAATGATGAAAACAGAAGAAAAGGTAAACAAACTTGAAGATATATCAATAGGAGCTGCCCTAAGAACAGAGTGAAAAGATTTTTAACAAATGGACAGAGCCTTGAGATCATGTTGAACAGTATCAGAGGCCCATTCTATGTGTAATTTGAGTTCAGAAGAAGAGGGAAGGGAGATTGGGGCAGAAAAAAATGTTTGAAGCAATAATGTTCAAAAACTTATCACATCCTGTGAAAGACATATTTATAGATTAAAGATTGGCAAATTCCAACTTGAATAAATTCAGAGTAAATCATGCTTAAATATATTACAATTGGGTCAAAACCAAATATAAAGAAAATGTTTTAAGAGCAAGTAAAGATACATCACATTACATGTAGGGGAAAAATGATTTGAATGATGGTAGATTTATCTTTCAATATCTTTGAAATACTAAAGAAGTAATTGTCAACTCAATTCTATTTGCAGTAAAAGTATTCTTCAGAAATGAAGGTGAAATAAAGAAATTTTCTGATAAAAGCAAACTAAGAAAATGTATATCCGACAGACCTGCTTTACAAGACAGGCTAAAGGAGTTCCTTCACACTGAGGGCAAAACCTACAGAGAGGAACTTAGATATTTAGGAATAAAAAAAAAGCAATAGAAATGGTAAATAGCAGTGTAAAGATAAATGTTGCCTTTGTCTCCTTAAGCATAAAGTATGTATGATTGTTAAAACAAAAATTATAATATTGTCTGGTGAGGATTTTGATGTATGTAGATGTAATGTATATGACATCTATAAAATGAAGATCCATGTGGTGGGGAAACAAAGTGATATGGTTATAAAGATTTACATTTTACATAAAGTGGTGCAATATTAACTGTAAAATGTTAAATATGTCTATTAAAATCGGTAGAATAACCACTTAAAATAATTCAAGGAGATGTAAATTAATAACCAATCAATATATTAAAATAAAAAGTTTTGAAAATTCTCAAAATTTTTTTAAAAGACAGAAAAGAAAGAACAAAAAACTACATAAAATTGTAAGTAATAAAGTGATTACTCTAAATCCAGCCATATTAAAGATTACATTAAATGTTAATGGTTCAAACATTTCAATTTTTTAAAAATGCAGAAAATCTTGCCATCGTGGATAAAAAGCAAGAAGCTACTCTATGTGGCCTATAAGAAACACATTTGTTTTTATATTGTGTGTGTGTGTAAAATTGATGTATTGAAAGTAAATGGATAGAAAAAAATGTATGTTTGAAAAAGTAAGCACTAGAAGGCTGGAGTGGCTGTTTTAATATCAGATACAATAAGGACAAAGAAAAAAAGGTAATACCAGAAGAAAAAAATATTTTAATGTGACAAAAGGACAATTTATGAGAAAGACATAAAAATTATCAATGTACATGCACTTAATAATATAGTCTCAAATTATAAAAAGAAAAAAATATAACAAAGAGTGTCACAGAAAATTCCACAATCAGAGTAGGAGATTTTAACAATTGTGATTTCTCACGAATTGATAGAACCAGACAAAATTAATAAGAAAATAGAAGATCTGGGCAACACTATCAAGTACCATGATCTAACTGGTTTCAGATCATCATTCAACAACTGCACAACACACATTCTTTTCAAGAGTGCATGGTAGATAAATTAAAATAGACCAAATGATGGGATATAAAACAATTCTTAATATATTTTAAAGGATCAAATCATACAGGTATTATTCTCTGCTCACAAAAGGATTAAACTGGCAATCATAGTAAGAAAATACCTACAAAAACCCTCATATCAGAAATTCAACACACTTCTAAATAAATCACAAAGACGAAATTAAAACGAAATCTAGAAAATATTTTCAATGAAAGCACAGCATATCAAAGTTTGTGGGGTGCATCTAAAACAATGTATAATGATAAACACACAGCTTATATTTAAAAAGAATATCCACCTTGGTAAGCTAAAATAAGCCAGATAAACAAAGACCCACTTTACAAGAAATACCATAGGAATTCCTTCAGGCTGGAAATAATAACATCAGACATTAACACAAATCCACAGGAAGAAATAAAAAGGACCTGAAATGGTAAACATGCATGTACATATATAAGGCTGTATAAGTTTTTTTGTTTTCTCTTAACTTCTCTAAAAGGGTCAAGATTGCATAAGGCAATAATTATCACCCAGTATTGTCAGATTGATAAAATATATTGATACAATACATATGACAGAAAAAATAAGGAGGAGGAATGAAGTTATAGTGGAACAAGATTTCTATATTTTATAAAAAATTTGTTACTATTTGCTATGGTTTGAACGTCTGCCCCAAAGTTCATGTGTTGGAATCTTAATCCCCAATGTAACAGAGTTGAGAGTGGGACCTATGAGGGCTCTGCTGTCATGAATGGATTCATGTCATTATTGGGGAATTGGATTCTTATTGAGACAATGAGTTTGTTACAAAAGTGAGTTTGGTTCTCTCTCTGTTTCTTGCCCTCCCTCACCCTCTTGCCTACTGCGATGGGATAACACAGCAAGAAGGCCCTTGCAAGATGCAATCACCTTGATGTGGGACTTCTCAACTTCCAGAACTGTGAGAAATACATTTCTTTTTTTTATAAAGTACTCACTCTGTGGTATTCTGTTACAGAAACAAAAAACAGACTGAGGTAGTAAATCCAAAGGGGTTTATAATAACGATTGTGTGAGCCATAGAAAATAACTAAAAGTGTATGAGAATCAAAGGGGAGTTAAAATGTGTGTGTCTGTGTATTATACATGTATATGTAAATACGAAAAGACATG
This sequence comes from Homo sapiens, assembly GCF_000001405.40. NCBI lineage: Eukaryota > Metazoa > Chordata > Mammalia > Primates > Hominidae > Homo > Homo sapiens. Next base: position 95,721,372 of record NC_000015.10, on the reverse strand, counting down.
AGACATATTTAATTCAAATAGCAATGTAGCATTTAATCCTAATAGCAATGTAACATGTGTACATATGTACATGCATTAGATACATATTATGTTGATATATATAAGTATATGAATTATATATAGATCATATTGTAGTACATTAAATATAGTTATATATCTCCTTTCCTACCATTTTATACTTTGGACATATATATTTGATACAATATATTATATGTTAATATTAAATATATATTATAGATTACACTAATATATAAATATATTATGTTTATATTTTAGAATGCATACATATATAATTAATATAATTAAATAGATAACATTATATATTGTATTTAATATATTGTTATATTCATATAATTCCCATATTAATATAAGGATATATTAATGTTAAATATAGAAGTAATATTTATATTATATATGTCTGTAAATACAAAAGATAACAGGAAAGAAGAAACAGGGTAACAAAAAAGACATGAGACATTAAAACCAACTAGAAATATGGCAGATGTAAATCCTATGAGATCAATAATTAAGTTACATATAAATGGATTAATTCTCCCTACAATGAAAAGGCAGTGATTGTCAGACTAGATAAAAAAGCATGATTCAACTATAAGCTCTCTGTAAAGAAACACTTTAGGCTCAGAGACACAAACAAGCAGGAATAAAAGTATAGAAAAAGACATACCATCAAAACAGTAGCTGAGAGAGCTAGAGTGGCTATATAAATATCAAACAACATAGTCTTTAAGACAGGAAATATTGACAAAAGGTCAATACATCTGGAAGATAAGGTAAATATAAATATATATGCATGACAACATAGCCCCAGAATAAATGAATGAAAAATCTTAGAAAAGTAAAAGGAAAAAATAGGCAATTAGACAATAAAATTTTAATGCCCTGCTCTCAAAAATGAATAGAAGTCTTCGAATGATATAAAAACTTGAACCATATTATCAACCACTTTGACCTCACTGACATTTATATTATACTTCATCCAATAATAGCACAATATACTTCTTTTCAAGGTCACATGAAACATTCTCAGGGATACACTATATACTAGGCCATAAAATAATCTTCCTAAACTTAAAAGAATCAAAATGATACAAAATATGCTCTTTGATCACAAAAAAACTAAATTAAAAATCAACAACAGAAAAATATTTGGGGAATTCACAGATATAAGGAAATTAAATAACATACTTATATAATCCATAAAGGAAAAGAAAAACACAAAGGAAATACAAAATATTTTTAAATAAATACAAAGAAAACATAAAAATTTATTGAGTACAGCTAAAACAATGTTTACAGGAATTTTATAGTTGTAAAACACCAATATTACAAAAAAGTAAAGGTTTCAAATCAATATTTTAAGTTTCCAAGTTAAAATATTAGAAATATTAAATTAAACCCAGAACAAATAGAAAAGAATAGCAAAGATAAAAATGAATATAATAGAAAGCACAAAAAATAGAGAAATTTAATGAAATGAAGAGTTAATTGCTTGAAAAGATCAACACAATTGAAAATCTTTTAGCTAGACCAAGAAAAAACTGAAAGTAACAATGTATCAAAATTATTTTATTTTTCATTATTTATTTATTTATTTATTTTTTGAGACAGAGTTTTGCTCTTGTTGCCCGGGCTGGAGTGCAATGGTGCGATCTTGGCTCACTGCAACCTCTGCCTCCCAGGTTCAAGCGATTCTCCTGCCTCAGCCCCCGAGTAGCTGGGATTACAATCATGTGCTACCACACCCAGCTAATTTTGTTTTTTTAGTAGAAATGGGATTTCTCCCTGTTGGTCAGGCTGGTCTGGAACTCCTGACCTCAGGTGGTCTGCCTGCCTCGGCCTCCCAAAGTGCTGAGATTACAGGCATGAGCCACTAAGCCCAGCCTATCAAGATTGTTTTATAAAGAAATTAAAAGGATTGCTATGGAATATTATGAACAACTTTACACCAACAAATTAGAACATACATGAAATGAAAAATTCATAGAAAGAAATGAATTACGAAAACTGACTCAAGATGAAATAAATCATCTTACTATATCTTTCCCTTTTTAAAAAGGAAATTGTATTAATAATCAAAAATCTTTCTAAATAGAAAAGCCTAGATCCAAGATAGCTTTAAAGAAGAATCCTTCCAACTATTTAAAGAAGAATGGGCCCAGTGTGGTGGCTCACACCTGTAATCCTAACATTTTGGAAGGCGGCGACAAAAAGATTGTTTGAGGCCAGGAGTTTGAGACCAGCCTGGGCAATGTAGTGAGACCCCTGTCTCTACAAAAAATACAAATAAAAAAATTAACCAGGCATGGTGGCGCATGCCTATAGTCCCAGCTACTGGAGAGGCTGAGACAGGAGGAATGCTTGAGCCCAGGAGGTCGAGTTTACAGCAAGCTATGATTGTACCACTGCACTCCAGCCCAGGCAAGAGAGTGAGATCCTGTGTCTAAGAACTACTAAAAATAATAAAAAATAAAATTTAAAAAGTTCCCCAGGTGTTTTTAATATGTAGTCCAGATAAGAACTGCAGCTCAGTGGCTCCCTGGCTGAGGCCGTGGGCTGCCTTCACTTTCCAGCCTCTCCCTTGGCAATGCAAACTTCGCCTTCACCTTTGCTGTCTAGCTTGCTCTGCCTGAAGGGCCTCAGCACTTCCCTGCCAAAATTCAGACCTCCCGCCTAGCCCTGCTGGCCCGTGTGTTTGTCTTGTTCATATTCTATTCTTATCCGGCTTCTGGCTGCCTTGCCTCAGAGGCTTCTCCGAGTTGAATCCCACATTGTCCCAGCCTCCCCCACAGGCTGGTGCCTGAGTCCTCCCTCTACAGCCATGACCCCAAGCTTAGCACAGCCTCCAAAACCTCCCTCTGTAGAGACCCTTCCCAGAGGCCTCTCCACGCCAGGGGCACCCTCAGCACAGAGCCAACAGACAGAATGGTTGGCTTTCTAGAACTTCCTTGAATCTCTCTTTTCTTCTTTTTACTTATCCTGAAACTTTTCAGCAACGCATAGTGAGATTCTGCGGACATCTTCAGTGCTCTTCTTTCATTAAAAAAAATAATAATAGAGAAAGAGGATAGGGAAGGGAGATTACAGAACATATTTCCCCCATGATTTCTCCATTCTTATTAGAAATAAATATATAAATTTAATATATTTTATGTTAAACCTAATGTATCATTAGGATTCATAAAACTTAATTTGTTATTAGTATTCTATTTAAAATATTTGATATTTATTAATAAGGATTTAATATAAACCATCTGATTTAACTAACTACACTACCTATATTTTTGATGAAATTAAAAGAAAAAAAACTATTACCTACACAAAACTGCAAATTTTGAATTTGTGCTTATTGAAATTTGGGTCCCTGCAATTTACTTTATTGTTTGAGACAGACTCCTGCATTTGACACATGGATTGAGGAAGAAAAGGAGGGGAGAAGAAGTCACTTTCCAAGCCCACAAAATCATATTGTATATGTTCTGCCAATGTTCTCATACGAACTAGAGCTAGTTAAGAAGTTCTACAAAGCTACAAATGAATAATTGCCACTTGCTTCACACACCTTCATCTTACTCAATATTTCCCAAATGGAGTTAACTGAGAATCAGAAACTGGAGATATGGGAGGGAGTGACTTGTCAACTCTGGTTACCATCACCTATTTTATTATTATACGGAAGATATTAAGTGGGTAGAAACATATTTATTTGATCTCCATATTAAATAATTAAATATAATGAATATACAGCATGAATTCCATTATGCTAATAGCTAATATTTAACTGAAAATTTCTGAAATAATAATCACTTACATAATTCCAAGAAACAGTCCTAGAATAGAATGATTTTCACAGTAAAATGAATGCATGCACACATGTATGTACGAATGAGTGAATACATAAATAAGAAAGAGGGGAACATTAGACGTGTCCACCTTTCTTGTTTGAAGACAGCTATTTGGCCTCCTCTCATTGGTCCCTGTTCCCTGTGGTTGCTTGGGCCCAGGTGGATGGCCAAGAAGATTCTTCCCAACAGTTCTTCTCATACTGGTGCCTCTTGAGAACCTTATTTTCGTTCTAGTTAGTTGCACAATACACTTTTGTGAGTAACTTTCTTTCCTGGTCAGTCTCTTAGCTATGATTGGCAGGTTCTGTAATACCATGTAGAACTTCCAAAATAGTCCTAGGGTACAGACAACTGCTTTGTTGCTTGTCTGGGCTACGGAATTAAGATTGCAAGGAATTTCCTGGCAATTATTTTGTTGGGACTGAAAGGATATTGGATCCTGGTCTTAGTAACTAACTAAGTTTTATCCCTCTTAGGATTTTACATTGTTTAATCCATAACTAACTATACTTTATCTTTCACTGGGAGAGCAGTCCATGTTTTAACTGTCATTAGAAGCTGATTCTTTCTTTCTTTTCTCTTTCTTTCTTTTTCTTTCTTTCTTTCTTCTTCCTTCCTTTGTTCCTTCCTTCCATCCTTCCTTCTTTCCTTCCTTCCTTCCTTCTTTCTCTTTTGCTTCTAAACATTTACTTCTTTTGTTGACACCAAGTGCAAAAGTTGTCTCTCTGCATACTTCAATCCAGAGAGCTTCTAGGTGGGTGACCCTTAGATACAAGGTTCTGTATAACTTAGTATTGACTTAGTTTGGCCAGGGTAGCAAACCTTGTTTTGTTGTTGTTTCTGCAAATTCTATCCCTTTTTTTCAAAATAAAGGCTACAATTACTTAAACTTTTCCAATCAGGCTCCTCATCTCCACAATGACATTCTTCATGCTGGGGGTGGGGGGTAGAGCACTCTTTATTTGTCCTCTCCACAGCGCATGGTCCCAGCTGTGTGGCTCCCTACATGAATATGCATGAAATCAGATATGACATTGCCCTGCTCCCATTAATAATCTTGTCATCTGACTTGTGCTCCAGAAAGCTCCAGCTCATGGCTTCTCAGAGCAAATGTAGCCTGAAGAAAAACAAGACAAAACCAAACAAGATGAAAAAATACATATCTTTGTGCTCATCTTTTTTATTTGATTGGGATTAAGTATTCCAACACTTGGGCATGGGTTTGTGAGGGGAGCAGAGGAGGGGTGGAGAGACAGGGGGTGAGCGAGGCTGAGAAGTCGGCCCCTGTGTGAATGGCCTGGCTTGTCGGGAGCCTACAGTGGTGGGTGTAATGGTATGCGAAGTGACCTTGAATATAGGCGCTGTGGGTAGCCCCAGCTTTTTTGTAAAAGAAGCATTTGCAGTGGAGGTTTGGGTTTCAGGCCTCCCAGTCATCAATCATCTCAGCCCATTCTTCTCTTTGACAGCTCAGTACAAGGCCTGACATTTGACACCCAAGACCCTGGGACTTATGCACAGACACAAGCTGAGGCCCTAAGGGAGGGGAAGAAGGGAAGAGGAAAAAAAAAAGAGCTGTTTTATATATATATATATATATATATATTTTTTTTTGTTTTGTTTTAAGTAGCAAACTGAAGAAGATAACCAAACAAATCTTAACTGCCACAGGAAATGATTCTGCAGCAGAGCATCGCCTTGAATTCTCTCTGCTGCTTTGTGATTTTTTCCTGCTGTTTACAGGTTGCTTAAAATAGTTCTGTGCAGTTAGTTTGGGGCAAATATCTGAGCTTGGCGAGTCACTTTCCATTTGCCAGATTGAATCCAACCTCAGCATTCAAGGATGGATTAGTGGACATGGGGGTTATCACTTTCTGGACAATGGCTCATGACACAGTGACCTGAATGTCATTACATCATACTGTCACCTCAGAGGAAGGCCACCCTCAGGGTACTTTCTCTTTGGAAAATTGAAAAAATAAAAAAGGAGAGATAATAACTCAGGTTCAGATATGAGCTCACTGAAGTTCGAGGTCAACTAATGCAAGTGTTTCAGGGATCAAATAATGGTAATTGGTGTTAAGAAGAATTAGGTAATTTATGGTTCTAACATTGAAAGAGCCTAAAAGGCTTACAACATGCAAGTCCCAGGATTTCATGGGTGAAGGTCCAGGTGGCTCTGCCTCAAATCCCTATTCATCTAAGGCCAGTTAAACTGAGTGCCAAGCTCTGAGCTTGTGAGGCCAAGGGTGTGTGATTAAATTCTTACCCAAGTCTGAGACCTGACAGATCAATCTAGCAAGCATTTTTTTGACACTGACTATATGCCTAGCATTGTACTAGTGTCATAGAACAGGCAAATATTCTAAGAGATGATCCCAGCCCACACAGACACTACCATATATTTGGAGAGATAAAGCATGCATTGATAAGATAGTGCATAATAGTATGGCAAAAAAACAAATATGTTCTGATTTATCAACTAGGTTGTCTCCAGGATTACTTAGCACATCGTTCATTCTGGAAGCACTGGCATCCCACACACCCACTCAAGAAATCACATGTTTCTTCCCAGTGGAAATGTAGAAAAATATTTGGGGTTTGCATAGGAAATATAAAATGCTTTCTAAGAACATCGAAGAGTACAGGCTTAGAATACAGAGTTAAATATTAGGAATCTTTTAGAAAAACATTCCCAGAGAAAATACGCAATCAGAAGTTGAATGGGGCAGTGGCTGGATTAGAAATGAGTTTTCTTTTTATGTCATTTTCCTATAATCCATAATGAGTGCATGCAACTTTTTATTAATTAATACATGATAATTTTTAAACTACAAAATTTTATAAAATTTATAAATTATAAAATATTAATTTATTATTAAATAATAAATTATTTAAAAAATAATTTTTTAAAATGGAGATCCTTAATGGCTACCTAGAACTGTATACTACTTACATTTCATTCTGTAATTTTTCTCTTAGTGTAGAAAGTCTGATAATACTTCCTTTTCACTACCCTTCCACTAATAGTTAATAAAGTTCATTCTCCTGTAAGAGCAAAGGTGGACACTTCACACCCCATAGGATTAGCCTCTGAGCCCGAGTGAGGCTATTTGTAGTAGATTGAGTTCCTCTTCCATGTTCTCACAATGCCTTATGTTCTGGCACAGCATGGACCTGCTCTGTTAATTTGGGAATCACTTATCTTGCCCATTAAACAGTGAGCTCCTTGAGGGCCAGGACCCATCTTTTTCTCCAGGAAGTGTTCTCATTTTAATATCTCCAGGAAGGAGGTCTTTGCTTTGCACAGGAGGTACTCAATAACCTTTTGAAGAATTTATAGATGTATGAATAAGTATCTGTGTCTATTTATTAGACAAGTATCATCATTATTGTTTTCAAGGACTCATTTGTGCACCTTCAAACAGCCTCACATTTATTCGTCATGGAGCTTTGTTTTGTTATCACTCTTGGCAGTAAACAAATTTATTCCTCTGAGTTTTCATAAAATTCTTGCCAGGAATGAACTGATAAAAACTTGCCAAGCTCCCATCTTTTTCTGTTGAAACTTATCTGTTTAGGGGTTCCTACATAGAATTTGCTCTTTCTCTACCTTTTTTTTAATTTTTAAGTTTATTTTTATAGGCTTTGTTGTCCTTCTTGCCTTTAGTTCTCTAGAGAAATGAATTGTACTTTCAACTTTTAATTCTTCAAAATAAAGCACCATCTATAATGATGTACACATTAAAGTTTCAGATTATTAATTCCTGTTCAAAGTAGTTCCGAGTGATTTTATTTCCTTTTTCAAGTATTTTCCTATTCAATCAGGGGTACTCATCTGTGTCTGGAGAAATCTGTGGTGTTTTTGACCTAGCGTGTTTCTTTTTTCCCCTAGAAAACTCCACCCACTGCCTGGAAGGATTCTAAATCCAAATCATGGCTTTTCTTTCTCATTTTGGGAGAGAAGTACAGAATCTGCAATCTTGCAAAATGAAAGGTCTTAATCTTGAGGGAAAGTCTTTGATCCATAAAATAAGAGTTATGCTTAGTCGTGAGCTTTTTGAAACAGTATTCTTCGTTTAGTGCAAAAAAATCTACAGTCAGAAGTTTGAAAATGCCACGCAGTAGAGATGATTAGTTTTAATATAAATAGAATGGTGCCATTGAAGGCAAACGCAACAACTCAGTTTTGTTTTAAAACTTGGATATTTTCTACTGTTGGCAAAAAAGTGGAATTAAATATTTGTAATTAACAATGTTCAATACCACAATTGTGACACTCTCAGACTATGATATTCACTGGATTTTGGCTCACTTAGGGTGAAGAATGTATTGTTCTGCAGAGAAATTCTGTAGCTGTTTTTCTCTAGGTTCACTGCATGTCACACCACAGAATTGGGATTCAAGAGATGAGCCTGTATTTCTAATCATGTTGATATTTCCCATGTAGCTTCTTAGTCAGCTCCTTGGATTCTTCACACAAAACTATAAAAGGTCATCAATTATAGGGACCTTATGTAAATACTGGGCTGTTTTGTGATTCTATTCTGAGTAACGTTTATATACATCTGCTCAAATAAATTAATTTTCTTGTCCCAAATGACTCATTTAGTGGAACTAGAAGTTCTCATGCCAATGCAAATAGAGAAGGGGAGAGAGAGGGCACAGGGAAATGGGGAGGATGGGAATTCATTTTATCATCTACCAATTTATGAGCCCTGGCATATAATTTTTAAATAGAAAAGCACTTTAAGCAAATATTTAGAAAGAAAAGAAAAAGAGGGAGAATTAGAAATCCTGTCTTCTTAGGTGGAGTATAACCATCTTGAGGGTATGAAAATGAATTGAGACATACCTGCATTTGAGTGTCATCCATGTTATTTTCTAGCTGGATGACCTGTTTTACTTTAACTTCTTAGAACCTTATTTTCCACACCTAGAAAATCATACTAGAGTTACTCAAACTATGAACCTGGCAATGAAATTGCACAGCGTTTCTTTCTTCTCTAAGTGCCAGTGCCGTCTCCACAGACATTAGACATTTTATAAAGGATGGAGAAACTCTTGCAGACTTTGCTCAGTTCTTTTAAGTCAGGCTAAGGTGGGCCTGACAAATCCCTGAAACTCTACCTTAGGCTTGGGTTCATGGCCCTGTAAGTTTTAATAGCGTTTCCTTTCCTTCTAAGAAAGTTTATTTACAAAACCTCCATGTCTCCAACAACCCCTTGCAAAGTATCATGGACATTGCCTACTCCAGACTCCATATTGATTCCCTATCACTTACTTGATGCCAATAAACTTCCTCCCTTTACATTTATACCCTCTCATTATCATCTGGTGTCCATTATCCTATTTGTTGTAATATTTGTCGGTGCTGTCATTGCATGATTCCACCAGTCCATGCTTTATTGCCAGCTCCTTCAAATCACTTGGTAGTTCCATACTTTTACATATGGCCTTTCTCTGGCATTGGCATTCCATCTTGGGCCCACCATTTTCCTCAAGATTCAGTTCCCTTTTCTTCATCCAACAACTCTTCCTAAACTAAAATCACCTTCTTTAAATTGCGGCGGCATTTTGTACTTTCTCACTTTTACGCAGAATGGGTGGACTCCTGTCTTTGGCATTCCTTTCTTCTAACCACTTCTTACAATTTTTCCCTTTTCTACCTTGAGTGGAAACTCTTCAAGAGATGATATGTTGAAAGTTGGATTTTGTATTAATTATGTCACCTAGCAGAGTCCCTTATATATGATGAAAGTTTTGAATAATTGCTTCTTGAATAAAATTATGATTAATTAAATGTTACTACAGGTTCTTTATTAGCTACTACTACTCTTTTTGTATAAATTCCACTTTTCCTACCTTTCTTCTCTGGATAGATTGATCAGTTGATTTATCTGAATATAATTATTTCTAGTCATCTGTCTGTATTTTTAATTATATAATTACGGTGCTCCTTGAAATAAAGGTTAATTTTTAATTGCTGTAATCCTTGCTCCTAGAATTTGGGTTTAATTATCCTGGCACATATAGACCCAAAGTAACATATTATTAAAGTAAACTAATGTGAGCAGTTTACTACCAGGACTTCGAGTTTCACTTCTTTGTCACTTTCACATTCTTGTGCTGTAAACCTTGTCATATCATGTATCATGTCCAGCAAGACCTCAATCCAGGTTCAAGAAGTAAAATGAAGGCGTACCACTTCATTTGTAGTCTTGAAAGTTTTAATATTTTTTTACAGATTAAAAATTGTTTAAGTCACATTGTTGTTAGCGAAATTTATGAATGACTTGATTTCCACCCTACTAAATAACATATGCAGTTGGATAATTTATGCAGCATCACGTGTTCTTTGATTCTTGGTACATTGTGTACGCACATCTGAGCACAGGTATAACAAAGCCTACCTTACTGGATTATGGTGAGGAAAAGGGAGAGTGCATATTTAAAAAACACATGAGGCGGCTGTGAACAAGCAGCAGAGAAGAGAGTTAGAGATATGGACTGAGTAGCCACAATATTTGGTTTGAATACCAACCCACCACTTTGTTGTTAAGTAGGCTCTCCATGCCTCAGTTTCCTCACCTGTAAAATGGATATTAAATGCAGCCTCTTAGGGTTCGTGGAAGCAACCCAGGACATAGGGATGTAATGTGCTTGTATAGCATCTGGCAGATGGTGGCTTTTATACCCACACTGTTAGCTCTCATTTCTTATGATCATTGTTATGAAATTAATCAGCCTGTCTGCGTTTGCTATGGGTTAGTCTACTCTGGGTCAAGAAACAGTCAAGTTTACGCTATTTGGCCAGCACAACTGACCAGCATCCAGGCTAACTGTTTCTTAGTTACATCTGTGTGGGCTGGGTGTGAAGGAGGCTGGCAAGGTTGAGGGGAAAAAAGCAAGGCCCCTGAGCATTAAATAGAGTATATGCAGCCCTCCGCCTACTCTACAAGATTAAAGAGATGGGTTTTCAAGCAGTTCTTCAAACTAACTAATTTATATGTATATCAAGAATTCAACTGGAGAAATTTTTTTTAAAGGAGCATGGGGGAAATATGATGCTCTCACAGCCCCAGTGGTGTTGCCACGTTCATTTTACTAGCGCGTTCATTCTTTAGTACTTTCATGGCTTGACATGAGGGAGGAATTCGCATGTCATGGAAGATAACATCTCACTGTTGCCAAAGGAGTCTATTCAGACATGCATGTTAGTAGGTTGATAACTTATTCGGTATTGCAGAGGACTCAAAGATAGACATTTCGCCTTTTATCTTCATCTCTGTGCTCCCTGCATACTAAAGATAGTGCAAAACAGCCAGATACATCTTAACTAACCCACACAGAAAAGAGGACTTTTGCTAGCCTGCTGCAAGGGCTGCAAAGTTAAAGGAACAAGGTGTCACATGGCCTAATGACAAATGAATTAAACATGTTTATGCACCCAACGTGAGCTGTCTGTGAATGTAATTTTAAAGCACAAATCTAGCGATAATTTGGCAAGAAGTGTAAAATAAATAGAATCTAAACATTTTGGCTGCTGTCTGGAAGGGATGAGATAAAAGTGAATAGTGAGGTTGCAATAATAAAAAAAAGTAGGTTAACTCATAAATGAAAATTTTCATATTAGTTAACATGTATTTTGGGGTAGAGGAAGGAAAAATGAGAACTTATTTAAACAATGGCTCTAACATGCATTAAAACAGAGAACATTCTAATTCCCTGTGCATTCTTAGACAGGTGAGTGCCAGGACTATCTGTTAGACACTGTACAAAAACAATATCTATCCTCTATGTAGCACTAATCATTGACTATTTATTCTTTATTCTAATAGTATTTTTCTCTATCATAATTACTTATGGGTGTTACTGAATGGGATTTATTTAAGATTATGTGCAAAATACATTTCAAATACGTGAGAGAAAGTTGGCCACAAAGACAGTGATCCAATTATTTAGGTCAAGGAAATCAAAGTAACATCGATAAAAAAAAGAAAACTAAAGCCAAAAAGTAACATTTAGAGCCAACATTTCTAATTGACTTTTCATATTTAGTTAGAATTTGTAGTGTGATGAAAATATAAAGCTGTCGTTCTGTACATAGCAAATTGATTTTTTTAATACAAAAGAAAAACTGTTGATGGTCACTGTTGTTCTTTTTAAAGTGCTTGAAAACAGATTGGAAGAATATGAACCAAGATGAAAGAAAGTGGTTCATTCGATTGGAAGATTTCATATGATTTCTGTTTTGTGCTTTCTATTTTTGCTTTCTATTTATATAGGTTAACTTTGTATTTCTAAAGTTAACATGTATATTTTATAATCATGAAAATGTGTGCTTCTTAAAAATATTTGCTATATTAACACTGTTTATATGTACGATCCATATTGCTCCCAATTTTATTTCAATCCTACATTCTACTTATCTTTGCAAGCCTCTTCTAAACATGTTCAATACCGAAAAAATACTACTATTAGACCTGCAAAAGTTGGCCCCAGACACCATTGAGAAAAACATATAGTGTTTTTCATGGCCAAGTGACAAAATACATGATTTATTTAGAAACTTCACCAGTCCTCAGTACAGTAAGCTGCAATGCACTTATCACTCAAAAATGGGTTCAAATTCTTTCAAATAAAATTTAAAATTTAGTAGCTATCAGAAGAATCCCAGATATTATTAATATGTGTAACTAAAAGTATTATACATTTAGCAGCATAAAATCTGTTCACACTCTTTAAAGCAGAGGTATCCAATCTTTTGGCTTCACTGAGTCACACTGGAAGAATTGTCTTGGGCCACACACAAAATACACTAACAGTAACGATAGCTGATGAACTAAAAAAATAATAATAATAATCTCATGTTTTAAGAAAGTTTACAATTTGCATTCGGCTGCATTCAAAGCCATCCTGGACAGCTTGTTGCCCAGAGGCAGCAGGTTGGACAAGCTTCCTTTAAAGTGTTTGTGCTGATGTTTCTACTGTAACTTTAAGAAATATATTAGCCATACCTCTTCTGTTTAACTCCCTCTCTTGCTTTCTCTTGACTTTTAAAAGATATTTGTACTCTTGCTAGCATAACAGAAAGTGATGTGGACAACAAATGCGTTTATCTTGTAAATACAGAGAACCAATCTGAAAAATTCAGGTACCATCTAAAATTGTCTAATCTGTTTAGCTATTCATAAGTTAGAAAAGTTGACTCTTCACTTTTGTGCAATGTAGCTCTCCTTTAAAAGAAAGTTCCTTAGCTTTAGCACTTCCTGTCATTGTCTAGATGGGCACAAGATTTCTTTCTTTCATTTTCCAGTCCTATGGTGAGCGACTTCTGATTGGTCAGCAGCTTCATGGAAATCCTCGAGTGCATAGGGTAGGTACATCACTAACTCAAGAAATATTTAAAAATAAATAATAAGTGTAAATGCATGTTTAGAGTAAGGCCATATGCTTTAAAATATGAATCTATAATATTTATATATAGACTGCGATTGTGCAGAAGTCATAACCTCCTATGAGAATGGCTGATGTTCTATGCCTTTGCATCCCACCTGGAATGATTTTAACTTTCAGCTGCTCTTCAAGAGCACCTGGATTTAGTGCCTGTGACGTATGGCTGCATCAGTTCATACAGAAATGTGTTGTATCACTCCAAAGGAAGTAGTTTATCTTCCACATGACAACACCTGCACATCTCCAAAAGCTAAAAGAACTCTGAATATGCAAAGCCAGCATGACTTTCAAAGGAATCCAGGCACTAATTATAAACCTGGTAAGCAGGAATTTGCAGAAATAGAACAGAGCCATGCTGGATCTGTCTTTCATTATTTGTCTATTTATAAATTGACGTTGGGCTACACTCCTGGGTAATTTGACTTATACACATGACGCAATGCTAATAATTCAGAAATTAGTTGATTTGGAAAGAATTGGTAAATAATCTTTGGTCTGGCAAATTTTTTCTTTGATTTTTCAAATTAATTTGTGGACTCAAATGCAATAGTGTCAGTGCGTTCAATATTTTGGTTTCTTCTTTAGAACTAACAGTAAGTCCCCTCAATATATAGCATGAGAGATGTTTTCCCTATATGCTTACTCCTATTTCCTAATCACTGTTATTAGCTATTTGTTTATATTTTTAATACATAGAATCTAAATGTACCCAAACACACTAACTCAAAAGAAATCTCTTTTCCTATATAATGTACTTATGAATATCAATTTTATGGGAATTTCTTTGATGCTTCTGGTAAGATCCAAATGCATTTCAGTTCCATAGTTAGTGACGTCAGGAAGAAAATAGCCCTGTGTTATGGTCAACTTCACATCCAATGGATTGTGTCCATAAATTTACACTTCCCTAATACCTCTGGCTATAGGTTTGAGCCTGATAAATGTGACACCATTGGAGGTCCATTAAAATGTGGCCCACATTAGATGCATCCATTAGGTAATACTTTATTCATTGACAGCTTGGTGTATCTTGTTTTAAATCTCTTTTGCCTATGCTCGAACAAGAAAGTAAGCAAGCAATACTTGCATAAACTCATTTTCAGTGGATGCTTTATAAATATTGTTAAATATTATTAATGAAATATTATAAAATGCCATTATTCTCTAAGGTAATCAGACACATAACTTCAACTAGAGTCTCTATGCAGCAGTCTTCCAAATATAAATCTCCAGCTGCCATCTTTTTAATGAGTCGTTTGAATGTAACTGCCCGAGACCAGCAAAGCATGTCTTTTCCAAGGTTCTAAGGTTCTGACTTGTCTTCTGGGCCTTACTTTTGTGAAAGTTACAACCACTGCCTTCACTATTCCCTTGAAATCCTTGAATTGGCCATTGGTTTCTCCTTTGCTTTCTTTTTCTTACATGTGCCATAAGTTACACATTGAAGCTATTCTGCCTTGCAGTTCTTATTTCCATTTTTCTTTTTCTCTTTGCACTCTTGCAACATGCATTTAAGTTATCAGTATTTACTGCAGAGACATCAATAACTTCCCAGTTGCTCTTTCCATCTACCATCTCCCCTGACCTTAGTCCACTTGGGCACTACTGCTAAATTAATATTTCCTTTAGCAGACTTTTGCTATAAGAACTTTGTTTCAAAGCTTCAGTTGTCCTCAAATCCAAACTTCTTGAATAAACACTTTTATATTTTGCCTCCACACTTTTTTTTCTTTTTTTGAGATGGAGTCTCACTCTGTCGCCCAAGCTAGAGTGCAGTGGTGCGATCTCAGCTCACCACAACCTCCAATGCCTGGGTTCAAGCAATTCTCCTGCCTCAGCCTCCCGAGTAGCTGGGATTACAGGTGTGCGCCACTATGCCTGGCTAATTTTTGTACTTTTAGTAGAGACGAGGTTTCACCATGTTGAGCAGGCTGGTCTTGAACTCTTGACCTCAGGTGATCCACCCACCTCTGCCTTCCAAAGTGCTGGGACTACAGGCATGAGCCACCGTGCCCAGCCGACACACTTATTTTTTAAGAACTATTACTTTTAGCTCGGACATGTAAAGAGATTGGAAAGAGTCACTCCCTTACTTAAAATAAGAAAAAGCTGGATAAGTCAAGAACCAACAACTTATCTTAAACTCATTAGAGAACAGACGTGGCAAAGCAAGCTGCCACCCTGAAACCTGAAGACACAGAGACATCCAAAAAGTTACATCAATGGAGATCTACTCACCAGGAGCAGAAGGCCCTGGAGCCACAAACTGGTGGGAACACTTAAATGGTAATGTTGATAAATTGCTGGCCGCTGAGCATGCATTAGTGTGAGGGGGAGAAAACTACTGGAGGCTACAGTCTTAGAAGGCCCTCGCGCTGTTTTGACCTGCCTTCCAAGAATCCACCAGGTTCTCATCATGCGGATCCAAGAAAGACCCTTTCATGGCTTTGGCATGGAAAACGGAGGTATAAACATTCTGATACATGTGCTGAACCTTTCTCGTAACAAAGTCTTGCTCTTCAGGGAAAATGACTTTGCCAGAATGTAATTCTGAAAACTTATTCCAGCTGGAGGAAGGGAATTCCTCTCTATTCCAGTCCTATATAGCCTTCCTATTTGATCTAAGGTCGGGGAGGGAGGTGAGGGGCAACACGATGAATGAGAAACAGGGTTTCAAGGAAAACAGATCGGAAATGCTGCATAAGAAGAGGTGGGAAGAGGGGGCTATACACTGTAGGAGGGACACAAACATGAAAGAGAAAGGAAGGCCACATCCCTTAGACAGAGGCCTAAGAAAAGACTGAGACTTAAATAAAAGATTATAGAATATCCCCCTCCTCTTCACTCTACCACCATTCAATAGGGCTCCAGTATAATAATTGTGGGTTACAGCTGAAAGAACTGGAAGACACAAACTCTCTCTAAGGAGAAGTACATAGGAAATTCCCAAAGGCAAGAGGGCAGACAAACACAAGGAATGGGGAAATTGAAACTCCTGGTCCCTATAGCTATAACAAATATTATACACAGCCCTGACTCCTAAACAGATTAACATAAATTCTCACATTAAAGCTCTATTTACTTCAGTTTGTATTTCCCAATACATGTCCAGCTTTCAGGCAAAAATGATAAGTCATGCTAAAAGGCAAAGAAAAACAGTCTGAATAAAATATAATCAGAGCACACATTCAGATATGACACAGATGTTAGCATTTTCTGACGGCAAAATTAAAATCGCTATGATCAATACGTTAAGAACTGTTTTGAAAAAATTAGAAAACATGCAAAGAAAAAACTGAAAAAACCAACAATTGACAAAATCAAAGATTAAAAACTATAAGAAAACATTTTAAAATGCTAGAAATCAAAGAATGAATAAATAAAGTATGACATTGTTTACTGAAAATGTTCTTCTACTAAAGAATGAAGAATGAAGAACTGTCTTAGAACATGAATAATGTTCTATAAATGAATAATGTATTTAGTAGAATCATTCTGTGGATATAGCCAAGGAGAAAATTAATATAATTGAAGATGTGACAATAGAAACAACTGAAACAGAAATATAAGGAGGAAAAAATAATGAAAAAACAACAGAATATTTAAGAATTGAGGGACAATTTCCAAAGGTGCACAATTGCAGTAGCAGAAGAAGAGGGAAAAATATGGGGCAGAAGTATTTGAAGTAATAACGGCTAAGACCTTTCTAAATTAATGACAGACACCAAATTACATGTCCAGGTGAGCTCAGAAAACACCGAACAGAATAAACAACAAATACACACACAAACGCACATGCACACACATGCATATCATATTCAAATTTCAAATAATTAAAGACAAATAGAAAATCTTGAAGAATGTCAGAGAAGGAAACATTATCTCTCCTACAGAGGAATAAAGATTAGAATTATGTCAGACTTCTCTTCAGAAAACATGTAATCATAAGAGAGAGCAGTAAAATATTTAAGTGTTGAAAGAAAAATACTACAACCACAGAATCCTATATCCTTTCAAATTATCCTTCAGCATTGAAGGAGAAATAGACTTTCTCAGATAAATAAAAACTGAAGGAGTTCATTGTGAGCACACCTTCCCCTGACAAAATGTTAAAGAAGTTTTTAGGCAAAAGAAAAACTATGGAGGTCAGAAATTTGGCTCTACCTAAAGAAAGTGTAGGAAAATAATAAATAATAATAACATCCATCAATATCACAAGAAACAGGAAAGAGGAATTGAGAATACACTGCTGTAAAGTGCCTGTACAATATATTAAGTGGTATAGTGTTATCAGAGGATAGATACAGATTACTTTAAAATGTATATTGTAAACTCTAGGATAATTACTAATTAATTTAAAAAGAGATAAATTATATGACAGGGAATAAAAATGGAATCATACAAAATGCTCAATTAAGTCCAAAGAAGGAAGAAAAGTTGCCAACAGGGAAGAAACAGAGTAAATTCAATAAACAGAAAACAGCCACAAAGATGGTAGATAATATTCCAATGATTTTAATACTCACTTTAAATCTGAGTAGTGTAAATATGCCATTTAATTGTCAGAATAGATTAAAAAATCAAACTATATGTTGTCTACAAGAAACCTATTTTAAATATTTATATTTAATATCTAGACATAGATTTTATATGCAGAAATGTTAAATTAAAGGGATAGATAAAGATATCATGCTAACATTAATCAAGAGAAAGCCAGAGAGTATTAACTTCAGATTTCATAACAAAGTAAATCATCAAGGGTAAAAAGAAACATTACATGATAAAGAGGCCAATATTGCAAAAAGACATAATAGCTCTAAACATGTATGCACTGAAAACAGAGCCTTAAATGAGATGAAAACTGATAGAACTGAAAGGAGAAATAGACAAATCCCCTAATATCGTGTTGGATACTTGAATACTTGTCTGGCAGCAACTGACAGATCCAGCAGGTAGAAAATCGGTAAGAATACAGATGATCTGAACAGCACTACAAATCAACTTGATCTAATTGGCATTTATAGAGTGTTCCATCCAACAGCAGCAGATTATCCATTCTTCTCTAGCTTGAATGGAACATTCAGAAAGTTAAACTACATCCAGTGGCATGAAAAAACAATTTAGCGAATAGAATAGAAATTATACAAATTTCTTTTCCAAGATTGATCTTTCTCTGCTTCATTTACAACTGAATTTATCAAAACCAGACCACCTGCTATTTCCAGCATATATCATATTTTTTCCTACCTTACTTCTCTCATTTATTTACTGCATACATCCTTAAGGATATTAGAGTATGTATTGAGACATAGTATAGTCTCACTTTAGATCATAAGCACCTTGAGGGTGTATTTTACTTCTGTTTTTGTTCCTTCACATTCTCCCATTCCAATATCTGAAAGTCTACTTTGTTTTCATTAGTGATTTTTCTACATGAACAAACTGGCTACTCTCCTAAAAAATTATATCCTTAAAAAATCTAGAGTGAAGTTACATTCATGCAAGGACAGGGACATTACATTCCTTAACCTTTTGAATAAATTTTAATATGACATGTAAAAAAATCTTTAATACAGTTTAACTCTCTAGGATGTCCTTTTTTTTTGAGACAGGTGCTTGTTCTTTCACCTAGGCTGGAGTGCAATGGTGCAGTAATAGCCCATTGCAGCTGCAAATTTCTGGGCTCAAGTGATCTTCTTGCCTAAGCCTCTGGACTAGCTAGAACTACAGGTGCATGCCACCATACCCAGGCAATTTTTAATTCTTACTATTTTTTGCGTGGAGATGTGATCTTGCTATGTTGCCCAGTCTGGTCTTGAACTCTTGCTCTCAAGTGATCCTCCCACCTTGTACTCCCAAAGTGTTGGGATTATAGACATTTACAACTGCGCCTGGCCTTAGAATAGCCTTTTAAATGTTATGTTTCAATTAAAGTATTAGCAAAGCATGACTTATTTACATTTATGACACCGCAAATTATGTTTGCTTTGAGCCATTCCCTCTTCCCTTTCCGTAAGAAAGTTCCTAAGTCTAAGAAGCCAGTATGGCCAACCAAGAATTTTGGGGCAAAATCAAAGTCTTTTTAGACTAGAATTTTGGGAAGAATCTTTGCATTTTGCATAGAGCATTTATATGGTTTGGCTCTGTCCCCACCAAATCTCATCTTTAATTGTAACTTCCACAATTCTCAAAGGTCATGGGAGGAACCCAGTGGGAGGTGATTGAATCATAGGGGCAAGTCTTTCCTGCACTGTTCTCATGATAGTGAATGAGTCTCATGAAATCTGCCAGTTTTAAAAATGGGAGTTTCCCTGCACAAGCTCTCATTGCCTGCTGCCATACATGTAAGATGTGACTTGCTCCTCCTTTCCTTCCACCATGATTGTGAGGCCTCCCCTGTAATGTGGAATTGCAAGTCTCATCAAACCTCTTTCCTTTGTAAATTGCCCAGTCTTAGGTATGTCTTTATCAGCAGTGCAAGAACAGACTAATACAGTAAATTGGTACCAGAAGTGGGGTGTTGCTGAAAAGATACTTGAAAATGTAGAAGCAATGTTGGAACTGGGTAATAGGCAGCGGCTGGAACAGTTTTGAGGGCTCAGAAGAAGACCAGAAAATGTGGGAATGTTTGGAACTCCCTAGAGACTTGTTAAATGGCTTTGAAAAAAATGCTGATAATGACATGGACAAAGAAATCCAGGCTGAGGTGGTCTCAGATGGAGATGAGGAACTTGTGAGGAACTGGAGGAAAGGTGACTCTCATTATGTTTTACCAAACAGACTGGTGGCATTTTGCCCCTCCCCTAGAGATTTGTGGAACTTTGAACTGGAAAGAGATGATTTAGGGTATGTGGCAGGAGAAATTGCTAAGCAGCAAAGCATTCAAGAGGTGACTTTGGCTTGTTGGAGGCAGTTGGGTATTGTTAAAGGCATTCAGTTTTATAAGGGAAGCAGAGCATAAAAGTTCAGAAAATTTGCAGCCTAACAATGTGATAGAAAAGAAAATTCCATTTTCTGAGGAGAAATTCAAGCAGGCTGCAGAAATTTGCATGAGTAATGAGGAGCACAATGTTAATCCCCAAGAAAATGGGAGAAAATGTCTCCAGGGCATGCCAGAGACCTTTGCAGCAACTCCTCCCATCACAGGCCCAGAGGACTAGGAGGAAAAAGTGGTTTCATGGGCCAGGCCAAGGGTCCCTGTGCTGTGTGCAGCCTAGGGACTTGGTGCCCTGTATCCCAGCCACTCCAGCTGTGGCTGAAGGGGGCCAGCATAGAGCTTGGGCTGTGGTTTCAGAGGGTGCAAGCCTCATGCCTTGGCAGCTTCCACGTGGTGTTGAGCCTGCAAGTGCACAGAAATCAAGAATTGAGGTTTGAGAACCTCTGCCTAGATTTCAGAGGATGTATGGAAATGTCTGGATTGCTGGGGGGTGGGGCTGTCATGGAGAACCTCTGCTAGGGCAGTGCAGAAGGGAAATGTGGGGTCAGAGCCCCCACTCAGTGTCCCTACTGAGGCACTGCCTAGTGGAGCTGTGAGAAGAGTACCACTGTCCTCCAGACCCCAGAATGGCAGATCCACTGACAGCTTGCACCATGTGCCTGGAAAAGCCAAAGACACTCAATGCCAGCCCATGAAAGCAGCAGAGAGAGAGGCTGTACCCTGCAAAGCCACAGGGATGGACCTGCCCAAGAACATGGGAACCCACCTCTTGCATCAGAGTGACCCAGATGCGAGACATGCAGTCAAAAGAGCTCATTTTGGAGCTTTAAGATTTGACTGCCCCTCTGGATTTCAGACTTGCATGGGGCCTGTCGCTCCTTTGTTTTGGCTGATTTCTCCCATTTGGAATGGCTGTATTTACCCAATATCTGTATCTGGGAAGTAACTAACTTGCTTTTGATTTTACAGGATCATAAGCATAAGGGACTTGCCTTGTCTCAGATAAGACACTGGACTGTGGACTTTTGAGATAATGCTGACATGAGTGAAGACTTGGAGGGACCGTTGAGAGGGCATAATTGGTTTAGAAATGTGAGGGCATGAGATTTTGGAGGGGTCAGGGGCGGAATGATATGGTATGGCTGTGTTCCCACCAAATCTCATCTTGAATTGAAACTCCCATAATTCCCATGTGTCATGGGAGGACTCCAGTGGGAGGTGATTGAATTATGGGAGCAGGTCTTTCCTGTGCTGTTTTCATGATAGTGAATAGGTCTCACGAGATCTGATGGTTTAAAAAACGGGAGTTTTCCAGCACAAGCTCTCTTTGCCTGCTGCTGTCCTTGTAAGATGTGACTTGCTCCTCCTTGCCTTCCACCATGATTGTGTTGCCTCCCCAGCCATGTGGAACTATAAGTCCAATTAAACCTCTTTCTTTTGTAAATTGTCCAGACTCAAGTTTTTAAACTTAGTATGCTATGAAATTAAAAAATCAAAATCATAAATGCCAATCTCCTTAAACTCTACCTACCAATCAGTTGTAACATCTAGAGTCCATTACATTGGTTTAAGTGAGTAGATGCAGTATATATGAAAACATTTAGGAGTAATATCTTACCTCTATCATTAAGCATTAAGTCACTGGAAAAATTAAAACCTAGACATTACTCCCTGTTCATTAAAGATTTTAAATTATATTTATAAAGCTGTACTGTGTGAAATGTGATTACTATGTTAACCAAATAAAATATCTAAAAGTGCTTTCATCCCCATACTAAATTTTATCTCTTTATTGATATGAACAATGACCTCCCTAAATCATTAATTACATCTAATGAATTGCAAGTGTAATTTTGTCATTTGGTATGATTCTCCCAGAAAACATGAGTAAGTGAACTATTGTATCATCCCTGAAAAATTCCTTCCAAACAGAAGTGATAGAGCCCTCAATCCATTGCATGCAAATGAAACATACGGTTCCTATTTAGACCAACTCATCAAGTCTTTAAGTAAACAAAGATGGCAGATACAGAAACCTATTGATGTGCTTCTCTTACGGGTTTTGTCTGTTAACCTGTGGGAGAATTTATCTCTAGTCAAGCTACCAAAATTCTCCTTGGCTAATGTAAGTCTTATTTATTTTTAAAGGGAAACAAAAAGTGTCAAATCATAGGTTATTTAAATGCAGAAATGTACTGTTTTTTATAACTCTATTCAATACACTTATTGTCTTCTAAATAGGTCATTACATTTCAAGCATTTCTTTTAGCAAAAGATGCTTTATTTCTTTTAAAAAGAAACCTCAGCATAATCCCTAGAAATTTAAATAACTTTATTATTTGCATTTCAAATTTTAACTGAAGAAACTGAAGTCAATTTCAGAAAGCACAGCTACAAAAAGAAACTAACATGAAAACCACAGTTTTACCTAAGCTGTTTCTTTACTATTAATTTTTAATCTCCTTGACTCAAAGTAGTCCAACAATGCACATTTCTATTGCTCGTTTTTGAATTTAAAAATATTGAATGCATTATGAAGTCAAGTTGTAGTGTGTGGACTCATGCACATTCCTCCACAGAAAGAAAATAAACACTAGGTGATTATTTGAGGACAAATAGGGTGATATAGCTACTCATTTCAAAAATGTGAGCTTTATCTGTGAACAGCAGATGCAGACAAGTGTGTGTGCCTGATAACACAGATACAAGATGGATACAAATGCTATCAGCAATCTCGTGTATTAGGAATGTGGCCACAACAGCTGAGTTGACACCACCAGAGCAAATGCAAAATGTTTTCTTCCATAAAAAAGGTTAGTCAAACTCAGGTTTTCTTCTAGATATTTTAGATATCTTTTAGACAAGTGCTTTTCAAACTTTAATACCTATATGATCATCTAGTGATCTTGTTAAAATGCATGTTCCAAATCAAAAGGTCTGGACTGGGATCCAATAATTTGCATTTCTAACAAGTTCTGAGGTGATCTTGAGAGTACACTTCTGAGGACAGTATTTAAATAGTAAGATGTTAGAGCATCACTCTAAGCATTCATGAGGAGCTTAATAATATATTGCTATAAATTGTTGCTTTATATTAAGTGGCATTTTTGGCTATGTAGATACATACTAAAGTTAACAATTACATTTTCACATCACATTTGGATAGCTTTAGATACTATGTAGATAAAATCTGTTTTGGTGGCTCAGAGTATTTTGGAGGGCAATACATTCTATTTTGAGTCCCCTTCCAGGGAATCAAATTTGGAATACCAAAAGCAATCTACTGTATTTGTCAGAAGGATGATCATTGTTTTCTGTATTGGCAAGAATCTCTTTTAGTTTTGTTTCTTCACTTTGCCTTAGTTCACATGTTATCATCCACTATTATATATGGAAAATACAAGATGCTTGATCAAGTAGGCACTTGTTGATTTCAGAGTTAGCACCTCACTATTAGATATTAATAAGACAGGACAAATAAGACATTGTCCCTAATTTTAATGCAGTTACTAAATTGGGGAGATAAATATGTGGAATATTCTGAGGGTGAAGTGGTCATCTTAGTTAGGGGAGAGTGATGGAAAGCTTTACGGAAGGGATGACTGTGATTGGGCAGAGCTCAGAAAGCTGAAAAGGACTTGGACAGCTAGACAGATTTGTCCATGACATTGAAAAGGAAACCCGTGCAGTTTCTTGGAGTCCATAAATGTTTGGCTTGTTGGAGGCAGTGCAAATACTGGTGGGAAAATCAGTAGGAAAGAAGGTGGAGGGTATAATGGGAATAGGCTATGGAAATTCTGTTAGGCAGGCTCAAGGATTTATATTTTTATCCTGACAGTATAGAGTCACTAATGAGTTTTAAGTAGGGTAATGATGTGATAAGATTGTTTTTCGCGTAGGTTCTTTATCTACCTTCACTTCAAGGTTATATAGAACACATCTCTTCCACATAATGTACATTCCTATGAAAGTCCTTTCAGAGGTCAGTGTTTGTTAGATTGTCTGTAATTTTATTTTTACCATGACTATATGGTATACAAATTCTAACTTTTGCCTCAGCGATTAGAATTTTTTTAACCCACTATAACTAGTAATTGAATTGTGTTATCTTTCCTTTCATATCTTTCGATTAGGGGTATTTCAGAAAAAAATATCACAGTGTTAACTCTCATGGAAGTTACTGAAACCCGGTGTTAAACTCTGAACTTCCATCCACAACCTCTTTAAGCCATGTTTCTCCAAAGTAGTCATTTCTCTGGGCTGAAATGGAGCCCTTCTAATATGTCTCCTGTAAGCTTTATAAATTATTTAGAAATAGATAATAAATGACTTTATTGTGTTCATTAGAAATCATTCATATAAATTATAAAAGATTATAATTAATCTTTTATATTGTCTACAATGTGTCTACAAAAAGTTAAGAAAAAAATCCCCCTCCAAGCATTTTTTCAAATTTAAACCTACACAAATTTGAAATACTTGTACAATAAACACCTCAATACCCTTTATATAGATTAATCTACTGTTTTAAATTATCATGTATGCTTCCTCTCTATACAATTGGGCAAATGAAGCATTTGAACATAAGTCACATGTATTATTAACTAAAACACAGTTATGCAGAATGCATCTTCTAAAAATAAATACATTATCTTTAAATAAGGACAGTACCCTTACATTCGGTTGGTGCAAACATACCTAATATACTAAATATTGCCATTACTTTCAATGGCAAAAACCACAATTACTTTTGCACCACCCTAATAATAGAGAAATGTAGCAGTAATAACAGTACTATGATAATAGTATTAACAATATTATTTTAAACACAGACCATATTCAATTGTCTCCAAAATAACTTTTATAGCATTTTAAAAATCAAAATTCAGACACTGAGTTTTACTTTTGTGTGTCTTATTCATTTTTAATCTATGAATGCCCATGTATATATATTTACAGATACATATTTCTTTTTACAACCTAATTATTTACTTTTGCATATTTAATTGGTTTTGGACTGAGGACTACCTATACTTTGTAATGTGTGGAATTTCTCTATTTGTAGATTCTTAACATACACCCAATAATGGGAGTTTGAGTTGTTAGTTCTTGTTCTTATTATTTTTTTTTATTTTCTGTGTGGTTTCCAGGAAGGGAAGTAAAACAATTAAAAACTAACTTGGAGATGGAGTTTTTTTTTTCCACTTAGGATATAAAAACAACACACTGGAAAGTCATTCCCATCTTAACCATGAAAAATAGCTGACAAATCTTCAAAATCACCACTTTGATCCCATCAAAGAGCTGAGATCATTATCCCAACAAGTGAATTGAATTCCAAAGAATAGGAAGACTCTCCAAAGAGAGAGAAAACACTACTCTTTTATCTTTGGATAACCACAGGTAAAAGAAGTAGTCTCCATAAAAGCATGTAAAAATAAAGTAGTTGAAATTTTTATAAATTATTAAAGGACAAGTGTGGGTTAATGTTACAGTTTAGAGTAACTAGTAACACTGGACACAGGGGAGTCTGTACTCACTTAAAGTTCCTTTTCATCTGCCTGTACTGGGTACTCACAACACATACTGGGGGCAGAATAGGAGACTGGAAATACAAATGACCCACTTATTGGTTCATTAGGGGTTATTGACTGCTGCTGATGGAAGGCACAAAGTCTCTTTCAATACCTTGAATGATTATCTAAGCACAAGTTTTTAAGTCACTGAGTGAGGAAGAGGAATCCTACTTTCTAGCCCCTGGGCCTGGGTAAAGCTATTGATTCTGGTGGAGAAGTAGAAATAAAAGCCATATTTCCCTGAGGGAAAGGCAGGAAGCCATTTTGAATCCAGAATTCTGCACAAATAACAATTAGAGTTTGAATAATACTGGATATGGACAGGACATTCTCTGGCTTGAGACCTCCACAGATACAGGACAATTTGGTTGCCATGGGAGAGAGGCAAAAATGCTGAAAAAGGCTTACCCTCAAGGTACACCGGCGCTGCATAAGACTGAGTCTGAAGCAGGAGGATATATAACCACCTCTAGTCCCCTACAATGAGCCAAGAATGGAGTCATGAGCACTAGCTGTCTACTACTGAAAGAGGGGCAAGAGTTTAGAGAGACTCCCCTGTGACAATTGTATGTGGAGACTACTAATAGCATTCCACAATTTCAGGGCTTTAAATCTGTAGTGCCTTGAGGGTAACTATAGCAAAAAAGTGAAATTCAGCTTAATCTCTTACTAGATTTACTCAACATCTCAAAGTAGTGGCCAAAGAAAAGATGTGCCAAATTATGGTTTTAATTATTATTTACCTCAGTCTCTAATTTTTTGTTGTTTATAGAGAATGTCTGCTCTTCAATAAAACCTATGATACATCAAAATTAACAAATAAACACTATAATTACCCATTTTAAAAGATAAGGCATTAACAGAAACGAACTTAGAGACAGCAGAGACTTGAAAATAACTGTAAATAATATGTTAAAGGGTCTGGCATGATGGTTGATAATGTGAATGAAGAGGTGGGGTATTTTCATAGAAATAGAAAACTGTTTAAAATCAAATGAAAATCCTAGAAATAAAGAAATAGATAACAGAAATGAAGACTTTTTTGACAAATATACCAGTTTACTAGACACATCTGAAGAAAGGATGAGTTACCTTAATGACAGGTCAATAGAAATTATTCAACAGGGTTACAAAAAGAAAACAGAATAAAAAACAAGCAAAATATCCAAAAGCCATGAGAAAATATAAAATGATCTCATGTACATATAATTGTCTTTCTGAAAGAAAATGAGGGACATACTGGTCAGAGAAAATATTTTAAAAGGTGACAACTGAGAATTTCCCCAAATTAATGAAGAGATTTAAATCACAGATTGAAGAATCCTAGAAAAGCCCAAGAAGGATAAATATAGAAGAAAAAAATAGACATTTAAGCCAAAGTGATGAAAATAAAAAATGAAGTAAAAATCTTAGCCAATTAGAGATAAAATAAAACATACAGAGTCACATATATAAGCAATGCAGCAGACTTCTCATTATAAATTATGCAAGCCAGAAAGCAATGGAGTCATATTTTTAAAGTACTGAAAGAATTAGAACCCTGTGTACAGTAATAATGTTTTTCATAAATGAAAACAAGTTAAATACTTTTTTTTACACCAGGCGGGGATAAATTTCTTGCCAAAGGCCTGCACTACAAGAAATGCTAAAGGAAGTTGTATAGACAAGATATTACATGAATATTCGGATTCAAAAAAATGCCAGAAATAATATAAATGAGGTTAAATATATATAAACATAAGTGAATCTGAGGACATGACTAAATTGCTGCAATCTCATGATAAAGCTTTAGTGGATGATGAGTTGCTTCTTACAGATGAGCAAAGAACATCGTTTCTGAGATGGAACATACAACTGGTACAAATGCTGTAACACAGTTGACATGACAACAAAAAAATTAGACTATCAGATAAATTTAGTTAATCAAGCAGCAATAGGGTTTGAGAGGATTGATTTCAATTTTAAAAGAAGTTCTACTGTGAGTAAAATGCTATCAGACAGCATCACATGCTACAGGGAAATCTTTAATGAAGAATGTCAATTGATGCAGCAAACTTCATTGTGTGATTTTAATAAATTTCCACAGCCACCCCAGACTTCAGCAACCACTGCTCTGATCAGTCAGCAGTCATCAACATCAAGGCAAGAACCTCCTCTAGCAAAAATATTACAACTTGCTGAAAGCTCAGATTATTCTTAGCATTTTCAGCAATAAAGTATTTTTAATTAAGGCATTTTTTAGACACAATGCTATTCCATACTTAACAGACTGTAGTATAGTATAAACAACTTTTATATGCACTAGGACACCAAAAAAAGTGTAATTCACTTTATTGTGATATTCACTTTATTTCATTGGTCTAAACTGAGCCTGCAATATCCCTGAGGTAAGACTATAACTTTAATAGCTGTGATATATCTTTTTTTTTTTTTGTTAATTGGTCAGATTTCCTGGTTCTTTGTATACTGAAGAACTTTGATAGTATCTTAATAATTTTGAATAATATGTTATGAGATGTTGGAACCCATTAAGATCTATTGGATAATTTTAAATTGTTCTTCACCTGTGAATTAACCCATTCTGCCTTGAACACAAATTCTGTTTCACCCTCTTTGGCTAGCTGTTCCAATATCAGTTTTGTTTTCAAAGGCTTTGCTATTCTGAAGGTACCAATCAAAATTTCAGCTAGGACTTGGGTGGTAGTTATATTTTAGTTCAGCTCTCAAAATGTTTGCTATGCTTCTTGGATTTGATCTTGCTTTTGCAAGAGCTTGGGAAGAAAAGCAGGAATTTTAGTCAGCTTATATACATAGTTAGAGTACTTCCTCTCTTCTTCTCAGTATTTCCCACACATTCTCTAGTTTTAAAAGTCCCCTTTCCCAGTCTCTAGCTAGAAGGTCAGTTTTTCTCTCAGAATTTTAGCCCCTGCACTGATACCAATGGGGAGAAGCAGCAATAAGAAGAAAGAGAAAAGGAATGTATATTTCCCCCATGTTCTCCACACAGCATGGACCCCCTTTCCTGGTTCTGTATCCAAACTGATGGGTTTCCTCTCAGTGTTTTAGATTCCCTCTGAACCAGCTATTCCATTCAATTGAACAGGAGGTCATGAGAGTAATTCATATGAATATTTACTCTCTTTTTAGTAGGGAATCAAAATGCAAGCAGCGTAATATTTACCTATCTTAAAATAAGCTGACTTCGAAGCTATTATAAGAATATATTCCTAACTATGAAATTCTGTCTTACTAGTGAGGCCCACGAATTTCCCATCCAAACCATCAAGATTTGCTTCAATGTTTAGTAGGTTCTTTCTACTTAAGTTATCTAAAAATGTGTGAAATACTGAAGGCTTTTGCTAGAGAAACATTTAGAATTGCTTAATAAATTTTATTTTAGGGCACTTAAAGATCAATATACCATTTTGAATTAATTGTTCATACAGTGCTAAAGATTTTCCATCATATATTTCTTATGTTAATATTTATTTTTGCTAATGTAGACCAAAGGTTGTACTAAGAACTGAATTTGGATGCTTTTATCCATCATGTTAGAGCGATGCATAAGCACAGTTTCTTTGCTATTAAAATTAAAATGTCCCATTATACGGTATTTATGCTATGGGTGTTCTTAGTAAAGTGGAATTTTTATATTATGTCATTAAAATGAATATTAAAGTGGTACAATGGCAAAATATAGATTTTCATAATTCTTTGGCATAGAGAAATTCTAATGTGGAAATACAAATGGAGTACAATAGAAAGACCTGGATTGAAGTCTTTGATTTAAAAGGAGGGCCACGTAGTTTTTAAAAGATACAGTTTAAATTCCTTTAACTCTTTCATTAATTAAAGCGATGAAATAAATAGAGTTTCTAAATATTATTACTATCTCTCTCTTTTTTTTTTTTTTTTTTAAGACAGAGTGGGTCTCGCTCTGTTGCCCAGGCTGGAATGTAGTGCTGCCATCATAGCTCACTGTAACCTTGAATCCCTTGGCTTATCCGATCCTCCTACCGCAGTCTCCAGAGTAGCTAGGACTACAGGCATGTGCCACCACAGCTGGTAAATTTTAAAATATTTTCTAGAAATGGGGCCCTTGATATGTTGCTCAGGCTGGTTTCAACTCCTGGCCTCAAATGATTCTCCTGCTTTGGCCTCCCAAAGCATGGGAATTACAGGCATGTGCCACCACATTGGACCTATGACTGTCTTCTTATACATTTTTTCCAAATATTGTATTCATGAATAACATTGAACAGCTGGCCATCATTCATTGTTCTCCCTTTCAGGTAAGAACATTCCAGCTTTCTTTTGGAAAAACCAATGCCGTTTTGGTGTGATTCAGCTCCTATCTAGGGAAGTTTTCTCAAACTTTCAGCATACCAGAAATACCTGAAGTGCTGGTTAAAACACATATCGCTAGGCCCTACCCACAGAGTTTCTGATTCAGCAGGTTCCAGGCGAGGCTTGAGAATGTGCATTTCTAACATGGTCTCAAGTGAAGCTGATGCTGCACATCTAGGGACAACACTTTCAGAAGCACTCATCTAGAGTAAATCTCTTTATTTTCTTATCACTGGGTAGTGGGTTCCTTCTGTATCACCTGTGAGCCATCATAGACTAGGCCAGTATAATATTCTCCATGCTGAATCAGAAACACACAGCTATGAACTGAGGATATGGTATTGCCGTTTTGAAACACGGGTGGCTGTTGATTAGAAACCAAAACTTAGTCAGTTGTGCATTGTGGTCAGAAACATAGTAATAGCAAACGGCTTATGTCATTTGCTTATGGGATAAGCCCTGTGTTCCTCAGAAGTCTCTCTCTTCGACCAACATCATTTTAGTCCTCAGGATACAAACTGGGTACTTTGGCCTCCAGGAAGTCTTCCTTGATTTATCCCTCCCTCAAGCTAAGCTGCAGATCACTTCTTATTGCTCTCAAGACACTCTGTGAACATAGGCATCATTGCATTTTGCTCATTTTTTAAAACAAATATCTTTTTATGCATCTGTTGACTTCATTGGATTTTCTTTTGCCCTCAAAGACCATTTCTTATGAATCCTTTAACCCCAATATTTTAGACAAAACCTTGAAAGAGTGGTTGGCATCTGATAACTTTTTTTGAATAAAAGAAAGAGATTAATGATAGATGATGTGTGAAAGGGAAACTCAAGGAGTAGCCCATGCAAGATGATTTCCTGGGACAGTGGGTGTTTGCACCAGCACTTCATAAACTCACATGAGTCTGCACACGAGAAGTTATTGTCACCACAGCCCTTTATTCTTTTCAAGAAAGTGTCCATGTGCTTGCAACTTGTACAGAGAATGACAAATAAAACGCTCAAGGGGATAAGAGGCGATAGACTGGAAAATTTAAACTCTAGCTAGAAAGACACAAGCTGAAGGGGAACATGTCAGAAGTTTAAAATTCATTGAACACATGGATAGGAGAAGGTATATTTATTTAACAAACCCAGTAAAATAAGCTAGAATTGGACGTTTCCTTGGGGATTTAAGAAATTACATTAGTGCATATTTTAAAAAAGAAATATTACCTTGCATAATGATGAACACATTGCACATTCATCCTCTACCTACATTTTTGTTCCTACTGTTTTGTTCTGTTTGATCATTCTCCCCCTTTAAACTCGAAGCCACATTTCAACACTGCCAAGTGGCAGACCAATTACCTGAACTCACCTCTGTTCCTGCTCCAGCCTGGAGTGATCTCTTCCTCCACTGAAACTTATACAGTCCACACTAATGATCAAAATCCTGCCTTATCAAAACACACAAACATTTGTGAGCTGTGTACTGTCTTCAACTAGACTGAGTTATTTGATGTCACATATGAGAAATGGCAAATTAGATGCATTTTGCGTGCTACTTTTCACCAAATGGAAGTGGCTGCCTAAAGTCCTGTGATGAGAAGGATGCTGAGGGCATGTCTGGGCTTGATAAGAAAGAGTTTAAAAATCTGAGAATTGTATGTGGAAGGAGGAAATGGCATTATGCATGCCAGATATGATATTGTCATCAAGGTATCCCCAAAACTGATAGGACAGAGTTAGGCACAGAGAAAGACATATTACTCAATAAGTTTAATGAGTAAATGAAAACAAATATAATATTTATTAAATTACTTCTATAAAATGTATTTTGTTTAGTAAAATTCCTACATGATTTATAAGAGATATTAATGAGCTCATGAGTGTGTATATTTAACTTTTTGAAAATACGTTTTCCTCCAAATTTTTGTTTCAAATACCCAAAATAGAGCTATTATTAGAACTATGAATGGAACTATTTTAATATCATGTCCTTACAATCCTAAGGTAAGCAAATACGACTCCATATAAAAACCAAACTTTAATCTGGAATCTCTGGACTTCATCTTTTTCCAACTGTTAATTTTCTATTCTGTAGCGTGTATTATACAACTACCTTTAAAATGAGGAATTTATGTTGCAATTGTAGAACATCAGGGTTTAAAATTTTAATGAATGTAACAGTCTACCTCATATATTTGTCTCTGTATTCATGCAGGATTTCACCTAATCACCTCAGGCACATGAAAACGTGAATCTACTTTGGTGTTCTTAAAAACTGGGCAGCATTTGAGTATTACAATTGTTCATTCTTTTCTTTCTCAGTAACATTAATCTAAATTGCTCTTGCAGCAGAAATATCTTATTTCTTATTCATTTCCAATGATGAAAATTGCTGCTTCTTATAGATCTCAATAATACCTTGATTAAATCATGGATGAAGTATGCTTTTAAGTTCATTTTTCCCCAGAGATGGGAATACCATTTCTACCCATGGGGTTGAACTCCTTAGCCCTGAAACTTGTAAGTCTCTAGTATTTGTATAAAAGATAACTTGATTGCTTTTACTTCTTTTGGATGGCATATTATTATTTCTTTCTCTCTCATTAGCTCTCATTCATAAAATTGTATTCTCAACTTTCATTTATTAAATTTCTTCTCTATGCCAAACACTTCACTAAGTGTATGTGTGTTGGTGGGGGGTACACAGATGAAGACGATACAGACCCTGCATTCAAGAAATTCATAGGCTAATGAAGAGACACACAAAAAATAGACAATTAGACTAAAATATATGTGTTATGATAGAAGTAAGTGATTTGTAGCCCTTTAATCTTTTATCATGTGCATCTCTCAGGATTTAGGGCCCCTAACATCAGTACAATCTTTATACCTAGTTATACTTTATTTTTAAATTTCTGTAGCTCAGTCTTTTTCATGACTTTGCTCTACAACAATCTCTTATTTCTTACTCAGCACTACTAAGTTGAAAATCCTGTAGTTATTCCTTATATATGATTGTACCTTGATGTAGTGATAATAGATATAATGAGGCATTAGAGGATACCTAAACAAGCTGGAGATATGTCCCTTCCAGAACCTGGGTGAATTGATACATTTAAACATGAATTACCTGTGAAAGACAGGTGCATAGATGGAGGCAGGGTGGCTGGCTCTGACGTTAAGACCATCCTAGGCAAAACTGTAATGAGTCAATTTTAGCTTCATTGTCTCATCCTGGATCTGTCCTGTTCCAGATTAGGAACTGGCCTCCGCTTTCTTGTTTTTGTTACATATGTTTTCATTACTCAGTACCTGCTTTGTACTTATAATAACTCAGATTGTGAGGCAGATCATGTTCAAAGGGGCAGGAATTAGGAAAACATCTGTCCTCATCATCTCCCCATTTCTGGAAAATGTGTCATGTTCATTTCAAAATCTCTGTTTGCTGTAGAAAATGGAGGAAAAAACCCTTTTCAGTGCTAATGTGTTCTGAAAAAATATATTGTCTAAATAATACAAATTTTAGGCAGGCCAAAGGAGTAGATATTTTGTGCTAACAACACACAATATGTACTGCCATATATTCTGCCTATAAATATAGTTACTCTAATTCTAGGCAAAATTACAAGGTTGAGAGCATGCCGTATTTGCTGTTTTGTAAATGTCTTTGTTCATTCAACAATACTTTGCATTTTCTAATGTCAACGCATTCTACAGGATGGATTTTAATGCCTAAAAGTATTTAATGCATCTATCCCATACCTATATGCATATAATTAAATTATATGCACATTAGTCCATTATATGCATATGATCTGCTATCATATAAGTATCATATGCATACTTATATGACATAATCTTATCACAGGAATGTATTGAGGTCACACAACATACTCCAAACATGAGGCAGTGAAGGCAAGGAGGTAGAGAGCTAAGGGATGTAATAAAAATCAGATGTCCAGCGGGGAGAGATCCAGGGGCTGATCTCACACTGTTAAAGTCACCAGATCTAATGGCATCACTTCCAACATATTCAATTCTATTTATAAATTTTTAAGTCTAATTCTATGTAATATGTATACTGCTTTTATTCAGAGCAGATTCAAACCTACTTTTTAAAAAAGAAATGCATAGATTTTAATGAGGAAAATTAAAATATAAAATAAAATTTCATTCTCTTTCCTTGTGTAACAAAAAGGTAGTTATTATTTGTAATATCTCTATAGTTAAGATGTGGCTGGGCAGTTGATAATATACTAGGTCATTGGAAAATCCACCCTTAAGTCTGAGAGACATCTTGGCCAATTATACAGTGCATCCAGACAGATGGAGCTAGTGGCAAGCTGAACTTTGACTTTCTAAAGATTTGTTTGAATGAGACATAAATTTAATATTTTCTGATCAATATTATATAAAATACATTGTATTCTGTTTTTGGACACTGAGCTCGCTTACATTTTATAATGATATTTTTAAAGGGACACATATTTTGTACATTTTT
This sequence comes from Homo sapiens, assembly GCF_000001405.40. Taxonomy (NCBI): domain Eukaryota; kingdom Metazoa; phylum Chordata; class Mammalia; order Primates; family Hominidae; genus Homo; species Homo sapiens. The sequence continues at coordinate 95,686,701 of NC_000015.10, read as the reverse complement.
GGCAACCTCTTTTGGATAAATTCCTATAAAAGGAATTGGTTTATCAAATAATACAAGCATTTTTGAAAGTTTCATTCTTTACTGTCCTATTTCCCTCCACAATATTGCTTACACTCCCAATAACTATAGATGCAATTGTTCTAAAAAGCCAGTTAGCCACTTATAAAATAGTTATTGGGCATTTAGAATAATTGGAGTTCCACGTTAGGTGGTGAAGGTGTTTCAATGAGCACAAGAAGACCAGGAAAGGTTTTAAATTATCTGTTTAATTTAGTAGTTATAGGACTTTGCCAATGGTCTATTTTGTCTTGTGTCAATTCAAATTTATTAACTAGACATGCTTATAATATCATTTTATAATCATTTTAACGGCTCAGAATCTATGGTGATGTTCTTATTTTTATTCTTGATATTTCCTATCTTGTCTTTTCGATTTTATTGTCTTCAAATAATCAATTTTTGTTTTTATTCATCTTCATCTTCTCTACTGTATTTCAGCTTTCTATATAATTAATTTATCTTTTTATTTTATTATAGCCTTTATTATACTTTATTTGAGTTTGTTGTTTACGGTTTTTCTATTTTCTTTAGGTGAATCTTTACCGCATTGGGTTTTTTTTTTTTTTAGCCTTCTTGAGGATTGTAGATTTATTGTAGATGTTAACACGAAAGATTAAACAATACAGCTTTAAAAATGTAATATTAGGAATAATGGGAAGGAATTCCTAAACAGGACAGAAAAAGCCTTAACCAAAAATTTGAAAAAATTGATATGAAAAAAGTTAATATGTCAGTATATTTCTGTTCATCAATATAAACACTAGAAATAAAAAGTGCAGAAAGGAAGAAACTGTTCAAAACAAACATCACTCACTAAAGAATCATATTTTTAAAGACATATGATCTGATATTGGCTCATGCTTGTAATCCCAGCACTTTGGGAGGCCGAGGTGGGCAGATCATGAGGTCAAGAGATTGAGACCATCCTGGTCAACATGGTGAAACCCTGTCTCTACTAAAAATAGAAAAATTAGCTGGGCGTGGTGGCCTGCGCCTGTAGTCCCAGCTACTCGGGAGGCTGAGGTAGGAGAATCGCTTGAACCCGGGAGGCGGAGGTTGCAGTGAGCCGAAATAGTGTACTGCACTCTAGCCTGGCAACAGAGTGAGACTCTGTCTCAAAAAAAAAAAAGAAAAAAAAATGGACATAACAGATGAAAAATTACCTATTTGGTTCAATGTACTCTATTTGGGTGATGGTACACTAAAAGCCCTGACTTCTTCACTATACAAGCCATCCATGTGACCAAAACCACCTAAAGCTGTTGAAATAAAACATAAATAACATTTTTAAAGAAATGGACATGAATCTCAAACAGGCATTTCAAAGAAGAGGCTACTGAAATGACCAACAATTATATCAAAATTTACTGTATATAATCTGAAATCTGAAAATGCCAATGAAAATTACAATAAATGAAGAGCCCATATCCATCAGAAAGGCCAATATTAACAAGATTGATAATTTTACAATAACCATAGTAATCAAAGATTCCTCAAAGAATAGCCAGTGGATATTAAAATAGTTGGAAAGAAGATCCCTGGGGTCAGGATATTTTCTGACTGCCTCACCTTGTTGCTCTGGGATGCTGAGTCATGTACATGGTGTTTTTTGCAAAGAGTGACATGCACCATGAGTGCTGCAACTCCAATGATCTAATGTTTAATCAGCAATGCTGTTTCCTTGACTGCTGTTTTCTGGAACTCGGAAAGTAATTTCAAAAGATAAAAGAGAAAACATACTCTAGTAGCCTCAAAAAGTACTCCTTGTGCAGAAAAGAAACAAACTCTGGGTTCCTGAGATAAGAAGCAGATGGTGTGGCATAATAAAAAATATCTTTGACCTCTTTCAAGACCTCTATCATAAGACATAACATGAATTAGTCACTGGTTATATTTCCCAGTACAACTCAACTAGGTTTACAGTCAAATAGAAATTCCTCCCAAAATATCGTAAAATTTGTAAAGTTTGTTTTAGTTTATTACCATTATACCATATGTATTGGTTTCTCTCTGGGGGCACCTTTTTTCTCTTGTTGTTAGTAATCATAATGCATTATTGTATTTACTCATCATTTTCACTAGACTTCAGGCTCTGTGAAGGTAGGAACTATTTTTTTTTAAACATTATTCCATGGCACAGTGTAGGTGCATCATATAATCTTTCAAGTAATGAAGGGAGCAATCACACACTCATGAAGTTTTAAGAGAATGCGTCCGTAATAGCTAGCTACATGTCATTGTACTTTAGAATTAATGTTATTAACATTCTTGGCATTCAAAAGAAGCACTCACTAACAGCTGCAGAATAATGATTGGCACTGCATTGAATGGATTGGGGCAAGAACAGTCTGTGTTGGGTAAGATGCAGTTGAAACGGGAACTTATACACTATGTTAGACACATGACAACCTAGCTATATTGGCTAGACCGGTGAAAAGACTCAGAAGATAAACAGGGCACCTTATAGAGTGTCTTAAACTTGGGGATAATGAGTTTGAATTTATTAAGCATGATAAATACATAAAACTAGTTTTAGCAGTAAATGTTAAGATTTAAACAGCATTGCAGTGAAAATTAATTCAACGGCTATGTACATAATAAATTGTGGTTAAGTAGGAAAATGCAGTGAAAAGGCTGGTTAAGAAAGGGAAAGTATGGGCCAAACATCTGAGATATTCTCAGTGATTCGATTTGGAGGAAAAGGAAGTAAGATGAGTTAAGAATGGCTTTTGACAGGTAGACTACTGAGACTTGGAAAATGCACTCTGTTTCTGGGCTCTCCTTTCTTTCCTGCTACCATGTGCATTTTCTAACCCTGGGGCTTTCTCTTCAGGTCTCTTTTGTTCTTTATCTTCCTCTACTTCTCTTTTCTTCCTCCTCCATCTCTCTTTTTTCCTCACTATTTCTCTCACACTTTATCTCTTTTCCTTATGCTCTTTACTCATTTTATTGTTTCTTTTCTTACTTCCCCCTGTAATTAGCCAATTTAGGATTGAAGATCACTCTTCATGTATTTATTCAACAGTTCAAGAAAAATGAATAGACTCCACACTACTGCATGGTGATGTTATAGTTAATTAGCATATAGAGATGAATAAGATGCAATATCCTGCCTCAAGACATTTAATCATCAAACAGTGGTAAACATTCATTAATTCATCTGTTTATTTTGATTATTATTTATTTACTAAGGTACATAGTTCAATCATACATGATTCATGTTTGCAATGAATTCCAAGTTTGGTCTAAGAATAATTAAAACATTTTTATTGGTTATCAAGATGAAATGTGAAGGGATACACTCCATGTTGTTAGTACTGATTACCAGAGGGGTAGGGTTAAAGGTGAGGAGGGGAATATGGACATTTTCCTATATACAACTTTGATTTATTTCAATGAAAAGGTATTTTATAACTTAACAAATGTAATCAATCAAAAAAGTATCAAATACAATGTTATATACAACATATATTCTCTTGATAAATATGTCTTGCATTTTCTGAAATTCCCTTATCTTTATAAAACCACTTCCACTTATTATTAAGTTTAATTCTATATACTTTAATTTATTATTTTATCATTTGGTTCAGGGGCTATGAAAAGGAGGAGAAAAAGTTTTCTCAAGCTGTTTCACTGTTACTCTGCTACTGCACTCATTCAAAAAAATGTATAATTTAAATTCTCAAATCATACTTCTATTTTCTTGCTCATGTGATTTATTCAAAATTCCCTTAAAAACTACTGCTTTCATGATGAAACTAATCTTATTTATTCATTACAGCTTTGAAATCCCCTGAAATACAATGCCCATTTTCACAAACATTTTAGCCAACAGTAAATTTATTTTTCATTATTCTCTAAAGTCTAAGCAGCCAGGAACAGCAAGTCTCATTCAAGGGTTCTGTGTATTCCTTCCCCTCCCAATTACTTTCTATCCTCAAGAAAGACAGAAGTGTGTCTTGACATATTTTAGATCTTGACAAGAAACCTGTCTTAGCTGAATGTGCTTTCCCTTCTATCACATCTTTTCTTTTCCTTTTTAAGCAGTTGTCCCAGAATTTCAAAATTGAAATGAAAACCCATCATAATAAAAGCATACATTTTCAGGTTTCTGTGGAGCTTCTTGGCAAAGAACATGTCCTTTAAACTGATTTGAGAGAGAGAAATGTTGTGCTCCGATTGACAAAGGATTGCCCTACTTGTCAGATTTGTGTTTCTCTGGCTCTGTCACCTCCCCAGTAATGGATGCTGAGTCAAGCATATGGTGTTTGCTGCTGCAAGTGACACTGTGCTGGTTTTCTTTCCTATTCAAGAGGATCTTCCTCTGCCAAGTCAATTTGCAGTGGCTTGGATCTTTCAATAGGCCTTTGGTCCGACTCCAGAGTCCTTCTCAAATATCAGATGATGATGACCTCTTTGTGTAAACGTCAATATCTCAAAGACCCAACCTAAAACCCAAGAAGGTTTTTCAGTTTTTGAACTTTAATCTTGGGGGTCTACTTACTGTCCTTTGATTCCATGGAAGGATTACTCGGTAACTTGCTAATATACCATCCAATTTGTCTGGAAGCTTTGGCTTATAGCCCTGTAGAAGGATAGACATAAAGACTTGGAAGCTGAGAGGCAGAAGAGAGCTGGCAATGTTACTACGTCCAATTAAGATTTATAAGTGAAAAGGCAGGAAAGAGGTGAAAGCAAGAGAGGTATGATGCCAGGAACAAAAAACAACAAACAAACAAGAGACACAACAACAGTGAAATACATCTCTTGTTGTAGCTCAACTGTTAAATGAATGTAAAAGAGTTGGTTATAAATGTGTGCATGTGGTGGTGTGTGGGGTGGCAAAATGTGGAGGCCAGAAGAAGGAAGTGGTTTTAGGAATATAGGAAATAGAAATTTTTTACAGAAAATTCATAAATTATAAAAGTCTCTTCTCTGTCTTTAATTTTTCTTTTTTAACATGTAAGTTCTTTTTAGAGAAAAACAAATAAAAATATCTTTATGTTAATCTTTCCTACTGTCATTTTTATTTTTTCTGACAGATGTTTGGTTTATTCTATATAAAAATGAAACTGATTGATTTTAAGTTATAATATTTGTCTGGATAATAGCAACATTAATGGCATTAATATTTCTCTGTTTAGGGTGACTTTCTTTTTTTTTTTTTGTTTTTTGTTTTTTGTTTTTTGAGATGGAGTCTCGCTCTGTCACTGGAATGCTCAACTCACTGCAACCCCCACCTCCCTGGTTCAAGCAATTCCCCTGCCTCAGCCTCCTGAGTAGCTGGGATTACAGGTGCATGCCACCATACTCTGCTAATTTTTTTTGTATTTTTAGTAGAGATGGGGTTTCACCATGTCGCCCAGGCTGGTTTCAAACTCCTGACCTCAGGCAATCCGCCTGTCTTGGCCTCCCAAAATCCTGGGATTACAGGTGTGAGCCACCCCGCCTGGCCTAGGATGACTTTCTTAGTCCATTTGCATTGCCATGAAGGACACCTGACGCTGGGTAATTTATAAGGAAAAGAGTTTTATTTGGCTCACAGTTCTGCAGGCTGCACAAGAAGTATGACATCAGCATCTGCATCTGGGGAGGGCTTCGGGGAATATCCAGTCACAGTGGAAGGGGAAGGGGAAGCAGGCATCACATGATGAGAAAGCAACCCAGACAGAGAGGTGGGGGGAAGGATGCCACAATCCTTTAAACAAAATATCATGAATGATTGGAGTGAGAACTCACTCACTACTGTGGGGAGGGCACGAAGCCATTCATGAGGAATTCACCCTATGAGCCAAACACCTCCCATCAGGCCCCATTTTTAACACTGGGCATCAAATTTCAACATGAGATCTGAAGGGGACACATATTCAAACTATATCACTGACTATAAAGGAATACTACATTAACAAAAGCTTTTCAGCTCTTAAGAAGCTTAATTTTTAATTGAAGAAAAGGCATTTCTACATTAGAAAAGAGAGGAAAAGACAAACAAATAAATGTTTACTACCACCATTGTCTGTAGGCCCACACATACACATACATACACACACTTCTTTTTTCTATGTAATCCCATTGTCAGTATCGTCGTTGTTAACAGCAATACCGTATCTCAAATAGCATTAAAGGCTTCTAATTTATATTTTTGAAAAATTAATAATTGGCCAGGCAAGGTGGTTCATGCCTGTAATCTCAGCACTGGAGGTCATGAGTTTGAGATCAGCCTGGGCAACACAGGGAGGCCACATCTCTCCAAAAAATTTAAAAATTAACCAAGCGTGGTGGTGCATGCCTGTAGTCTCTGCTGCTTGGGAGACTGAGGCTGGAGGATCACTTGAGCCTGGGAAATTGAGGCTGCAGTGAGCTGTGATTGAGCCCCTCTTCTCCCACCTAGGTGATATTGCAGGACCCTGTCTCAAAAAATAAAATAAATAATCTTTTAGAGCAGTTTTTTAGTTTTACAGAAAAACTGAGCAGAAAGTACAGAGAGTTCCCATATACAACATTTTCTCTTTCTTCCAATTACTAGTATCTTGCATTAGCATGGTACATTTCTTACCATTGTTGAACAAATATTGATATATTGTTGCAAAAGCCCTCATTTACTTTGGCAGTCACTCTGTGTTCTAAAGTTTGATGAGTTTTGCCAAATGCTAACATCGGGTATCTATCATTAAAGTAGCATAGAGAGTACTTTCACTGCTCGAAATATCTTTTTATTATTTTGTATTATTTATTTATTTTATTTTATTTTTTTGAGATGGAGTCTCACTCTTGTCACCCAGGCTGGAGTGCAGTGGCACAATCTCGGCTCACTGCAACTTCCACCTCCTGAGTTCAAGCATTTCTCCTGCCTCAGCCGCCTTCATAGCTGGGACTACAGGTGTGCACCACCATGCCCGGCTAATTTTTTGTATTTTTAGTAGAGATGAGGTTTCACCATGTTGGCCAGGCTGGTCTCGAACTCCTGACCTCAGGTGATCTGACCACCTCAGCTTCCCAAAGTGCTGGGATTACAGGTGTGCCCGGTCTCTAAATATCTTTTTAAAAGCATCGTTAAACCTATCTCCTGAGTAAAGTATAAGTGTAATTCTTGGGTGGTAAACAAGAAATGCAATGGCTGGGACACTGGAGATGCATGTAAACAAAAAACAATTTAAATAAAACCTGCCAATTTTCTCTAAAATACCCATACCAATATACACTCAGCTGCTTGAGAGTTTCTAATTTCCTTTGCCATTGCCAACATACAACCACATTTTGAAATTTAAAAAGGATATCTTACTTCAATTGACATTCCCACCAGTTACTGATGATGATGAACAACATCTTTTCATATGTGTGACTGAACTGACCATTTGTGTTTCTTCTTACGGTAACTGCTTTTTCAGATAACTTGTCTATGAGTTGGAGGTGGCAGTTTGTCATTTTCTCATTGATTTTCAGGGTTTCAAAAATTCTAGACATTTAACCTTGACTGCCAGCTGTGTTGCAAATATTGTATTTCAGTTTGTTTCATTTCTCTTAACTTTGCTTATGGGGTGTTTATTGAATATAAGTTTGAGTAAAAAAAAATTAAATTAAAAACGAAGTCCAGAACATCACTTACAGTAAAATAATGTAGGAGGATAAGTGTAGGGGATGGTAGCCAGAGGACATAATAAAAACATTTGCTATGGTCCCAAATTTGTATGGGGCTGATGCTTGTTCTGGTGACTAGCTTCCACTGACTTTCCTGAAAAGCAAATTTGTAATATATTTATTTTTTCATTTTCTTCTTCAACTGTTTGTGAATGAATTTCATTTGGTTTTTCTGTCACCCAACCATGTCATTCCATGAAAAGTCCCTGCTATTCCGATTTCCTCATTCAGAGCCCTTGTCTTCTGTGTTTGATGTTCTATAAAGGGCTGTGTACACTCACAGTTCTCTATAAATAATTGAAAGAGTAATAATTTGCATATACAGTGGCCTGTAATTGGTTGTGATATACTCACTAGTAATTTTGCATGAGGGATGCTCCAGTAAAATAAATCGTGCTTGTCTGTGTTTACTTTGAGCAGGTAAAGTACTGTATGGCATGCTGAATTTTTATATCAAGTTTTAATTAGGTCATCCTGCTTGAGTTACCAAAATAACCTGCTCTCCCCAATAATGAAAATGGGATTTATTTAGAAATGAATATCAATGGCTCATCTTTGGATTTCAGAATGTGAAAGAACTCTTCTCTTTAATATATGCAAGTTAAATATTTTGCATTCTAATCTAGTCAGGCTTGCTGATGGACTCTTAGCCAAGAGGAGCTGCTGCCAAGGCAAGGAATGAAGATATTGGGGTCAGGACTCCACTGCACACCCAAGAGAGTACTGGTAACCCAGTCTTCGGGGAGCCAGAGTGAGATCAACCTTCTCCTTCCTTGTAATTCTCCCTCCAGCAAAGATCCAATCAGATAGGAAGGGGACAAACCCCCAACACTGTTTTACTTTTGGCAGCATCCAAAAGTAAGAGCTACACAAGCCCTGTATTTTTCAAAATGAGAGGATGAAGATTTTTGCGGAGTTTCACTCTTGTTGCCCAGGCTGGAGTGCAAAGGCGTGATCTTGGCTCACTGCAACGTCCGCCTCCTGGGTTCAAGTGATTCTCCTCCCTCGGCCTCCCGAGTAGCTGGGATTACAGGCATGCGCCACCACGCCCGGCTAATTTTGTATTTTTAGTAGAGATGGGGTTTCTTCATGTTGGTCAGGCTGGTCTCAAATTCCTGACCTCAGGTGATCTGCCCATCTCAGCCTCTCAAAGTGCTGGGATTACAGGTGTGAGCCACCGTGCCTGGCCCTCGATTTCCTTTTTTACATAATAGGCCTTTGCAAATCAAGTGGATTTTTTTGAAACTTGGGATTTTTGGTTTAATCAAAATCAAAGCATGGAGAATGGCAGGAGAAAGTAGTTACGAGTTATACTAACACTTTGTTGTTATGATGCTTTTTATCCTCATGGAGGGCTTCTTTTTTTTTTTTTTTTTTTTTAGTTCTTACCCTTACCAAGGCAAACTCAGAGAAGGAATGCTCACGATAAAGCTAGGGTACAATTTGCACATGATTTTAGGTCCATCCTAGTCACTTCAGAGATACACACAGGTATTTACTGATTCCATATTTATGTGCAAGGCACAGTCTATACAGGAGGGAGTCAGGGAGGGAAGGATTTGTGTCCTCACACAGAGAACATATTATCAATAGTTTACAATCCAATCAGATTATTGGAGATGAGCTATATACTTTCCTGGAAACAAGACAGGAAGGCTGTATCCAAACAAAGAAGGCATCATACTCCAGCAGCCTAGACGTAAGTCAAAAATTTTGCCTTGAAAATGTGTTTTTCAGCCGGGCGTGGTGGCTCACGCCTGTAATCCCAGCACTTTGGGAGGCCGAGGCGGGTGGAACACGGGGTCAGGAGTTCAAGACCAGCCTGGCCAAGATGGTGAAACCCCGTCTCTACTAACAATATGAAAATTAGCTGGGTGTGATGGTGGGTGCCTGTAATCCCAGCTACTCGGGAGGCTGAGGCAGAGAATTGCTTGAACCCAGGAGGTGGAGGCTGCAGTGAACAGAGATCATGCCACTGCACTCCAGCCTGGGCAACAGAGCAAGACTCCTCAAAAAAAAATGTGTTTTTCACGAAAACAATGGTTAAGAGTTCCTAAGCTTTGCTGGAGTTAAGACTTCTTCCTTGAAACAGAGCCATGAGCTGAGGAGGGTGCTGGAAGTAAATTTCTTAGATGTCAGAAGTGTTTTTGAGGATCAGTGTCCTGGCAAGCAATGATCAGATGGAAGTAGGGTTATGGGAAGGGAGAAAGATAAGTGGAGGGATGCAAGAAAATTAGAGGAAAGTAAAAATGTGAGAAGGTGGGAGGCTGAGGCAGAAGGACCGCTTGAGCCTGGGAGGTCAAGGCTGTAGTGAGCAGTGAACACTCCAGCGTGGGTAAAAGAGTGAGACCTTGACTCAAAAATAAATGTGGGAGGGAACAATGGTAATAGCCAGATTGAACACCCCCTTCAAAGGATGCCTCATGGAGGTCGCTGCTTCCTTATTGAGATCCTCTGATACTGACATGGTTAATTTGCCTGGCTAGGCCATAATGTCCTATTTCACTCCCAAAATACTTTGTAATTCCTTCCCCATCTCAAATGCAATTAAGTTCTTTCTAGAGAAAGCCTGATAAAGAGAAAAATTTAAAAATCCTTCCCTGGTCTCTATCCATATATTCCCTATTTTGGTCAGACTTAGCCTAAAGAAATATGAGAAACTAGGTCCCAGCTATTTATCTTTGTTTTTATTGCATTTGCTTTTGGGTTCTTGGTCATGAAATCCTTGATCTAATTAAACTAAAGAGCTTTTGCACGGCAAAAGGAACAGTCATCAGAGTAAACAGACAACCCACAGAGTGGGAGAAAATCTTCGCAATCTGTACATCTGACGAAGGACTAGTATCCAGAATCTACAAAGAACTCAAACAAATCAGTAAGAAAAAAACAAACAATCCCATCAAAAAGTGGGCTAAGTACATGAATAAACAATTTTTAAAAGAAGATATACAAATGGCCAACAAACATGAAAAAATGCTCAACATCACTAACAATCAGGGAAGTGCAAATCAAAACCATACAATGACACCACATTACTCCTGCAAGAATGGTCATAATAAAAAAATCAAAAAACAGTAGATATTGGCATGGATGCAGTGGTCAGGGAACACATGTACACTGTTGGTGGGAATGTAAACTAGTACAGCTGCAGTGGAGAACAGTATGGAGATTCCTTAAAGAACTAAAAGTAGAACTACCATTTAATCCAGTAGTCCCACTACTGGGTATCTACCCAGAGGAGAAGAAGTCATTATTCGAAAAAGATACTTGCACACGCATGTTTATAGCAGCACAATTTGCAATTGCAAAATCATGGAACCAACCCAAATGCCCATCAATCAACAAGTGGATAAAGAAACTGTGTATTCCATGTGATGGAATACTACTCAGCCACAAAAAAGAATGAATTAACAGCATTTGCAGTGACCTGGATGAGATTGGAGACTATTATTCTAAGTGAAGTAAACTCAGGAATGGAAAACCAAACATCGTATGTTCTCACTGATGTGTGGGAGCTAAGCTATGAGGACATAAGGCATAAGAATGATACAATGGGCTTTGGGGGCTTGGCGGGGAGAGTGGGAGGACGGTGAAGGATAAGCGACTACAAATATGGTGCAATGCTTGGGTGATGGGTGCACCAAAATCTCACAAATCACACTAAAGAATTTACTTATGTAACCAAATACCACCTGTACGCCAATAACTTATGGAAAAATAAAATTAAAAACTAAATTAAAAAATAAAATGTTTTAAGTTTCAAGTAACAGAAAAAAATACAAAATTTAAATAAAAGAAATATGAGAAACTAAGTTGAACTCAACACTTTGGTCCCATTCTACACCCTCTCTTTCAAAATTCCAGTAATTCTTTTCCCCAGAAAGATGAAGTTCTCATGAAGCTCTAAAATTTGACCAGAGTTTCCCCCTCCTTTCTAAATGCCATTTCTTTCCAGGGATCCCCCAAAACAGCACAGATTACCTTAGAGGCTTAAAATCATATATGTACAAGAAGAAAAGCATTTCCATAAACCATAAAGGTGTGAATGACTGATAGTCAATAGCAGCACATTCTCTAATTGTTTCAAGGGGCTTCTTGTTAATATAATGATTCTGCAGATAATGGAATTATTAACATGCTACTGAGTTAGTTTTTAAACAATGGGTTATGTGGGGGAATGTTACGAAAAAAACAGAAAGGTGTCACTGTTACATGAACTCTTACTAGAAATTGGCCACTGGTATTGTCTCTTTAGAAAATTTCTTCTTTTCATTGTTGGTTTTCCTTTTGTCTTTCTAAATCCACAATTTCCATTAAAGTATGATGCCCATTTTATTGCTGTCGTTGTTTTTGTTGTCATCTTCCATTTTACTTCTCTATTAATCCCTTAGCATCCCTAGCTCATCTGGCACACCTGGTATACCTGGTGTGTGCTCCACTCCCCTATCCACATCCCCAGTCCTAACCCGAAAAGTCCATGCTGGGCTCTGTCCACAAGCAACTCTGCACATCGTGCCTAGTGTTCGAAGCCCACCTTGTTCTGAATCCCCTCTCTCACATGTAATTCCCAGCTCTCCCTGGCTTCTCTTTCTGCTTCCTGGCCTTCACTTGTGCCCTAGCCTAAGGCCACTGGTTTGGCGAAAGAGTCTGCCTCACAATATAGTTTTCTGTATTTCATTCCACAGGTATTTTATCTTGTTGTCTAAAATCTGTTTACTTTTGAGAGCTCTCAGAGAACTGTCATGCTCAATACCTGCCCCACAGCATGCCTGAGTTCTCCGTTGTAGAAATTGGCCTCAGGATAGGTCCAGAGAGATGACAGCTTAAGGACATTCACCCAAATGCCTTTCATCTGTCCCATGCTTGTAGGAGCACATCACTGGAAAGTGGAAAATGCTCATCTGGCAACAATAACAGGGACTTCAGAGGGGACAGCGGAGAGTAGTGGTTTTTCACATACGTAATTACAAAGTAAGGTGTTTCTTTATAGGATTTCAGGAACCATAACATCCATCAATGCAAGTGGTGACACAAAATAGTTAACATCCAATGCTAAAGAGGTGGTTTGTGAAGAAAGAGCCAAGGGTAGCACTAATCAGCAAAGTTTGTTTACAGGAGTGGGAATACAGCTTCAGGTTATCTGTATGAAGAAGAAAAAGACAGCTTTCCACAGTGTCGAGACTATGCAGAAAATCACATTGGGAGATGAATGCATTTTCCTCAGATATTTAGATTGAACCAAATGAAATGACTATTTTTAGGTGAAAAAATGGCCTAATACCAGCAATTTCATATGACCCAACCAACAGTTGAATAATGTTGCTGTGGGCTGAGGAAGGTTGGAATGGATGGAAGGTTGAGAAGATGAAATAGGGTCATCAAGGAAGGATTTTTTATTCTATGCTTGAGTTTTAGGGGGTCCTTCTTATCTGCATGAGTTTTGGGAAAGACCGAAAGTGTTTGAGAAAGTCAAGGGCATGATAAAATGGTGTTTTTGGAAAACATACCTGGAAGTGAAATTCAATGAAGGGATATCAAAGCTGACAGGTTTCTTTTTATGATTAACTTAAGGCTATGAAGCATTTCCAGGTCCTAATGAATGATCTTTCTAAAACTCAGTGACCCCCAGCCCCCACTGGTTGTCTTCCCCGCATCCAGCAACTTTTGTATACATGTTCTTATACATCTTTCTTATAAAGGAAGAATAAAGTAAAGAATCAATCTAATAGAGAATATAGATGCATGTCTAATTGGTCTCTGGGTAGGAAAAACTTTGCAAGCATAAGAATATGAAAAAAAACTGAAAATTCAATAGATTTGATCACATAAATGTTTCAAACTTTTACACATCAGAAACCAATATAAATGGAGTTAAAATTCCAAAATAAATAATTAAATATTTGGCAACAGGGCCAGATGCAGCAGCTCATGCCTGTAATCCCAGCCATTTGGGAAGCCAAGATGGGTGGATTGCTTGAGCTCAGGAGTTCAAGACCAGTCTGAGCAACATGATGATACCTTACTCTACAAAAAATACAAAAATTAGCCAGGCATGGTGGCATGTGCCTGTAGTCCCTGTTACTCCTATAGTCTCAGCTAACTCAGGAGGCTGAGGTGGGAGAATTGCTTGAACCCAGGAGGTTGAAGCTACAGTGAGCCATGATTGTGCCATTGCACTCCAGCCTGCGTGACAGAGTGAGACCCAGTCTTGAAAAAAAAAAAAGACAACATATATGAAAAGGTCATATATCATAAATTATAAAGTACATTTATACAGCAATAAGAAAATTACATCATTCTAATAGAAATGAGGCAAATTGACAGGCAAATCACAAAAAATAAAATAAAACTGATAAACACAGGAAACTATCCTCAGTAATAAAAAAGGACAAATTAACTAAAAGGCTTTTTTTGCCCATTTAATTAAAACATTTCAGAGTTACTATTCAATGCTAGTGAGAAAACATTCAGATGACTCTTCATATAGTGCCACTCCGATACTAAGCCTTTCAAGAATCTGTTAATTATATCAGAAACTTAAAAATGTTTACATTATTTGACTCAGAAATCATATAAGGAATTTAAAAGCAAAAAGAAAGGGATATACAAAGATATTCATCTCAGCCAAACGTGAAAAATAACTTTGAATCTTTAGGATTCTTAGATTAAACAAACAAACAAACAAACAAAAACAGAACCCACTTTAAGTGATTTAACAAAAAAGAAATTTATTGCAAGTGGCTCACAGAATTCCAGGGAGCGTAGAGTCACGTTTAGGGGCTCTACAGGCATATGATGGGGCCATTCCAATGAAGACTCCTATGCTGCTGTTTTTTGTCACAGAACCCACCGCTGACACCACCTAGGTTAGATTCTAACTGCCATTACTTCAGCCATCACAATCCCAAAGAGCCAGACACCAGCCTTGCTGTTGTTAACAAATGCGGATCTGCCCATTCCCAGCACATTTTCTTCCTAGGTGAAGGGTCCTGTGGGGGTGTCTGATTGATAGAGCCTAATCACATGACTCCACCTTCATTGCAAGGGAGGCTGGGAGAGGAAGTTAAGGTTTCTTACCTGGGGAGCTAGGACATGAGTATGGGAAATTCCTCTGATAGAGGAAGAATGTTAAAAAGTTCCAGGTCAGCGAAAGAATGAAAAATGCCCTGCACAAACCTAAATACCACCCCAATCGGAGAATAGTTACATAAATTTATATCCAAAGAATGGCTTAGTATGGGGTCAACTAAAAGTCATATTTTAAGAATATTTACTGGTGTGGCACATGATAAAAAACATATATGACAATATATACATACAAAACTATAAAGAAGGGTTCTATTTTTAAAGATATGTGGGGGAAAAGAACTTAAAAGTCAACATAAAATATTAAACATGGATAAAAGGCGTAGTTTTTATCTTCTTTAATGTTTCTGTATTTTGTATAATTACCACACATTTTGTAATAAGGAATATCTATTAAAATTCTAACTTCTTATGTGTTGGATTATAGATATTAATAAATTATCATGACATGAGTGTAATGTAATTTGCTATGCTTTGCCTGCCAAGACATCTTAGGTGCTCAGATGTTGCATCACCTGAGGTGCTCAACTCCATCCATAGCCAGTAAATAGCTGAAAAGGAAGGAAACTGTTTATTGTGGGTCTACCCACATGTCTACTTGGCAAGCCCTTGTTTTTTGTTATTGTTTTTGTTTTTGTTTTGAGACAGAGTCTTGCTCTGTGGCTCAGGCTGGAGTGTGTAGTGGTGCGATCTCGGCTCACTGCAACCTCTATCTCCCAGGTTCAAGCGATTCTCCTGCCTCAGCATTCCGAGTAGCTGGGATTACAGGCGCATGCCCCCATGTCTGGCTAATTTTTGTACTTTTAGGGGAGACGGGGTTTCACCATGGTGGCCAGGCTGGTCTTGAACTCCTGACCTCAAGTGATCCACCTGCCTAAGCCTCCCAAAGTGCTAGGATTACAGGCGAGAGCCACCGCGCCCAGCCTAAGCTCTTGTTATCTAAACACTCCTTGAAAATAAATTCTACATTCAGCAGCCCAGATTTATCACCTTCTTTCCTTGTTCAGTGTTTAGCAATCCAGTTTCTGCTCCCAATGTTGTGTCAAAAGATCTCTTAGCCAATCACCAATGACCTCCTAATTGGTAAGTCTACTTTATGTTTTTCCTGTCCTTGAATTACGACTTCTCTCTGCTATACTGCATTTTTAATATTCTCCTTTGTTAGGGTTTACTTCCATATTCCTGTTGAATAGGAAAGGGTACTACACTCTCTCTGTTTTCCTTTTATCTATCCACTCCTTTTTATTTGTAAATAAATATTTATTTGGCTTTCTATTATATTCCAGGTACACCTGTGAGCAAGATTGGTAAAGTCCTTGCCCTGAAGGAACCTCCATGTTGGGGTTGGTGAAAGGAATATTAAAGAAACAAATAAACACATAAACAAAGCAATTTTATTTTAGGCTTCTTAACCTTTCTCTACTTCATACATAGGCTTCTTTCTTCCAGCAATCATTTCATCTTAGTGTTTTTTGGGGTTCCCTCTTACTGTCTCTTCTCATTATGCACACTTTTCTATCCTTTCTCATAGTTTCAACAAATCTGTTTAGTCTTGATCTCACCCACAACTCATGTATACAACTGTCCATCCACTGATATCTCTACCTGGTTGTCTGGCAAGCATCAAATTCAAGAAATGTCAAGATAAATTTGTTATATTCTTTCAACTTGCTTCTTCAGGAGGGATCTTCTCAGATGAAAAGTCTACCCTAGCCTAAAAACTACTATATACTCATGGAAAATGCAAATCATTACTCATCATTCCTATGTCTCTAATCTCCCAGAGTACCAAAATAAAGTACTGGTTTTCATCTCTGATCTTCCAGAACAATCCACATTATAAGTACAGTGACTTCTTTATTCTAAAATTTGTAAATAAATAAATGCAACCTCAGGGACATGCATGCACAATGAATCCTTGGAAGCCAAGTTTAAGTCTGGTGTTCCTAACTAATTCTATTCATTTCTGGAAATAGGTATTTACAATAAGATGTTAACATCAGAAATCTTGATTTCTATTTCCCCACACATCTATGTTACAAGTTTCCAGTTAATATCAGGCTCTGAACATCATGGCATCTCACTAAAAACTAGGAATGTACTAGGCCCTTAATAAATATGTGTCCGTTATCTCTTGTGTTTACTTAGAGATCCTGTACCTTGAGGCTGCTGCTGGCCAGTCACTGAGAATGAAACAAAACAATGAGAATGAAAATGAAACTGAGTAACTTGTTTTCTATTTTAACAAAAGGTTTTGAATTTGTGCTGCGAAGTAAAGGATACACGTATGTCTTTGATTAAACATTATGTGATGTATTTTCTGCCCTTACCTCTTGGCTTTGTTATTGTCGAAGATGATTTGAGATCTGTTTTATTTGTTTAACAACTGTTTGGCAATCAAGTGAATCTACTGTATTTTCCACAGCGTAGTCTTTTCCTTTCTTTTTCTTAAAAACCTAACAAAACAAACAACATCAGGGCAGTAGCCTCATGTGTGCTGGCCTGACCTGCTATCCAATCCGATTGGGCACAGGTTTCCATCCTGCTCACCCAGCAACCTGGGATGCAAGTCTACTAGCTGGCTGGGCTCATGTTCCCTCAGCCAGCTGAGTTGCTAGCCTCGGGAAGATGGTATCCTTTTTCAAGACAGAAAGGCAGCTGCTGGAGGCCACGGACCTGGACCTGGAGAAAGGCACACACGGACACCTTAGGTGGCACCCTGTCTATATTGTACCCTAAAACCTCTTCGTTATTTGCAGGAAAACACTTGCAAGGTACAGAGTGAAGTCCAAGCATATTTTATAGAACAGGTTGATTACAGCTATTAGAATCCAATTCCAATCTATATCATCACCTTCTAAAAGCACTCATGTTTTTCCCTCAAAACTTTTGCATGTCGCTTTTATTCTGACCAAGGTGAAATAAATGCCTGATTACTCCCACAAGCCTGAGTCTTCTCCCTCCCTATCCTCTGTCTGTATGCTTTCATCCCTGTCTCTGTTTTTCTGTCCTCTCTCTCCCTCTTTCCTCATACTCCAAAGGAGAAAAGGGCTGAGGAAGAAGATGTGAAACAGGCTTCATTGCCTTTAGCTGCTTCTAGAATGCTAAACCACTAATAATAACAATATTCACCATAACGAAGAAACGGGTCCAAAAAAGACTAAAAAACCTCTAACTCACATTCAGGTTATTTAAACCCCAGCATTTACAGGAGCTCGTTAAGAGAGATGGTGCATGACAACGCTACCCACGAATAAGGATGAGAACTTTAAAAGCATTTCTTTAAACAAGCAGAAAAAAAGAAAAAGAAATGCACCATCCTCAGACCCAGATGCAGGGATTGGGAAGGGGAGCAGTTATTTGCTAAAGGTGTGCCTCTCCACCCCCATTTTGGGGATCTTTGTATACACAATCCAGCCCCAGACAAAAGGAACAGGGCAGCTTTAGAGTCTTCAGAACTGGGGGCTGAGGAGGCGAGGGAAGAGAGGGGCATGATTGATGGAGTTCTGGTTGGCTTATAAAGGGCAGCCGGGAGTGCAGGGAAATAATCAGGGAAAAGGGCGTCCCGTGCTGGCTTTCTCAGAGGGGCGAAATGAATCCTGCTCCTCTGCATTATTAAGTTGTCAGGCGGGCTGATGATGAAAATCTGAAGGTCAGGCATAACAAGAAGCACCTTATGGGGGGGATCACGACCTTTCTGAAAGTGCTACACTCATGTTTATCTGCACCTAACCCTTATCCACAATTCTTCATTTGATAAGAACATTGGGAGAGGGGGAGGCAGGGAGGGGTGTCTCCTCATATGTATAAGCAGTGAGTGAAATTAGGCTTCCCGTGAAACTGATTGTAGAGGCTCAATTCACAGTGAAAGATAATAAACCAAAAGGACACACGAGGGATGCAGGCAGAAATTGTTCGCTACAGTGAAACTCAATAAAGGGAACAAGAGCTTCCCTAAATGACAAATTTGGTACAGTGGTGCTAAAATCAGGATTCTCCCTGGAATTGCCACAGCAATTCACTCTCGGCAGTACCACTTTTTATTTACTTTGGAGATCCTAATGGCATGGGGTGAGGGCTGCTTTTGGGGAATGTTTATTTCTTTATCTGCTTGCTTTAAACCAAAGACTCAAGGTGAAGGATAATCAGACACATTTTTTTTTTCTATTTGATATTTATTTTTGTTTGTTTTTGAACTGAGAATGGAGCGGCCGTTCTCATGTATCTTGTTCGTGTGTGTGTGTGTGTGTGTGTGTGTGTGTGTGTGTGTGTGTGTGGCGGTGGGGGGGGTGGGGAGTTTGTATTTTTCATGTGAAGAATCCTTTTCCAGGTGTTCTCCATTTCTTGGGAATTGAGGAAGTACTTGGGATTCTCAGCTGGGAATCATAGACAAAATCTCTAACTGATCACAAAAATAAACATATCACTTGTAAAAATAACATTGGAACAATTCACAAGCTACAGTTCAGGCTTCTAGCAACACTTCCAAATCTAGTTGTTTATCCCTGTTTGTAAAACGAGGATTCTTCAGATTTTGACTCTTTGGCAGTACCATAACGTGAAAAATGTAGCATTTACAAAATCATCTACTTTTAAAGTTGAAGATATATTTGAAATTGCACAGAAACAAAATTTTGGCAAAATGAGGACTGAAAATAATTTACCTGTGGAATAAGAAAAACGTTCTCAAAGTCAGTTAAGAATTTGACCTTCCTGGAAAGGAATTCTCTAAAATCTGGAAAGAAGGAAAATGTCATATAATGCCCCTCATATTTCTTTTGCTTATTTCTCTTTTAAGGAGTAAAACCTGATTGTCAACATGATACTTTGAGATGGACCTATTACCAAATGTGCAGACTTCTATTTGAGTGGATGATATTCAACCTGGATTTATATTCTTTTATTTGCTAGGACATTTTTTATACTTTCCTCAGGTTCTTAAAGTTTATCTCCATAAGCTTCTTGCTATCCCGTCTACCAACTCATATGCACAGAAACATTATCCCAAATAGATAAGCCATATATAAACTAAGAAAAAATTCCATTTCAGTTTCTCAATTCCACATAGAAGTAAAAATGCAGTATATATATTATAACTTAACTGACCCATCACTCTTGCCGTATACATTTGAAGACCACATCCGTGCTTTTACCTCGCATGTGTCTCCCTATGTAGTTGAGATAAAATCACTACTTTTCTATCATGCTCATATTCATAATGATTGTTTAAAAATTGGACTCCTGCTATAAAAAGTAGCATTGGGACATACAGTGAAACAATGTTCACCAGCCACCAGCGATGTTACACTCAAGCATGTATTTATTATTTTTCTTTTTTCTTTCTTTTTTGTTTTCATTTTCCTTTTTTTGCCAGAAAAGATAGGTTTAAAATTGATTAGACACTCTGGCTTAGACTATCTTGACCCAGAAGCCAGGATGAAAGTGAGACACAGGGAGTCTCCCATTGGTAGCATGGCTGACATGCCCGGGTGCACCAAGGCTGACTTTTCACATAGGCCGGAACAAGTGCTGAGAGATGAGCCCGTAGGAATATCATTGCACAATTATTTTTGATAATTTTAAATAAACATCATCCTTTCGATTCTTTTGTAGGCTAAAGTATTGGTATCATTTGGAATGTATTTTACACAATATTGATCAGAAAATATTAAATCCATGTCTCATTCAAACAAATCTTTAAAAAGTCAAAGTTCAGCTTCCCACTAGCTCCTTTTGTCCAGTTGCATCCATATAATTGGCCAAGATGTCTGTCAGACTTAAGGGTGGATTTTCCAATGACATAGTATATCATCAATTGCCCAGCCACATCTTAACTATACAGAATATTACAAATAATAACTACCTTTTTGTTATACAACGTGTGAGAATGAAATTTTATTTTTTTACTTTGCTTCTTTAAAATCTTTGCATTTCTTCTTTAAAAAATAGGTTTGAATCTGCTCCCAATAAAAGATGTAAACATATTACATAGAATTAGATTTAAAAATTTATAAATAGAATTGAAGACATTGAAAGTGATGTTATTAGAGCTGGTGACTTTAACAGTGTGAGATCGGCCCCTGGATCTCTCCCCACTGGCCATCTGATCTTTATTACCTGCCTCAGCTCTCCACCTCCCTGCCTTCACTGCCTCATGTTTGGAGTGTGTTGTGTGACCTCAATACATTCCTGTGATAAGATTATGTCTGTGGTTCTAGGGCCATGACATTCAATTTGTCTAGGCTTCCACCAAGTTTTATATCACATTCAGAAAATTATCCTAAAATATTGGTAACACTTGTATGTATGGAAGGGGCCCAGTCTACTTAAACCTTGGTATTCAAGCTGTGGTCCCGGGACCAGAAGCATCTGTCCCCTGGCAGACCAGCAGCACACTGGGAGCTTGGTGCAGATGCTCTGGTCTTAGACAGCCCAGACCCACTCACTCAAAAACTGCATTTTCACAAGATCTGAAGTCATTCCTATGCACATTCCAGCTGGACTGAAATAGAAGCAGTTTGGCATTTTCTTGGGCTTCATATACCGTAGTAGAGGGCAAGTCTGCTCTCAATTACATGGCAATTGCAGATGCCTGCTACCTCTACAGTATAGTTTTCCTTGGTGAGTTGACAAACACATAACCTTTCTCTACTTATCTTCCCCCTGGCTGAGCAGAAAGCATCAAAGAGAAGTCAGAAGATAGTTTTTGTGGAAGCAGAAATCCCTAGAGAAAAGGAGGTCTCCATTTCCCACTAAAAGTATGACTCAAAAGGTAACCAATAATAGATCACCCAATAGCAAATACCTGTGCACCAAGTTAATTTTAAGTTGCAATAACAATAATAAAAATGGATATTCTTTTTTTTTACATTAGCTATGTCAAGAGAAAAATGCATTCTATTCTCTTGATGCATTTTGTAAGCTGCCTTTTCTTTCCTTATCTTTGCATAGGGCAAAAAAATACTACTTGTGTTTTTAAAGGTACTGCAAGGTGAATGCTACCTATCACAGTACCCTTTGTTTTATTTTCAACTCTGCAAGAAACTACCATGACTTTTTACTGCTGTCTTTGTTATACATTCTCAATTTTATAGGGCAATCGATTCAAATCCATTTTAAATCTCAATGGGCTGGAACTTGGCATGCAAGTTGGTTGGCCAGGTGCAAGTTTCTCTCCAAAATATGACAAAAGTCATGGCTGAAATATAGAGCGGCAAAATTGTTGGAGAGTTTTGCCAAGCTGCGGCCAAACAAGGCTGACTGTTATTAGCAAGGGGCAGAAGGGCAAACTAGGGGGAGGGAGAGAATGTGGGCAGTATGCCATTTGCATGATGATCAAACTAGCTTTAAAAAAGGAAAACCACTTTGCTTGTTTCTGTTTGTGCTTTTTTAAGCTATTTGTTCATGTTAAAAAAAAAAAGAAGGTAGTTCAGAGACCTAAGAATTCAGAAAACAAATGAGACAGGAGAGGTGAGATTGGAAAAGCTTTAATGATCTTAAGCTAGATATTCAATCCCCCTAAAGTTCTATCTCAATGACACCTCAAGATTCAGTTTCAACTGCCATTGCATGAAGCTTTGCTGTAGCACACACAGTTTATGTACCAATGAGCAGATGCTGCAAAATAAGGATGAAACAGTTGCTTGTTCGTTTTAGATAATCACAGCAGATTAAGCAGTAGTTTCATTACAGTGTTTTTACTATGCATTATTTTTACTATGCAGCGTCCTTTGAAATAATGGGAATTGATTTCACAGATCTTTTGCATATTACTGATACTGAGTAATGTTGCCGAGTAAAACCTTTTCTATCCTGCCACTGTGAAAAGGCACTAATTGGGGAAGAAGAAGGTTCCCCTATGGAAGTCTCTCTTCCGCAGATTTGAGGCTGGGAAGCAATTGAGCCAGGGAAGCTATATGTAGGCCTTTGTGGTTTCGCAGCTGTAGCTTTGTGTCCTGATTTAGCTGACCTAAAATTCATGCACTCCCAGATCACAGAGCATTGGCTGCACTGCCCTTGGTTTCCCCTTCTTGGCCCTCAGCTCACCCCTGCCCTCCCCCCTCCTCCAACACATTTCACTTGCTGGATAAAACAACTGGAAATGAGCTGATGATGAATGAGGAATCTAGAGAATGAATGCAGAGAGAAAGATCATTGATGTCTTCTGAAATCAGACATAAACTTTAAAATGCATTGAATTTTTCACTTCTACATTGAGTCACTTGGTGTACAGTCCATCTCTACCGGGCTGTTTGGCTACATTCCCTGACTAGCATATCTGCAAACCTACTCACCAATGGGCATGTTAAGCGAAGACAGACCTTGTCTCTCTTCTCCAAAGTTGCCTTTATCACAGTTTGACTTGGCTATGATCTCCTTATTCCTCTTGGACACATTTTTTACAGGGAGCATCTATGGTTTTGCTCAAGCCTCTGTCTCTAAGTCAATGGAAATTTCCTCTTGCTGGGAGTGAGGAGATCTTCAGTATTGGGAAAATACAGTAAGAGAGGCAACAGGCAAACTGGAATGGATTCCAGTGCAGTGTTTTGTCATGAATATAGCTGCAGGACTTGCTCAAGACATTTAACTTCACTGCAAGCTCACTTTCTCCGTATGCAACTTCGGAGTGATTAAGGCAGTCTTCACCTTCACCACTCTTACCTTTGGGGAGTTCTGCTATTAAACTCCCATATGATAATTCATTTACATCCTATTATCAACACTGTAAGCAAGCCAGGCAGTACTGAGCTGAAGACATTAGGAAGAGGCTGGAAGATTTACTGATTTTATCTGACAAAGTCTGAGAACAGGACATGACAAGATATTTCTCTTCCAGTTAGTACGTGGAAATACTTGGGCAGAGAAAGTCTATATAACTCATTAAAATATTTTAGATGATAAGGTTGGGTAGATTCAGTAGTAATATTCTAGAATTATTTTAAATGTAATTTGTGTGGGAGCAATCTGTTTCAGTACACTTCAAGGATAAAATGATCAGCAAAGACTCAGAAGTATCTTGTTCTATGAGGCTTTCCAGGGAGTTCAAAGTCGATTGGTTCAACCTAGAGTTACAATTGTGACAGCTCAGGAATTGATCTGGAAATTTCCCAAAATGTGTTACCTGTTTCCCCAACACTGTGTCAGTGAGATGTCAATGGTTAGTCCACACACACAGAGTTAGTTTTCATGATTAAAAAGTTTGTGAGATTTGGGCTGAAATACAGTTAAACTGGTTTTTCAATGGCAGGATGTTGAGAGTTTTATCTGCAAATGTGCACCATGAATCTCCTAGAGAAAGATGGCCTTCATACTGTCTTTATAACCTATAGGGCCACAGAACTCTCTGGAGGAAAATACCAGTTAATACCTTACTAAACCAGTGCACCTCAGAACACAATTTGTTAAACAATGATATAAATCCAATCTGTTGGAAACAAACAGAAGTAGAAATCCAACAGTAACTCCTAGACATAGCTTTAAATAGATAACGTTTACAAACTTTGGACAATGATTATTAGGTTACTCTTAGTTACTTTTACATATCCTTGTCTTTCTTGGTAGAAAAGGACCAAAACCTCACTAAAAGCCATTTTAAGTGGTAAGTAAAGATGATTCATGCATTATTAGCTATTTGGCTTAAATTTTTAAAAATTTTAATTTTTTTTTTTTTTTGTCAGGGAGTCTCGCTCTGTCACCCAGGCTGGAGTGCAGTGGTGCCATCTCGGCTCACTGCAAGCTCCGCCTCCTGGGTTCATCCCATTCTCCTGCCTCAGCCTCCCAAGTAGCTGGGACCACGGGCACCTGCGACCAAGCCCGGTTAATTTTTTGTATTTTTAGTTGAAACGGGGTTTCGCCGTGTTAGCCAGGATGGTCTCGATCTCCTGACCTTGTGATCTGCCCGCCTCGGCCTCCCAGAGTGCTGGGATTACAGGTATGAGCCACCACGTGGTATTCATAGCCTGCCATAAGGAAACCCCAATATGCCATTTAAACTAGATCACCCATTACACAGAGATCAAGTGATGTAATTTTAGTAACATCAAACCCACCATGTGCTTTCTTTCCTCCTGCCTTGGTTCAGACAGTGTTTCCTACCTAAAAATCCTTTCACCCTTATGGCCACTTTTTAAATTCTTTTTATCCTTGACGAACCACATCAGTGCTAAGAAGCTTCCTTTGATCTGCTTATAACTAATCTTTTCCTCTTTGGTTCTTACTTAGCAATGTGTACTACTGCTAGTTACTGGGCACACATTCCTCCTATTATATTTAGCTCTTATTATTATCTTAATTCCTACTCTATGCGTTTATTCCGAGCCAGCCATAGGACTAAGTTTTGCATACATGATCTTATTAATGTGTAATCTATGCAATGATAAGTACCTATCTGTCCCCACACAGGTACTCTACCCGCATCCCCATGTAATCACTCTCTTAACAATGATGGGGGCTTAGTGAAGTTTTTTGAAATCCCTGAATTGTGCTAAAATTGATTTCAATTGGGTGACTAAGACTAAATGTCTCAGATGAAAGTATGCCATTTTTCCAAGTTTCTTTTGCCTTGGTCAATGTCCAAAAGATGTCCTGCATTAGTATCTTGCTATGTTTGCTATGTTTGATGACATTTTGCTTTGTGTTAGACACCTTCTTAGTCCTTAGAAATCATGAGATGCTGACTGACTGATAATATCCCATGCTCTAGCATGGCTATTTTTTTTTTTTTTTGGACCAAGGGTTATTCCTGGGGCTACATGAACCTGTTTTTGAAAAAGTGGCATTCTTTGTTCCATCCAAAAGCAGCAGAGATGCCATCACTTGGCTTACATTAGCTGAATGAAGAGTCCTACTTCAGTTCAGTACACTTCTCCTGAGTGCCAAGACTTGCCCAAGACATTGTGGATACAAAGTTAATTAAGACATCTCATTGTGCACTAATGGGTAACACACATTGATAAGACATTATTTTAACAGAATGTATTAAGTTCTAAGGCTGACATATACTCTGGGTGCTATGGAAGTCCTAAAAGAGGCATGTGCCCTAGGATAAAGCTTTAAAAGCCCCAATTAATCCTAGTTTCTAACATTTTGGGACTTACAGCCAAGAATTCTTGTCTATGTGTCTATCTAAAGTTAAAAGAAATCATTGTTTGGCTTCTCACATCTCTAGTTGAAAATCTTCTACCTTGAAAAAATTCTGTATGTGGTCAGTCTTGGAAGTCCGTCCTAAGTAGTGTCTGTGTCACCCACACCTGACTCTCCAACTAAGGGGAGGAAGGAGCTAGTCTTTCTTTCAGCTGGAATCAATTTTTTCTACCCAAGTCCATTTGCTAGAATTAATTGTTTCGGAAGAAGCTCAATTTTGCTGGAAAATCCAGAAAAGATTTTAGTTACAGCTCCACATAATAAAGCAATTGTGTAATTAGTAATACATTTGTCACTCCTTTACTGAGTGGTGGGGGGCAGGAGGGAGGGCAGGGGGGAGGGGAGTAACCCATGTATTGCTTTAGTGTAAATCCTGACAGTGGTGATTTTTTTTTCAGGGAATTATACCATTATACCATAAAAGTGTCAAGGCACAAGTTTACTGTTCCTACTAATATTCTAAAATATTCTCTTAAGCTGACATCTCTGTCAATTAAAATTAAACAAAATTGCATTCTGCCATATACATTTCAAGGAGGAAGCATTTGAGTTTATGGCTGCTCTTTGAATTGATTTTTAACATGGCATCTGTAAAACTTGGCTCGAACAAGATGAGGTGGGATGTATTTAAGGACCAGTCAATTAAAAAAATGTGTTTAAAGATCATAAATTGACAGGCAGAATAGACTGCACATGCCTCCAGGTTTCTCAGCTATTAAAATAAATCCAGCCATTCTTTTGAATTGAATGTTTGCGCTGACATAATTCAGTGCCAACACGCTTCCGACTTGTTTTGGGTTTTCAGTGTTTTTACAGAGAATAACATAAACAAGGAAGCTTGTGAGTGTCGCTTCCAGTTGCTCAATTCGCACAGATTTGGGAAAAGTCCTTCTCCTGGTGTTTCCCACAGCGGAGCAGTGGGAACGTGCTTTCTCACGGGACATTGGTTCTCAGGGAGGAGAGCAAGGGCAGTGAGCACTTTTGGCAGAAGTGCGCTGCTAATAAAGTCTTCGGGGAGATCACCCCCTGTGATAGGAAGATGAGCAAAGTAAATCTCTGTTCCAATTCCTTTAAAAGGAATTTAAGAAGCCGTCTTTGGGCTCAGCCCTCTGATTGCCAAACCTTAATGTACAATGTTTTATTGATGCATTTAAGGCAAGTATTATTTAATGATCCAGAGTTTCTAAGGGCCAAAGTACTTTCCTCATTCTTTGTTAAGCACCTTTTGGAAGCTCAATGTGCCTTTTCAGGTCACCTGGTTACCACTTAAGAGAAAGAGATAATATCCTAAGCAGCTTAAAAGGGTTTATGCCCTTTCAAGCAAGTTCACAAATGATGTTCTGGCTTGGCCACTGTCCCGAATAATTTGGGTATGTGTGAAACATCCATATTCTTAATGGGCAGATGCTTTGTCTAGACAGAGAGGAAAAGGTGTCCCTGAAAAAGCAGGGAGGAATGGGGGAAACTTTCTTCTTTGCTTTAAAGTCAGGAGGCCAGGCTGTGAAGGGACAATCAGGCAAGGAGTATTTGGGTCTTGCCCAAAAGGATGGCATCTTCCTTATGGGTCATTTGTAAACCTCTATAAATTCTAAGGCCACAGCATCACATCCAGCTTTTTCACTGGTGAATCCACCACGCCAATCATACCGGTACTATATGGTATGGGCTACATAAATACTTCTGAAATTATAAATAAATGAATAAGCAGATTGAACTCTGGTGTCCCAATTTTTAAAATATTTCTGCCAAAGAAGTGGAGTAGCTAAAAATACCTAGAGAGGAAGTCACATGGAGAAAACCTACCCAGGGGAGACTCTTGTTGGGTTTTATAGAGACTCACAGAGACCACAGGGGTATGTAACACTCCCTGGAGGAAAATCCAGGAGACAGAGTTGCTTTCACTCTTTTGGTTGTCATCCTCTCTTCCCTCTTTCAATCTCGAACTCTTCAGTAGCCATGGTTCCTGTGTTCTCTCTCTCTCTTTTCCCTCCTTCTGCTCCTGTTGGGTTAAGGTATGTCTCTAGAGGATGTCTACTGTGTGCTGCACATCCAAATTACATTTGTGGATGGTGGTCACTAGAGACCTAGCACAGGACAGGGGTGGTGATACAAGATCAATGTCCAGACATGAGTCAGGTAGGCAAAGTGCACAGAACCAGGAGAACCAAGTGGCCAAGAGAATCCAACTTCTGTTCTTAGCCATACTGCACGGGTAGCATGAAACTGGTCCCTCAGAGAAAGTTTGATTTATAACACCGTCCCCTGCCCAACCCACAATCTGGAAATACTAAACAGTTTTTTTTTTGTTTTTTTTTGTAACATAAAGCTGTGTTACACAAATTCTTGAAATGTCTGACATGGTAATAGGGTGTATTTTAGTTGATTATTGATTCACTCCACATTTTTTTCATTTTAATAAATATTTACCAGGCTCCTACTATAGGTAGAGGTGCAGTTCAAAGAATCTTGGATTCCGATAGGAATGACAATAAAACTCTTCCTAACGGAATTTATATTCTAGTGAGGAGTATAAGAAAGATAACTTTTAAGTAAATATCTATGTATGTATACACAGCAAGATGATAGGGAATGTGGGTAGGGGGTATTGGAAGGGGGTGAGAAAGGGTGCAGGAAGTGGTAATATTTTCAAAGGGTGCTTGGGAGAAGCTTCCTAAGAAGGTGCTATTTGCATAAAGAACTGAAGAAAGTGAAGGAGCCAATCTTGCAGATTCCCACCCACCATCTTAGCCCTCTGTCACTCTTGAACACTTGGCACTCAATGAATGGCATTATTATCCAACCTAATTAGGTAAATCATAAAAAAGTGGTCCTTGAATCATCTCTCCTCCTCATCCATGAGCCCCATCCAAACATCTCTGTGTTCACTGGATTGATATTCTCAATGGATCCCTCAGATCTTAACTCTTTCACCCATTTCCATTATCCCCTGTAGTCTTGGCTATCATCATATCTCATGGCCTACCTGTTTTAATCTGTAGTTACTCTTGGCCTCTCATATCTCTTCTCCACACATTAGGGATGTCTGTGTTCTATATTTTCAAACACGTGTTTGATTATTTTACTTTACTTAAAAATTTTAGTGGCTTTCAATTGTTCTGAAGATAAAGATAATAATTCCTAATTTGGCCCATAAGACTTATAGCTTTCCCTTTCCTGCAACAGGTTTATGCCTGTTGTGACAGTGTCATTCTTATTAGCATCCCCTTTCATTCTCAAAAGAATCTAGGTTTGGACCATAAATTACATGGTCAGTTTTCTCCTGACCAAGTTTATATTCTTAACTGGTGAACACCAAAATTATTCTCAACTTCTTAAAGAAATATTTTCTGAACAAACAGAAATTTGTTTTTTGAACAAACGCATTTTGATTGAGACAAAATACAGGTACTAGCAGCTTAGGAGCCATGTTTCAAAAAAAGTATTTTTCATTGTTCCCCTGAGAAGAAAGGAGAGGCCATGGGGCCCTTGACCCAATGAATAAGGAAAAAAGAGGTTGGTGACAGAGAGATGTTAATTCATGCATTGTGAGTTTGAATGATGTGTTTTCTTTACACCTTCGAGTTAAGATCACCTGGATGACTAAACCACAGTTCAACTTCCCTTTCACTGTTATAAACCGTGGAAGTTAGTCTAAGCTTCTGGATTTCTTTCAAAGATTCAACATTTCACCATATGTGAAATCAAAATTTATAGTCATCTCATGATAAATTTTAAAAGGTGGCATGAGCTTCTGTTTTCAGATGAGAAAATAAGATTTTTAAATTTTTTTTAAATAAATGAACTTTGTAGTGTTGTTGAATGTTACTGGAATGTTAGCCTTTTGTTAAATCTAAATTATTTATTCATCGTTTGTGTTTGAAGCCTGCTAACGTTTCAGAAGACTGCTGAAAGAGTCTAGGCAGATGCTGCTGTACATAGAATTCTGTTCCACACTCTGGAACTGGACATGGTTTGAATTCCAGCCCCACCCTTAATGATCCATGTGACCTTGGCAAGTCTCTGTGTGTTAGTTTCTTCATCTGTGACAGGGGTTAATAATTGTGAAGACTAACAGAGATAACTTGTGAACAATGTGTAAATGTTCTCTGGCAGATGATAGACCCACTGTATTCCAAGTCTGTAGATTATCTTTATTACTAGTTATTGAGCCCCTAATATGTAACAAACTATATGTACCCTTACTCTGTTCTTCATAACCAAGTATATTTTTCATATTCCCATGAAAAAGCTACCCATATAATTTTTTTTTTTTTGAGACGGAGTTTCACTCTTGTTAGCCAGGCTGGAGTGCAGTGGCATGATCTTGGCTCACTGCAACCTCCACCTCCCAGGTTCAAGCGATTCTCCTGCCTCAGCCTCCCAAGTAGCTGGGATTACAGTTGCCCACCAACATGCCCAGCTAATTTTTGTATTTTTGGTATAGACGGGATTTCACCATGTTGACCAGGCTGGTCTTGAACTCCTGACCTCAGGTGATCCATCTGCCTAGGCCTCTCAAAGTGCTGGGATTACAGGCATGAGCCACTGCACGTGGCTGCTACCTGTATCATTATTAAACACCTCCATTGGCAAGTATTTAAGGAACAGTGAACACAAACAACAATGCATTCAGCATTCTGACATGCCAAACCTTCTATCCTCGGACTACAACCTGAGAAAATTATATAAAAAGATGCTTTGAGTCTCTCATGATTGACCACCATCCCTCACCCTTCAGCCTTATTTCACTCTCTTGTGTAACTCATATACACATTTATGCCCCACACATTCCTCTAAGTGTCCATCTCACTTCTGAGTGCTGCTTCACTTACTGGTGGCCATGAACTGTGAAAGATGCATAAGTCATGTCTATGTCTCCAAAGAGCTTACGAGATACTTACATAAAGATAACATATACATAAAACCACAAGTAAGGGAACACAAATGGGCACAACATTGTTTTCCATACTTTAAAAATAACTATTGTATGTGTGTTCCTCACTCAATTTGCCTTTTGAAAGAATGTTGTGACTAGCTGTTCCTATCTGTTCAAATTCCTTAGACTTATTGACTTTTATTTGCTTCACACTCAGATTTGGTTAATAGCTTTGCATATTCTGAGACACTTTTCCCAATTTTTTGTCCACCAATTTGAATTATTTCTTTGGTAAACAGCCAGCTCTTGATGTTCTGCATACGCTAGGTTGAGAACACAAACATCAGTATATTTATATCAACTTGAGATCCCTAAAAATTGACTTGGACCATCATGTAATTCTGAAATACACTTTGAGACGAAAGTATGTCTGTCTAGTTAGTTATTCTCTGAAAAAGATCCCCAGAGGAGTTTGGCCTGACCCCAGAGTGTTTTTCTTCGTTGCTGGAGGGGGACAGTCTTGAGCCTAGCCCCACTGCAAACTATATAACTGTTTATTTTGATTCCCAGGCAGATCTCTATGATAAATAAAGAAGACTTGCTTTGCATGTAGATATTTATATTTTAGAAATGTGGTCCAGGTTTCTCAGCTCATACCATTCTGCATGAAATATAATCAAATGGGTGAGGATAACAATAAAAATGTCAATGAAAGACTCTCATAAGCAACCGGGCTGGGCTTCTCAACCCTAATTCAAGCACTTCCCTGATTCAGGCAGAGGCCTAGCCAAGTTCAGAATCCTTAACCATAATGATTGGAATCCTTTGTCCATTACAGGTTAGTTCTGTTCTTCCCTGTTTCATTTCCAGAGGCCACAATTGTTCTCTGTATTATCTACTTTGCTCTCCCATTTTCTGTCTATTTGCTCCTGGTCTCTGCTGAGGACATGGTTGAATCTAAGGCTAGTCACGGTCTCCTGAGATCATCTCCATCATTACTGTCATCTTCATGCAGTTGGTCACCCATGTGGCCATCACCATTTTGGCAGAGAAAAATACCAAGCAAAATACAACCTTACTAATAGGTAGAACAATCAGGGACCTTGTCTCTTTGTTACTTTACAACAGATTTATTTTACAATTTTTTCAGTGAGTGCTGCCACCTTTCCCCAGGAGTTGGCAGAATCTATCAGAAAATCCAGACACAGGACAAAATGAACATCACTGCAGAATTGACAGTCAAATCAACCCATTCTCACCAGCGTTTAGACAGCCCAATGCTAGAGGGGGTGCCTCAACTCTCTCTTTGCTCAAGTGTGTTGCTTTCTCATCCAGCTACCTTGGAGGGTTAGGAGTAGCTGTGCGCATGTCACTTGAAGGTTATAGTTCCAAAGGATAGCTGATAAGATCAACATATTCTACCATATTAGGTAATGCAAAGTACTGGCTCTAGACCCCTGGGCCATGACATATGGCACACTGATACACTGTAAACTCTCAGGAAGTACCATCAGGTTTTTTTGATTTGTAAACTTTCTCTTCTTTATAACCGCATATACATATCCGTATTTGTTGGTGTTTGGTCTAAGCTTTGCTAAGAAAAAGAAAACAAAAACATAATGACGAGATACAAGTTAGTATCAGTCATAGAATAGTCCAAAGTGTGTGGGAGGCCTGGGGCAGTAGTCGACTCTGCTACAAGTGGTTGTAGAACCCTAGCTGCTTCTGCAGTGAACTCTTGCAACTCAGCAATTCCCTAAAGTTGAGCTTTCTTGGATACATGGCCAAACTTGGCCCACAAGATTCATGCCTGTGTTACACATGTTCCACAGGAAGGAGGAAATCAAAGTCATGGAGAGCAAGGAAGTAAAAAGGGAATTACACACATCACATTTTGCTTCCATTGCATTGGCAAGAAGGTGCACATGGACAAAACAAGATGCAAGTAAGTCTGAGAAATGCAGCTTTCAGTTGGATGGCTACTTGCTAGCTAAAGCTCAGGGGCTCGGGGGCAGGGCTCTGTTATTAAAAAGAAAAATGGAAGACTAGTGACTGGATGACAATTAGCAGCCTTAATCGCAATACTGTTACAGTGATCCCTACAGGGTGTAGTACTGAGCTGAATGGCTCATGTGGTGCAAGGTGTGCTGGGCACAATTACTCCACCTTTGGACTAATGTGTCAGGCTGAAAGTGGAACTTTGCTTGGTGAATCCGTAAATGGAGCAATGGAAGCTTCCTGGAACAGCTAAGTACACAGATGGAAGGTTACACAAGCAACTACAGGGATGACGCAGAATGCTTTATGGATGTGATCAGACATTCTCAAGAGTCTTTGAATCTTTTATTTTCCTTTTTAAGTGCTGTGAAAAGTTCTAAAATTCTAAACAGTACCAAAGACACAAAAACATTGTGAACGACTTGTTTTATAAGTTCAGCAGAGGGCCAAACCCCGCGGCTACGATGACGAACAGGATAGACATGGACACTCCTCCCAAGAAACATACGGAGGGGGAAAAGAAGGTAATAACTACAGGCAATTAAATGATTGCAAATGTGTGAAAGACAGTGAGGAAGATGTACACGATGCTAACAGCGTGTTTATCTCCAATAATCCAATCTAGCCTGGGGTCATGAAAGGCTTTTCCAAGAAAGTGAGGTTTCAGTTCAGACCTGCAGGATGGGAAAGGATTCGTGAGGCTAACATGAAGAAGGTTAGAGGGTGAAATAGTATATATGAATTTAGTAGGATAAGTTGGACAGCTTTGATTTTGTAAAGCTCAGGGTTTTCATCTGTAAAATGGAGATAAAAATGTCTACCTCTGAGGACTAATTTGAGGGTTATGTGAAATAATGCAGATAATGCTTAGTAACAAGTATGGCAAGAGAGAAAGTGCAATAACCGGTAGGTTTCATTTTTATTATTAATATGATTCTTACTCACCTAGGAAGCTGAAGGAATATTTATGTAAATGTAATCTCTCACCCGACTCTGGAAACATCCTCCTATATCTTAATTCCTCTTATTTCCTTTTGCTGGTTGTGTAGAATCCCTGTGCAAATATATACACAGCAGATATGTATACCTATATCTATATTTGTACCCATATCCGTATCTATGTCTAGATCTATATTTCTGGCATCATCTAGCCAGCAGGAATAAGAAGTCAGAGAGCTAGATTAAGCAAACAGGAGTCTTAGAGATGTATAGTCATACCAGCTGAAAGTGACAGAATATCTGGTTAACGGTGGCTCGAACAATAAAGATACTTAATAATCTTTCCATCCAGAGAGTCTAGAGAAATGGTTCTACTGGTAGTGCAGCGGCTCTGTGATGTTTTTAAGGACTTTCCAATACTTTGTTCCACCTTTCTCAGTATTGCCTCTTGCTTGCAGTGTGGCTGCCACAGATCCAGGCAGCTTAGCCTTTTCCAAATGCATTCAAGGCAGAATGTGAGGGCCACATAAAAAGAGCTTTTTCTTTTATCAGTGGGCAAAATCTTTCCCAGGAGTACTGTAACAGAGTTTTCCCTTGTGTATTAATACGTGCCCACCTCTAGCTGCAAGTGACATTAAAGAAATTACCAAGATTGTTGTGATAGAGTCAGGTTAACTTGTCAATGGCCTATTTACTGTGGGCATAATACTGGAAAAAGTGATCAGGAGAGGAAGTGAATGTTGGATGTTGCTTGTGTAATTAGCAATGTGTATAACAATGGTTTAGAGACAATTTGAGGATACAATCTTTGGTTGATTTTCTAGGTTAACAAAAAATAAACCTGAAAAAAGTGTGCATGTAAACAGCCAGTACAGCGTTTAGCTTTACATACAGACAAACCTGAAGCAGATTTCAATTCAAATCAAGATTTGTTAATTAACAGGAGCTTTGCTTATATCATCTCATTTAATTCTCAAAATCCTGGAGAGGGAGGCATTAGGCTTTACTACAGATCAGAAAACTTAGCTCCAAGAAAACTTAGCTCAAGCAATCCTCCTGCATCAGCCTTCCAAGTAGCTAGGACCACAAGTGTGTGCCACCCTGCCCAGCTAATTTTTGTTATTTTTTGTAGAGATGGGATGTGACTATGATGACCAGGCTAGTCTCCAACTCCTTGTCTCAAAGAGCTAAGTTCCTGGGTTCAAGATCACATCCTAGTCAATCAAGGGCATAATTGGGATTCCAATATATGTAGTTCTGATAATAATTCCAGGGTTTTTTTTTTTTTTTTTTAGATGGAGTTTTGCTCTTGTCCAGGCTGGAGTGCAGTGGCACAATCTCAGCTCACTGCAATCTCCGCCTCCTGGGTACAAGCCATTCTCCTGCCTCAGCCTTCCGAGTAGCTGGGACTACAGGCGTGCGCCACTAAGCCTGGTTAATTTTTTTGTATTTTTAGTAGAGACGGTATTTCACCATTTTGGCCAGGCTAGTCTCGAACTCCTGACCTCAGGTGATCCACCTGCCTTGGCCTCCCAAAGTGCTGGGATTACAGGCACGAGCCACTGCACCTGCCCTTTTTTTTTTTTTTTTTGTCTGAAAACAGTCCCTTTTTCCCAATGACAGAAAAGCCTGTGTAAAGAAATGTGTGAACGTGGCTTTAAAAGAATTAAACCAGTATGAACTTAAGGTGCAATTACTAATATGTACTAGGATTTGTTGAGCACCAAACTACAGGCGCAATCTGAAGTTCTTTAAATACAGGTAGACATCTTAATAATAGATGCTACTATACATTGTCCCTATTTTATGGGTTAAGGCACCATTAAACCATATGCCCAAGCTCACATAGCTGGTGCGCTCCACTCAGTGGCATAGGGTTACCATCTGACTCTAGGGCTCAGCCCATTAGCCAGAATGCAATGCTGCCTCTGAAGAGTCATCACTGTGAGCTCTGGGCTGTTCTCTTCAACTACCTGTTCTCCTGGGAGCCTGTTTAGAATATACCCCAGGCATGTGTATAGTGACTCCACAGCACCTGCATGTGGGCAGGACAGCCTCCCTCCTTCGGGAAAGAACCCATATTAGGAAATGAGAACCCATATTAGGAAGAGCTGAGAAAGATAAAAGTTAGTGAGGGGGAAAAATACCACATAAAACCCCAACAATTGAATAGTTCATTAGAACAAACCACTAAGCAAACAGAATTCTTTCAATTAAATTATCTCATCTAATAGGAAACATAGTCACTTATATGTTTTCAAAATTTATTGTCAATAGCCAGAAATGGTGGAAGAAGAGAATGACACTTTTTTTTAGTTTTGATGTATTAAGGGTTCCCATTGGAGTTCAGTTCCCAGAGCTTTTAACTAGAACTGTCTTCTCAGAATTACTCTTTGGGATTCTGCGTGAAGCTGGTATATTTCTTTTCTTTCCTTGTTTTTGGAGACTGGGTCTCACTCTGTCACTCAGGCTAGAATGCAGTGGTGTGAGCATAGCTCACTGCAGTCTCAAACCCCTAGATGCAAGCAATCCTCCCACCTCAGCCTCCAGACTCCCTAGGACCACCAGCGTGTGCCACTATACCCAGCTAATTTCTTTAATTACTATTTTTTGTAGAGAAGGGAATATCACTGTGTTGACCAGGCTGGTCTCCAACTCCTGGCCTCAAGCTATCCTCCTGTTCAGGGTTCCAAAAGTTTTGGGATTACAGGCGTGAGCCACCATGCGTGGCCCTTCCTGTAATTTCTAGCTGTATTGGGGGAGGGGCAAGCATACCGTAATAAGAAACTTACAATAATTCATAAACTTAAGAAAGGTTAGCCATGTTTGCAGGAAGAAGAAACAAATAACATTTTCCAAGTCACTCGGAAGTGCTAGAAGTTCCTTCAAGTGGAGCAACTGTTGACATTACCAGCAGAATCAGCTGACGTGAGGTTTTCTTTCTAGTCCTAAAGTCCTCAAAAGACCAGATCAAGGTTTAGATGATCACAAGAGTGAATATGTCTGTTTGTCCAATACGACTTTAAATGCTGATCCAAATTTTATATTTAATTTTCTTAAAAGGCCCATGGAATGGACTACCCTCAGGAGAAATGAAATAGCAAAAGAAAGAAAGAAACAAAAATACATATTATAAAATAAAATTGCCCTTACATTTGGGTCTGTGGCTGAATGGGACAGGAAAAGAAAAAGCAAGATGATTTTGAAGGCCTATTGAATTCAGTTTGGCAGTCATATAGTCAAGGAGATGAGACAGAGGGAAAACTGTGCTGAGGGTAGAGAGATGAGATTTTCTCCAATCTTGAAGGATGGATTCACAAGTTTAAGGGGCAAGGAAACATTAAAGGACGGATAAAAGTTCAAATTAAAAGCCCTTTATCTGACAGTATTCACATTATATTTGCATTGTATTTTCTTTGTGAAGATTTTGCCCTGGATATTTCTTTTGCTAGAACAGCAATTCACAGTTGAACTGTTTGAAATAATCCACATCAAAATAAGGCCCAGGGTGTTTCTACCCAGGCCAGAGAGCCAACCCTCAGTGGCATGAGCCAGGGCACCCTGCCTTTACATCATGCTTTGAACTGATTAAATCCATTCAGAGATGGACCACCCGAACAAAGACAGAAATGTAACCCCCTGTCTTCTGTCCTGTTGTGTCTTTTTTGAGAAAGTAGAAACATTTCTGCTCTTACCATAAGGAAAGGAAATAGGAAGAAGCCAAATTATATGTGTGATTCCTGTAATATATACCTGTATATATGTATGTATGTATATTTGTGTCAATAAGAGATTAAATGTATTAATTTACTTATTACTAAAGCAAAAAAAGAAAGTAGAAGGATATTTTACTGCTTCAAATTAAGAGTTATATTATTTTATAAATATAAATAATATTGGCATTTGATTTTTAAAAGGTAGCTTTGTTTCCTTTTTTAAATTGCAATGCAGAAACTATGATAATCCAGTTAAAATAGTTATGCAATAATTATCAAGGTAGAGAAAATATTGGGGAGAATTAAATT
Source organism: Homo sapiens (assembly GCF_000001405.40). Taxonomy (NCBI): domain Eukaryota; kingdom Metazoa; phylum Chordata; class Mammalia; order Primates; family Hominidae; genus Homo; species Homo sapiens. The sequence goes on along the minus strand of NC_000015.10, from coordinate 95,648,937 downwards.
GGTCCATTCGTGGCCATAATTCTTACCCCTACTTGATGTGGCAGGTGTTTTTACAGAAATAGCTCATTTTTCCAGTTTAAAATGTGGCTAGCATCAATTTCAAGTTAATTTGGAAAAATTATCATTTTAGGAAAGATACACCAAGGCATTAACTGTAGTTACTTCTGGAAATGGAGATTATGTGTGATTTTTGTTTTCTTCTTGATACTTTTACATATTTTAAAAGTTCTGTGCAATGAATTTGTGTTACTTAAACAATTGATAATTGAGAAAAGTTATTTTAAAATAACAAAATGTACATCGTATTTTTTTCTTATTGAGTAAAAACAGTTATATTCTACCAAATAAAAGGTTAAAGAAAAACCATTTATTTTTATTCCATAAACTACCCAAAGTCAGAAAACATACAATGAAATCAGGTGACGTATCATGAATCAGATGGTTTAAATTGTTGTCTTTAAGAATTAATTCTGTAAATACTTCCTACCCTCAGCCAGCGAATTTACAAACATTTTTAAAAATTTTTGAAAAATAATATGTTTTATTTGTATAGAAATGGCAACTTTTAAATTTTTCTGAATTTCATACTTTTGTCATAGAGAAAGCTAGCATTTTCTTGTTTTTTGTTTTAAGTACAAGATTTCTGTTTCCATTTGACAGGAATTTAGTACATTTAGATTTGAACATATATTCTCCAGGTTTAGTACTTACAGGGATCTTGGAAGATTCTCACATACTCACTTCGTATAAATCGTAGAAACTACTTCTGTCTTAGATCTGCGGTTCTCCACCAGCCGTCTGTTTTATTATTTTACCATCATTTACAATCTCCTTATCTCATAAGCACTTACAGACTCTCTCTCTTAACTATAACTTCAGGAACAGATTAAGTTTGCTTTTCAAAGCCATTTGTCATCTGAGATATGTTTTGTTAGTGTTTTCTTTTGTAAATCATTTTATTATTGTAAGGTGCCTCTGGATGCTGGCATGATAATAGGCTATATAAATGATTTTGTCCTATATTTGTGTTGTATATACTTTATTTTAATAGCACTCTTGGGTCAAAAGCAGCCAATATTATTCCGATTAATTCCTGTCTAGACACTCATAAATTGTCCCTTAATTTGCAGAGAGAAAACGAAGTCATATGAAGCATAACCTTTCTCCGCTGCAGAAACTGCACCTGGCTTTTCTGGGTGAGAGGAGGCCTGCCTCCCTGCGTCCTTCAAAGCAGCAGGCCTCGCTGCCACAAGGGTGAGCATCTCATTTTTTGTGCTCGGCCCAGGTAGCCAGCCAAGGCTTGCCAGTTGGCATGCTGCTCCTCAAAAGGAAAACACAAAGCCTAATCCCCCAACACAGTTTCAGACAAACACTCATTTTATTTACTCATATTCATCTCCCCAGAAGAAAAAAAAAAGGAGGAGAAAAGAGCTTGCTTAATCCCAATACTAACACAATATTGATTCACATTCATGTTCGGTATTTATTGACGTGCATTGCATACAATGGGGACTATCAGTCAGGCTACTGTGTTCAAGGGAAGGCGCAATCACCTTAGAGAAAGAGATGAAGCACACAGTTTATACAGCCCTAATTTTATGTAATGTAAACCTTTCAAACATTGCACATGGGAGTGAAAATGCATGTCCTAATGAAAAACCAAATGCATACCAAATGGATTTCTCTTAAAGCTAATTATGGCTGCGGAATATTTGTCCTCAAAAGTTCACCATTATTTCCTAAACTTGTATAATGAAACTAACTTCTTTGGCTTTGCAGCAGCTTTCTGTATATCTCATTAACCAACTGTAAATGCATTTGTGCTTGAGAGCACAGCACAGGGTTTTTGTTTTGTGACATCTAGTGTTCAGTGTTTTGAAATTATGCAGGTGGTGTGTAATGCTCTAGGCTAACTATATACAAAGCTGGAGTATATATTGAATACCAGACAGCATATATGTATTACTAGCATATGGCTTCTGCAAGAAGAAAGCAGATATGAAAAACACTGTACTCTTTTTTTTTGGCCCCTTGGAGATTTTTATTGCCTAGTGGCAGCTGTATTTAATAAAATATTAGTAGCCACTTGAGGTTTAAAGGTGTAGCACAATTCCGTTTCAATATAACAATTCCATAAATTCAAATATGAAACCTTCATAGAAGCATGATATAGCTATAATTAAAGAAAACTTGGTATGTGCTTTTGAAAAACCAAATGGAGGGCACATTGTACCTGCAGTCGATCTATAAAGTGGATTTTGGGTAATCATTCACAGGTTTGAAAGTTGGAAGCGATTCTAGAAAAGCCTCCATAACAGAGACTGATAGTTTAATTTCTGTTTTGTTTTGTTTTGTTTTGTTTTTGAAAAATCTTACCAAAAACACAACGATCTGCCCATGGCTTACAAATAAGTTTTTTTCCCCCACCCGCCCCCCCGCCGCCATTGCTTTCTTCATGCCTTTTAAAGTTCTCCTTTCCAGATATATCAAAAGTATGAAAGTGCTTAGGAAGCTGCCAAGTTCCATACAAATGTTAAACTTCATTGCTATTATTTACAACTTCATAAAGAAACAAAACACTGCCTTAACCACCTTGCTTAATCTCTGTCCTGGCACAGTCAGGGTGCCAGAGTGACAGAGGCTTTGGGTAGGAAAGAGTTTGGTTGGCCCCCTGTATTGATGAATTTATCTAAAGGACAGGGTGAGAGAAACAGTCCTCTACAGGAGGGAGATTGTACCTTTACAGATACCCAGCAAAGACTCTAGAGGAAACTCAGAATATTTGAGTGTGGTCAGAGTCCATACAGAGGTTGCAATGGCTTCGCAAAAGCTGCATCCGGCCCAGAGAAGAGTTCTACTTGCCTGGCACAATGTATTTAAAACGATGTTTAGTTGCTTCAGATTGTCCATGCTCTCTAGCTTATCACAGTCCCCAGGACTCTCTATCAGCTTGAAACTGCTCAAGCACCCAGGAGACAGTCTAGGTTATGATCCTTGCTATAAGACATGGGGAAAGGAAGGACAGGGAGACCCCATGTTTGAGACTAGTGGAGAGATAAGTGAGGGGGGTGAGTGGATGACAGATCAAGGCAAAGCCCTCACGGTGCTGGTAAAGGGAACTCCTGAAGGACTAAACATGATACAACTCGGGAATTGCATAGAAGAGGGGACAGGGTGTCCGGCTAAGCAATGATTCCAAATAGCCTCAGGGGTGATGAAGAATAGACTAAAGGCAGTATCAGGCGACAATGAAGAGGCCCTGGGTTCTGAACATGTTACTGAAGTAGAACAAATACAAATTTCTACTGCACTGTAAGGAAAACCTGGTGGTTAAGGAAAAGTTTCATATAACTTCAAATATCTTAGCTGAAGTGCAGAAATGAATGAGGAGCAACTAACAGAGATGGAGAAGCCCATATGAGGAGAACAATGGTGAGTTTTATGTGTTGAGCAGACGTCGGGTGGAGGTAATCAACTCTGAAACAGCATGGGGTTTTGGAGAATGCTCTAGAGATGATAAAATCTTGGCTAGAGATAAGGTCTTGGGTGAGATGGATGGCAGGGAATTGTAAGTTGCACAGTGACTAACCTCACTTGGGAAAAAGAATACTCAGTGAGAAGAGAAAGGGGCCAAATGGGGCTCCTTTGAACAGCAGTGTACAAACATTGAGAAGATGAGGAAGGTAAAAACAGAGACTGAGAAGGAATAATCAAAGAGAAGATGAAGAATCAAGAGTGAGGTCGGCTGTGATACCAAAATACAATGGTTAATATTACTATCCTGTATGATAGCAGGGAGGTGAATTCCCAGAGGGAAGGGTACTCTTCTTTTCTTTCCGTGAGAATTTTTTGTCTGTAAATTGATTTTGTGTTTAGTCACATGGACAGGGCCCATTGTGAACACATCAAGAACTCTTATTTTCCACAAGCTAACCAAAAATAGCTAACCAAAAATCTTGTTTGGAGATGCATTTCATTCCTTTTGTGTGTGACTCCATTACAATGTTCTAAGTGACCCTGTAGCTGATTTATTTTCCTGTGAATGCTATGATAAGGCTGGAGCTCAGGAAACAGGACTTGAGAAGTTCAGAATTTAAATCAAGATGAACTTTATTAAAGTGTATAATTTGAACCAAATTTGAATCTCTAGTCCCAGGAAAGAAGAATTACACAGCCCAACCCGGTTGGACTGTGTGTATTGCAACTTCTCCAAACATGGGTCAGGAGCAGATGCTACTGTTGCTATGGTAACTTCTGAGCTTTTAGTCTGTGTGTGCGTGTGTGTGTGTGTGTGTATGTGGTATGTTCTCTATCTTGCTTCTGCAGTTCCAAAGTAAGATAATGGTTGCTAAAATTTCAGTGTTCTTTCTTGTAGTAGTTAGAAGGAAAATGCATTTCAGATCTTTGAGACCAATGATTTTTTTTCATATGTATTAAGACATGATGGAATTATTTAATTACCTTTGCTAGCAAGTTTACAGACAACCATCCCCTTACCATATTGCATATCCGCAAATAGGATTATTTACATCCAATCTAAGGAGTGCTGACTGGTGTCATTGGAAGCTGAAGCTGTATCAGCATTTAAATTCTCACTTTTCTGGGCAAAAACCCAACTGAATGATTCAATTAAACTCGTTATGTTATATATTATCCAGAAGTTCACAATACTACAACATGATTCTCCCAGTCTGAACCCCTGCCTTTATGATTGCAATTTGGTAGCAAGACAATTTCCAAGGACTATTTTACTTGAACTGCAATGAAAACGTCAGGCCATAACACACTTTTTGATGTGGGTTTTATGAATGGCACTCTAAAATCAACCATTATTTCAAGTACATGCAATACATAACCTTCATTATTCATCAGAGTGTAAATATGCATTTGTGTTTGCAAATATGGTGGTTCCCTGAGCAAAGCAGCCTGCAATCAACAGCTCCTTCAGCCATTTAAGGAGGTAACAAATGGACGCCAGCCTCTTTAATTGGTAAGGACCATCTCTGGAGTTACTGAGAGACAAACAGCTTATTCTGCAGCAGAGACTTTGCTCATTGCCCTGTTCCCAGTGCCTAGTATCAAAGAGAGTTTCATATTTTAAACATTCAACTAATACGTATTAAATAAATGACATTTAACTCACACTCCCTAGTGCCCTATGGAGACATATTTTTCTCCAGTGATTTTAAAGAAATTCATTTTCTACATCTCCTGAATTTGTCAAGCCCAAAGAATTCTTTCAAAAGAATTAATCTATTAGGTAGACTTAGTAAATTTCAGTCCTAAAACTGGAATGGTAGAAAATGTCTTTCTTTGAAGACACTTGCTCACTGCCTAACATCTTTTTGTTTCAAGAGAGAGAAAGCCAAAAATATTTGCACTGATATTCTAAAAGTATGTAAAGCCAACACAGTATATCAACCCCATTGTACTGATAGATAAATCCACTATGTCCAGTAAAGCCATTGTGTGTCACTGCTTCCGACATCCAGGAGAGATATATTTCTAGTCACTTTCAGCTTCCCCAGGACTTGGCCTTCGAACCTCCTTCTGCTCCAGATCTCTTAAATGGATTTCTTTGCCAATTTAATACTCCTTGCTATTGCCTACTGGGCTGGTAGAGACATTTCCCTCCCCTTTGTGTGATTCTGTTACTTCACCTTCTTCACTAGATTATATTGCTCATTTGCTTGTCCGTGTGTTTATCTATGATAACTTACCAGGTGCCTGCCATGTGTCAGTCACTGCACTTTTGTGCTGCATACTGGGGTACAAATATCAGTAACTCTGTTATGGACTAGATGTTTGTGCCTCCCGTCCCCTAAAAATTCGTATGTTCAAGCCCTAACCTAACCTTTTTTTTTTTTTTTTTTTTTTTTAAACAGAGTTTTGCTCTTGTTGCCCAGGCTGGAGTGCAATGGTACCATCTCAGCTCACTGCAAGCTCTGCCTCCCGGGTTTAAGCAATTCTCCTACATCAACTTCCTGAGTAGCTGGAATTACAGGTGCTTGCTGCCATGCCTGGCTAATTTTTGTATTTGTAGTAGAGAAAATACAGGGGTTTCTCCATGTTGGCCAGGATGGTCTTGAACTCCTGACCTCAGGTGATCAGCCCACCTTGGCCTCCCAAAGTGCTGGGATTACAGGCGTCAGCCACTGTGCCTGGCCTGATAAGTGTTCTTGTAAGAAGAGGCACTAGGGAGCTCGTTCTCTTTCCCCACCATGTGAGGACACCGCAAAAAGGCAGCCATCTGCAGGCCAGGAAGAGGGTCCTCACCAGGATCCAACCACACTGATGCCTGATGTTGGATTTCCAGCCTCCAGAGCTGTGAGGCAAGCATTTCTATTATTTAAGCCACTCAGCCTTTGGTGTTTTGTAATGGCAGCCTGAGCAGACTAAGGACAAACTCCAAAGTGCTCTTCATCTCAGTGCCAGGGGCTGATCCATAATATCAGCCATATTCACTGTAGTAAGTACCATAACCCCAGAGAGGAGATAGGCTAACTGCTTGGAGCAGTCATAAATTAGTGAATATTTATGTTAGGTTTTGCACTAAAAAAAGAAATTTGGTAGGTTGTTTTCTGGGCAGAAGATGCAGCCTGTGCAAAGGCCTGGTACCACCGTCACATTCAAGGAACAGTTGACTGTCAAAGTAATTGAGATATAGGTGTGGTCAGACCAGTGGTGACACTCCTGCAATGATAGGTTAGAGTCAGATCATGAAAGGTCATAACTTCTTTGCTAAGGAGTTTAGGCTCCATTCCGTAAGACAAAAACAAAAACAAAGAGGGTGGGTCACAGGATTCTTAATCAAGTGAAGGACAAGGTCAAAATTTTAAGGATGACCTATAACAGCTAAGGGCAACATAGATGACATAGAAGCTAGTAAGAAGGCTGTTAAGCTCATCTGTGGGAGAGAGAATGAGGGCTCAGGCTGTATTGAAGGGACAGAAAGGAGCCAACAGACATGTGTTGGGTTCTGCAGGACTGGCCCTTTAGACAAGACAGGGTGTCAGCCGTCTGCCTTCTCCAATGTGTCAGAAGGTTCCCTCTCCCCAGGCATCTCCTCTGCCAGTACACCTGACAAGCCCACTGCTTCTCACTCAAATTAATTAAGAAGCAACAGTTCCTTAAAACAAATAAAAAACAGGAGTGTTTTTGGAGGTATGGCACACACTGTCAATGAGATTACCTTACATCAGCCAGGGGCAACATTTCCCAAAGTGTGTTCTGTGGAACTCCAGTGTCTGCCAGAGGTTAATACTTATTACATTAACCAAATGAAGACGGAATTCTTGATGAAATTACTTGGGGGGAATCTCTGGGTCAAACAGGTTTTTTGCTGCAGACATTCAAACCTCTAATTCCTCATGAGCATCATGGATATGTTAAACAAGGATAGAGCATGTGTGGTTTCTTAAACGTACTGGAGACTTTCATAGAGCTTCTCCCATGATTAGAGACAATGATTAGGGACAACTTTGGAAAACTTTCATACACAGAGGGCTGTCTAGCTAACTATGTCATTTGATACACATTGCTTCAATGGGTCCCTTCAAGGATTTCATGCTGTGGGTAAGGCAAACATTAGTGTGAACATTTTAGCAGAAGGAAGCAAAGGCTCAGAGGAGCTGGTGCCTTGTCACAGATTTCCTAAGAGGAAGAACTGAGACTTACAAGCAAATTCTCTGCCGCCATGTGCAGGGATCTTCCTACTGTACACAAATAGCATCACTGCCATAGCTAAAAGGAATGGGGAGGAAGGGGACCACAGGTGCAAGAAGTGAGTGAGAGGCTCGAGGTAATAGGTTTAAGGAGATGGAGGAAAAATCAGTGGAGAGAGACATCTATATGACATCTTGGAAGGCTGTCTGTCATCAAACAAGGGACACAATGGGACCAGTGCTGCCTAACAAATGATTCAACAGTTGAATGAAAACACTCAGTGCAAATTATACCTTCTCTTTCTCATTACCTGGAGTCACTACCAAGTGAGGTGGAGCTGGTGGTCTAAGGGTCTTTGTTTGTTCATTTTTTTGTTTATTCAAGAAACACATGGGAATTTAATCCTAGGGTCTGCCCAGCCTGGATATTGCTACATCTCCCCATAGCTGAGATGACAATGAGACTTCTCTAAGCTGAGGACTCTCTATGGCTATATACCACTCACAATGAGAGGTCACTTCATTCTAAAATGAATGCATCCAAATTGGATGAGGGAAGCTGTTCTATAATTCTGCAAAGCTGAAGGAATAGCTTGGTATCACATAGACCCTGCCTACAAACTCTCACTGGAACAGCATTGGTCAGGCTGTCATTCAACATTATAGAGCACCTACTGCATGCTGGAGAGAAGTGTACAACAGAGGCACGGCCTCTGCCCTCATAGGAAACGAGAATCCACTAGGGAAGAAAGGCAATCGCCAAGAGCTATGGGAAGGCAGCAAAAGAGGTCCAACAATATTCGATAACGGTGTTAGTCAGGAAAAGCTACACTGAGTTTCTTAAGTTCACTTGATCTGAGAACAATTGCAAAATGAGGTGACTGGACCATAGCAATATTTTCCAAAGGGTCCTCCACAGAGTGTGGTTTAACATACTTGCAAGTCACCTGGATTATACAAAGTTCAGTTGTGGCTTTTTTTTTTTAGCAAAGCACATGTTGGTCTGTAGAGCGCTAATATGCATTATGAATCTCGAAGGGAAACTCTAGAGAAGAGTAGCTCCCGAATGTTATGGGAAACATTTTACTGCAGAATATTTATAGCAGCCAGTATTGTCTTGTAAGGGTGAAAATTTACAAAACAGTGGAGTAGATGTCTAAAGTCTCTAGCAGCTTTAAAATTCAATTATCGTGTCTTAGAGTATGTTTTAGAAAGCAGATAACCCACCAATAACACATAGGATAGATTAGATAGGTGGACACTGGGAGCTGGAGGTTGTGGCAGCAAATCTTTGTGGAAAATCATGACGGTCTGAGCTAAGATGGAAGGGACAAACAAGGCTTGGATGCTAATTAAATATAAAGTATATGAGAACAAAAAATAGAACAGTAGCTGAGTACCTAGGGAAACACTATAGGTTATTTAAGAATGCTTTATGTAGATAGGTGTAATTTAGTCAATTAATATGGAGAGTCAAAAAAGTAACCATTTACAGCCCTGTGTGGTGGTGTGCCTGTAGTTCCAGCTACTCTGGAGGCTGAGGTGGAAGGATCGCTTGAGCCCAGGGGTTGGAGGTTGTAGTGAGCTGTGATGGCACCGCTGTCCTCCAGCCTGGGTGACAGAGTGAGACTCTGTCTATAAGAAAATAAAAATTAAATATAATATAAAATATCATTTATAAAGGGAACTTTCTGGAGTGAAACACATCCAATAGGATTCTGAGTAAGCTGGGTGGACATAAGTAGGAGGAGGATAGAGTGGAGTATTTTTATTTTCAAAGAAAGCAAATGAGAATGGAAGGGAGCTCTGTCTCCGCTGAGGGCCCGTGAGTATCCTTACCCACCCTAGTGTGGCTACTAATCTTATCTACTTCTTCCCCGTTGAATCTATCCTCCCTTTTCTAATATGTGTAACTTTTATTACAGTGCATGGCGAGAAGTGTGAATTTTTGTTTCCCCTAGATAGCCTTCCAATTTTAAAGCTCACCCTTAAAAGATTATTTTCATAGCCCTTTGTCAGGGAAACTTTACCAACTTTCTGAGTTCTATCTCAAATTTTACTTCCTCAGTGATACCTTCCAACAAAACTCCAGCCAACTACAATATCATCCCATGCTCGCTGTCAAACTGCACCAAAATTACACTATAACTTTTCTGTACAATGAGACAATTATCTATATTCAAAAGAGTATTTTCTTTTGTAGAACATTATATTGTTCTCTCATTATGCCATGAGCTTTTGTAACTCTCCAGGAGTTTCCATTCCTGTAAGTGGCACATCGCTGGATATTCCATAGGCCTACAGTTGAACACAAATCAATGAGTATTTAGCCATAATTTCTAGATGTTAGAGCCATTTAGATGCTGGGTAAGGGGGGTTACGATACAGAAAAGACAAAACGAAACAATAACAGAATATAGACTTCACTTTCACGGAGCTTAAATGCTTGTAGAAGTTTCAAGAAATAACTGAGAGTAAGTAAAACAAATATAAGCCAAAACATATTCATTGCTATAAAAGAAAAGTTTTAATGCTGTTTTACAGGGGTCTAGGCAAAAAAACCCATCAAATACAGTTGGGAAGATTGGAGTGGCCTTGACCTCCCAAGTCATTATCCTTGAATCCCCTCTGTGAGGTCAAATCACCCTTTAGCATGTTCATGAACCCCTTGAAGCAACTAAGAAATCACTTTGTCTAAAAATATAAAGTATGACTCTGGATCCTAGTTATTATGATTGAATTAGAAAGTTTTACCTCAGGGCCGGGCGCGGTGGCTCCAGACTGTAATCCCAGCACTTTGGGAGGCCGAGGCGGGCGGATCACGAGGTCAGGAGATCGAGACCATCCTGGCTAACACGGTGAAACCCCGTCTCTACTAAAAAATACACAAAATTAGCCGGGCGTGATGGCGGGCGCCTGTAGTCCCAGCTACTCGGGAGGCTGAGGCAGGAGAATGGCGGGAACCCGGGAGGCGGAGCTTGCAGTGAGGCGATCGCGCCACTGCACTCCAGCCTGGGGGACGGAGCGAGACTCCATCTCGAAAAAAAAAAAAGGAAAGTTTTACCTCAGAAATCTTCATTTAAGAATCAGTAACAACATTGAGAGTCTCCTTTTAAATGATAGTTAGGCTTTTCTGTGTGTTCGTTCATAGGCATTTTACTGATCTGAGACGTGAAATGTAAAGTTGTGGAATAAGATACGTAGGAAGTGGTAAGTTTTCTGAGTTTTTAAAATATATTTCTAATCATTATCTGTTTGGAATTTTTAAAATGTGTTGCTATGCACTGGCTGTTTTGCCTTCTAAAACGAATGACAACTTGACTTAGGGTTCTTGTGACAGTTCTTTTATTCTCAAATCTTATAAACTATGCCACTGTCTTCTGACTTTCAAAGCTGCAGAGAAGAAGTATGATGCCAAAGTGATTTTGGGGGATTACATACCAAAATAGTTAATTTATATTTTCTTTCTGGATATTTGTAGGATTCTTTTTTTTTTTTAATTTTTATACTTTAAGTTCCAGGGTACATGTGCACAACGTGCGGGTTTGTTACATATGTATACATGTGCCATGTTGGTGTGCTGTACCCATTAACTGGTCATTTACATTAGGTATGTCTCCTAATACTATCCCTCCCCCCTCCCCCCACCCCACAACAGGCCCCAGTGTGTGATGTTCCCCTTCCTGTGTCCAAGTGTTCTCATTGTTCAAATCCCACCTATGAATGAGAACATGCGGTGTTTGGTTTTCTGTCCTTGCAATAGTTTGCTGAGAATGATGGTTTCCAGCTTCATCCATGTCCCTACAAAGGACACGAACTCATCCTTTTTTATGGCTGCATAGTATTCCATGGTGTATATGTGCCACTTTTTTTTATTCTTCTACATTAATGTTTTAGCCAAATTATATAGATATTTATCTCTTTTTATCAGTCGCTTTCTATGCAAGCTCTCCTTTGACTCTATTCAGAGCTTTCTTCTATCCTTCAAATTTTGCTTTTTACATAATTATCTCTATTTTTTTCTGTATAACTTATTTGGTTGTTTTAATTCCATTTTTCTAATCTCTTTTTTTATAAATGCTGATTGTTAGGGGATTGGGTCTCTGATGGCCTCTTTTATAAATTCCAACTCTTCATACCTGTCTTCTGCATTCTGAGTGAAAATTTCACCACAGGATCAATTTTCTTGGTGATGAATGTTTCACTTTAATTGATCTGGTGAAAATTTTTGTATTTATATTGCATTTTTTTGTCCCCTTAGAGTCTCTGTCATTTTATGTCTGCTTTTTTTTTTTTTTTTTTTTTTTTTTTAAGCCAGCTTACTTTTCTGGGCAGTTTGTTTTCTTTATAGCCTTCGATTTCATAGCTCTGTTTTCTTTTTTTTTAAAAAAATAAAATGTATATTATATAAAATTATTTTTCTTATAATAACTTTTCCCCTAAAATATTATTTTAATACTCCCTGTGAGTGCTTTGTTTCCCTTCTCATATCTTACTGAATCTCTCAACGGTCATGTTTTACTAATTAAAAAACAATGTAGTTTTAATTTAGTAACTTACAATGAGAAGCCCACATCAGCCATGAATCTGGCGGGTGAGTTCTCCTTTCATTTCATAATGTCCAGCCACTTTCATCTAGAATTAACCTCTCAGATTGTAGACCAGTGGGCAGGTTAAAGTTACTTTGCATTACCTGCTCCCTGATCCAAAAATCTGGGAGCAATATGCTAAGAGTCAGAACTCTGGGAAATTCTGGAAGGTTTTATTTGATAATGCTATAGTCTGAATGTTTGTGTCTCCCCAAAATTCATATGTTGGAATCCTAATGCCCATGGCAATGATATTGAGGGGATGGTGAGGCTTTGGGAAGTGATTTGTTCATTAGGGTGGAGCCGTGTGAGGGTTGAGTGAGAAGAGAGTCATCTATAAATCAGGATGAGGATTCTCACAAGTCACCAAATCTGCTGGTGACTTGATCTTGGAATTCCCCACCTCCAGAACTGTGAAAAATACACTTCCGTTATTTATAAGTTACCTGGTTTGTGGTGTTTTGTTGTATCAGCCCAAATGGGCTCAAGATTGGTTAAACAGCAGCTGGGGAACAGAAAACCGCGTCTACCTTTCCTATAAACTTACCCTCTGTGCCAGCTATGCAATGTGCATATGGGAACTTTCTCCCTGATGCTGCTTCCCATTGCACCAGGAAGGAGCCATCTATCACATCAGATTGCCAGCTGCAGACCCTGCCAGCTTTCCCTATGCAGCTATCTAGACACTCTCACAACAGCAGCAGCACTGAGTGGATTCCTGGGTTCACCCAAGCTTCTGATAGTTCTTTTAGCCTGTCTCCTACAAAGAAGTGTGAGTGGGATTATCTGCAGGCTTATCTATTTACTCATGATGATGCTGAGAAGGAAGAACCATGAGTTGACTCTCAACGTCCTCCTTTAGTATGTTTTCATACGTGTGTCAACTTGTACAACAGGAATTCCTCAAAATTTCTGTTATGGCTGCCTCTGTTTCCATGGATGATGAAGGTTTTTCCCTAGTTAGAAAAAACTTTGGATAATTTTACTAATAATCTTAGTGGGCAGTAGGCCTGGGAAATAATTAGGTGTTCTATATCAAGTGGCCATTTTAACCGGAAATATAACCTTTGGCTTTAGTTACAACTTTCTGGGCCAACGCCTGTTCTTCATCTTTGTTCCAAAGAGAACAAACCCATTCTTTCCTTTACATGGTAAATCTTTCAGCAATGGAAGATAACCTTCATTTATTTCTACGCTGACACAGAGCTTCTTTGTGTGGTACAGGCTTATACTCTGCTCATGGCATGAACTGGAATTTTCTCCCATTTAGTATCTTGTTCCAGCATTTCTGTGTGGGTTTCTTAGGATGTAACACTCATAAATGACTACAACACTGGTCATTACCTGACCAGGGCTTATGTAAGATAATCACCTCCTTACAGATAGTACCTCTCTTTCTGTAATCAGCAGCAAGACTATATTAGCTTACTGGGTGTCACATCATATAGCTGACACATACTGCTCTTTTGTCTTTTTTTTTTTTTTTTTGTGAGACAGAGTCTTGTTCTGTCGCCCAGTCTGTTGCGGTGGTGCGATTTCAGCTCACTGCAAGCTCCACCTACCGGATTCATGCCATTCTCCTGCCTCAGCCTCCGGAATAGCTGGAACTCCAGGCGCCCGCCACCACGCCCGGCTAATTTTTTTTTTTTTTTTTTTTTTTGTATTTTTAGTAGAGATGGGGTTTCACCGTGTTAGCCAGGATGATTTCGATCTCCTGACCTCGTGATCCGCCCGCCTCGGCCTCCCAAAGTGCTGGGATTACAGGCGTGAGCCAGCATGCCCCGCCCACATACTGCTCTTTTTTCAAAATCTTAACCACTAATCTTTTTCACAGAGACTTTGATTAAGCTGCAGGTTTCTCTTCCAACCATTTTAGGCCTTTTACCTCTTTGAATGGAAGTGCAGGTCCTTACATTTGCTCCACTTACATTACTGTAGATTTCTGCTCATCATTCATATCCACTCACATTCTATCATTCACTGCACTCACTCCAGCTCCTTTCTGGTTCCATGTAAGAAAATTTCATCAATACACCTTCTGTACTGTTTTCTGATCCTGGATAAAAATGCGAAGCAAGGCAAGGCTGAGCACACAATATGCATGACACCCCCAAGAACTGTATCCCCTCAGTGGCCTCAATTCACTAATTAGCCACCTCTGGTAACAGATGTTCTGCTAAGTCCAGAACTCTCTCATGATCTCAAATTTTGTCATTTTGATCACGGGTAAACCAGAAAAGGCTTTGTATCCTCAAAGGGACTTTTAAGAAGAGTTCTTAATTTTTCTGTAAGTCTGTGTGTGTGTTAGTGTTTGCACGTGTGTATAGGGCTGTGTGTGTATGTATGTGTGTGCATATATTTATATATATATATACACACACATATATGTTTATATAAAGATTAATAATTTCCTAATATTATAAAATGTGTTTAAAGTCTTTATTTCTTTAATTAGCAACATTATAATATAGCTTCTGTGACGTGGTGGAATCCCAGGATGTTGTCTCTGTGATCAGTGTCGGAAACCTCTCTGCGATTTGTCACAAACTGATCCAACTCAAAAGTTTATCTGGACAAATTAAGCTCTCAAAGAAATCTTGGCAGTCTTCTACCTTTTCCTGGATTTCAGGGAGCAATTTTGATTTGTGATCTCTTAAGTCCGTAACAATTTGCTATTTCTAATTTATTGCTTCATTTGTGACTGCTGCTACGGCAAGGTAAATTTATTCTGATTTGCACAACCTAAGTCCTTCCTCTGACAGTGACTAATTATTACCTGAGTTAAAATAATGAAAGTGTCGGAAAGTGTCCGAATGCAATTTGTTAGGAAAACATGTGGCATGCTGTGTTACCCCAGTCCAGAAAAGCCTAAGTGATCAGAAACCATGGAGAATTAAGATTTTTTTTTTCCCTCTAAGGTTATAAATCAATGTAGAAAATTTCAGAAATTTCCATTGCAAAGAACTGAATTTGCTGAAACAAGGGGCACTTCTGGGCCTTTAAATATCCTGGACTTTAATAAAAGTAACTCTTTAAGGGGATCTACTATAAAATTACATGAAAATAACAATAAGCAAGTGAAGAGAAGCAACATTTATTGAATGCCTACTGTGTTCTTAGCTTCACTGGGTGCTAGGCACATTGCATGCCTCATCTCATTTTACAACCATTCTGTGTGGACCATTTTACTTTTTCTGATTTTATTCCCAGCTTACAGAGAATCAGAGCTTATGTGATTTTCCAAGCACATAGCTGATCAGTATTAGAGCTGTGCTTGAAATACCAATTTCTCTGATTCAAGAGCTTGTGCTTTTTCTCCTATACCAAGATTTCACTTAAAGCTGATTTCATTTCACACGTGCAGCAATTTAAAAATGTAAAATTAGCCAACAGAGCTCCTATTCAAGAAGCTACATGTATGAAACGACACGTATATGACATATAACTAATTATTAAAACAAGGAGTGATAAATACAGACTGAAATGATTAATAGAAATTGGTGGACAAACAAAATAGCTAAAGAATTCCTCGTTTGTTTCATATCCAACAGCATGTCTGGCCAAAGGCTGGATTCTTTCTGATGTCCAATGGCTCTGTAATTTAGTTATTCAGTCTCCAAATACATATTTTTAAAATATCAAGACATATTCTATTTAAATTTTTTGACCCAAAGAGGTTAAACATGTCAGAATTTTTCCAGGTAAAATATGTATAATCGTGATAATAATTATGGTAATGAAGAAAGTAAGTTTCCAAAAGGAGCTTCATTTAAATTAATGGCATAATTTTTATATGGGCAGTACATTTATAAAATGCGGTAACTGAATTTTGGCAATTTACAAGTACAATATAATAAAAATATGTCTATGCTGGAAGAGCTGCTTTTTCACATTAAACTCTTGCTAACTTATTAAGATTGGTACTTAAATATTTCACAGGTTAAGATACTTCTGCTTACAAGGCCCATAAGATATCTAAATTGTGAGTTTAAAGCACTGTTTCAATTATATTTCTTACTTTGTGTTAAATATTTTAAGCTAATGTTTTTAACTATTGTAGTTAGTGTTCACATTCAGAAAGGTTTTCTTAATTTGATGATATGTTAATTATGAACAACATTAAGAATAATCATTCTCAGGGTGTTCACTCACAAATGCTAATTGATGTTTTAGATGTGGCCAGGAAAGAATCATACCGGCACAACATTGACACCTATCTGGATCTCATAACCTTCCAACTTTTTAAAAGGGTTCCACCTAGAAACGTAGTTAATCAAAAAGACGCTCTGTGGTAAAACAGATGCTCAACACAAGTGTTCACTGATGGATAAATGGATAAACAAAATGTGGCATATACATAGAATGGAAGGCTATTCAACCCTGAAAAGGAAAGGAATTATGACACGGGCTACGACGTGGATGAAACTGGAAGACATGATGCTAAATGAAATAAGCCAGACACAAAAGGACAAATGCTATATGATTCTACTCATATAAGATACCTGGAGTGGTCAGATTCGTAGAGACAGAAAGTAGAGTGGTGGTGATTGCCTAGAGCTGGGGCGTGGGGAGAATGTGGAATTGTCATTTAATGAGTGCAGAGCTTCAGTTGGGGAACATGAAACATTTTGGGAGGTAGATGCAAATGATGACTGCACAACAATGTTAACATACTTAATGCCATAGAACAGTACACTTAAAAAGGATTAAAATGATAACATTTGTGTTATATATTTTATCACAATAAAAAGTAGCTAATTTTCAGTTGAAGAAATGTATGCTCTGGTAAAGTCTTCACTGATATATTTGCTAGTAAGAACAAGTTAGGATAGAGGCAAAGCAAGAAAAGTTTTAAAAGCTATGCAAAATATTAAAAGCTATGCAAAAAAACTACCGTATTTTTGAATGGGTAATACATGCATATAATAAAAAATGCAAATTTTCCCACAGGGTACATGGTGAAACTTAAGCCTCTCTCTCTTCCTAGTTCTCTATTCATTGGAGGCAGCATCATTAGCAGTTTTTGGTAGAGACTTCCAAGACATTCAAGTATTTAAACATTGATTTGTGCAAAGATTTCTTGAGTAATACCCCAAAAACATAGCCAACCGAAACAAAAATGGACAAACGGGATCATGTCAAGTTGAAAACTGGTCTATAGCCAAGGAAATTATATTAAAAAAAAAAACTGAAGAGAAAACCCACTGAATAGGAGAAAATATCTGCAAACTATCCATTTGTTAAGGGATTAATATCCAGAATATATAAGAAGATCAAACAACACAACAGGAAAACAAATCTAATAATTTGATTAAAATATGGGCAAATATCTGAAGATACATTTCTTAAAAGAAAACATGCAAATGGCAAACAGGTATATGAAAAGGTGCTCAACATCATTGTTCATCAGAGAAATGTGGATCGAAACTACAATTAGAAATCATCCTACTCCAATTAAAATGGCTTTTATCCAAAAGACAGTCAATAACATATGTTAGTGAAGATGTGGATAAAATGAGACCTTTGTACACTGTTGGGGGAATGTAAATTATTAGTACAACCACTATGGATAACAGTATGAAGGTTTCTCAAAAAACTGAAAGTAAAACTACCATATGATCCAGCAATCCCACTGTTAGATATATACCCCAAAGAATGAAAATCAGTATATTGAAGAGATATCTGCACTCCTATGTTTATTGCAGCACTATTCACAGTAGTCAAGCTTTGAAATCAATTTAAGTGTCCATCAACAGATAAATCAATAAAGAAGATGTGGTACATATACACAATGGAGTACTATTCAGCCATGAAAAAGAATGAGATCCTGTCATTTGCAACAACATGAATGGAAGTGGAGGCCATTATGTTAAGCGAAAACACAAAGATAATCTTTACATGTCTCACTCATTTGTGAGAGCTAAAAATTAAAACAATTGAACTTATGAAGCTAGAGAGTAGAATGATGGTTACTAGAGGCTGAGAAAAGTAGTGGGGAGGGGAAGGGAAAGTAGGGATGGTTAATGGGTACAAAAATATAGTTAGAATGAGATGTAGTATTTGATAGTACAACAGAGTGACTACAGTCAAAAATAATTTAGTGAACATTTTAAAATAACAGAAAGAGTATAATTGGATTGTTTGTAACACAAAGAAATGATAAATGCTTGATACCCCATGTACTCCGATGTGATTATTACACATTGTATACCTGTATCAAAATATCTTATGTATCCCATAAAGATATACACCTGCTATGTACCCATAAAATAAGAAATTTTAAAAATTTTAAAAAGCAACCAAAAAAAAAAGAATTTAATGAAAGACTGAAGGTCTAAGATTCTTGCCAGTATAGTGTGATGTTAAGAGCATAAGCTATGGAGCTTGAATGCATAAAACCTAATCTGAGTCTTGTTACCTATCAACCATGTAACTGCACCAACTACATGCTTTCCTTTCTCTTATTCCCAGTAACATGGAGGTAACCATGGTGCCAGTTCATAGGGTGGCATGGTTGAAGGAAATCATGCCGCATAGTGCTTTTCAAAATGTTAAGCACTCAGAAAATGGTGTTGATGAAAGAACGTACTGGCAGATGAAGGAAGCTGCTCTTACCCATTTGCTATACATAAATTGGGTTGCTATTCTGCATTTAACTACCGGAACAACTGCCAAGAACTTTCTGTATGAGTGGCCATTTAATTATGGTCTAAAGGTGTGTGTAAAGATAAGGCATGTCCTAGGATTACAGACTTGTGGACTGTTAACATACGGGGGGACTTCCTTAGACTTTGAGAAAAATATGATCACAACTTTTCTTTTTAAGCAGTTTGATAAATAGAAACCAACTGGACAGCTCTGTTGTATTTAATGGGTTTGAGCACACTGTCTAAAATCTGCTTTAACAGTATAATATCTATTGAATATTTCCTCTGAGAACAGGTTTATTATTAGATTACATTATACGAGATAAGATCAGTCAATAAGGGATTTTTTTTCCCCAATCCAGCTTGCCAATGGAAATATCTGTTTTTAAATTACTCCAAGACCTTCTTTGTAGGAGGCTGGGAAAAATATAGCTATGAATCATAAAATTGACAAACCCTGGGGCTGGCATGGGCCTGGTCTAAGAGATGCAAAGGACAAAGATAAAGGTGCACAACAGGTACACAGGACAGGGAGAATGAAAGATAAATAGAAGTAGCTGTTGAATAGGAGGAGCGAGACAGAATGCTGTACTTAGAATGCAAAATCAAAATAAAAAATGGAAAGAAAAAAGTGCTTGAACTGGAGAGAACAAGAAATCAGCCTTTCCTTCCAATATTAGGAGGAAAATTCAGATGATTCTATTGCATAATCAAGACTTAATTGGACCATAGAACGCTATACTTTCACTTTGCCGTTGATTTTATATGTCAGTTTAATCCATCTTCAGTCACAAAGGTTTTCTTCCTTTTTCTTCATCTCATATCATCACCAGTAACAGCTCACCTGTTTTAAAAATATCTTGACCCAAATAAGAAAAGCCTCTTTTGAATTAATTACTCCTCATGGGACAGTGAAGGTACTTTCCTTAATTCAAAGTTAGACTTTCAGGATAAAAAGAAAAATAAAAACAAAACAATCTCACAGCTCTCTTTTGCTGGTCAATCTAATAGGAGAGAGGAAAAAAGTCTTGCATTTAAATATCCATTTTGCCTATAAAGATTTTTCATATCTCTCAAAACCAAATTCTTCCATAAGATTGACATTTCAGAAGAGGAGGGAAGGCAGACAGGTGAACTGAGATCAAAATGGATTTTGCCAACCTTCCATTTTAAAGGTCAAGGTTGTTGCAGACTAGCATTGTGTCTTCTGTCTAAAGCTCCCAACTTCATTTCCAACATTCAGGAAATGCCCATGAGAAAAAAAGGAAGAGAATTCTTCCCTTGCTCTCTCTGGGACTTCAAATATATGTGGGTGGATGCCTTGAGTGCAGGACAGTCAAATGACTTTCTATCATGTGTTCTATTCTTCTAGAGGTGGAGCAAAGATGTTTAATTTAATGCATGAATTTTGGACAATTCTGAAAAAAATGGTGTTGTTTCCTTCCATTCTATGTTGTTCTGGGTTGCAATGGTCAATTGCATTCAGTGATTATACATTCACCTTCCGGTAAAATTCAGCTCCCACCTTCTTGCTTTCACCTGTCAGACCATGTATTCACTCTGGAGTTTGTTCTTCGAGTGCTTTAAAGATCAAGTGAAAAGTTTCTGTGTTGTCTCATGAACCAAGGTGTTGCCTCTGCCGTCTTGAACCGATGTGCACATATCTGGCCTGGCTCTGTTCACACCCTGCATCCTGGCCATACAATGAGAATTCTGCACAGTTCTTGCTCTTGAGGAGTGCATGGCCAATTAGGAGGATTCCTTGTAAAAAGATGAGTTTAGGTCTCCTGTCTTTGGAGGAGATGAATCATTTGTGTAAAGTTATAAAAAGTACAACTTTCATAAGCACAGAAGCTAAGTACATTCAGATCCTTTATAGATGAGGGTTGTTTGAATTTTGACCTAATTGTTCTATAGATGCCCTCTTTATGCTAGCATTTAACGTGATTTTAACTCTTAGTAACAATATTTTAAGTATTTACATAATATATACATTGCTATGACGTATTTTGTGTTTTTTGTGATGTATTACAATATTTGTAATACTTAAAAATATTACAGAATAACAATACACAAGCTTTTGGGTTATAGTATCAATATGCAATATATTAAAAGACACATGGTACATGCTTGTTACATAACCACATCCCCGCACACACAAAGAGAAAATGATTCTGTGTTTCTTGAAATCAAGCAAGATATAAGTTAATGAAATATTACTGGTGGAAGGGTCCTCAGAAATGATTGATAATAGTCCCCCGATTTTTAAAATGACCAAACCAGGATTAGAATACTCAGAAAAGTCATCCAGTGGAAGACAGAAGGGTAAAGACAATGCAGGGAGTGGAACCTGGGGTCCTCCTGTGTCCTCCTCCAGCCAACCCTCAGCTCTTAACACTCAGCAACCCGCTCTAATTCTCCAAAGACTTGAGATGCTGGGGAAAGGCCTTCACCACCATCAGATTGCACAAAATAAGCACGTGCAACTGAACTGCTTAGGTTCCGAATATTTGACATTTAACAACCCATACTGAGGAATATCTTTGACCCATCAGTGCTACATCTGAACCTGAAAGAAAAATGTTTATGTTTGTTATTAGACGTAGATATGCCTGCCTCCCTTCCCTGCTCTTAGAGACATATGCCTCTATTGTCAGCTCCGTTTCCTGTGTTTAACCCATGCTCTGTCTCCTCTGATTGCCCCTAATGGAGCTTGACAGTTGTAGAGTTAATCCAAGCTCTGGTCTCCAGGTTTCACCTCAGGAAACAATCGGTCCCCAGAGCTTTAAGGCTTCTTGCAAGGCTATATTCCCCCAGAGTCCTTTCCCAGCCCAGCTGGGGAGCTTTTCCCATTGTCTGCCAAACGGACACCAATTAAGTCAACTGTTCCCCAATTAGAATTTTGCAGAATTTATCTTGTTCTCTTGTACTCCGGCTCCCAAGCAGGGGTCTGTTTTTGGAATTAGTTACAGAAGGAAGAAAATAAATAAATAAATCGCAGCTCTTTCCTGTAACGCGATACCCCTGGGTTTTTCCCGTCAGCCATTCACATAACATGATCCCGGGAAATATGGCAAATGCTTGGTAGCTCTGAGATTTATCATCTGCATGGTGGAACTGTTCTTAGGTCAGGGCCCAAAGCAAAGGGCTGGTGCTCACCCAGGAGGGGCACTCAAGTGACTGGAAAGAGGTGGGAAAACTCCTCTTTGTACCAAAAACGAGGATTTGCTTTGAAGAGATGAAAGCCTGGGGTTTTGCTTTCTGGAGGAAATGCCCCTCCATTTGGACAGCCGACTTTAAGGCAGATGTGTTCTTGTGATGAAGGATTTTGCAGAGCGCGGCATTTCCAGGCAACGTTTAAGATGTCAATCAGTAGTGTTTGAAATCACTCAGGCTGTCACAGCTGGGTGACACTGTGGCTGCGCTGGGAGCCTTTAGAGAATGTGGATGTTGTTGACATCAGAATGCACTTGCTTGTGAAACACAGTCAATCACAAATGATATCTTCCTCAAAGAATCCTATTTATTGTCATACGTTTTTAAGCATTTATTCAGCATGTTCATTTGATAGACTCACAAATAACACAGAAAAGTAGGTGCCTTAGAGGCCCACTTCTCAAACTTTAACGAGCACACAGGTTACCTGGGGTCTTACTAAAATGCAGATTCTGATTCAGCAGATCTGGGGTGGGGCCTGAGATTCTGCATTTTTCCTCAGGTCCCAGATGATGCGGAAGCTTTGAATCCCCTACCATAGTGCGAATAATAGGAGTTGAGACTGATACTTTGTAGGTAAAAGTTACATGATTCTTATTGGATTGGCTTCACAATGACACAGTAAGATTTGAACTTGAATGATGTGTTTAGATATTTCAAATAAAACCCCCTGTCACTCTGTGATTGCCTTCTGTTTCTAATAGTATTCAATCATTTATACGCTCATTAGTTCATCTGTTCTTTTGATACTTATTTGCAACTTATTATGTGTGTGGTACTCAGCTGCGTACTAACATACAGAAACAGACAAAAAAGTCACTGACATTCAGACAAAACATAAGGAAATGAAAGTTTGGCATCTATGAATGCATCCATTGCTACATGAGCAGTAATCTCAAAACTTAGTATTTTAAAATAGCCACAGCATAGCCAGATTTCAATTCTCAAGTCCCCCAAAAGTGCAGCAGCCAAATCTGCCTGGCCTTGTCCACTGACTCAAGACTGGTTAAGCGCCTCTCACCACTGATTAACACTAATTGAAGGCTCAGCTTCCATTTGGTGCAGGAGGCTACTTACTGTACAAGGCCAGGAACACTTGAAAGCATGATTACTCACTCAGGGGGCGTCACTGGCAACTAACAGCTAGTATACAAAATAGCTAAAATGAAAAAACACAAATAAGGACTGTAGCAGTTCAAAGAAGAATAGAATCAGTGTGAGCTAAATTTTTAGAAGTCTTCACCTATAAGACAAGGCAAAAGAGATGAAAGAGTCATTTACAATACTTATATACTTGTTACTTTCATTATTAAAGTTAAGTAAATGCTTGTTGAAATAAATTAGACAACAACAGAAAGGAAAAAGTCACCTATAATCAAATTATTAACTAGATAGCTATTTTAAATAGGCCCTTTATCTTGATAACAGCAACATAACACCAAAGAGTAAGATTTGAAACAGAAAAGCTAAAGGCCATACAGAAAATTATATGTTCTGGGGGAAAGGACCCTCTTAAAAGCATAAGATGACAATATATCAATGATCTGGGTTGGTTTTAAATAATGTGCTTCACGCTTACTGCAGGCTGAGAAAGGAATTCCTTAGCTTGTCACAAATCACCAACACTCCCAGCAGACTTCACTCAACAGTCAGATGCAATAATGTGAAAATTCATACCTCCATACACTTTCCAGCTGCATGCCACCACCGCAAAGAAAACACCAACTATTAGTGAAATGAGGCTGACTCAGTTTTCTCTGAATTATCTGTGTTTAGAAAGTGATCAATAAACCTTGTATAAAACAAAAATTGACATCTACATTTTAAGAGGAGAATGGCTCCCTGAGAAGCCATTTCTGTTTGTCTGTAGTTAAATCCAAATAAGAAAAAGAAAAAAAAAAGTCAAGTGAAGGTATCTTAGGCGGGTGTTTGTAATGGCCAAACAGCAATCATTCATCAAGTAGCCAATGTTAAGAAATAATGACTTAACATTGTGACATATGCATAGCTGTTCTTCAGCTCCTGTCTTGGTGTTTGAAGTATTTCTTTGCCTTGTTTTTCCTTCTTCGGTTCTTCTGTGGCTTAACCACCTAATGCTATATTCTGGGCAATTTTCCAGGCCTGATGTTCCTCGCTATTCTCCTCGCTGTTGTTATCCCAAGAAAGTAATGGCATAGCATTATTAAAATATCATTACTTTCTGTGGGGAAAAGTAAGAAAATGCTTTTATTTAATTTACCATTAATGAGGCCACCTGGAGATGTGCCCAAAGGACCTGGGACTTCTGTTTCAGATGATGAGAAAACTTCCAGATCTTGATAGGACTCACTATCAAAATGTTGTGGGAGTGTTGGGGGACTTGAGGCCACCCTGTCATTTTTCACCAGGGCCTTACTTCTTCTGTCTCAACTGTCCTCATCTTCAGAGGATGCAGAATTCAGGCCATAGGGCTAGAGAAGGGATATTTCTGGCCTGACCCAACCCAGGACAGCCTGAAACGTTTACAAGAAAGTTTGTTTTTAGGAAATTTCCAGTCCAATTATGCTCTCCCTGGAGATGTGAATAGTTCAGATAGCATTCAGATAAGCATCCACAATGTTGGGAACTTCCATAGAAAACAGACCAGCATAGAATTTTTTGAGGCTTGGCCTTCTCTGGATAAAATAGCTCTTTCAGGGTGAGGCAGCCTAGCCTGGTGGTCTCAGGATAGAGGTTAGCATCAGGAGATCCTGAGCGTTATGATTCCTGCTTCCTCTCTGGCTTGATGGGTGGCCTGAGGAATAAAATGAGAGCCAACCTCTGGATTTGAGACAAAGGGACCAATAATGATCAATATCATATTCTTTGACTTGATTAATTGGTGTGACGAATGGGTCTAAAAAGAAAATCACTTTCCAGCCTAAAATGTATACGTGAGATTCACGGGCCAATCGTTTGGGGTGTGCTGAAATCACTCTGAACAGAATTCTGCCTTTTCCATTAACCTCTACAGTTATCTAAGATTCCTACAGTGGCTTGAGTTCTTTATGGCCTCTGGTCAGTGGCAACTTCTACTTTGGGATGGCAATTTTAGATCAACATGGTACCTAATTTTGGCTGATGTAATTAATTAATCTTCATTCATTTTAGAGAACAGCAGTTTCCATGATCTTGAGGAGAAAACTCAAATGTTGTGGCCTGACTTTCAAGTACCTTTGAGCTCTAATTTCTGCTTATCATGCCAAACTCATCTCGAGCCACATATTAAACCATTTGACACCAACTATGCATTTTTTTAGATTCTACTTCCATGCCTCACCCTCCGATGCTCTCCGGCAATCCAGTATTACCTTACTGTAGCACTGCATCATTTTTCAAATTGTTTGGCAACTATCCATTTGTCCACAGATGGTATGTAATTAAGGTTAAAAGCATGGTTTTTGAAGTCATCCAGGCGAGAGTGTAAACTGTGCACTCCCACATGGCACAAAGGTCTTGCCCTAACACTGTTCTGAGAGACTGGACCAAATTTAACTTGGCTTCCACCTGCACTAGGCTATGTCCATAACAGGGATTCCCAACCCCATGCTGAGTCTTTGCTCATGGAAATATATGCTGCCAAACCATGCAAAGCACATCTTCTATCATTTTCCATTCCCCCCCACACCTGGCTCCCAGTCTCTTTTTTTTCCTCTTTTTAAAATTTCCTCATAACCTTTTTTTGTTTTCTTTTTGTTTTCCCTTTAATAACCTTAGTCATCTTTATCTTAGTTGACATTGAACTCAGCTTATACTGGAGTTTCTGTCTCCTGTTGCAGTAGTCTGGATAAAATCTGTCTTGCCTCCTTTAATACATGACTGGTGCTGTTTCTCTTCAATAAGATTGGAATCTTAGGTCTGCTGCTTCATAGTTAACAGGTCTTCAGGAAATTAACTCCTCTAAGCCTTCATTTTGTCCACCTCTAAAATGAGAATAATTATGCTTATCTCACAGGGATAAAATGAGGATAAATACATACAGTTAGTCCAGGTCCTGGGACTTAGTAAGCCCTTAATATACTATAGTAATTCTTAGTATTCTATGTCCCTGTCTGGGTGGATCTCAAGGGATCTACCATGTGTTTTATTCTACCATGTCTCTCATTGCTGAGTTCCTGGCCTGCCAAGGTACCCAATGGTGCCTTCACTGCTTTCTTTTTTCTTTTCTTAGACAGAGTTTCGCTCTTGTCACCCAGGCTGGAGTGCAATGGCACGATCTCAGCTCACTGCAATCTCTGCCTCCCAGGTTCAAGTGATTCTTCTGCCTCCGCCTCCCAAGTAGCTGAGATTACAGGCATGTACCACCATGCCCAGCTAATTTTGTATTTTTAGTAGAGATGGAGTTTCACCATGTTGGCCAGGCTAGTTTTGAACTCCTGACCTCAGGTGATCCACCTGTTTTGGCCTACCAAAGTGCTGGGATTACAGGCATGAGCCACCATGCCCAGCCTGCCTCCACTGTTTTTTGTGCCCAAATCTTACCCAAGGTTTTCTCCAAAGCATCTTCACAGTTTTATTTCTTTTCCTGTTCATGTGCCTCTCTCCTAGGCCTTCCTCTTTCTACTCTATGGTGGCTACTTGGTGGCCTTTTGATTTCACAGAGGAGGACATAACTATAGTATGACTTTTGCCATCAGGTACTTTAATCAACGAAGAGGGTTCCATACACCTAATTTGATCTTTGCCCTGGAAGTTTTTTTATCAAATGAAATGTTCACCTAGCACTTGTCCCTCCAAGTGTTGTTAACCTCATCTCCACAAGTCCTCATATTCTCCAACCTTATAGGGCCTGGAATATCTGAAATCACCCTATTCCTTTGCATTGCTGCCTTCAAACTGGCATTGTTTTTCTCTTGAGCTCATCTCATTCTTATAATATCTTGCCAAATTCAATTAAGAGCAGCTAAATATTGTTTTCCAAAGTCTTCTCCTATTTCAATAGGTAGCATCCGTCTCCCAAATGAACATGGGTAACAGGCTTTCTATACATATGTTTTGAAATGTTTAAAGTTACTTCTTTTGTATTATTTTATTTTTAACTGACAATAATTGTATACATTTTAAGGTATGATGTGATATTTTGATATATGCGTACATTTAGAAATTATTAAATCAAGCAAATTAACATATCAATCACTTCACTTATCTTTTGTGTTGAGAACACTTAAAATCCACTCTTTAAGCAGTTTTGAAATGTATAATACATTGAGCATTGCATGACAAGCAGCTCCATATTTTAATATTTCCCAAATATGATATTCATTTTCTCACCTTCTTGCCCCACTGCTCAGCCAATGGCAATTATTCTTAGTTTTTGTTGTGAGTAATTCTCACTTCTGTTTCCAATTTCTGTATTAATCAGAATAGGAAAGGCTGTACTGTGGTAATAAACTTCCAGCTCTCAGTGGCCTATCACATGAAAGATAGTTTCTTTCTTGTTCAAAGTCCTCTGGAAGAGAAGCAGCTCTCCAGGGTGGAACACTTCTCCAGGAGGATTGAGGGACTCATGTGGCTTATACCTGGTTATATAGCTTCTGGGACACACATCTTTCAAGGCCTCTGTGGTGGGAGAAGGATGGGTATGGAGAACTCACACCCTTGCTTATAAACCTCCAACTGAAAGTGAAACTGTTATTTTTACTCACTATTGGCAAGAATCTCATACTTCAACCTTCCCTGAAGAGGTTGGGAAATATGGGGCATAAATGTGCTCATCTGTGTAGCATGAGCCCTTCCGCTTTGTCCTGTCTCCCTTTCTGCCTGTTTCCCTTTCTCTCAGCTTGCCAGTTGAGAAAGTATTCAGCATTCTACCTTTTTAGACACCTTTGTCTATGCACATTCAGAAGAATGAGATGGGACCAGATGATAAACTCACTGTTTATGTGAAAAAGAAAAACTGTCTTCAAGCTTCAATCTGGAAGGAAATAATAGCAAGAGAAAATTATTCAAAACAGAACATGAGTAGTGTTATCTGGAGTGAGCTATTGCTGTCGAGCACTGATTCTACATCCACAAAGGAGGTTTATTTATGGGAGTAAAGGATTGTTGGTGGGGTTTGTTTTGCTTTTTTTTTTTTTTTTTTTTTTAAAAAAAGACTAATACCTAGGCCTAATCCTGGAAATCCCAATTTAGTAATCCAAGGTGAGGCTCAGATTTCAACATGTCTCCAGGTAGTTTGGATGATCAGCTAGGGTGAGGGACAACTGGACACAAGATACTCAGGAATACTTCGTCACTGGTAGAGGACCTAGTGTAAAGGGGTGAGAGGTTGAAAATGTTGGTGGGAAAGTAACAAGATATTTAAAGAGGCAGACAACATAACAGTCGGTCAATGGGAAGGTGGGTGGTCTAGCCATAAAAAGAAAGAAGATGGCTCTTCATCTGCAATGGAAGAGATGACACAAAGAAGAAATTGTGAGACACACACCCCTTGGCAGCCTCAGACTTTCCAGTCGCCACTCACTCATTTATTTAACATTTATTGAGTAGCACTAGCCATCAGCCAGGTAGTCTGCTAGGGTCCCACAAATACAGTGCTGGACAGGACTGCCATCCTGTCCTTGGGAGGCTCCCAGCCAGTGGGCACTCAAGGTAAGAACACACCGTGATGTGTGTGGTGACAGTGGGAGAACATGGAAGGGAAGTGACTGAACCAGGAAAGACTTCTGCAAGGAAGGGAATCTTTTCCGAAGCTTTAAGCGTAAAATAAGTAACAGGTGCTACCCTCTTAAATATTTTCTGAGACAAATGAGGTATGCAAACAAACAGGGCTGAATGTTGGCCTCATTGTCCACAGGGTGCTATAAAGAACGCAAAGACGGAAGCAGATAGACCTGGACAGCAACACCAGCCTCAGCATTAGCAGTGCGTCCTGAGCACCACTAATGCTGGTCCTCCACCAGCTTGCTCCACCAGCCTCCGTTTCCTCAGTTATACAGTGAGCATGTGAACACCCTCCTCTCATGGGTCGTTCTTGAGGAATGGATGCCATTGCCTGCCTTCAGCAGCTAGCACCAAGTTTGGTTTAATGCCAGTTCTCTTCTTCTCTTTCCTGCCACTCATCACTGTCTTACCAAAATAGGGATACTAATGCTGATAATAGTATTAACACCATTATTAGATATGACTTCTACTACTAATAGTGTAAATATATTATTTTTGCACAACAGTCTACAACTGACACCATACTCTCACGCACATCACCGTTCTGAAGTTACTATCGCCTATTCTCCTTTTCCCTTCCTACCTTTTTTGTTGTCTTTGGAACAGTATTGAGTCTGCCTTAAGGTATACTTAAAATAATATAAGTGAATGAATTAAAATTAACTTGAAAAAAAAGTATAGTGAAAAAGTGATACCAATAAGATTGGCCACAATGTATTTACTGATCCTCTGGGCAGATTTAAGAGTTAGCTTTCAGCTTCCTAGAAGCCAAAGTGAAGAGAAATATTTTCAGATACATAGTTTATAGCATCCATGAAATAAGTAATCACCAGTAGCTTTGGCGATTTTCAACTATTATTGGTACTAATTTCAGACAGGTGTTTCTCCCTGGGAGTCTCATAGGGGAAAGCTGTACACCTGAGTGAACAATATTCAAGGCAACCTTTTGACGGATGAGCAAGAGCAATGCTGGGCTACTTTCTCCGAGATTCCCAGTGTGCACTGATGGTTGAGAGAAATTATCTTAGGGAAGAGAGAAAGATGGTGTAATTTAATTACCAATGGTCACCTTATTTGGCTTGACCAAAGGATAGATATAATATAGAATTTGGGGAGAATGAAAGCTGTGTGTTCTCTAAACATTCCCCGATGGACTTTCCGTGATTGTTAAATGACAGTGTGCTCAAGATACATCTATGTGGTAGCTTACGCATATTTGTTTTCTAAATGCAGCTTTTCCAACTAAAAATCTTGGAATCTTTCCATCAGGAAGTGTAAATTCTATTGGAGGCTCATGATGAAGTCACTTTGGCACTCATCAGTTCCCATTCCTTCCTGATTTACCTTCGGTCCCATGGCAAGGAAAGCACTTAACGTCACCCTTCCACCCTGAAGTGTAACTGGAAGGTTACCTGAGAAATGTGTATAGGATGTTTCCCCTAGCGCCTAGCACAGTGCCTCAGTGATCCATCAGCTATCCTCTAGGTATTGTGGTTGTTTCAAGAGTTGATTTGATTTTCTTGCAGCATTTGTAGTTTAATGGTGCTTTTAAGTAAACATTTTTTTAACAGTATTTAAAAAGGGGCCTAATTGAAATCCATCTGGATTCAGGTAGGCCCTTCAGACCCCTAATGCTTAGCTAATCAGCCGATCATTGGCACAGTGGATTGCGACTGCTCTCTTGCAGAGTAGCCTCTGAATGGCTATGTCTCATTGAGCAAATGCCCACTTGGCAATGCTGTGGCCCTCGCTATGTCAGGATGTTCTCAGCAGCAGGAAGAACCAACTGAAACACACATGTTTCAGCATGAGATGTAGCAAATCACCAGTGGTGGTGCTGACTCTACCACCACACATGGTGTCCCATGTCCAAGAACAGGTTTCCCAGGCACACAACCAGTATTCTCTTCAGCACACAGAAAATAGATCCCCAGCTAATCCCTTAAGATAAGTCTCTACAAGAGGAGATTTAATATGTCATCCATGGGCAATTCCACAATTGCACACACTCCAC
Organism: Homo sapiens; assembly: GCF_000001405.40. Classification (NCBI taxonomy): domain Eukaryota; kingdom Metazoa; phylum Chordata; class Mammalia; order Primates; family Hominidae; genus Homo; species Homo sapiens. The sequence continues at coordinate 95,618,126 of NC_000015.10, read as the reverse complement.
TCACCTTTTTTCAACTCTTGTCTTCAGATGCTGTGGGAAGCAGCAGATGCCAGACCACCACAGAACCCCAGGCAATCAAGCATGACAAAGTCCGAATTCATGCTCATCGGTCAGTGTCCTGGGTCTTAGTATAGGCGTAAGGGCCTGTACTCTGGAACCAGGCTGCCTTGGTTCTGTGCGGTCAGGGATTCCCTAAGCCAGTTACTTTACCACTCTGTGCCTCAAGCCCAATTTGTAAAACTAAAGATGGTAAACATATAGGGTTGTTGAGAGGACTAAATAATTGGATACGGGTAATTCGTTTAGAACAGCATCTGACACATATTTTACCAGGCTTCCGTTATTAAAAGTTGTGGTCTTGAACTGCTACAGAGATTCTGAGATTTACAGAGTATACCAGAGATGACCCTGGGGGGCAGCCAGCTCTCCTTTTTCTCCCCTAGGAATCCCAAATTAGGTGCAGCTTCAGAGGACCTCAGAGCTTTAAACTCCCTGAACAAAGGGTAAATAAACAATTTAGTTTTCTGTGCTAAATCCCAACTATATATTAAGTGTTTTATGTATAGGTTCACCTATAATCTTTCCGTTTACCTGTGAAGTAGGCACTATTATCCCCATTACTTAAGGAAATTATCTTTCTCCAGAGAGAGTATGATTACCACACTGGGCTTTAATACTCTTCTCGCTACCAGTATTGTAAACTATAGAATGCCTTGACAGTAAACTGGAGGATGCCTCATTCAAATTGAATCTCAGATTTAAAACATTAAATGAGATTTTAATATAAGCCTATCCCAGAGGTTGCATGGAACATACTTATGATAAAATATTATTCACTTTTTAATCTGAAATCAGAATTTCACTGGCTGTACTGAATTTTCATTTGCTACATCTGGGACCCTAACTACAAGGAAGTGTCTTCTGGTTGCCAAGCACTGAGCTTAGCCCTTTATACAGTTTATCACATTTAGATCATACAAGAGCAAGCCACGGAGAAGGTCAATTATGGAGCAATTTATATACATCTTTGCCAGCTGGGTTGATCTTTCACTAGCATGTTGAATGCCAACCTCTCTTCTGGCATTAGGGCATTTTGTCATAACACAGCAGATTTTTCACATAATTAACCTTCAACTGTACTGGTAAGACTCCCCAGTGATGAGGTATAGGTAGGGCTATTTAAAAAATAATTAAAAACAATAAGAAGCAATCTGAAGCAAAAAAAAAGAAAAGAAAAAAGAAAGAAAGAAAACACACACAAAAAAACAAAAAAATACAAGCTTTGGATTTAGAAAAACATAAAATTCAAATTCAAGATCTTTCACTGGCTGTCTCTGTGAGCCTCAGTTTTAACATCTGTAAATTTAACATTCTCCCCACAGGGTAATAGGGGATTAAATGAGGACTCTGTCTAAGTGCCTAGCTCAGTGTAGTACAAGTGAGTGTTCAACAAGTGACTGCTTCCTCCTCTTTCTCCTTCCATCTTGTAATAATAGATGGTAAGTATGAAGACTTTAAGTTCTTCACCTCAGTCACCTCTAGAGAGAAACTGTCTTCCAGTGTTTCCTATAGTGAGACCCATACTGTTAAGAAGTCATTGGGAAACTTCCCCTGGAACTTGGCCAGCTGGGCTGAAGCCTCAAGGGTGGGAAGGGAAGGAAGGCAGGTAAGGTCAGTTTCTACTAGAGCAGGCCCGCCTTTCAATTGGTGTCATTTGTTGTGTCCATGGGAATTCTTCTGTGGTGCGGAAAAAGCAAGTGGCTGCAGGCTGGGATTTTTACCCAGGTGTCTGAAAGAAGATGGATATATAAAAAAAAAACAAAACCAAACAAAAAAACATAACCTGAAGACTTGTCCCGAGGAAATGCTGATCTTAGGCTAGATCCTTATGCAATTTAGAAAATAAGTGTGCCATATTCTGGTTAAGGTTGCAAATGTTTAGCCCAGGGTCTCCCTTTTGTGTGTTATTTATGGAATCTGTATTTATGGACTTAAGGAATCTGCTATACAAGTCAAAGGACGCCTTGATGAAAAAAATTGCACAACAATGGCAAATGTCCTAGTGACAGCTCCCCTTCTCCCCCAGCCAAATCTTCTGGTGGAGCTGCCATGACAGGACAGTTGTACTGTGCAAGCAGAGAGAAAGTCAGCCCTGGTTAGCACAAATTTGCTTACTGAGAGCTGGTCCATAGAGTGCATCTTCCTTGTCAGAGATACCCTCCCTTTCCAAGACCAGGAGCACTGTTGAACACATCTCAGCTTGTGCCCTCTTTTATCTAAGGGTGGTATGAAGGAAATGAATCTGAACTTCACTTCTGACTCCCCCCTGCAATTGGTTCAAAGGCTAAATTCCATTTCCCTGCCTTAGCTAAGTCTTGTAGCATCTCCAGCACAATACGAAATTTGCTTGTGAAATAAAGACAAACACAAGCTTGACAGAAATGGTATAATCAATCCTTGGTATATTTATATAGAAGCCAAGTGCAGCTCGTGGATGATTGCTTCATACTTTATTTCTTTGCTTTTCCAAGAAATTCTGATAGATGTAGTGGGGCAGTTTGACATCATCTGGCTGTGTCCCTCGTGTATATCTTGAAAAATAATCAGCCCCAAATCAGGTCTGGTGAATATGAAGAAAAAACAGCATAGAAATCTAAGAAGAAACATCTTTAGAGTAAGTAACAAAGGGCATTTTATAATATTCATTTGCTCAGTCCCCCAAACTTTATGATATGTGTATATCACATTAGTTTCCTGATAGAAAGTCTGGTACGAGGAGTCAGAAACTTTTTACAGGATGAACTTATTGGTGAGGTTTCCAGCCTCAGTATGCAATCCCCAGACACCAAAATAACTTGGGACCCATTCAAATATTCTCAGTAACACATGAGAAATGCCAAGTTCCGCAGAGAACGGTGTGTTACATATTTGTTGAATATACATCTTCACAGCAATATGGTATTCCATTTATTAATTCTGTTTGCTGCAGATGGCTTCATTATGTGTACTTAATTTTAGTGCCTAAGTAAACATACAGGAAGGGTATGTAAGAAATTCTGAAGATATCCTTAAACAAAAAGCAAAGACTGTGTAATGGTGTAGGAGAGCCTGCTGAGAGTAAATCTATTCTAAAACGGTTTGGGGAAAATCTCCTCAAAGGCCTTGAGTGTGTGTGTCTCCTTATTTGTGATGAGGTGGAGAGTTTGAGAGGGAGTAAGATACTAATCAATGAGGCCGTAATTTGCAACAGCAATTACAGTGATTCTATTTTTCGCACAATAATTGCCACATGTTGACTGTGCAGATGTCCAAACACATGGGAGTACTTCTCTTTCTGTAAGACAAATGAAGATTTTTACTTTGTTTGGTAAATGTGTCAAGATTTATGACTTTAGTCATGTGCCATACATTAGGGTGTTTATAAAATATGGCTTTCTGCACTCTTGTTATGTAGTTTTATGATTTCAACAACATAGCAGTGAGGAAATCAATGTTTTCTGGATTCAAATTTGCCCTAAGTCTCAGAGTGGACTGTGTGCAGGAGTTCAGTGGTTAAAAACAAGAAAACAAGAAATCCCCATCTATCTATCTATACATATAGAAGGGGATATATATACATATACACACATACACACACACGCATATATATACACACATGCATATATATATCTAGGGATATATACACATATGTGTATATATATGTGTGTATATGTGTGCATATATATGTGTATGTATATGTGTGTGTGTGTATACAGATAGATAGATGATAGATAGATAGATAGATAGATAGATAGATAGATAGATAGATAGATAGATATGGTAGCCAGATTAACATTCCTGATCGCCTCTCCTCCCTGTCCAGGAAAATGATGATCAAGTGGAATAACATTGTCCAATAAGCTTTGACTTAAAGAGACCTTGGGAGTTGGAGCTTCCAGCTTTTCATTATAGACTGGCCGTAGTAACTATTTCCAAAATGCAAGGGAATTGTAGAGAATATGAAACTCCTGTGAGATGCACAGATGAAAGTAAGGGGTAGGTTCTGAGGAGACAGTGAAAAGAAGTCCAAGATAAGCCCCAAAATAGTATGTCTGTTAAATCTGAGGACAACATAAAACATTTCATAAAGATACAAATGCTGCCGCTAGTCCAGTGGCAAGCCAAAGCTTGTCTGTTAGCAAAGAACTCATACTATTTAGGATACCCCCTTTCTTGGCCACAAACTAAGCTAATCTGAATTTTGATGGCTCTTCTAAAACTTGCTCAATCCACAAAAGTTATGCTTTTTAAAGGAATCTGAAAGCACATTCGTGAATTAGGAAGATGGTAATTTACACTTTTGGCTTAACATTTAGGGAATAAACAGCCGGAGTAAGAGCGGGTTTTTCGGTTTCTTAGCTGCACAAAAAAGCTTGGGATTCAGAGAAAAGACAATGCTCTAAAATCTCCCTGGATCTATGACACATTAATTTTCTGCATTGTCCTAGAAATGTATAATTTCACAAAAATGGAATAGGATTTTTCTTGTAACATGTGGAAGGAAGAGAACATTTGTAGAATGGGGAAAATAATACCACCCTGTATTGTCTCATAATGGTTTCTAATGTAAACATCTTTTTTTCTCAATCAGACTATAAAATCCACAAAGGCAGAGGAATCCTTTGGATTCTCTAGTAGCTATCACACTCCTAGGCATATGATTGATAGGTATTACTTATGTATTGGTGTAACACACACACCAGTTTTGTTAGGTACTGTAGGTTTATCATTTAGCACACTACCTGGAATAAAGTAGGAACTTACTATGTTTGTCAAATGGGTGAATGGTTGAGATTCCTCAGGCCAGGGCAAAAGAGCCATGGCACATTGGAAACCCTGATGATGGATGCATATGAGCAGTTGTGAACATGACCCAGAAACATTTAGGCTGTTGCCCAAGAAAAGACCAGAATTTCCTTTAGATGGCATGGTATGCTTTATGTGACAATTCCCTGGCTGTAGTTAGGACCAGTACAAGGCAATATTTCAGTGTTGGACAGTCCATTTGCTTTAAGGCCTCAGACAGAAAGTCAACAGAGAGCTCAGTGCTATTGGCAAATGCCAGGCATTTGTGGCAGCTGCTGAAAGCTCTGCAACAACCTCTGAAGGGCCATCCTTGAAGATTTGGTTTTGCTCCACCTTTGTTCATTCCTGCTCAGATAGTTACTTGGGAAATGCTGCCCAATGGCATAGGCACCTTGGTAAGCTTCCCCAAAATCTTCGGGAAAATTCTTGTAGTGTATGCTTACTGCAGAGTTGTTAAGTGGTTCTAGCTTTGGAAAACAGTGCTTCCCTTACCTTATAAAAATCAACTTGGAGGAATGGGATTTAAAAACCAAGCTTGGCTGGTGCTGTGGCTCACGCCTGTAATCCCAGCACTTTGGGGGACTGAGGTGGGTGGGCCACTTGAGGCCAGCAATTCGAGACCAGCCTGGCCAAAATAGTGAAACCCTGTCTCTACTAAAATACAAAAATTAGCCAGGCATGGTAGTGCAGGCCTGTGGTCCCAGCCATTCGGGGGGCTGAGGCAGGAGAATCACTTGAACCTGGGAGACAGTGGCTGCAGTAAGCCAAGATTACTCCACTGCCCTCCACCCTGGGCATCAGAGTGAGACTCCATCTCTAAATAAATAAATAAATATAAAATAAAATAAAACAAAAAAAAAACAAGCTAAAGAAATAAGATACAAGGAATGACTGAATGCTCAAATCTTGTCTAATGCAATAAGGCCAAGGATTTTCGGGCAATTAATGGTAATTGATCATTCTTAAATATTTGAAAAACCTGTTATCACTGTTGAAGAGAAATTTATTTTTTTAGTGTATGCATCACTGTGATGTGAAAGGAAATTTCCAAAGAGTCATAGAGGTAGCAATCAGTAATTTCTGGGAGATAGTCTTAAAAAGAGAATTGGTTTTCTGTTATAGTACTTTTAAAATAGAAAGGATAGATGAAGCTAAAATGTAAGAATAAAAACAGATTTATTTGTTATTTTATCCCCATCTATCTCTAGTCTCCACACGGATTTGTTTTTTCAAAAGCCAAATAGACAAATACTCAACAGATGGGCAAAGGCGGCCTTGAGGAAGTCTTAATGTAAACACTTGCCCTTCTTTTCTGTGGCGCCCTCACAATTTATGGGTGTTTCCGATAATAATGGGGGCATTCTTGTTTGGGAGATATAAGTTCTCCTGTTCTAAAGTAGAGGCTGTTTTTTTTTTTTTTTTTCTGTAGATTTTTACTACCATTGAAGGACACTGGGAAAGATGATAAGACTCTTGATGTTGGAGGAAAAAAAGCAATGAATTCTTTTGGATTTTCTAATCATAAGCATTTTTTCCAAAGTTTTGAAGAATGTTGAGATGGTGAAGGAAAATAATTCAGACTTTCCTCTAAATACATAAAAGAATAATAAATATCTCTTTTTGCTAACTAAACAGACATCATAAACAAATAAACACTTAAACTGTTAAAAAACAAACAAAAAAGAGAACCCACTACTATTCTAACATCATCCTTCCGATACCAGCAGTTTTTCCTGTTAGTGTCTATAATACCGTTTCGAGAAGTTTATGTGGATCTTATATTTTAAAAAAGATTTATAAGCTGTTCTCTCCAAGAATGTTATTAATTAGGAGGAGCTATTTTTACCCTTCATAATATGCATTTTTCTTATATTGAGACTTTGTTGCAAAGAATCAAAACTCTTGCATTCTATTTTTTTTTGACAGTTTGCCTTTTTGTTTCTGAAATTTAAAATAGCCATAGAAAATCTCCATGGAAGCCATAAAGATGTACCTCTTTGGCTTATCCCCTTTTCGGTTGGCATGCCATTGTGCTTACAGTTGGGGGTGGAGTGTGCATGGTACAAAAAGCCATTACTATCTTTTATCAAACAAAGAATGTAAAGAAATCCAGGCAACTTCTCAGTACAAAAGCCTGACCTCTCTGGCCTCTGGGGCCTAAGGCCTAGACAATCATCCAAGCCTAGATCTTTCCTGCAAACTGGTGCAGGGGAGATCTGAGAAAGGACACAAATTGTGCCTTTTAGAAGCAAAGTCTGAGGTCTGAGGATCTAACAGGTTCTAGCTACACAAAGAATAAAGTTGAACGCTCCTTCTCAAGGTAACTGAATAAAGGAAAAAGTCAGCAGTAGAGATCTTAATTCTTTAAAATTTAAAAGCTAATTTTGTGTCTTTTAGTCAATTTCCTGCACAGGAAGGAAGAATTTATTAACTGCCCTCTGGTATTAAATGGAGTGCTAATGGGTAAGTACAACAATTCAACAGGTGCCAAGTAGATATATAGAGGCATTATATCAATATTAATCGTAATGCCTCGCAAATGCATTTGTAGAGTGATAGCTTTTTTTCTCCCCCATTGAGTTTATTTTGGGAACCTGTCTCTCTCTAAATACTAAAATGGCTGCTATACCTTATTCTGGAAAACAGAATACTGTATGGTTTTATTTATTAATTCATCCTATGGAAATGTTATTGCACAGTTCTAAGCAATAGGGAGGAGGATAAGCCAAATGTTCAGCTTTTCAGAAAATAATAATAATGAAAGCAGTTGAGGGGTTGAATCAGATTTAGGAAGGAATTTTCTCATTTGAAATCCAAGATTATAACCCTAAACCATGAACGCTTATATAAAATGCAGTCACAGAACTTGGAAGCAACAGCTTCTCTACAGCAAAAAGATGAATGTTCACTGTTTTGTATTCTGTGTTCTATTTTTGTTCTTCATCTTTTCTTTAGAAGTTTAGCCTGATTCAGTTGTCAATAGGAACAAAACACATAAAGCTACAAGTTTTATATAAGTTTATAGAAAAATGAAGGCCGATAATTAATGCCACTCTCAATGAACTTGTTTAGATCAAGCTGTTTTCTTAAATGGATCAGGTGCCACTTAGAAGAACAAAAGAGACTTCTTCCATAATAAATTTGATTTAAAACCACACAGTGGGGCCCTTTAGTATTTCTGCAGAAGGAATGTTTTTACCAATACCTCGTGCTGCATCCAGCTCTTGGAGTTGTTCTTCTGTATAAGCCGCTGAAACTCATGTTCTTCTTCCTAATGGAGGAGAGATGCCTTCAGATGGAAATCTCTAGACCTTTGAATAATCCCATTTTCTTCAAGGTTTAGTGGGGGATGTGGGAGGAGAAAAAGCCATTTATTCTTTTTGGTCGTTCCTCTCACATTTTTTTGAATATTGGAATTTATCTCAACTTTCCTTTGGAACAGTTAACCCTTTTTCTTTATCTTTCATGAACAGAAAAGATTAGAGGGTGCTTGTAATGGAAACTTTATTATTCAGTGAAATTGGAATCTCAGGCCTGATCAGAGAGGGGCATGGAGAAACAGAATATGAAATTTTCAAATTATGGAAAAGTTAGGAATGTGAAAATTAAAGAAATAAAGGCCTACCCTGATCAATATTCATGTTTCCTCTATGGAGGCCACCATTTGGAGACATCAAATTGAGGAAATAAAGGCCCACCCTTATCGATGTTCATGTTTCCTATATTGAGGCCACCATTTGGAGTCACCATTTGGATACACTTGGTTTGATACATTTAGGATGGAGGGAGGAAGAAAGGCTGAAAAGGGTTTTAGATCATGGTGCGCATCCCTAAAGGCCTAGAGGCTCAGTTAAATTTCTTCCTCAGACAACCATGCTCTATAATGACAGACACCAAAAATAGAAAACATTTAAAAAATGGTTCATGATTACACATACCAGCTCAAAGGAAATGACAAACAATTTTGTCAGGAAGCATCGAAAAATGCAGTGACCACAGTGAACATTTCATCACAAACCTCTCTTTTCTCAAATATAGTATCAGGCCATCTTTAATGCTCTTATGTTTGGAAATATGACTCTATTTAAGCATGACATTTTAACTCCTGAGGGAAAATGTCTCTATGTTGTAGTATGATAAGTTAGAATCGTAGAACTCAAAGTTCTGGAATTAAAATTAATATGAAGGACTTCTCATTTGTACTAAAGATATAAAGCCCCAATTTGATTTATAAATATTCTGCTGTCTTGTTGATTAAATAGATAATTTTTCAAAGGAAAATTTTGCTGGTGTATTCTCCATCATAATATTCTTGGCATAATTTTCTAAACTAATGTTTAAGTAGATGAATTAAAGCCATCTTTAACATCATAATACTCACTCTGGAGTTTTCAGTTCTCACCTAAGAAAAGCTAAGTTTCAAACACTAAACAAAAAGAGAAAAGTCAAGCAGGAAACTAGTACACACACACACACACACACACAAAACAATTGTGCATCCTTGGTTAAGGAAACTTTTCTTCCGACTTTCTAATTTCTAACTAACTAAAGTGAAAAATAACAAGCTTACAATGGAAATAAATCCAACAAGTAGGAGGAATTTGAGAAGCAATAGCAGTGGCGTATAAATTACATGCACACGCAGACATTGCCACACAGATATAAATAATCTTGTTTCAAATGGGCCATAAAGTTTAAATTACTTTCCACATCAACAAAGTAAGACCAGGAACAAAATACTAAAAACAAAAACAAAAACCCAGCTAACCTTGGTTAAAATAATACTGTGACCCTCTAAAGAAAACACAAAAAAGTAGTAGTTGATAACTTAATGGTTACCCTGGGTTTCCATAAACATGTCGCTTTCAACATTAAAAATACCATTGGCTTCTAATTTCTAAGAGCAGAGAAGCAAGAGGACTGAGGGTAGACTCCTGGATTTCCACCTTCATGTGTCTTAAATTGTTAATTCATGTAATATAAAGTTTTTGTAAGACTCTGACTCTTAATGTAATTAAAACTTTTCATACCTGTTGAGTTTTCAAAGTATTCAGGTACTTGTTTTTATAAAATAGTAAACAATTGGGGAGTGTTTTAAACTCTGAGTTAATAAAGCAATAGCCTCAAGATCTTGCATTAAAATCACAAAGGCAATATATGATCAATTGAGGAAAAATTGAAAGTGCAGAAACATGAAAGAACAAAGGAGAAAGAAGAGGAAGACAATTCAGCCATTCTACTTTGTTTCTCCTACATATTTCTGTGTGGTTAGAGGAGGGATTATCTTCTCCTACACACACCTATACACCTGTACATAAAATCGTGTTCATATTGTTTTGCAACTAGATCTTTCAGTTTACATTTTATGTGAATAAGTTTTTATGTCATTTATTTCTAGATATTTTTATTTAGATAATACTTCATTGTGTGCTTTCTGTATTTTCTGCATGTAATCTAATATTTCTGTAAACCTAAGTTGCTTTCAAACTTTTGCTGTTATACATACTATTGCAATGATCATTCTTGGACCTCTGTTTTAGTGAATACCCCCCATTTTTTTTCCATAGGATATTCCTAAATATAGAAATTCCTAACAGTGAAATTTCTAGGTTAAAGCATGTTGTGCTCTGAAAAGCTTCTATCGCTTTGTATCACCACACACAAAACTTCACTGTCTTACACTAACGCCAATCTGAAAAAGTAGAAATTGTAACAAATTAGTTTGCCTTTTTTTGACTTATGAAATTTTATCTATATTCATAAATGTACTGACTGAGTACTTGCCGAGTACTGACCAGGACTTGTACTGACCAAGTGCTGATCATTTTCTTATTAAATTGTAAGACCATTTTATTTATAAAGGATATTATCTTTTGGTAGGTCAAATATTTTGAACACTGTACCTAGGTTTTTATTTGCCTTACATTTTCTTACAGTGATCTTTTACTTCAAAATTTGTTTTGCTAGTGTAGTGAAATCTATCAATCATTGTTCCTTTGGTTTTCTGCTTATAAAGAATTTACTCTTGCAATAATTATAACTATCATTTATTGAAAGCTTACTATGTGCTGAGACATGTTCACTGAGTGAAAATAATTATTCACTTATTTTTTCTTTGCTTTTTCTTCTTTTTAGTTAAATTTTAATATCTCTGGAGTTTATTTTGGTAAATTATGTAAAGAAGGAATCTAACTTTATTTTTTGCCCAGTGATAGCCAGTAAAACAGGATTTGGTGAATAATTCAATTTTTCAAAATTGGATTTGAAATGCCACCTTTATTATGCATATTTTAATGGCAAAATGCAAAATAATCATGGCATACAAGACATTCTTCTGTGACTTGTGAAGACAATATTGTTAATTTTAATTTTCAAAAATATGTGTACATGGTTATTACTTCCATTAATAGTATGGTTCTTAGAGAAGTTCATGGATATTAATTAGAAACTTAGGCTTTCTTTTATAACTTAAGTTGCAATCTCAACTCTCAAGTGTATGTAAATTTCAACCGAATCATATAAAATAATGCTGACTAGTATTTTTACTGTAAAAATTATAACTAGAATCAGTAGCATAAACCTTGTCTTAGTCATTCCAATGGGACTCTACCCAGTGAAAATATTGTACACTTATGTTGCATATCAAGGTATTAAAAAAGCCATAGTGCGAATAATACCAGCTTGAATGCAATTTATAAACCTTATTTTATGTGTGTGAAAATACTAAAATACTTTATCTCAGATGAAGAATTAGCTTCCTGTCAGGAAAAATTTAAATTAAGACTTCTTGGTTTACAACTTGGCAAAATCACATCTGAAACCCATTTTTTGAAGCTCTATAAATCAGCAGAGCTCAGCAGAGTACAGTTTTGTTGTTATTATTGTATGTGAAAATATTTAGATCTGGACTGGCAGTGTTTCCCAATCGTGCCAAGTAAAAGCAATCACCTAGATATTAAATTCTGAAAAAATCAAAGAATATAAATGCACAGAAAAAAAGAACCCTAAGCACTATTTCTTTCTAAGAGTATGAATGCTATAAATAAATGATGGGCAGAATCTCTAGAATATGCTCAACCGTATCTTTGAAAAATATAAATATTAAGAGAGTGGAAAACTCTTTTTAATCAAATGTCTACCCAGGAGAGCCACCTTTCTTAAAACTATTTTTGAAATAGAAAATATGTAGAATTTTTCCTTTTACCATTTTGCTTTTCTGGACAGGAAACTATGATTTTTTGGGGGGAGGAAGAAGGGTTTCTTTGTTTGTTTATTTAGTTGAGAACTGTCTGTCTATATGAGCCCAGTTATATTTGATGCTTCTGCCCAAGGGTCTTTTTGCAGAATAAAACTAGAACAAGCACACCCATTGCATGGATGGCTGCAAGAGAATCTATTTCACATCTCTTGTATCATAAGTGGAAAAGCAAAGTTTCCATTTTATCATTTCTTACTCTATAAATATGGGTTCTGTCATAGCAAATTAAAATCACATTAACTTGTGATATGTTCTAATAAAATCTCTTGGTTAAAAAAATTGTGCATTATATTTTCTCAGAAGCGGTATAATTTACGAGGTTAAAGCAAGCACTCTGGAACCTGATCACCTGGGTTTCTGCCCTAGCTTCGCCATTTACTGTTTGTGTGGCATGGGGAAGTTATTTAACCTCCCTGAGCCTCAGTTTCCACACCTGTGAAAGGAGAGTAAAACCGTAAGGTTGGAAGGAAACTTGAAAGGCATTAATATATATAAAAGAACTTGGAACACTGCTGGGCACCTTTTAAGTTCCAGAAAAGATACAATTATTCCTGTTTTCTAATTGTAAATGACACAACTTTTAATGTTGGCTTTTTTAGTGTTTTGTAGTTTTGAAATTGACAGCAATAATGTAACTAGACTGTGCTGTTTGATTGGAACAGAAAAAAAAAAATCTTAAAATGACATAAGATAAGCCATGTCAAGTCATCTGATTTAATGCCTCTGACCAGAGTCCCCAGGCCCCTTTTGGTATAATCTTAGGCTAATCAAAGCCAGCAAGTCATCAGACCCTTGGATAACTGAAATAAAGTCCTAAATGTGATTTTATGAGATAACATAAAAATGGAAAATTTTTGTTTTTTTTCCTTTTCTTAAAATAATACTGAAGAAAAATAAAGTAACTAGACCATATTTTATTCTTATTTAACCAAAAGATTAGCACAGTGGGTTACTGGTTTTCTTCTACTTTTTTTTTAAATTTTCCATTAAGCAAATTCTTTTAAAACAAATTTGAACTTTTCCCATCCCAGTGATTCCCACGGACAGTTGGCAAAGAATCTTGGATAACTTGCAAAACTGGGATTTTTTCCAGGCATGAGTAACTTGTTAAAAAGCCACTATTTCCTTAATACTAACAGTAAATAGAGTTCACATCCACATAAATCCTCTGTGGCCCACTGGGGAAAGTTTTATATGTAAATGTGTGTGTGTGTATGTGTGTGTGTTTGTGTGTGTTTGTGTGTGTGTGTGTGTGAAATCTTTTTTTAATTCATAAAACACTTGACTCTCAGCATGTCTGTTTATATTTCACTTCTTAAAAATAAATACACACTTTTATGCCAGTTGAGGTTAAAAGGTATCCTTTTTCCAGTTGCCTGCTGTGTGCCAATGATTTTATGATGGATGGGTTTAGAATACCTGGCTAGAATTCTTGAAGAATATTTCCCTTCAATTTCTTCTATTTTTAAAAAAGAGAATAAAACTTAGTTACCATGTAATTAAAATACATGTTTTCATGAAATTTGATTTTATTGGAAAAGCTCAAGTAAATATTTTCAAGACTTACAGGAAAAACAAAATGTGTAATTTTAAATTCAAATAGCAAAATCAGTTTGCTTTTTGAGCATTGGGATGGAGTGTATGGTAACCTTTAGCAGTTACTATGAGTATAAATCTCCATTTTATCCATGGATAATAATAGGATTTTCCCATTTACAAGATTTGTTAAGGGAGACGTGCTTTAAAGTTATTATTGTAAAAGTCTGTTGTGTAGACGTGTTTAATGAGGCAGGCAGAGGTTAAGGGGGACTTTGCAAGACCACGTAATGATACAGCGTGGGTCAGGGACTAGAACTTACAGGGGGCATTTCTGTCCCATATCATTTGCCAGTGCTGCATCTATAGCAGAATGTTCTATAATCCTCTTTATCTGGGTGTTGAACAAGCAAACTTCTCTTGTCTTTGCACTGCTGGACTGGGTATATTTTGATAACAGGCAGTCCCGTGAGATATCTTGCATTTCCTGCTTCCGGTCAGATGTTCCAGAAGAATAACTTCTCTACATATGTTTTTGCATTTTTGATCACGATCCCAGCTGGAATCAGGAAGTTTGGAGGCAGCATGGAAATGGAAACTCGATGAAACTCACAGCAGCATTGTTTTGACTTGCAAAAATATTTAATTTTCTGGTGGTCCGAAAGGGGAAAAAAGTCCGTATCAGCTATTATCTACTTAAAACTATGCTACTACTTCAGTTCCTTATTCAATATACATTTTTATTTAAAAGAATAGGGTCCCTGTTATGTGGGAAAAGATTGCCCAAGGTCAGGTACCTAACCACAGAGAGACCTGAGGTGGGAACTTTTAAAATTCTTAATTGAGGACTTAATTAAAACAACATTAGGCATTACCACTGGCTTCAATTACTTCTTGTGCCCATATAAAACCTAACATCTTATAACTCCTCTAATGAACCTAATGTATTTAAACAAAGGAAGAAGGAAGAAATAGATAACTCAGTCTTCTCAAAAAGCTTAAAGATGAATTCTCGACATTGTGTTTTTTAAGACATTCTAAAAGAAATGCTTAATACTCAGCTTCACTTTGCTTATTTGTGGTTCCTTTGTGTACAGGTTGTCTAATTAGGATTAACTGAAAATATGTATGGAGTGTTTAGATGGTGGCTGGTCCCGAAAATGCATTAGAAAATGTGAACCCCTTTACTGATGCCTTTTTCTTTTTGGTTACTCACCTCAGGATGTAGGCCTGATACTTTTTAACAAACTGGGATTTTTAGAGACATCAATAAAACACTGTACCTAAGCTGGAGCTCGTTCTTTTGTCTGGCAAGATTCAGATTGAAATAGAATAGGTAGAAGGTAGGTTTTCTTGCTAATTTCTACCACCACTACTTACATTATTAATGTTTTATTAAATTTAGACGCACACATATGGTCATTGTGGCACTATCCACAATAGCAAAGACATGGAATCAACCTAAACACCCATCAATGGTAGACTGGATAAAGAAAATGTGGTACATATACACCATGGAATACCATGCAGGCATAAAAAAGAATGAGACCGTGTCCTTTGCAGGAACATGGTAGAGCTGGAGGTCATCATCCTTAAAAAAACGAATGCAGGAACAGAAAACCAAATACTACGTGTTCTCACTTATAAACGGCAGCTAAAAGTTGAGAACTCCCGGATACAAAGAGGGGAATGACAGACACTGAGGCCTACTGGGCGATGGAGGGTGGGAGAAGAGAGAGGATTAGAAAAAATAACTATTGGGTACTAGACTTGGTACCTGGGTGAGAAAATAATCTGTACAACATACCTCCATGACACACACGAGTTTACCTATGTAACAAACCTATACATGTACCCTGAACCTAAAATAAAAGTTTAAAAAATTTAGATAAACTCCTTAAGGAAAATAAACAAATATATATGTAAAAATATATATAAATATATAGTTATAAATATATATAAATATATATATATATATATATATGTAGTTATTCCTAAAATCCTGACACATTCTCCAACTGGGGAGATCCGACACAATTGCTGTCATTTTGTTTCAGACAAGCTGGAGAATGTCAATGGAGAAGTCCCAGGTATTTTCTCTCATTCAGCCCCTTTCCTGTGATCTGTCTGAAACTTCAAGAAGAGTTTGCTTTATTGTTGTTGTTTGGTTTTTTTTTTTTCTGTTTTTGCCTTTGTCTTTTCGATATCTTTTCCTATGAAAATTCCAAGGTGTGGTCATTTTTTGTTGTTGTTGGTATGGACCACATAAGAAAATAACCAATATTTATTGAGGATCAACGATGGGTCAGCCTCTTTTTATCCCTTGTCTCATGTAATCTCCTAGCAGTCAAATGACATAGGTGTTCTTATCCCTGTCTTTTATTACGAGAGGCTAGTTGTGGTTAAATTTGGTCAAGTTCATGGATACCATATGGCAAAGCTAGAATTCAAATCAAAGTTTATGCACCTTCAAAGACTGTTCTTTCCTCTGAGTTCCCTGCCCTTCTGTTTCTGTTAAGGGGTGGGATTCTGAGCACCCATCATCAGAGTTAATAAAGCAGAATTCTCCAAGAGTAAAATGCTCCAGGGCAAGCACACACAAGATGTGGTTTAAAAATACAGTTGGAAGGCATTTTCAATCAATGTTAACTTTCTTGGGTGGGATAACTACTTGATGTAGTGAATGCCTCTGCACTTGAAGAGATGCTCTGTGAAGCGTTTAGATGAGCAGAATTTGATATCTGCAGCTTACTTTCACATGATTCAGCAAAATATTAATCATCGGTGAATCCAGCTGCTAGGTATTTAGGTGTTCATTGTACTAATCTTTCACGACTTTCATAGACTTGAACATTTCCAAAATAAAAAGCTGGGGGTAGCGGTAACTTTTGTTCATTGTGGATAACAGAAAATTCTAGTCCACCCGCAGTGACCCAGGGAATCAACTTTCCTAACTCCTGACTTTCCTATATCTTCATTTGTAATCAATGTTGACAATAACAGTTTTAAAATTCTAATTTATAGAAGACAGACTAGGCAAGCAGATGTTCTACTGTTGGTGATTATGAGTTTCAGTGTTGTTGACTATTACAAACCAAAATGTTATGCCAGATTTTGGGATCCCTTGAGTAGTAGTGAAGCTATAAATGGGGTTCATGGGTACTACTAAAAATCTAGTTTCCCCTGAGCTTGGGGTTTTTGGTTGACTGTCCTGTTGCTACCTAGGAACATATTTGAGCTTACTAAATGCTGAATTTAGTTAACTGTAGGACTTCATGAGCCCCTGGGGCTTTCTTAGGATAATCATTCATACTTATGAATAAAAGAGTAGAGAAAAAAGGGAGATGGCTTAACACATAGAGAGGATATTGAAGAAAGTGAAAACGTGAGTCCCGTTTAGTTAAGCACCTACTATATACATCAGTTACTGTAAGAGATTTTCTTCTTCCTCTTACCTTCCCTCCTCTCCTTTTGTATCCCATCCCCTCCCCTCCACTCCCCTCCTTTGTCTTCCTCTTCCCTCCCTTTCCCTTCCCTCTCCTCCTTTCCCAAAGTATTTATAATACCCCTTTCATAGTGTGAGAGGTTGAGATTCGGAGTTTTAGTAAAGACCAGTAAACTCTGGATTCACTTTCAAATCATTGGGTTCCACAAACATGTATTGAGTGCTTGTTATGTGTCAGGCACTGGTGCCTGCCAAGGAGGAGATTGTTTATCTAGTAAGAGCGATTTTAGCTTCAGAACCTATGCTTTGAAGGAAGGGAGAAAGTCACACAGGAGGCACACATTTATTTGGTATCAACTATATGTGAAGCATTAGATAAGCATTTAAAAAATCTGTTTAGGTCAAGCTCATTAGGATGTGGTTACAGAAGAAATAGAAGATATAATCACACTGAGCTCCTCATCTGGTTGAGGAAAGACACCTAACAATGTTAAAAAATATGGAGATTGAAAGGCAATGGCACTGGGAGTCTGGGTACCCTGAATCTAGCAGCATGTCATCTGTAAACACCACCACATCTCCATGTCTTATAGTCCTCATTGAAGGTGTCCTATAGACAGGCCTAAGGAAGGTAATAACACAGATAGTTACGCCAGCATATTTGATCAACAGAGCATGCACAATCAATTTGCATGGAGAATATAGTTTTGTGCAGGGTTGATGTTCACGGTGGACCTATGCAGTTTGAACAGTTCTTATCTCAAAGATGTGGGTAGTGAAATATGGTGCCAAGGGCAAGACAGGGAAGATAAATAGCAAATTATCTGGTCTTGGGAAGCTAAGACACAGATAGCAGCTCTCCTAGGAGTCTTCTGACTGCATCTCTCTGGATCAGGTGAACAACATGGATACCAATGAAGTGGGAGGGTCCTGGAATCATGGCCACTGTCTTGGAAATTCCAGCCAGCTGAAGGATGGAGGATCCTCACTGATATTTAAGCCAGAGTAGACAAGTGCGATCAGGTGGTACCAAAGTGCATATGGAATGTGGGTGGACGGGAATCCCACAGCAACACTCTGAGACTTCCTGGCTGAATCACTCTGCATGCTGGCCTAGATCTCTTCAACATCCTCCCCGTAACTTAACCCCACATCTTATGTCACTGAATTTCATGGCTCCTACTTATCTCACTATGGCAGAGCTTTGCCTTAATTTTCTTAAGATTATGTACATCTCTGCCATCTATTTTCTTTTCTTTTTTATCTTTATTTTTGTACAAAAGAGAGATTGGGACAAGTTAAAAAGTCACTTCAGAAATACTGACACTGCACCAATACTTTCCCCTTTATACAACTGAGGATTGAAAGAAAACTAGGTAAACTATTATATGGCTAATTAAGAGCATAATAAGCCTCTTTATTACTGATACAAAATAATTTAAAATATGTATTGTTACAGCAAAACAATGTATCCAATATACATATGCACACACATACTCTACATATACATATATACATTTGGTTATTGCATCTGAGTAAAAATATCTCTAGAAGATTCACAAAAATATTTATAGGATGAGAAAAGAATGAAATGAACACGGGCTAATGGGTAATTTTTATTGTACTAGCTTTCGAAATCTGAATCGAATGTGATACTTATTCAAAAAATAAGTGAATGTGATACTTATTAAAAAGTAAATAAAATGCAATTTTCTTGAAGTGAAATAATTAAAATTAAAGGAATGACTTTATAACTACATAATTTCTGTTTTTGTATCACTTGAAATTTTCTTATGCTATACTTTGGAAAGCAATTGAAATAATTATAATAATATAATATTTTACATAGTTTCTGGAACTTTCACAATACTCATTAAAAATGGTACCTCTTATCAAATATAGATTTACTTCTTTTTTAAAATAGGTCTTCCTTTTGAGATTTTAGGTCCCACACAATCACAGCATTCATCAGATGACTGGAGATATTTTCCCAAATACTGGGGAGAGACTTGGTAACGGGGGAAACTGAACATAAACTTAACAGAATACTTTCTGTTCCAAGGACTGGCACTCAACTGTAATTAAGTTCTAAGCTATTTTTGCCAAATTAGTGCAGCCACTGTACATTTTTAGCCTCTTATGCTATCTTGATATCCTTTATGCCATCTCAAAACTATTTTTATACCATATATTATTAAAAAAATCCAACTTGGGTATTCAGTAGGTTAAGATGTATGAGAATAAAGCTTCATCCTCAACAGATGCCCCACTTAGGCATAACAATCTAATTCTATTTAATTTAGTCACTGGCACCCTTGCCTTTTCCTGTCAAAGTGAATCAACCTGAGTGCTAATTTTTGAAGCAAAACCTCTGTGATCATTTCACTCGTGATTTAATCCAGATCTAACCTCGGGCCTTTAGAGGTTCAAGGTCAGTGACCCAATTTACTCTGCCATCCGCCTCTGTATCAGTAACCATTGTTATTCCTTGCAAGACATTTACTACATACATTATTTCTTCTGTGTGTAGTCTCAACAAATTATGCGGGCAGTTAAAGGTGATTCCAGATTGCAACTTGAAGAAACTTGGCAAGAGGTTTTGGCTTCTCCGGCTTTTGGTAAACACAGCAAAAACGGTATTGAATGCAATCTTTGCCTCCATTAGCAAAAGCCAACGAGGAAGAAATTAATTAACTTTCTCCAATGAGAAGAAACTAGTCATTGGCATCTTTGCCAATTGTAAACTAATTGTTCTACAAAGAAATCCCGGAGCTTAAACACACCATATAAAATTAGAAAGGAAATAAAGGTATGGGTAGCACACTACATGTTTTTACAGATGAATAAACATACATGAGCTCAAATCTGGGGCCCTTATTTTACTTTTTTTTTTTTTTGTAACAACTAGTGTTTCTTTGGTCTCCTTCAGTCACAGCAGTTAATACGTTTTGTGAATTTCCTTTTATGTTTTAAATAATTTTTCCTTCCCTGGTGTCTCACCAGCACATCTGCCGGGAGCAGCAGCACGTTGGAGAAAGTCTCCTTAAGTAAAGGAGCTATCCCAGGGATGCGCCAGCCCCACTCAGGGAATTGCTGCTCCAGGGCTTTACCCCTCCCAGGAGGAGTTAAACTGGGTTTCTGTGTCAAAGATGCTGAATGAAATTGGGGGTGGAATTGTTAAAATTGGAAATGACCTATTTAACTACATGCACATTCCCCATGACTGGTATAAATACGTCCGACTTTCTAATTTTCTCATCAGAATGAACTTATCATAGACTTTGATGCAGAAAGTCTTTTTAACAATGTATTAAAGGAAAAAGAACACACGATTGATCTTTATAAATCTGTAGAATCTTTATGACTTCTTATTCTCTATCTTAATATTAAGAACACAAAGATGGCTTACATCCCACTGAAGCTTAGGGGAGAAAAAATAGTGGGTTGGGAGGTGCTAAGACAGATAATAGAAAAGAGCTTGTAAACTAAAACAATTTATTTTGGCTCCTTTACAGATCAGAAACAGAAAGCATAGTTATCTGATAATTACGATATAATGCTGCACTGGAAGTTACTTGCCAAATTCCATTGCTCTGTGTGCACAATTTGATTTTTCAAAAAATTTCATACTTACAAAATCGCATAATAATTTTTATTTCACCCTTCCTAAATCAATCATCAGCTATAAATCTAAAGAAAAGCCCAAAAGTTATTGCTAAGGAGAGTTAACTAGTATTCCCTATGTACAATGATTATAATTTTATTAATAAGACATGTAAATATCTTGGTATCAACTTATTTATTACTTTATGGAACATATTTTCAAATGCCCTAAAAACAGAAATGCGGAGATGAGGCAGAGCTTATTCAAGCTAAATGCACTGGGAGGCTGCTGTAACGTATTCTAATCACACTTGTTACTACTGGATGTGGATGTTTCAGGTAGAAGCCTCTAACATCTCTTCAAATGGATTCTGCATTTAGAACTTAAAAACGCGTAACAAATTTTGCATTGACTGCAGACAAATAAGTGTCTCAGCTAAAACTCTTCAGATCTGGCATGAACTTCACATAGCTTTTTTTTTTCTTTCTCTTTAACAAAAGAATATTTTGTTTTTAGAAA